>NC_000018.10:22161206-22786206 GCF_000001405.40 Homo sapiens
ATGGAGCAACTGAGACACGAAGAGGTTAAGTGTCTTGCCCTTGATTACAAGGCTGTTTAGTAGTCCAGGAAAATCTAGCACTTATGCATGCACATTGACCACAATTTTGCATCCAATTCTCTCTCTCTGTTTTTTTTTTTGTTTTGTTTTGTTTTTTTAATTGAGACAAGGTCTCACTCTGTCACCCAGGCTGGAGTGCAGTGATCTCGGCTCACTGCAACCTCCACCTCCTGGGTTCAAGTGATTCTTCCACCTCAGCCTCCCGAATAGCTGGGACTAAAGGCACACGCCACCATGCCTGGCTAATTTTTGCTGTTTTTATAGAGACAGGGTTTCACCATGTTGGCCAGGCTGGTCTCGAACTCGAACTCCTGACCTCAGGTGATCTTCCTGCCTCAGCCTACCAAAGTGTTGGGATTATAGGCATGAGCCACTGCACCTGGCCTTTTTTTTTTTTTTTTTTTTGACTGTGGGCTTTGCTCTGTTGCCCAGGCTGGAGTGCAGTGGTGCAGTGGTGTAATCATAGCTCACTGCTGCCCCGAACTCCTGGGCTCAAGCGATACTTCCATCTCAGCCTCTTGAATCCTCACCAATTCTATTTTGTGAGTTACAGTTCCTGTACTTGCCCACAGGCAGGTTACAGGCTAGAAGTGAGAACTGAAACAAGAGGATGTTGACAATCGCTTTCAAGGGGAAGGGACCTACCCAGGCTTGCTATGGATAACAGAGTTGACACAGGGGCTGATGTTCCCCCTGGGCCTGGCCCTCTTGGACCCTCTGGCTCTCCACTGACCCCCAAAGGCTTCTGTCCATGAGGATTCAATCAGCCTCGGGACGGCTGGCTGGGCTGGGGGGCAGGAGGGCTGTAAATCTGGGAGAGCTGCAAGTATTCAGGGTCTTGAACTTTATCAGGTTTGAATGTGTGATTGTGAAAGTAAAGAGCAGAGAAATGACAGCACTCAGTAAATCAAACGTAGAGAAGATCAGAACTGTCAAAGACAAGAGAAAAACAGGCTCTGGGCACAAATCGGGCAGAAAAACTGCAGGGACGGGAAGACTTTTATGTTCCCTCCAGACTTTGCCTTCTGAAAGACAAATCTATTTCCCTGTCATTTTATCTAGAGAAGAGTATTCTTTGTTACATCCCATAAATTCCTTTTTAAAGTTTTCATTATGAAGGTTTAGATCTTCTTTTAGAAGATAGGGTGCTATAAGAAAAAAAACAAAACAAAACAGAAAATCAGTTGAAAAATGACTGGAATGGCCTAGATTTTTTCCCTATCAATAATGTGTTCCCTAGCTTCTCAGAGATCTTTCTTTTTTTCTTCCTTCCAAAAAAATATGATTAAAGTATAATAAATCTGCATATATAACAAAACCAAATTGAAGAGTAAAAGGCATAAGAGAAGTCTGAAGTTAGATGATCAGGTCACTTTAATTAGTTCTTCCCCCACCCCCCGCCCCTGCTAATATCTAATGCCAGTCCTCAAGGTTGCCCTTCTTAGTGGTCTCTTAATTCACTCCTGTCTACTGCCAGAAAGAGGTTCCCAGGAAGGGGTGCTGCTGGGACAGGGATTCTTTTGTTGGAGCAGAGGAGGAGCCTCAAGATTACTGTCTTTGTCCTGTAGAAGATATTGCAGAAGATCTGTTGCTGGCATTTGCAAGGGGAACAAGGGATGTCTCCTCTTCAAAGGAACCAAAGACAAGTAAAGAACCTATGTTTGTCTCACCCTTCACCTCCTTTCCTACCATAATGCAATAAATAAAGTCCTCACTGCTGGTACATAGAAAAGGCTTGAGACCTCTGGTGAATCACAGGTCCCAACTGAATGAGTGCTCAAAGAAGTTATTTACTGGGAATTAATCTTGCTCCTGGGGACAGTTGGGCCAAACAAGAAATCGAAATTTGGTGTAGTATATGAAAGTCTACTACAATAGATATTAGTAATAACATTTATATAGCACTTACTATGTGCCAGGTACTATTAGCAGTTTACATGTAAGAAATCTTTTCATCCTCTTAGCAATCCCGTAATGGGAGTACTTTTATTATCCCCATTTTGCAGATGAAGAAACTGTGGCACAGAGAGGTTGGGCTATTTGCCATGATCACATAGCTAGTAAATGGTGGCATCAGGATTGAAACCCAGGCAGCCTGGCCCAGGGTCCTGCGCAGGCCCAATGGCTTCTGGAAATTCTCTCAGTGTATGAGCCACTCCTTTCTTTTCAAACCCGCTGGGTTGCCTAGAGGGCAATCTAGACTTTTCTAGAGAAGGGAAAAAGACTCGGTCATCTCCTTCCATCTTGGAAAGTGGGATTTTGCCTAACCGGCTTTACAGAGGTGCCAACCTTCTAGACTGTAAACACTTCAAAACTAGGAGCTAACTCTTCTCTTTCTTCCTCGTGCAGTGCATACTCAGTATGCCTTGGGCAAGTGGCAGGGAACTGGAGGACTGCATCCTGGTAGACAAGCCTTTGGTCCTAATTCTCTGCATATTTGCAACATAGCTGTATGGAGAGGTCATATTTCTGGGTTATTTTTTTGTTTGTTTCTTGGGCACTTTCTGCCCCTTTAATTGACTCAAAGTGGGGCATTTGTAATTCAGCAAGTCTCCAAAAGCTGATTTCTTCTTTTTCTTGCTTCCCTTTAGCCATCCCTGTCCCACGCTTTTTGGTTTTGAAAAAACAAAACCAAAAAACTACTGAACAGTCAGGAAGGTCTTTGAGCTGAGACAGCCCAGGGACGGTCGTATTTGGACCCTGGCCCTAGAACTGGCATGGCCTGCACACCTTGTGATACCAGCAAAATCCAGGAAGAGCCTAGGTCCTCCCTGCCTAGTGGGTTGGGCATTTCTCCATCTCTTTCACCTTCTTGGGAGCAGAAATATTCCCTTTTCCTCTGATGCTCTAATTTTTCCCCTCCCCAGAGGCTGGTGGGGTACGGATCAGATAGGACGTATGATTTTTGGCATTCACCTTATTTGGAAGGGATAACAAAAAAAGAGAGGCATCTTCCACTTCCCAGCCTAGTGTGAGGGGACAGACAGCAGACCCTGGGCTGCCTTTTGGAATTGAGAGTCCTGCTCCCAGCATCTGCCAGAGAACACACTGGGGGAGGCAGAAGACTTGGGAAAGCCCTCTGCAGGGAAGACAAGGGGTCTCATCTGAAACTTACCCCCACCCCATCACCTCCTTGTCCTATTTCAAAAAGGTAGAAAAGGTTTATGCTGGTCTGGAATATGGACTCTTTTTACTTAAGGGGAGGAGAAAACTTCAAAAACATCACAACTGACTCCCCAAGCCCACTTTTTAGTATCCAGGATCAGGAAACTGGATCTTCCCTGCCGTCACCCGTTGGTGAAAGGGAAGGGATCACTCCAGGGGCAGAGCCTCAGCCCAGCTGGCAGCCCTAGGCTTTATGTAGTGGTGCCAGTAGCAATTAATAATGATAATAAATACCACACTTCAAACCAAACCCAAGCCGAGGGATGACTGAATGACTGGACCTCTGCCTCCCACCTGCGTGCGGTTACTCTGCGAGTCCACACCTTCCCTGGCAGCCTCAGTTCCACCCACCACCTTCAGCCTGGGGTTCAAAGGGAGCGCTGCCCCAGGACCAGCGACGTGGACCAGCACACTGCCCCTTAGCAGACCTACAGGGAGTGGGATGGTAGGTGGGGGCAGTTTGGTTTTATCTTTATTATTTAGTATCAGAAAATAATCAAAACGGAGTGGTAATTTCGGCCCCCTGAGCTTGGCTTAGTTTTTCCGCGAAGTGCACGGGGGCCGTTTTAGGATACCCAGCTCCCACCTGGAGCTCCAGAGCTCCCGGGGACCCCCTTGTCCGCCCGTCTCCTAGGGCCTGGCACTCCCTGGCCCCGCAGCCCGGGGACCTCCACCTTCCCCAGGCGGCAGCCACAGGTCCCGCCGGGCCCGTCCGAGGTCTGCGGCCGCCGAAGTCGGGGTCTCAGGGCGTCAGGGAGCAACCAGGCCGCGGGGAGGGAGGCCGGCGCCGGCGCGGAATTTCTTTATCGGGATTTGAGAGCCGCAAGCTTCTCCTTCGCTTCTTTAAGCGATCACGGAAAGACACCTTTCGATCTTTTGTCAGACATCTTGGCCCTTAATAGCTAAATTTATTTGGTTTAAAGCGGCCACGGGAGAAGCAGGGAGGGAAAATCTTTCGTCGGTCATTGGGTGGCCTAGATAACAGGCTTGGAGAGAGAGCGGAGAAGAAAGTAAAAAGGTTAATGGATGAGGGGAGGGCTGGAGGCGCCCGGCGTGGGGCTTTTACGGCGACCCTCCCCCGGCCGCCCCCTTATCGCAGCCCGAACTTACCCGCGGCGCAGCGAGTACATTAAGTCACGTAAACAGCGCGGAGAGGAATGCCACCGCGGTGACCTTTCGTGCGCCGCCGCCGCTAGCCCACCTCCGCGCCGTGCTGGCGGCCGCCGGCGGCGCACGGGGGTCGGCCGGGGGCTGCGCCGGGCAAGGGGCCTCCGGGCCGGGCCTGGCCTGCGCAACGCGCCGGGCCTCGATTCCGACCGCCCGGGGACCCCGGCGCTGGCTCCGCGCGGTCCTTCCCCGAAGTGGCCGCCGGCGGGAGCCGGCGCTGGGGGTGGGGGCGACCTGCAAGTTTCCGCCGCCACCACCTGACGTTTCTAAAGAGTGTTTTTGGTTTCCCGAGATTTAAACTTAAAGAAAATCACCGCCAGGACTCTGGTCGACGGCCTACCGTGCAGTGCGGCCGCTGAGTGGGGGACACGCCGCCCGGAACCCACCACTGGCCCCAGACGCTGGCAGGGGTGGGGGGCTCTGAGGTGACCCCGGGTCCTTGGGTAAAAGCGTCCCAGAGACGGGAAGAAATATGGTATAAGCGAGAAGGCCTCATAAATCTGGGCTGTTAAAAATCTAAGTTAAAAATATGTTTTAAGTCAGAAATGCATTCTTTTTCCTTATGAAACATCGCCGAAGCAGCCAGTTTTGTGACAGGATCGTAAAATGAGCGTGAGTTTGCGGGGGTGGAGGTGCACGGGGACGCGGGTCCTTGCTGGGTCTCGCCGCTCCTCCGGAAGCGGCGCAAGACTGGGTCCCCAAACACCCTTCCCGTTTGGCAGCCAAGCCCCCGCCCCCTGCCCAATTGGCTGCAGTGTTCTGGGTGGATTCGAATCGCGAATAGTGGTGTGGCGCGGCCGAAATAAATCAACCCTGGGGACAGGCCGCGCCCGGGAGCCAGCCCTCTGTGAGGGTAAGGGGGACGACTTGCCCAGGAGGGGCCGCTCATTGGGTCGAAACAGTCCGGAGAGAACAGTTTCGTTCAAGATTAGCAAATCCCGAAAGAGGAGACATGCGAGGGTGAAAGAAAAAAAAAAAGGAAAGGAAGGAAAAGAAAAAATATATATCCCCACGAAGAAAACAATAACTTTTAAGAGCTGTCCGCGTACTTTGGACACTAGTGGGGGCCTTCTCCCCAGCTCTTGGGTTTCTCCCTAGTTTGGGGTGCACCTCTTCCCTCCAAACTTCCTAATTTGCCGGCCTTCCAGACCAGCTGGGGCGCGCCCAGGAAGCTCCACGCGCGGGTCTGGGGCTCATGGGAGTGGCTTTGAAAACATGCTTGTCTTCCCCAGAGCGGTCCCTAGCGCCAAAGATGCATTGGGGAAAAGGCACATTGGAGACGTCAGGCAGCCTGGTTTTCTGTCTGAATCAACTGTACGAGTTAAACAGTTTTATTTCGAAATTAACCAACATAAACAACAACAACAACAACAACATTCACTACCCATTCCCTCGTTAGGTTGGAAAACCAGTCTGAAAAAATAAATACAATCTGTGACCATGAAAAGGAGCAATCACTTATTTTTCCCATATGTTTTGAACATTATTTTTAAAAATAGATTGGGAATCTGGAGGGTAAAATGCCGGGTCCCTTCCCGAGCCCTTAGAGCCCGAACGTTGTCGAATCGGTCAATGTCCACCCCGCTGCTCACCTCTGTCCCAGCAGCGCCGGGGCCAGCGCGCCCTCCCGCCGCGTCTGCGGAGCTGCGGGAAAAGCAGGTCCCCGGGGGGTATCGAGTGTCCAGGGATATCCACGCAGACATCCTTGTACTTGCAAATACAAAGAAACACACAGGACAGAGATCAGGCTCGCGCCAGGGCTCGATCTCCTCGGGGCTCAGGGTTGGAGGCCGTACACAGCCTGGACACAAACTGAGCCAAAGAGTTTATTTTTAGCAAATAAGATATGAGTTTTTAGAAAATTGCTTCGAATAGCAAATCCGAGAAACATTATTTCAAAACGTTGGAATCAAAGGAAATCAAATGCCCACAACCCATTTCCGTCAGTGCTTACAAATGAGCTTCTGCAAAACCCAGTCCACTTAAACATTTGGTCGGAACTCACGAAAAGAACCAAAAGCAAGGCATTCCGAGTCCTGGCGGGGGTTGAGCGGCCGGGCGGACGCCTGGCTATCTCTTCTGGGAGTCGCGCATTCGATCGCATTCAGGTTAAAATTTAAAGCCCCTGGATCCTGCTCCAGTCGCCAGCCTCTCCATTCCAGAGTTTTCTACCTTCAGCCTTTTCCAAATGCGGCCACGCTGAAACTGGGAGCCGCCGCAGTGATTGGGGGAGGCAAAGTGGAACGTAATAAAAGTGACTAAATTGGATGAGAACGGTTTCTGGACCTTCTCGGTAGCAATTTAAAATTCAGAAGTGTTTAGAAGCAATTTACAACGAAGAATGAAAAACGAAGAATTCTCGCCAACTTCCTGAATTCCTTGCCCCCTCCCCCGCACTGCCAGGCCCTGTCCCGCTCCCCCAGGAGCCACAAGTTCACAACTCACAGTTACGTGCAGAGGAAACAACGCTTAGCTACGAGGTCTCACCATCTCTGGAAACCATACTTTACAAGGCACCTCTCCACCCCAGTTCAACTCTGCACAGGCTCCTCTTCCTTCCCTAACTGGGAAAACACGAAAATAGAAACAAAACAAAAAACCAGAGCCTAAACGCTTTCTAGGAGACCGACCTTCAGAAAATCATTTACTTGGATTTACCTGGGCGGGGGGTAGGGGGTGGGGTCGGGGTAAAGTATAAAAATTCATTCTCACAAAAACAACGCCTCTTGTCCTAAAGTCTCCCTCGGCAGCCTTCTGGGGTCACGTCTGTCGGAAGAAATCCTTTCTGTAAGCGAAAGGGAGCGAGACATATATCACGGCTCCTGCAGCGGACGAGCCTGCGGCCGCGCGAGTTGCCGCTGACAGATCGGCGCTGATAACCCCGCGACGTTCATTTCCAGTCCCTTTTGCCCGCTAGGGACCGTATCAGTTTGTACAGAGTTGTGATAACTGTTTGGAGGGAGCGAAGAGGGGGTGTGTATATGAACGTGGGGGTGGGGAAGCAGCATTTAGCGCTGGGTCCAGGGAAGGTGACACCCCCTCTTCGCAGTGACTTATCTGTGACTTACCTGAAACTCTCCAGGGAAATATCAGAAACTCTCCAGGGACATCAAAAGTTGGAGAGCGTCCTCGGACACGACTGATGTGGAAGCCCTTTTCCATTCTGCGTACCCCATAGACTACCTTTCCGTACATGACGACCCGAGTTAAAGTTCCCAAAGGTCAGCTGGGGAATGTTGTCTTGAGGTTCCCGAAACCACCACGACCTGAGCCGTAGCATCCCGAGATAGGGTCGGAGAAAGTTTAAGGTCGGTCTCACACAACTTCAGGGCAAAAAGCGCATTTGCTGTGAAGGGGCTAGGCGGGGGTTGGGGGGCGGGGGGGCGCAGAGCACGTTCCCCCTTCCTTCTGGGGGCGTGCTGACCCAAGGTCTGGAGCGCCCCTCCCGCCGCGGCGGCGGCGCGGGACTGTGCACTGCCAACTCCTCCCGTGCCAAGGCTCCCTCCCCCTCCCTCGTGTGGGTGTGTGTGTGCGACTGCGGGAGCGGGAGGGTGCACCGCCGCTGGATGGGTGCGGGTCGCTAGCCAGGTCAGGCGTTCTGTGGCCTCCGCCCCTCCCCCGGGGTCCCTGGGCTCGGTGCCCCCCGGGTGGACTCGCCCCCACTCCGGGGACAGGGCTTGCGGCTCAGCCCACGCCCGCAGGCAGCGCGGCTCTCATTGTCTGCCTGGGCGGCGCGCTCCCCTCCCCCCTCGCCGTCCCCTCCCCACCCTCTTTTCTCTCCTCCCCTCGATCCCTCCTCCTCCTCTTCACCTCCAGCGCCCAGCTGCTCGCTGAGCGCAGTTCCGACCCACAGCCTGGCACCCTTCGGCGAGCGCTGTTTGTTTAGGGCTCGGTGAGTCCAATCAGGAGCCCAGGCTGCAGTTTTCCGGCAGAGCAGTAAGAGGCGCCTCCTCTCTCCTTTTTATTCACCAGCAGCGCGGCGCAGACCCCGGACTCGCGCTCGCCCGCTGGCGCCCTCGGCTTCTCTCCGCGCCTGGGAGCACCCTCCGCCGCGGCCGTTCTCCATGCGCAGCGCCCGCCCGAGGTTCGGCTGCTTCCTCCTCGCGCGATCTCCCCGCTTTCCTCCCCTCCACCCCTACTCGTCGCGGGCCCCTGGCCTCCGGCTCTCCGGCCCTCTCCAGGCCGCGGTCGGCTCCGACGGTGTTTCCCTCCTTCCCTCCGGGCGGGCTGAGGCGGCTCCCAGGCTCCCGGGACACCGCGGACCAACTTCTAGTCTCTTTTTCTCTCCTCGAAGCGCTTATCTGCGCGCAGCCTTATCTCCGAGTTATCTCGGCGCAAAGGGGCGGGAGCCGGTAGTTAGGCAGGCAGAGAAACTTCTTTCTTGCTATCTAGCCAGGTCTGTGTGTGGGCATTAATTTTAGTGTGGTAATCTCCGATGAGCCGAGGCGATTTGGAAGAGCAGCCTGGAGGAGGCCAGCCCGGCTGCATTTCACCTCCCTCCCCCACTCGCTCCGAGTCTCCCTGTCATTCTTCCTGCTCTCCCATTTGGGGTCGCCTCGGCTCTGGGGCGGTCTCACGCTCCCCCCTCCCCAGCCCGTTGCGTTCCCCCTCCTTTTCTCTGCTCTCCGCTCCACCCCGCTACGTCCGATTCCGGAACGGTCCGGCGTTTCTGCTGCTGGAGATGACCGCGGGGTGGGCCGGGTGGCCCGGCCGGCGTGAGCGCGCACGCTGGTGGCTGCAGGCGCGGGCCGTGTCTAAGGTGTGCGGCGCCGCGGGGACGCCGGTGGGGCTGGCGATTCCCGCCCCACAAGCTCTCCGCATTGCCTCTGCTGGGAAGGACCCAGACTGCTGCCCCCGCCCTGGCGTCCCACTTTCCCTGGGCCGAGTTGCATTTCTCTCTGGGGCTCGCGTTCGGGCTGGTCAGCGCAGTCCGGGAAGCTCTGGGAGAGCCAATATAGGAGAACGCGGCGGTTTCGTTTTCGGGGACAGGTTGCCTTCCTTACGCGAAGGGTTTTCCCGTGGGGAACCCTCACCCCGAGGCATTTCGGGAGAGGGGCATCCGCAGAGAGGCGGGATGCGGCGGTGCCGACACGCACAGCTACTTAAATTCTTTTGTGTGTCATCAGCCCGGGGGAGACACTTTAGGGCGGAAGGAAAGCCTCAGCCAGCTTCTGCAGATCACCCCTGGGATCTGGCGCGCGCACGGAGAAAGGATGCGGCCGAGGGGGTGGGCGGGGAGGACGCGGGGACCGGAGCGGTGCCTTTGAGGGAGGGCTGGTATCCCAGCCCTTCCAGGGCCCTGTGGCGGCTGCGCAGGCTCCCTTCCCCTCCCTTATTGATCTCCACGCCCGGGGCAGAAATAGGATCTTTGAGAAGTCTCAAATGGGATCTTTGAGAAGTCAGATCCCATTTGAACTAGAAAAAGGAGTGGAGGCGAGGTAGCGTGCAGCCTACGCTCTTGTTAACCCGTCGATCTCCTACCATACCCGTCTCCCCCACCCCACCTCAGGAGCTAGACGTCAGCTTGGAGCGGCGCCGGACCGTGGATGGCCTTGACTGACGGCGGCTGGTGCTTGCCGAAGCGCTTCGGGGCCGCGGGTGCGGACGCCAGCGACTCCAGAGCCTTTCCAGCGCGGGAGCCCTCCACGCCGCCTTCCCCCATCTCTTCCTCGTCCTCCTCCTGCTCCCGGGGCGGAGAGCGGGGCCCCGGCGGCGCCAGCAACTGCGGGACGCCTCAGCTCGACACGGAGGCGGCGGCCGGACCCCCGGCCCGCTCGCTGCTGCTCAGTTCCTACGCTTCGCATCCCTTCGGGGCTCCCCACGGACCTTCGGCGCCTGGGGTCGCGGGCCCCGGGGGCAACCTGTCGAGCTGGGAGGACTTGCTGCTGTTCACTGACCTCGACCAAGCCGCGACCGCCAGCAAGCTGCTGTGGTCCAGCCGCGGCGCCAAGCTGAGCCCCTTCGCACCCGAGCAGCCGGAGGAGATGTACCAGACCCTCGCCGCTCTCTCCAGCCAGGGTCCGGCCGCCTACGACGGCGCGCCCGGCGGCTTCGTGCACTCTGCGGCCGCGGCGGCAGCAGCCGCGGCGGCGGCCAGCTCCCCGGTCTACGTGCCCACCACCCGCGTGGGTTCCATGCTGCCCGGCCTACCGTACCACCTGCAGGGGTCGGGCAGTGGGCCAGCCAACCACGCGGGCGGCGCGGGCGCGCACCCCGGCTGGCCTCAGGCCTCGGCCGACAGCCCTCCATACGGCAGCGGAGGCGGCGCGGCTGGCGGCGGGGCCGCGGGGCCTGGCGGCGCTGGCTCAGCCGCGGCGCACGTCTCGGCGCGCTTCCCCTACTCTCCCAGCCCGCCCATGGCCAACGGCGCCGCGCGGGAGCCGGGAGGCTACGCGGCGGCGGGCAGTGGGGGCGCGGGAGGCGTGAGCGGCGGCGGCAGTAGCCTGGCGGCCATGGGCGGCCGCGAGCCCCAGTACAGCTCGCTGTCGGCCGCGCGGCCGCTGAACGGGACGTACCACCACCACCACCACCACCACCACCACCATCCGAGCCCCTACTCGCCCTACGTGGGGGCGCCACTGACGCCTGCCTGGCCCGCCGGACCCTTCGAGACCCCGGTGCTGCACAGCCTGCAGAGCCGCGCCGGAGCCCCGCTCCCGGTGCCCCGGGGTCCCAGTGCAGGTAAGGGTCGCGCCTCAGGTTCGGGGTGCGGGTCCAAAGCGCTGGGGCGCACGGGGGACGTGGAGCAGCTGCTCCACTCGGGCCCTGTTTTCAGGACTTTCTCGTCCGGGTGCGCGGAGGTCGGCCTGGTCCCAGGAAGGATTTGCAGGCCTGTGGCTGGGTAACCCAGAGTCCGGTAGCGCTGAGGCGAGTTGTGCCAAGACTTGAGTCTGTTGTGCCAAGTTCCTTTCCACGGATGAGACTAAATGCACATCTGTACCTTCGTGCCTTGGGGAAGCTCAGGGCCTTGATGAGTAGTGAATGGCATCTGCTATTGGGGAAAAACGAGGCTGGGAGGGAACTAACAGCGCTTGAGCCCCATCGCAGACCCTACTTTGGGTGAGTGGAAGAAATTCCACGATGGGAGTAAGTTTGGGAGAGTGGCGGGCACTTGATCCACCCCCAAACAGACACACAAGCACATGCAGGCTCACCCAGTTTAACTCTCCAAAGGGTGCGTGTTTGTGTTTTCCTAGAGAAGGGTATTTAGAAGAGCACAACAGAAGAACCTAGATGTTCCTAGGGAAGCTAGTTGGCGTCTCCTCTCCCACAAGGGAGAGAGGGAAAGAAGAGAGGGCACCTGGAGTGGTCAGACTTGTGACTTCATGGTGAAGGAGAGCTGGTGGATAGGCCCTTGGGCTTGGCATCAGCTGGGCCTTGGTCTGGGGCTGCTGCTCACATGGCCAGGCTGCAACTCAGGGATCCTGGAGCTGGGGCACCTATTCTCCCTTCGAAGTTTAGCCCGCCAATTTTTCAGTTTCCAATTTGACTCATTTTTTCCTGTATCTGGGAGCCATTAGGGGGTAAACCGTGAAAACGCTATTGTCAAAAATACCTGGAAATACCTCGTTTTGAAAAGTGTTTTGTTTACTCCAGCACAGGAGTGTGGGAGCCCTGTTAGGCTGTTTTTCTCAGATGCAACATTCTGCGTCCTTGGTGCTTTCAACTGGCTTATCTTACCTTATATTTCACCTGTTTGATAATCTTTCTAAGGAAACAACATCTTTTTTTATTGTAGTTTGTTTGAGGGGAGGTGTGGGGGAGGCCCCTTGAGTCACAGAGGTGGCAGAGTGGAGGAAGGCACATTACTCCAAACAGTCCTACCCCGGTGTCTTGTGTATCCCAGGTCTGTGCTTCTCGTGGGAGCCTCGACGCTACCTTTAGGACAGCAAGTCAGTCCTAGGGGCCAGGATTCCTTAGGATAAAATGGGACATTCCCAACCTTGTCCGCAAAAGACACGCTGGAAATGCAAGTGGTCTGAAAGAGAGGGAACCAATTTGAACAGCTCTCTGATAGCCTGAGTTCTTTCTGTCTTCTTCCAAGCGCTGCAAGACTTGGTCTCAAAATTCCCTCTTTTTAGTTTTGCTCTGTCGCCCAGTCTGGAGTGCAGTGGCTCACTGTAATCTCTGTCTCCCGGGTTCAAGCGATTCTCCTGCCTCAGCCTCCCGTGTAGCTGGGATTACAGGCGCGCGCCGCCACACCTAGCTAATTTTTGTATTTTTAGTAGTTTTTGCCACGTTGGTCAGGCTGTTTTTGAACTCTTGACTTCAGGCGATCCATTCGCCTCAGCCTCCCAAAGTACTGGGATTATAGGCGTGAGCCACCGCGCCCAGCGAAATTCCCTCTTTTTGCTTCTGCTGCAAAGCTGGCCCTGGAGACCATTTTTCCCCTGTGTGTGGAATGGGATCGGGGGACCCTGTTGAGATTTGCACTGTTGGCTTGGGACTTGAGAGTCAGGGCTCTCATCCTTACCTCTGCATAGGGACCCGTGTTTGGCTCCCAGGAGCAGAGAGATGGAGAGGCTGGGAATCTCTAAGGAGGTAATGGTTGGGTGTGAAGCTTATTTTGTCAGTCGGGGAGTTCCGTAGGGAATGTGCAAGGGTGTTGTGAGTTGGGTGAGGGGTAGTATCTGCAGATTGAGCCAGCGCCTGCAGCTCTGCCTATTTCTTGACACACCTTAGCCTGATCTCCAGGTTCCTTTCCTCCAATCTTCCAGCATTTCATATGGCTGAGAGAGTCTTTTGATGTTTACAGTAACTGGTCCTGTATGAGAAATCCTTTTAGAGGCAGTATGGGGCAGTTGTGGGCAAGTTAATATGTTTCTTTTTGTTTTAAATTTAGCCTACACTTTTCCTAATTTTTTCATCTTCTGGGCACACCACAGTTAGAGGAATTTTCTGTAGACCCAGAAGATTTGTTATTTTTTTAAGTATTTTTTTAAGTATGTTTAAAAAAATGGGAAGGGATTTGGGAACACCCAGCTTTTGCATAGAGTCTGTTAGGAAATCAGGAAGTGACTGGGACCAAGCCAGTATTGGGGTGAAGGGTGGGGAGCGAGTGACCCTAACTTTGCTTGTCCTCACAGGTATTCTGAGGCCAGCTTCCTAGCTAGATTTCCTGTTTCTTAGATTTTTTTTTTTTTTTAAACAAACCGTTTTTGGAGGCAGACACTTTAAACACCAGAGCTAAAACCTGAGTGCTGAACTTGATCAACCCGCACAATTTGGAGGCTTCTGGAAACCCACACTATGCACCTCTCGCTGACTGGGTAGATGGGGTGAGCTTACTTTGGGGTGAGCTCAGAGTCCTCACACTCCTTTATTTCCTGGGTCCTACACCCTCCTAAGCGCCTGCAGAACTGTGAGTCCCTGTGTCTTGGTACCACACACAGAAAGACAGGTGGTGGTGCCCTTCTCCCCTGAATCTATCACTCCCCAAGGGCACCGCAAACAGCCATGTTAGGAGAGAAATGGTGAGTTGAAAAGGGGGAACTTGGTGAGCAAGCCCCCAGCTTTTATATCTTACAGCTTTTATAAAGACAGCATTTTTTTTTCCTTTTTAGTCACTTACAGGATTATAGCTGCCTGGTGGGTTTGGGAAAGAGGTAGGGAGGGAATGAGAGAGATTTTATTCAACTAAAAATAAGCAAGCTTCCTAGGTTGTATTTATCCAAAGTGGACTTTTAATTAAATTTTGTCTTTGGGTTTTCAGATGACTAAATAGTTCTACCTGGGGAGTTCACACTGTCTTCTAATAGGATTCTTATTGTTCCCAGTCATAGGACTGGGTTTTCCAGGGAATGCCCCACTCCTCTATCCAGAGGGGCTCTGATAGGTAACATTTTAAAGTCAACAACAAAGACAAATACCTTGTTTAACTTCAGTGTCCTTGAAGACCTGAGCATTTTACTGATTACCGTAGTCAATAGTGGCTTTTAGGGCGGAGAAGAATAAACCTTTGTGATGTGTTGTAAGTTGCAGTATCCCCATGACAACTTTGAACTCGGGTTGTGTAGGATGCCAGTTTCTTTAAAACTTAATAAGAAATGAGAAAAGAGACTTGTTTTGTAAATAGTATTAATGGAATTAAAGTTTTTATGCTAAAGTCATATTTAAATATCGTTACCACACAGTTGATAGTAGACACAAGCAATAAACTGCAAGGGGATGAGAAAGAACCAAAAGGTTCACCAGCACATAATCTTAAGCTAAAACTCTGAAGTGTAATGTTTATTTACTTTAAAAAGTGATTCAGGAATGCTTCTTCAATAATGCAGAACTAGGACATTTAAACCTTCTATAATCTAAAGAACCTTAAATGGCGGTCTATACTTTTTTTTGGTCTATACTTACAATAAGTACCTTTCTCATTTTTAGAGACATTTATTCTTCCATATTTAACCTTCTTGAGAAGTAATAAATGTTACATTTACTCTTAATTAGGATTTGTTTTTATTAGCAGGTTTAGGTTATTGTGAATTCTGAAAACTAACCAAAGAATAATAATAATAAAATTATGTAAAATAAACACATTTTAAATCGATTGCTAACTCAAAATGATCACTGGGAAGGTCTTGGTAATTTTCTCAATCAGTAAGGTATCAACCTTTTATAAAAATTTTGCAGATAGAAGCAGTTGGACCCACTTCTAAATCGGGATTTTAGCATTTGATCTTTGTGGCATGAAAATAAAACTCTGTGCTTAACGTTAGTGCATTTTTCCCCTGAAAAGATGAGAGTAATCTTCTCATTTCTAGTTTCTAACTAACGTAGGTGCCTAAGAATAGTACTTTTAATTTCACTTGTGTATCTTTAATTGGAGAAGAGGCACATATGGACGGGTGGCAGATGTAGAAAATACTTTTTAAAATTACTTGAGATAAAAGTTAATGAGGCAGCCTCGCTGTGTCCCCGGATATTTGTGGGTTGCAGCGGGGCTCAGTGGTCAGTATTTCTGTGTGGCTTGCTCGGGTTTGGCAACGACGTACTGTAATGATGATGGATTTCAGTCTTTAAAAGCTCCGGGACAGCCTGAGAGTAGGGGTCAGGGGACTCAAGCCGACCTCCCCACCGCTCATCTCGGACTCTGACGTCCTCTGCTTCCAGCACTGTCTCTTTCCCGGAGTCTCTACTGGGGCGCTCCGGGTGTGCAGAAGTATTGGACAAATGGTCAGTGGAGCAATAGTGACGAAATAACCCTGCTCCTGGCTTTGCGGCCAAGGAGAAAAGCTCAGCCGGGAAGGGCACGGGCAGGGAAGCCGGGCACCGGGGCTGGGGGCCGGGGTCCCCGGGGTGACGCGGGGAGGGACGGGTCCGGCGCGCCCACTCCCGCCCTCACGCACCGCTGTCGCCGCAGACCTGCTGGAGGACCTGTCCGAGAGCCGCGAGTGCGTGAACTGCGGCTCCATCCAGACGCCGCTGTGGCGGCGGGACGGCACCGGCCACTACCTGTGCAACGCCTGCGGGCTCTACAGCAAGATGAACGGCCTCAGCCGGCCCCTCATCAAGCCGCAGAAGCGCGTGGTGAGTGTGACCCGCCCTGCCCCTGGCTCGCGGCCGGCCCCGGGCTCTCCTGGCCCGGCCGGCCCCGCCCTGGCTCGGCCTGCCTTGGGCGTCCCCCTCCCAGGGGACAGGTGCGGCCGCTGCGGTCCCACCCTAGCGGGGACCCAGCGGTACCATCCTGTCCCGGCTGTTCCAACGCCCACCCGCTGGCGCCCAAGTAGAAGTTACCCCGAAACTGGCCTCTGGGAAGCCAAGATAGCCTTTCCCCATGTTTACGCGCAGGGGATGACGTCCGTAAATGACAAAAACAAAAACAAACAAAAAAGGAAGGTGCAAAATGTTACCATGTTTTAAGCAAAAAAAGAAAAAATAATCTATATATCTCTAGGTGTACTTGCCAAAGCACCGTAATAATTCTGGTAAGATAGGCAAGAAATTGGTGATGGTAACCCGAGGAGAAAAACAGTAGACCTACCGAGGCCGGGCGAAGGAAGACTTTTTTCACTGTGTATGGTTTAGATTTTATGCTTGAAAAACCATGCTCACTTATACCATTCGTCCCCCAAATAGAATATGCCAGAAATCCACCCACTCACGCCTCCTCACAGCCACATTCTTTTGGGTGCCGTTTACTTTGTCCTTTCCACCTTCTTGGTCACTTCTACCTCTTATCCTCAGGTGTATCCCCAAATACCATATCTTGGATTGCCCTTGAGCCTGGTGAAAATTTATTTGCTCTAACTTTTGTTATTTCAAAATCAGAGAACTTTGTAGAACTTGAGTAAAAGTGTGGTTTGTATGTTCTTAAGTTGAGCATTTTCCCCAATTCGCACACGTTTTACTGTTTTTTTGTTTTTTTTTTTTTTTTTTTTTTTTTTGAGACGGAGTTTCACTCTTGTTGCCCAGGCTGGAGTGCAATGGCGCGATCTCGGCTCACCGCAGCCTCCGCCTCCAGGGTTCAAGCGATTCTCCTGCCTCAGCCTCCCGAGTAGCTGGGATTACAGGCATGTGCCACCACGCCCGGCTCATTTTTTTGTATTTTTAGTAGAGACAGGGTTTCTCCATGTAGGTCAGGCTGGTCTCGAACTCCCGATCTCATGTGATCCCGCCCGCCTCGGCCTCCCGAAGTGCTAGGATTACAGGCGTGAGCCACCGCGCCCGGCCACCATGTTTTAAAGTAAGGGAATCCTGATTTCAGGGATTAATCTCGTATTGTCATTGTTATGTGTGCTTCCTAGCCGGAGAGAGTATTTACCGCTGTAATAGAGAAAATAAAGGAAAGCTTTCACCAGTCCCACTCTAAGGTTAACATTTGTTTAGCGAAGTACTCATAATCTAATAACCCTTTAAAGCTAAATATGTTACAGTTAGATGCCAGACGTCTTAAGTATCCCAGTAATTTATTTGTTATACTCTAATTAGCAGGAACAAATGCTACACATGTTGTTTGTGTTAAATAGATTAGAGTGAAATTGCATCACAATGTAAGTCTGACACCTTAAAGAGAAGCAATTAGTTTTATGGTTGGTTTTGTTTTAATGCATTTAAAATAAAGTGGCCGAGGTTAATTTAATGAGTGTATGTGCCTTAAACTCGTTACAACCTCCCACAGCTTAAAATTTTCTTTAAAGGGTACCCTTAACTGCAGTGTGTGACTGTGGGTTTCATGTTTTCTTAAATGCATCATATTAAAGAAGAAAAAGTAGTAACTGGAAAATATCCCACAGAAGTTCCTTGTTTTCATATAATAGACAACACATGAACAATGAAACCGATTTATTTTTCTGGAAAGGCACATTGAGCTGAGTACTAACTGAACTTTCAAAGGTAACATTTTCTAGAGATTGAGCAAAAATTTGGTGGAATAGTAGTCATTTAGGTTCCAGTTGCATTATAAATTTGATCTAGTAACATTTAGATAGTGCCATTTGTTTTGTGCATGTACCAGTAAAAATAACTTAGAAGGAAAAAAAAGAACAGTTTTTAGCATTTCTGAATCGTTAGCTTTCTTTGTGCTTAGCAGGTGTCTTGGCCATAACCAAGGTCAGCAAATATGCTTTGTAAATGGGTTATAAATGATACCAATTGAAGGGTGTGTCACTATCAATTAGGTCTCCTTGTGGGCTTCTTATTTATGGTTTTGATGGATCTGGCTTAGTTCTCAGAAGCAGAATGTTGAACTCAAGTTTGTTTAGCCAGCACTATAGAACCAATCACTGTGAATTTGAACTTGCAATACATTGCAAAATAAGAGATTTATGGTGTAACTTGAATTCCTTGTCAGTGAGGAATATGACTGAGATCACTTGTTACAAGGAACTTTTATAACCCATTCACCTGCATTTCACATGTTTATGAGGACTGGCTTCACTTATGATCTGCAGTTGACAGTCATAAAGTCCTTTGTTATAATGGCAAATTCTGATAACAAGTTTGCTTCACATTGGCTCCAAATTCCACTGGAAACTGTCATAAATGGCTGGTTTATAAAGTGAACCTTCCTGTCCCTTGTTTACTGATTTCACATTTATGAAGAGAAAGGAATCCTTTCCTAAAAAATTATTTTCTTTTAACCACAAAGAAAGAAAAAAGAAAAGCCTGGATGTGTAAAGTTTTGTTAATATGTTGTCATCATTTTAGCAAAGCAGTTTCCCAGGTAGCTCTCCTGTGAGCCAAGCATACTCATTTCAACTAAAGGCAAATTGATTCTTAGCACTGACTTCCTAGAAATGTTGTAGTGCTAAAAGGTTTGCCAGTGTCTCTGTTTATAACTTCTCTGTAGAGTGATGCTAAGTAATGCAACAGGATGTAAACCATAAATGCAGATTTTAATTTCATCTTTTAAATTTCCCAGCAAAGGTTTTGGAAGTCTCTGTCCTGTAATCTGTGAATATTCGATACATACTCAATTTACATTTCTCTCTTCTTCATTCTTTACAATTGATCTTAACTTCCCAAATTTTGTAATTTTCAACTTGGTTTGGTCCTGAATCTTTCTCTGATTTTTTTTTTTAACTATGGAAGGCTTCACGAATTTGGGTGTCATTCTTGCGCTGGGGCCATGCTAATCTTCTCTGTATCCTTCCAATTTTAGTATATGTGTTGCTGAAGCAAGCATCCATTTTTTTTTTAACTGAAGCTATGTCACAATTTTTAAAGTAATTTACAGCATTTGAAAGGAAATTTAAGCTTGGCAACTTAAAAACGAGTTTTATATTTTGCCATTCTGGGTAAGAAGTTATGTTAGCTTATTATAATTAACATGTAGTAATCTAGAGGTAATAAATTCCCTTTAAGGCTGTTATGGGCATAAAGAAAACATGGAAATGGGAGTGACAGTGGCAGACAGGTGGCCTTTTACCTTTCCTGGTAATACCAATTAACCCTTTGCATGAACGAAAGTTGAGAATAATACTGATAGGGCAAATACTGATATTAGTATCACTGCATCTAAGACAGTGGCAGCATTAAGATTATGCCATAAAATTTGCTCGTATCCTTTGTAAAATAGATAAAACAAAAATGCAGGCAGCAGGCAATCATGATGGTAATTATGGAATGTATTCAAATATATTTCTTTTTTTTTTTTAAAAAAAACTTTTACCCCTCTTCTGAAAGCCATTTCTAATAATGTACTTTCAAAGTTTCCATTAACGTACTTTCAAAGTTTCTGGTTTACTCCTTTACATATATCTGAGAAATAGACCTGGTGATCTCCGGTTTTCAGGGGAAGTGGAGACTGCCCAGAGCCATTTAGCACATTAGCAAGTGGCTTGTGATTGCATTTCACGACCTAAATCTTAGACCTGTGACTATAGTGCACGGCCAATTGCTGTCCACGGTGGGGGGTGGGCGGCAGGGAGGTGGGGCACTTTCATGTTAATGTCTACTTGTGTTGTTACTTCTGGTGTGTTTTGAGTATAACTCTATTTGGCCAACTTTTAGAAAATCTTTTAATTCCCCTAAAAAAGATACCAGTAGTATCTGGGAAACTCTAAATTGGAGAAGAAACCAGGGATGAAACTCTCCTTGATATGATGCTGGTAAAAGCTTTGCATGAAGTTATTGGCCAACTATATGACTGCTCCCGGGTATTCTTGAATTCACGGAGACAGGCTAGCTGGAGAAGTAAATCAAATCTATAGGGTCCAGCATACTATGCAAACCTCAAATTTCTTGGCCCAGAAAAGTCAGTATAAGTACACTGCAATTTTTTTTCTCAAGGACCATTTCATTTATAATAAAACAGATACATACTTGTTGATGACAGGGACAAAATACCTTAATGTATGTATGTAATATATATATATGTCACTTATATTTTTCCACTTATGTTCTTGTACTGTTTCTAGCCTTCATCACGGCGGCTTGGATTGTCCTGTGCCAACTGTCACACCACAACTACCACCTTATGGCGCAGAAACGCCGAGGGTGAACCCGTGTGCAATGCTTGTGGACTCTACATGAAACTCCATGGGGTATGCCATGTATTCTGCTCACTTGTATATACATTTAGTATCTGGTTTGTATGTGATATCAGTTACAAAGAATCAGCAAATGAAAGATACTCAAGTGAAAAATTTGAATGCATATAATTTATTACTGAATATGTTTAATATATTCAGTGTACATACTGAATATATTTATTGAATTGAAGGTGCTTTTAATTATAATATGAAATATTACCTTATGCACCAGTAGGAAACAAAAAATGCTACCAGTTGAACTATTGCAAACGTTCATTTAAGACACATTCCAGTTTTAGAAATGTGAAAATGTGAAAAGTGTGTATTTTAGAATTGGTAATATGGTAGTAACTGTTTTTAAAAATGCACAATTAAGGAAATCAATAAAAAATGCACAATCACTAGTCTATATCTCTTAAAAATTTTGAATGTAATCAGACATTTGTGCAAAAGAGTAATGCATTTAATAGTTATAGTTTGAAATATTTCATAGTTCATTTTAAAGGATTGCACAAAATATAATAAACAACTCAATCTTAAAAAGAAAAATAACCTTGCATCTGTAGGAGGAAGGAAATACATGATCTCTTTGAAATAATACTTCTTCAATGAATAGCTACTCATTTCAAACAATAAACGTTAAGTTGAAGGAATTAAATTCTCCTTGGCAAATCATCTCATTCTTTCTGAAGGAATCTCTGCATTTGATGAGGAAAGTGTAGTCTTTGTGCACTTGGGATCTTGAGTGTGTATAAAAATTGGATTGAAATTTATGCCAAGTTCTTTTTTTTTTTTTTTTTCTTGTTTTGAGATGGAGTCTAACTCTTGTTGCCCAGGCTGGAGTGCAGTGGTGCTATCTCGGCTCACTGCAACCTCCACCTCCTGGGTTCAAGCGATTCTCCTGCCTTAGCCTCCCAAGTAGCTGGGATTACAGGCATGCGCCAACAAGTCTGGCTAATTTTTGTATATTTAGTAGAGACGGGGTTTCGTCATGTTGGCCAGGCTGGTTTCGAACTCCTGACCTCAGGTGATCTGCCTGCCTCGGCCTCTGAAAGTGCTGGGATTAGAGGCGTGAGCCACTGCACTCGGCCGCCAAATTCTTTTAAATGAGAGCTTTTAGTGCCAATGTTGGGTCTTTGGTTTTTCTTCAATATAATATTAAATTTATGGCCTATGTGAAAATTTTTTAGGTGCCCAGACCACTTGCTATGAAAAAAGAGGGAATTCAAACCAGGAAACGAAAACCTAAGAACATAAATAAATCAAAGACTTGCTCTGGTAAATATACTAAAATGACGTTTGACTGTAAAGTATTTGCCAACCTTAACAGTAGAGCATATGTATATTTATAAGGTTTATTTTGACTGTTGCAGGTAATAGCAATAATTCCATTCCCATGACTCCAACTTCCACCTCTTCTAACTCAGATGATTGCAGCAAAAATACTTCCCCCACAACACAACCTACAGCCTCAGGGGTAAGTATTAAAACAGCATAGACTCCTAAATTACTGGGCTGCTCTCTAGTAAATTATCTCAAATTTTATCTTATCTGGTAGTACAATAATCTAAACCAACAGTTCAGTTTAGTTAGTTGATACCTAAGAATAGTTTTTAGAGGAAATTACATTTAAATGTCAACAAAATGACAAACTTAAGTACTTTACAAACCTCTTAATTAAGATCGGTATCATTTTTTTATGGTTAAATTAACCCAAGTAAAAGCAAGAAGTTTTGGTTTAAAGTGTTTTAAATTGTTTTATTTCCAGGTTTTTATCAGAGTTGCTATATATATTATATGTGTATATTTATGTATTTCCGATGTAGATCATAAGAACTATGAGGCCAGTGGTTTCATAGATTACAGTGCCCATAACAGTTAAGTAGCTTTTGTTTATCCTATCAATTCCAGCCTTTTTTTCTTTTTTTATCATCCACCCAAAGCAAAGCTCATCATAAAGTGTTATATGCTGCTGTATTCACTATTTCCTTTGCCCAATTGTGTTCTTGCTGGGAGAGCTTGCCTTCTTCTAATGTACCTTAATTGTACTGGCGTTTATTTCAGCTATGACAAAACCTAGGAGTGATTTGTGCCACTGTGGACAGGAGATGCCTGGGTCTTCGTGAGGATCACAGACTTAGTTTCTTATAAAGCTGTGACCAAAACTCAGTTTGCCTCTAGTAGAGAGCATTTTCCCACCCTAATGTTTCCCAAATTTACCTGGAATGCCCTTCTAAAAAATACTGGGCCTTCCCTCAGACGTCAGTGAGCTCCAAGGCAGGGCCTGCGGCAAGCAGGACTTTAAAATGTGTCCTTGTGACCCTTGGGACTACACTGAGACAAGATTAGGACTAAACACCAGCATTTAAATGCCTATTTACTTAGTAATTGTTTTCTACATTTAGTTTTCTCCTGAAATTATTTGGGGTACTTTAAAATACTACAGATTCCTGGGCCCCACCCTGGATTTTCCAAGTCAGAGTCTCTGGGTGTGGGACTTGGATATCTATCTGTTGTTGAACAAGTGCCCCAGGTGAAATTGGAACTACTGCCCCGGAGGTGTTTGGGAACCACAGACCTGGTTTCTTTCCACTGTATTTTTACTGGCTTTAACAAACAAAAATTAAATATTTAAAACAAAATGTTTAAACTGTGCTTAAAATTATATTTGATATTTTTCTTTGTCCTCCTACCCAAATTCTTTTGAGCCTTTTCTGTAAGGAAACAAAACGTCTTTTTAGAGTTTCACAAGGGAAGAAGCCTTTTAGTTGTTTTTTTTTTTGCAGACTCATGGTAAAGAATGTTTCTAGGCTTTATAAAGGTGGACTCCATGCTATGGTGTTGTGTTTTACAGGCAGGTTAGATGTAACTGAGGATTGAAAGTGGTAAATAGAACATGTTTCTTGGGAAATGAAAAGATTATTTAATAATAATTATTTTTTTTTTGAGGCTGAGTCTTGCTGTCACCGAGGCTGGAGTGTGCAGTGGCGCAATCTCGGCTCACTGCAACCTCCACTTCCCGGATTCAAGCAATCCTCCCACTTCAGCCTCCCGAGAAGCTAGAATTACAGGCATACACCAACTCACCTGGCTAATTTTTTTTTGTATAGTTAGTAGAGACGGGGTTTCACCATGTTGGCCAGGGTGGTCTCGAACTCCTGTCCTCAAGTGATCCACCTACCTCAGCCTCCCAAAGTGCTAGGATTACAGGCATGAGTCACCGCGCCTGGCCTAAAAATATCCTTTATTATGCCGTAGTCCTCAGGAGCAATTATGTAGCTAGAGGCAAAACAATTTGGTTTTCTAAAGCAGGGAGGGAGCCGCCTCTCTCCTAGCTGAAATGAGGACTGCTGCCAGCTCCAAGTCACTTTTGTTGGTGGTACAGTCCAGCTTAAATGTGGCAAAAAGACTAATTTGAATGATAAATTGCACTGAGGTCGATATATACCCAACAATGGGCTTCGGGGACTTGGAACCATTGTGGGTGGAGTCTTGTGATTTTGTGACGTAAAATTTCAAAATTTGCTATTAGCAAGTCCTATCGGTTGCTGTCCAGCGAAAGGAGTGAAAAGCCAGTGAAAAGGGCCATGGTCTGGCTAGAAGAAGGGCCTTGGGAGTTCCATCTCTGGTCCTAGGCTTATTGTCCCAGGAACTCTCACCAGGGACAGAGCAGATGGAGGTGGCTTGCTGGTCAATGCCCTTCAGAGGAAAGATCAGTTCCCCACCAGAGGCCAGGAGGCAAAGCAACAAGGATGTTAAGGATGGGGTTGGAGAGTACTAGTTTCACACCAGGTCTTCAGCTGCAAGCTTCCATCCCTGCGGTAGTCTAGGCAGCCTCCACGGGGACTGAGAAGCTGGGAGTGGCTGGTGTGAGCTGCAGCCAGGGGGCATCTCTCCGAGCTCTCCAGCCTCTGGGCTGCGCAGCAGAAACACTGACTGCCATTACCAGGGCAGGGGGTAGGGTTGCTGGCCTGCCTACCAACCTCCCCAGTTCCCCAGGGACTGACTCTTGGCCTTGTTCCGAGGGCACACACGGCTGGTGCCTGGGCTTGCAGGGTTTTATTTCATGGATGTCTCCAAAAGCCTCTACCTGCTGTGGCCATTGTGGGGAAACAGCTACTCGTCTGCTGGCTGCCTTTGGAAGCTGTCCCCCTGTAAGAATACCTGTAGTAGGCTTGAGTGGTGTCCCCAGGTTGTTTTCATGGCGTGCCTGCGTATAACTGTGGATCCCTTCGCACTTTTTGATGTCCTCTCTGGGTGGGCTGAGCCTTCATGTGTATGGCATGGCCCATGTGGCTGCCGAGTAGCTGTGAAGAGTCTGCTGGAGGAGCCATCTGTGAGCAGCTGGTAGAAGCATTTCTAAAAGGTGCCTGTGTTGACAAAGGTGTGTCATTTTCCCATTTTGGTCACAGTGCATAATGTTAGAGGGCAGCTGGCTTTGTGACTGATTGCCTGTAGGATTTTGTGAAATGCTGTGGGTGAAGAAAATATCAGATCCACATAGCAAGGTTGTATCTGGTGTTTACAAAGTATATGTATTACATACACAGCACCGAGGTTGGCTTGGAGTTTAAGCCTCCTAAGGTAATGCGTCCACCCCACGGATCTCCAGTGCTCCCTGTGACTGACTGGTAGAAATTAGTAGTGCAGGGTGACCCTCGTTTGATGGGGCCACGGAACTACAAAGCAAAGGGCGATCTTAGGCACCCTCCCAGCAGAAGGTGGAACTGGGGGCCACATATCCCTCCATTTAGAGATGTAAGTAGCAGTATCACTGCCTTTCTTTAATGACTGTGAGTTATAGCAAGGAAGTAAAAAACTGTTCCAGAGGCCCACATGAAACATGCTGTTTACTTTAATTCCCCACTGAAAAATCAGTTGTAGGAGATCACCGGTAGGCATTCCCAGCAGGCTTATTGTAAGTCCTGGGACATGACAGGAACAGGGTTCTGACCTGCCTTTCACGTGGCCATTTAAGTGATGGCACCAGGACCTTAGCATGACACAGAGTCCTGAGCTCTCTTGGCCAGGACGAAAGGAGCCACAGGAGCTGAGTATTGTGGAAGGGGTCTATCGTGGTTGTCTGCTTCTGGGAGAGGGGGCTCCAGGGCTCCCCTCCCCTAGCAGGAATGAAGGTGTGGGCATAATTCCTAGTGCACGGCATTCTTCCAGGATAAGTTGTCCTAATGCCACGAAAATTTTTGTGCTGCTCTGAAGCCTCATGTCTTAGCTTTATATACTTGTTAATCTGTGCCTTCATGAGACCTGTGTCTGGGCAAAAAGGAGACATTCCTTCAGATAAGAGTCAGCAAGTCGATGACCTTGCCACCTTATGACTCAGTTTCTCTTGGTTATAGGCTGTGCATGTGCTGGAGGCACAGGGAGGGCAGTGTGTTTCTGTCTGAAATCAGGAGGACTCACGGTCATACAGCCCTGCTTAAAATATTGCCTATTTTTTTCTTTTGAAATTATTTTTGTTTATTAAAAATGTATGTTAAACTTAAATTTTTGATAAATGGTTGCTTTCTGTGGCAAAAATAGTCTTTCTTTCTGGCTAAGAATTTTCTTATCCATGCAGATTTACTAAAAAATGTATATTTAGTTGATCTAAATAGATATCAGTTTTTCTTTGGGCTGGGTGCGGTGGCTCACCCCTTTAATCCCAGCACTTTGGGAGGCTGAGGTGGGTTGATCACCTGAGGTCAGGAGTTTGAGACCAGCCTGACCAACATGGAGAAACCCCGTCTCTACTAAAAATACAAACTTAGCCAGGCACGGTGGCGCATGCCTGTAATCCCAGCTACTCTGGAGGCTGAGGCAAGAGAATCTCTTGAACCTGGGAGTTGCAGGTTGCAGTGAGCTGAGATTGCACCATTGCACCCCAGCCTGGGCAACAAGAGCAAAACTCTGTCTCAGAAAAAAAAAAAAATTTTTTTTCTTTGGCTTTTATTCTCTATGGATTGTAAGAATACTAAAATCTTTTTTTTCTTGAATTCCGTTTATTGACTGAATTGTATTTTATAGTTTTTTTTGGTTGTTATTTAGGAGAGAAACATGGTAATGTTCTGTTTCTGCAATAAGATTTAATAAGTAGTCCACAAATGGTCCTACTCCTCCTATTTCTCCTCCTATAACTCAAAATTTGTAAAACTGGAGGATACTTTATAGCTCAATCCCCAAATTTTATAGATAAAAAGTTTTTTTCTTAATTTCTTTTGTAATAGGAGGGATTAACTTGGAGATGAAATTAGCAATAATATCTGAAAATGGCAGCTACAGAAAAAAAGAAAAAAAAATTAGCAATAAGACAATGTCTGAGAACAAGGAGTCACTGAACATATTTTGCCTGCCTAAAAATAGTTTCTATAAATAATTACTTTAAAAATTAGGCCAGGTGCAGTGGCTCACGCCTGTAATCCCAGTTCTTTGGGAGACTGAGGCTGGAGGATCACTTGAGACTAGGAGTTTGAGATCAGCCTGGGCAACATAGCAAGATTTCTGTCTCTATTTCTAGTTTAAAAAAAAAATGAAAAAAAAGTAAACCCTATTTAAGTTAATATTAAAACTACCAATATAATATTGAAATCATCATTAAACATAAAGTGTTGAAGTTAAATGGAGAGAGAAATATATATGACCAGCCCTTGCTTTACTGGTCTTTGTTCCATTTGAGTAAAACAAAGTGCCACATCTGGAATTGTTTAAAACATGGAGGTGGTAGGGGTGGGTAGAGAGAGACAGGTATAGATGTAGATCTTACTACTGGTCAGATTTGGACGTGCTTTAAAGGAGTGATAACTAGAGTTGGAGATGGCTCCGCAGAGTAGAGGAAATTAAAATTAGTTAGGATTTTTGCAGGGGAAAAATTGGGATAGAGGTATCCAGGAAAGAAGAAGGCATAGGAATCTTTGGAGCTGAAGGGAAATAGTTAGTTCATTGTGACTGGAGTGTAGGGGGTAAGAAGCCAAAGGCAGGAAGTGAGGCTGGTAGAACGGGTGGAAAGTAGATACTTGAAAATATTTCAAATCAACGATGGACTTTATTTAAATCCTGCTTCGGTGACAAATGTGTTTTCTGTCTGTACACTGGAGTCCAACAATTAGGACCTTCTTACTGGAGCGTTCTGTATTTTGATAATTGATGTAAACAAATGTAGCATGCTCCTGCTTGTCAAGTTTACAAGCAGAGTTTCCTCCTCACAATTAGGGAGGAAAAACATCTGCCAGCTGATTCTATGCGCTGACCTTCTTTAGGCCTGTACTGTAATTTCTCTGCCTCCAGGGATCCTGGGGGCAGGATGGTTGGAGTGGCTGCCTGGCTACCTCTTCTAATGGAAACATATTAGACATGGTGTATTAGGGATAGGAAATGTGTTTCCTCACCTTTGTGGGGCATTGCTGGTGATATATAACTTCCACAAAGAGAGGTGGACAATAGGCTGAGAGATAGAGACTTAGGTTCCTCGCCAGCTGCATCTGGGCCTGGATGGGTGGGCCTTAACCACTCTTTTGGTCTGTTTCTTGCTAGTAAATAGGCGTCATCGTTCCCGTCCCCTGTGTGCTTCTGGGACACTGTGTGCTTAGCTAGACCTATTTCCCTACTGTAGTCACTCCTGAGCTGCGTGGTCGTTTGAAGGAGTTAAGCACCCATAAGTGCTTGTGGCCAACAGCAGTGATCTAGAGACTGACTCAAGTTAAGATTATTTGATGTGCTCTATAAGGCCTCTGAAGAAAGCTTAGGCAGGTAAATATTTTAAATTGTTTTCATGGATTTTATTTCATATATAATATTTGCATCCTGTGGTGGAAATAGAAAAACACCTTAGTAGGTCCTGTAGCTTACTATGCATTTTCCAGTGCAGGGGGGTTCTTTATTAGCAGATTTACACTCCACTGTCTTTTTCTTCAAGTAATGGAATTTTTTTTTGATTTACTGTGCACTATGGTTGGTCACAAAATTATAGTTCCTGTGAAAGAGCTGAAAGGAACATTTGTGAAGGACTTATGCTGTGCTTATACTGTTAAGTTGCTCAGAGGAAAGTATGAAGGCGAGCTCTGATGCAAGAGCCTGCTGGGGCTGGAGCAGAAAATTAGTGCTTCATTTTTAACTTGAATATGCCACAGAGCTTCTAGAGGACTCGAGAGCCAAACAGTGGTGGATTGGTCTTCGATTTTCTCATAGTGATCTTGCTTTGAGGAAGTTTTTCCCTTTCCTAATACTCACTCACTTATAAGATAGTGAACATAGGGAGGCAGGAAATTAGTTTCTATCAGGTACCTTTTATGTGCCAGGTGTTTTAGATACATTTTATTTTTTACTCCTCCTTCTAAGTGAGATGCAGAAGGTAAAGAACAGTTCCAAGGTCACGTGTCAAATTGAGACGCGTGGTTTCACGTTGGCCGCAGGTCTGGCTGATGCGGTCAGTGTTGTTGCCACTACAGCGTGTTAGATTAATATGCGATATTAGTTCATTTCTTTGAAATCTTCAGAGAGAAGAAAGAATGTTTTCTTAAAGAAATTGGACTAGTTTGATTAATAATTTTAGCATCACATATCCTCCCACTGAAACAGGTGGGAAAACTGTGAGAAGTTATTTGCTCTTGACCAAGAATGTATTTAAGACAGTTAATGCAAATTTTCTTATCAATGTTATACTTAGAAATCAAATGTGTAATGGTACTAAGAATATGGCAGTTGGGTAACATTAAGTTAAAAAAAAAGTAGTAAAAATTACTTTTGTTGACATACCTAATGTGGTTATAACAAGGTTCTTTTAAGAGAAACACAAGATTGCCATACTGAAATCCTTCTAATGCTGCGATTTAAATCCATACACAAACAAATGCTGTTTTGGAACTTTTCAGAATGTTAAAATTGTCTTCAATGAATGTTTATGAAGAAATTACTGAAAAAGCATTTCTTAATAGTGAAGTGCCTGTTTTTTTTTTCAGTCTATCGTCCAAAACACTCTTTTCTAAATGAGTAGCAAAGGGGTTAAAAAATCATTAATCTCCCAAAGGGTCTGTGAGAGAGTTATGTGGTTAGGTATTATTATTGCCTCATTTATAAACCAAGATCCGGAGTGACTCCTTAAGGTCACAAAACAAGCCAGTATTGAAGCCGGGACTGGAACCGACGTCTCCTGCCTCCCAGTCCAGGGCTGTTACCACTCCCAGGGAGTTGACCAATCATCACAGTTATTAATATCCCACTTGCCACATGCTACAAGCCATGAACATAAATATTTTGTTGGCATTTTATCTTCATGCTCCCTATGTGCCAGGCTCCCTTTCTTTCTATGTTCACAGCCCCTTCTAATAACTCACGTTCTTGTCTGACCACATTGGCCTTTGCGTGAAAGTCACACGTCACCCCGGCAGGGAATGTTCAAGCATGCGGATTTGCATACTTTCATTCTGATCTCAAGGCTTTTTCTAGACTTCCTTTTTTTTTTTTTTTAAATCTCGTGTGTGTGTGTGTGTGTGTGTGTGTGTGTGTGTGTGTGTGACAGGGAGGATGGTAAGAAGTAGTTTAAAAATGCATTGTGTGCTACATCAATATCCAATGGCTTTGTACATTAGGAAACAGTAAAGCTTTAAATAGTTTGTAACATATGTCCACATAATTTATCACAGAATTGTGGTTTATTTAATAAGTGACTCATTATCACTATCTGATAGCCAGAATACTGGATAAAGAATAAGTGTGGGCAGAAGTTATTCACCATTTCTTATAGCCTCATCCCAGAATACAGCTCTTCTTTGCAAATTACAGATTCTTTGCAGTTTTCTCCCACCCGCCCCCCCAACGCCTCTATAAGAATATACAAAATTGTCAGAAAACATGAAATAATGTTACGGGAAAACATGGCCAAATTTAAGAAATCTGGCTTAGATTGCTCTGAAAGGTTATTGCTAAATGAATCTTCGAAGAAAACGAATTCCTTTACTGGAACAAAAGTAATTTATTATGCATTTCATGGGTGTCTGCCAGAAGAGTTACTAGCAGTATGAAGATCCAGTGGATATGAATTAAGTACAATCTGTTAGTTCTGTTCATGTTTAGACCTACCTGTTAATTTTCTCTGAAATTTTAATAATTTAAAAAAGCATCTCCATAGACAGGTGTTGGCAATGTGACAATTCACCACTCAGCTACCCATCACATCAGGCTTTTTTAAAGGCCCAGTACTCAGAATTTGTGAGACTGAGCACAAAGACATTATTTTATTGACCTCATATTTTAAGAATGATTTGGACAAATACATAACTAGGCATTGATTCTAATGTCCTGTTGGGGTCTTACGAGTAAACGGTTCCAAGTCAACATCTGACGATGCTTAAATCATGATCCGACTTGATGGTGTGCTGCCTGTTTTGGTTGTTGGCCTGGCACGGTTTCACCAGAGCTGGGCCACATGCTGCAGAACCATATTTTTATTTTATTAAACACAAGTATTTTACATTTAAAGCTCTCATTAAATTTAGTTGCTTGATTCGTGGTGAAGCCTGAATATGGTCAAAAGTTTATTCTGGGGGTTCACGGATTAGCAGCTGGGAGGAAACAGATTCCAGCAGCCAGGCGCTAGCTCCAGCTCTGTCTGTGTGAGTATAGCAAGCTGCCAAGGTTCTGTAAAGCCTCTGTTTTCCTCCTTCTACTAAAGGGGAAAAGTAATTCCTACCATCTGGTCCTTAGGAGTATTGTGTAGAGTGAGTGGGAGATGCCTGGAGACCTCTTTGAAGTTTAAGAAGAATAGCACTACTTAAATACGGGTCTTGGAAGTTAATAGTAATCAGCTTTATTTGCGTGGCATTTTTTTTCATCCCAAGATATTAGAATAAGATCCTCACTTTCTTAATGGGGAAATTTAGAGACGTAGAGTTATTGTGTTAAGAAAGTAACCACATTTTAGAGATTTGTATTTCACTGATAGCAAATTTTTTATTCCTTCTGATACTTAGTACTTTCCTAATGCTTTTTGTGGTTTAAGTGCATTGTAAATGCTTCTTGGTATGTTTTCTGTAATTAAGATGGAGAGATTAAGATGCTCATCCATCTCCTGAAAAGTCAGTTTTGTTATAAAAATTAAGATCATAATTCACCAGGTTTTAAATCTTGCCTCAGGATTCTGTCCCACTTAATTTGAAGATTAGAATAGTGTAATTCATTCTGATTCATTTAGAAGATAAGCTTTTTCTTTAGGGTCCTCATTGACTTCAAGTTGTGGGACAAACCCTCTCCCTTGCAATTTATATTTGTACATGAGTATTTTGGTGATAATCCCAGAGTACTTATAAAGTTTGGCGCCTTTCTTCACCACAACATGCTTGCTGTTGAGTGTGCACAGATACATAAAGCAATTTGCTCTTTTGTCCAGAATAGATTATGTGCATAGAATTGCTTTCGTCTTCTTGAAAAGGGCAGCATCCCTTGGTGTGGCTATAACCTTGCCTACTCAGGCCTAGAAGGGGCGAGAGGGGTATGGGTTGGGGCAGAGTGGGGGAGCAGCCGGTGAAATTTCCAGTAAGGAATTTGTTTGCCGAATTAAATATACAAAACTATTCTGCTGAATAGTTAGGTCATCAGTTGAGGTGACGGTGACTCTCTCTCTAGAGAAAAGGTGTCCATGTTCCTTTGTTTTATTAAGCTGTTAAGAATTCGAGAGTTTCATTGTGATTGGTTTTCACATGTCCTGGTGGAGACAGAATTTGTGTGTGTTCATGTGTCTTTCATGTGTCACCTTCTAAACTATTACTGTCACTTTGTATCTGGTCCTCTGTTACCTCCAGCCAAACTGAAATGATCGTAGTTTATATAGTGGAAGTTACGATTTGCAGGAAAGCATTTCCCCTTTGTTGGAATTTATACAAAGTTTTTAATTCCTCTTTGGAGGAAGGCAGCTATAAAGCACCACAGGAGTCTAACCTAGAGGTTACAAAAGCAGAGAAGAGCTTTGGCAGTGAGGGACGGCTGGCTTCCCCTCACACAAGAAAAAGCCGTAAGCACAGTCTCACTCAGATGTGTAGGAAGGACGGATCAGAGGCTGGGGGAGCCGACAGTCTGCCTTGCAGTGAAGGAGGCATGTGATCACCATCAAAGTCTTCTGCTCTGGGAAGGATCACACAGTCGTCCTTCAGCCTGCCTGGGGCGCAGTGTTTTCTTTCCTCAGACCGAAACTGCATGAAGAGAGATTCCAGCAAGGAAGATAGAGCATGCCCCGTACACTCCTCTCTGGTTTTCTTCCTCAAAGGAAATTTATGCATGTAATCCACAAGCCGAAGAACCCATGTTTTTCTTTGGAAAAGGCTACGCCCTTTCAGGGTTTCCTTTTCTCGGCTGTGTTGCCTTCCCATCAGAAGCTGTCTCTTGCCCTCCCCATTATGGGATGTGCGAAATGAAGGAAAACAGAGACACTGCTGGGCATTTGTCTCCATGAGTTGATCCAATCAGAAATCTTTGACTTTTCAGATATGTGTCCAAAAATGAGTGAAGGCTCCTCACAGGAAAAAAAAAAAAAAATTCTAGGTGATCTAAAGATGAACTGTGGCTACTTCTCAGGCTAGCGGATATTTTCCATGTCCCAATCTGTAGCAGCCCAAGCTCTCCCTGAAGTCATTTACTCCTTTAAGAGGGAGTTTTCCAGCCCAGCTGCTCTGCCTGTCTCCCACCTAACCCGGCCAGCTTTCAGTGCTAAGCCCAGGCTGGGTCTGGCCCTGATAACACATTCTTTCAACAGGAAGTGCCTCCATTTTCAGTTGTCTGTGGGAGGGTGGAGGGCAGATAAGCCTTGAATGGAAACACAGAGCCGATTTCTGCTCCACCCTCCTTGCACTTTGATCAGGGAGAGAGCAGGGACCTCCGCCTGGCCTGTGCTGCCTGCCGAAAGGAGGGAGGATGGTTGAGCTGTGGGCATTCCGGAGCTCTCCCTCCCTTTTGTTCAGGAACGTTTGTTTAGGTTGGTCTAGGTTAGTGAAGTGCCTGCTTTTGCAGGGTTGTGATGTCTGCGATCTGAACTAAAGTCCTTTGAAGGGTTGAATTATTTGTGGGAAAATATATCAACCAATTGAAATTTATACGTGTGTTTGTATGTGTGTGTATTAGGTCCAGGATCATAGTATATTTTTCTCTGATTTCCCCCCTCCGCCCCCCCCTCCCAACACACACACATCGTGTTGATTCTCAGTAGGCATCTCTTGACTATCATCAGTGAGGGAAAGGGACTTAAAAGATGAACAATAACAGGACAAAGCCAGGCTTCTTAAGAAGAGTAGCTGTGCCAACTCTGAACGCCTTCTACTTTTAGAATATTGGTTTAGAGGCCAGGCACGGTGGCTCATGCCTGTAATCCCAGTACTTTGGGAGGTCGAGGCAGGCGGATCACTTGAGGTCAGGAGTTCGAGATCAGCCTGGCCAATATGGTGAAACCCTAACTCTACTAAAAATACAAAAATTAGCCGAGTGTAGTGGTGGGCGCCTGTAATCCCAGCTACTCTGGAGACTGAGGCAGGAGACTCACTTGAACTCGGGAGGCGGAGGTTGTAGTGAGCCGAGATACCACCACTGCACTCCAGCCTGGGCGACAGAGTGAGAGAATATCGGTTTTGAGAGCTGAAGTTACGCTGATGCATGGAGCTGACGTGTTGATTGTTTTAACTTGTATAGAACTGTGAGATTCACATGTGCGTGGCTGGCCAGGCCCTGGCCTGTGCCAGGTGGCAGGGAGATGATTTCAGGGGCGGATGGGGGCCCTTCTGACCCGCCCTCCTGTTAGTGCCTCGACTCTGGTTCCCTCCTATTTTTTCAAGCCACTTTCTGATCCCATGAAGGTTGGCTTGTCCCTCAAGTGCCTTGTGTTTCTGGTACTCATGTCTTCTATTCATCCCCAAAGTTATTAGGTTGGTGCAAAAGTAATTGTGGGTTTTGTCATTACTTTCAATGCCAAAAACTGCAATTACTTTGGCAACAACCTAAATAGATTTACTATGCAATTCAATTTAAGTATTCAAAGAAAAATATTCAAAGAAAGGTATAGATGGCTAATAGACTTGGCCCTCTCAGCTAGTCCCCTGTTTCTCCCCTCCTCCCAGGGGACCTTTGTAATACTTACACATGTGCATGGATAAATTGCAGTTATGACGTGTAATTCATATCTTGCTGTTTTTCACTTAACATGGTATTACAGGATTTTTTCCATTTTGCTCCATGATCTTATTATTTTTAATAATTGCATAATAGTTCATTGAGCGGATGTGCCCTGCTTTTCTAAACCGTTCCCATATTATTAGACATTAGATTGTTTCTATAGTTTCTACTATTAGAAGTAACCTTGCAACGGTTGGCTTCCTTTGCGGAGCCTTTCCCTTCTTTTGAATTATTTCCTTATAATACATTTCCAGAAGTGAAATTATAGGGCGAAGTAGGGTCTAAACTTCTGGATGGCTCTTGACATTGCAGCTAACTGCCTTCTGTAAGGTGGGTGTACCAGAATTTAGCTCCGCCAGCCATGAGTGAGGGGACTGGTGTTACCATGTAAGTAACATCAGCCTTTCTTTGCAGTATTTCATGTTTAAATATTATTATATGTACACATAAAATAAGGCTACCAAGCATTGGGCACAAATACTTGCCCCATTTTTTTTCTGACAGGCTCAGCTATTGCTTTTAATTGCAAATGAGCAGATTTATTTCTAGGAGTGCATCACTCATGGAATTTGAGGTCTGTCTGCCCTTTGATAGCAGGACTCTTGGCCTGCCAAATAGCTTAACATTTTGTCTGAAAAAAAGACAGGTTATTTTCGCCAATTGCTTTTGGGATTGTTATTCAGGTGTAAGAATAACATTCAGGGTGTTAACGTTTCTTTAATGTGGGTTGTTGAAAAAGAGTCAGTGAGTCACCAGGTGTGGTAGCTCGTGCCTGTGATCCCAGCACTTTGGGAGGCTGAGGCAGGTGGATCCCTTGAGCTCAGGAGTTTGAGAACAGCCTAGGCAACATGGTGAAACCCCATCTTTACAAAAAATACAAAAATTAGCTGGGCATGGTGGCACATGCTTGTGGTCCCAGTTATTCGAGAGGCTGAGATGGGAGGATCTCTTCAGCCCAGGAGGTGGAGGTTGCAGTGAGCCAAGATCACACCCAGTGCACTCCAGCCTGGATGACAGAGCAAGACCCTGTCTCAAAAATAAAAAATAAAATAAAAAAGAGAAAGAGTCATGAGACTTTTGAATGGCTACAGAACACTTTGATTTATTTTTGCGAAGAACTGTCAGTGACAGTTTGAATAGGGTCATTCTGGAGGTGGTTCTCTTTGAGCTCCAACTGTGTTCCGACTGCTTCTGCCCCTGCCTGGTGATGGGGTAACTTGCTTGGGCTGAAGGATAGAATGAGGAGAATAAATTAGATCCAAGCCTCTTAACCTTAACAATAATAATTAGATAACAAGAGTAGCTTATACTGACATAATCTTTACTGTTCTCAGACACTGTTACAAGGGCTTTACATATATTAGCCAATTCTTTTTTTTTTTTTTTTTGAGATGGAGTTTCACTTTTGTTGCCCAGACTGGAGTGCAATGGTGCAATCTCGGCTCACTGCAACCTGCCTCAGCCTTCTGAGTAGCTGGGATTACAAGCATGCTCCACCTTGCTCGGCTAATTTTTTTGTGTCAGTAGAGATGAGGTTTCACCATGTTGGTCAGGCTGGTCTCAAACTCCTGACCTAAGGTGATCCACCTGCCTCGGCCTCTCTAAAGTGCAGGGATTGCAGGCGTGGGCCACCGCGCCTGGCCTAGCCAATTTAATTCTTGCAATAATCTTATGGCATAGGTGCCTCTTTTTATCCCACTTTATAGGTGTGGAAACTGAGGCACACAAAGCTGTATGTCAGGCTTCTGGTTTACCTCTCCCACATGGTCTGTTCACTCTTTTGCTTCATCCTTCTGTTTTTCAGCTGGCTTTTCTTCTGAACAGGCCAGGTGACCACCTCTCTTCATCCGCCCTGCCTCCCATTTTGAACATCCTTCTCTCGCCAATAACAATAGCTTCCCTTTACGGAATGTTTAACATGGCAAGGCACCTTGCCTTCGCTTTTACAAACGTTAGCTCATTTAATTGTCGCAACCATCCCTGAGGTGGGAAATGTGAGGACCCAGGCACAGAGGAGGCTCAGGGGGGACTGCACTCAGCAGGGGACTGAATCAGGACAGGACTTGAGAGTCCAAGCTGCTTCCCCTCCTTCTCATACTCCTGTGTGGGCTGCCTTTGGTTCCTTGCCCAGGAGTCCTTGCCCTCTGCTATTCCTTTTCTGACTCTTGGTCTACCTTCCTGTCTCAGCCACTCATTTGTTGTTCATGATAAGCAGCCAACAGTCGACTTTCTAATGTGTATGGATCCTGGCTCCCCACAAAGCCTGGGAGCTCCTGGGGCAGTTGACTATCTTTCAGGCTCCTGATCTAGTGTCTGGCTGTCAGTTGTTGCTTTGCCAATGTTTCTTTTTTTCTTCTCTTTCTTTCTTTTTTTTTTTTTAATTTTTACTTTTTAGAGACAGGGTCTTGCTCTGTCCCTTAGGCTGGAGTGCAGTGATGCAATCGTAGCTCACTGCAGCCTTCATCACCTAGACTCAAGCAATCCTTCCATCTCGGCTCCCCAAATAGCTGGGACTACATGCCCAGCTAACTTTTGTATTTTTTGTAGAGACGGGGTCTCCCAATGTTGCCCAGGCTGGTCTCAAATTCCTGGGCTTAAGTAATCCTCCCTCCTCGGCTTCCCAAAGTGTTGGGATTAAAGGCACGAGCCACCGTGCCCAGCCTGCTTATGCTTCTTGTTGCTGGCTGTGGTGGTGGTGACAGATCCCTCTGCTGTCTTGGCACTTCCCTGCCATTTGAGATGGGCTATTTCCTGGGCCAGTTCAGGAACCCTCTCCATTTCAGAAAATAACACTTGTTGCGGTGAAGTCAGATTTAGTCAGAGGCATATGCTGATGTGCCTGTTTTCGAATAAGAAAATCAATGCAAAGTTGGACGTGAGATGTATCATTATAAGGAAGCTCACTCTAATAGTTCCTTTCTAAATAAATAATTCTTTTGTAATTGAATATCATCCTTTTGCTTATTTCTTTGAGGGTTAAATCTGGATCCACACTGGATTTGCTTCTGGTGGAGTCTCTGGAATTAAGGGCTAAAGTTAATCACTATGTTTATAAGTATAACCAAGTTTATGGCATTCAGTTTGTTGGACAGGATTATTTTAGCTTTTTCAGAATTGCCACAAGAATCCATCTGAAGCTTTAGACATCTCACTGATTTTTGTGAAATTTGCTTTTTAATGCACCTAAAACCCTCAGTTTAAGTCTTTACATTTGTGTTATATAAACAAAAGTTTGGGTGTGGGGCCAGTGTTGTTGCTGGATTTTCATAAAACCTCATTTCTGCTGGGAAAGGGAAGGAGTGGTTACCTGTGGAGGGGTCGGGTTTGGTCTGTCTGGTTGGGAGGAAGGAAGTTTGGGTGCTTAGACTCAGAGGGCTTGCTCGCCTGAAGTCCTGCCTCCCAGCCTCATGCCCTTATGGTGAGGGTTGAGAGCAAACCAGATCTTGTTGGAAAACGAGTAGAGTTGGACCTCATTCACTTGCAGGCCGTGGAGGCTCGGCACACTTCCTTTCTGTTCCGCCTGTGTCTGGTGCCAGAGAAATGCTGTTTTAAGGATTTAATGGGATTATGTATGTAAAAAAGAAATTCTGTGAAAAGTACACAATGTCCTACCTCTGTCAAATAACAAGTATCTGGTAATTTATAGAATGGAGCCCTGAAAGCTTGGAAGGAATAAGAGCTCCTGAACTTTTAGAAGGAAAAAGGTGATTTTAAAAAGTACATGATTATGGCGAAATTTTTCAAAAAGCTTCTCAAAAGCAACTTTATTCAAACTGTTGTCTAAACAGATTTTAGTTATTTTGGTTTGATTTTACTAAATTATATGATGTTTCCTATTTGGCCTTTTTCATGTGAATGGGAGGAATGGGTGGAACAGGGCAAAGGTGAACTTGTGCTTCAAGAAATCATTGTGGCCAGGCACAGTGGCTCACGCCTGTAATCCCAGCACTCTGGGAGGCCCAGGCAAGCAGATCACCTGAGGTCAGGAGTTTGAGACCAGCCTGGCCAACATGGTGAAACCCCGTCTCTACTAAAAATACAAAAATTAGCCAGGTGTGGTGGTGCATGCCTGTAATCCCAGCTACTCGGGAGGCTGAGGCAGGAGAATCACTTGAACTCAGGAGATGGAGGTTGCACTGAGCTGAGATCGTGCCACTGTACTCCAGCCTGGGAGACAGTGAGACTCTGTTTCAAAAAAAAAAAAAAAAAAAAAAAGAAAGAAATCATTGCCATGATCATGGCAGATAGAGGATGTTAGCATTTTCTTTATAACGTGGTCTGCTTCAGACATGGACTGTTCTTGTAAAGAATTAAGGTAAATGAGGTAGATTTTAAAGCCTGTATATGCATAGGTTTATTTTCCATGAAGTCAATGTTCAAAAATTTCACTGATCAGGGAATGTTGAACTGTGCAGCTTTTCTAAAAAGTCTAAAAAGACTTTGCCATCACTGGATAAGCCTTGTTAGAGTGTGTGTGTGTGTGTGTGTGTGTGCGCGCGCACGCATGCGTGCGCTCTGCATTTTCTCTTTGGAAATGATCAGGTTGTGTGTGCATCATTAATGCCTATTCACCCACACAGTGAGGTTTGTTTCACAGTCAGAGATCTTAGAGCTTGGCACTTTTTACAAATAGGATTTCTTCAGTTCCCCTTCCTTTTGTCCAGCTTTGCATCTTGCCAGTGGCTCCTGCCCTGAGTTCTAAAGTTTCGAAGGCTTAAGTGGCCAGGGTCAGGTCAGTGGCACTGTGTGCAATGCAGGGAAAGGCCCCCACTTGCTGGGGGCAGGGGATAGTAACGCCGGCTTCATTTCTCCTGCCCTGGGTCTGCCCAGGAGCAGCTCTGGCCCTGGCTGCACAGACCCGTTCATTAGCTCCCATGTATTTCACTACCAGGATTGTAACCGCTTCTCACCTTCTCGTCTCTCCTCTGTGTCCCCCTCTTCTGCCAGGCGGGTGCCCCGGTGATGACTGGTGCGGGAGAGAGCACCAATCCCGAGAACAGCGAGCTCAAGTATTCGGGTCAAGATGGGCTCTACATAGGCGTCAGTCTCGCCTCGCCGGCCGAAGTCACGTCCTCCGTGCGACCGGATTCCTGGTGCGCCCTGGCCCTGGCCTGAGCCCACGCCGCCAGGAGGCAGGGAGGGCTCCGCCGCGGGCCTCACTCCACTCGTGTCTGCTTTTGTGCAGCGGTCCAGACAGTGGCGACTGCGCTGACAGAACGTGATTCTCGTGCCTTTATTTTGAAAGAGATGTTTTTCCCAAGAGGCTTGCTGAAAGAGTGAGAGAAGATGGAAGGGAAGGGCCAGTGCAACTGGGCGCTTGGGCCACTCCAGCCAGCCCGCCTCCGGGGCGGACCCTGCTCCACTTCCAGAAGCCAGGACTAGGACCTGGGCCTTGCCTGCTATGGAATATTGAGAGAGATTTTTTAAAAAAGATTTTGCATTTTGTCCAAAATCATGTGCTTCTTCTGATCAATTTTGGTTGTTCCAGAATTTCTTCATACCTTTTCCACATCCAGATTTCATGTGCGTTCATGGAGAAGATCACTTGAGGCCATTTGGTACACATCTCTGGAGGCTGAGTCGGTTCATGAGGTCTCTTATCAAAAATATTACTCAGTTTGCAAGACTGCATTGTAACTTTAACATACACTGTGACTGACGTTTCTCAAAGTTCATATTGTGTGGCTGATCTGAAGTCAGTCGGAATTTGTAAACAGGGTAGCAAACAAGATATTTTTCTTCCATGTATACAATAATTTTTTTAAAAAGTGCAATTTGCGTTGCAGCAATCAGTGTTAAATCATTTGCATAAGATTTAACAGCATTTTTTATAATGAATGTAAACATTTTAACTTAATGGTACTTAAAATAATTTAAAAGAAAAATGTTAACTTAGACATTCTTATGCTTCTTTTACAACTACATCCCATTTTATATTTCCAATTGTTAAAGAAAAATATTTCAAGAACAAATCTTCTCTCAGGAAAATTGCCTTTCTCTATTTGTTAAGAATTTTTATACAAGAACACCAATATACCCCCTTTATTTTACTGTGGAATATGTGCTGGAAAAATTGCAACAACACTTTACTACCTAACGGATAGCATTTGTAAATACTCTAGGTATCTGTAAACACTCTGATGAAGTCTGTATAGTGTGACTAACCCACAGGCAGGTTGGTTTACATTAATTTTTTTTTTTGAATGGGATGTCCTATGGAAACCTATTTCACCAGAGTTTTAAAAATAAAAAGGGTATTGTTTTGTCTTCTGTACAGTGAGTTCCTTCCCTTTTCAAAGCTTTCTTTTTATGCTGTATGTGACTATAGATATTCATATAAAACAAGTGCACGTGAAGTTTGCAAAATGCTTTAAGGCCTTCCTTTCAAAGCATAGTCCTTTTGGAGCCGTTTTGTACCTTTTATACCTTGGCTTATTTGAAGTTGACACATGGGGTTAGTTACTACTCTCCATGTGCATTGGGGACAGTTTTTATAAGTGGGAAGGACTCAGTATTATTATATTTGAGATGATAAGCATTTTGTTTGGGAACAATGCTTAAAAATATTCCAGAAAGTTCAGATTTTTTTTCTTTGTGAATGAAATATATTCTGGCCCACGAACAGGGCGATTTCCTTTCAGTTTTTTCCTTTTGCAACGTGCCTTGAAGTCTCAAAGCTCACCTGAGGTTGCAGACGTTACCCCCAACAGAAGATAGGTAGAAATGATTCCAGTGGCCTCTTTGTATTTTCTTCATTGTTGAGTAGATTTCAGGAAATCAGGAGGTGTTTCACAATACAGAATGATGGCCTTTAACTGTGGCTCCCTGAGTGTACAGTATTTTTTTACTTCTTTTCATGCACTTATTACAGTCATTCTATGGGGTTCAGTCTGAATCTTTCAAGAGAAGGAATGTCTTCCTTAGTCCTGGTGAATGCTACTCTATAGAGGGACAGTGTCCATAGCCAGTGTGTGTGTGTGTGTGTGTTTCTGGGTAATTCAGTAAGGCCCACGTGCACCCTGATATCATAAGGTGGGCCAGAACAATGGTTAAGAGTGTTGGGTATGCAGGCAGATCACTAGGCTTCAATTCCCTGCTTGGCCGTGGATAAGCTCTGTGACCTTGGGCAAGTTATCCAGCTCTCATCTTTCTAATATAAAATAAAGGCAAATAGTATATAAATCACAGGATTAAGTGAGATAGTCCATGCCAAGTGCTTAGCACAATACCTGGCACATATTAAGTACTAACTTGACTTTGAAAGAGAGTGGCATGATTTGCAACATAGATCCTTTGAATAATGTCTGACTACCTGGAATATCAGAAGTTTATGGTCTGTAAGAGTGATGTCCTGTGGGTCACCTGTGCTTCTTCAACAAGGCCAAGAAGAGTGAAATGAAAGACTCCCTCTAATCCAGGGGGTTGCAGAAATGGAGGGAGGATGCATGAGAGCTGATTGTTTTATAATAGAACAAGGCTGTTCTGACAACAGAAGAAAATTATTATCCCCACGAACTGATGTCTGTTTTCCTCCCTCCTTTTATGGTTCTCATTACTTTGAGTGCTTTTTGGTGGGTTGGGAGTTGTTAAAGTTAATATGGTTTGATTGGAAAATGAATTTTTCTTTTTGGGGCTTCCAAATGACCCTTTTTCTGGGATAATCTCAAATATTGCTCCTTCCAATTCTAAAAAGAATTCTAGTTTTTATGAAACAAATTACAGTGGGCAGAAGACAGAGGGGGCTTCTTGTAGCCTGTCCTAACACAATGAACTCCACTATCTGTTTTTAAATGATTACTTTCTTACCTATGATTGCATAAAGAAGTTTGTTAAATTTGCTCCAAATACACAATTTCAGCACTCCTCTCCCAAAGTATGACATGTGCAACTGAACATGACCCAATCATTTCTCAAAAGGGAATGCATTCAAATAGATGCTGCACCTCAGCTTAAAGAATCCCCAGACCGTATATCGTGGACTGGAGAATTTATGTCTTCTGTCACACATGGCTGATTTGAGGCCATCTTAAATAAGTGAAGGCTCTGTCTGGGGTCTCTTTTCAGGGTCACTTAATGTTGTTTCCTGGTGCTTATGGGAGGGTCAGGAAAGCAAAGGGAACCATTCATTTCCCAGTGCAAATAAATTAACTTCTTGCTCATGGGAAATGTTTTTCACAGTCCTTGGAAATTTGATGTAATTTCAGATCACAGATAAATTGGCTGCTTTGCTGGGAGGGCAACCCAGCGAGTCTTCAATGCTGTGCCAGATTCCAGGGTGAGTTCAGGTTGGAGCAGTGTAGTGGGGAGAAAGGTGGCAGGCAGAAGCAAATATTTTCAGAATCAGGCAGTGCTGGCTTATTAAGATGCTTCTCTCTCTCTCTCTCTCTCTCTCTCTCTCTCCCTCCCTCCCTCTCTCTCTCCCTCTCTCTCTCTCTCCCCCTCCCTCCCTCCCTCCCTCTCTCTCCCTCCCTCCCTCTCTCTCTCTTTCTTTTCTTTTTCTTTCTTTCTCCCTTCCTTCCTTCCCTTCCCTTCCTCCCTTCCTTCTTCCCTTCCCTTCCCCTTCCTTCCTTCCTTTCTTTCTCTTTCTTTCTTTCTTTCTTTCGCTCTCTCTTCCTCCCTCCCTCTCTTTCTCTCTCTTTCTTTTTCTTTCTTTCCTTCTTTCTTTCTTTCTTTTTCTTTCTTTCTCCCTTCCCTTCCCTTCCCTTCCCCTCTCCTCCCCTCCCCCCCTCTCTTTCTTTCTTCTTTCTTTCTTTCTTTTTTTCTTTCTTTCTTTGAGACAAAGTCTGGCTGTGTCACCCAGGCTGGAGAGCAGTGGCACAATCATAGCTCACTTGCAGCCTCAACTTTCTGGGCTCAAGTGATCCTTCCCCCTCAGCCTCCCAAAGTGCTAGTATTATAGGCGTGAGCCACTGCACCTGGCTAAAATGCATTTTGTTTCTGGGTTGAAATACTAGCAAGTCAGTGTGGCAATACTAGTTATCTTCTGTTGCTTGGGAGCTCTAATTGGCAGTCAGATATGCTTTGATTATTTTAAATGGGAAACATATTAATAAACTTGCTAGACCAAATCTTTCAGAATAGGGTCTGTGGGAAAAAATGTGGTACCTACAGGTCTGGCTGCTTGAGGCTCCTGGATGGATTCTGTGTGGCTGAACCTTCAGCAGCTGCATTCTGAGAAGGCCACTTCGCTTATGACCTTCTGGTGGGGCTGGGATCAGGCAGGAGAAGGTGATAGACATCAGTAGGACAGGCAGAAGAGGAGTCAAAGGGTGTTTTCAGTTGGTTCAACTTCAAGATAAAGGATGCCAGAAAGTCTTAGTTTATAGGGACTTTGGATAAATATATTGTGGTTGATAGTTCCAAATTGCTTCTAAGGAAAGTTAGGACGTTGCAGGTGCGTGTCTGCACCTCTGAGACTCATGTCAGAGCAAGCACCCATGCTCCTCTGAATATTCTCCAGCATATTCCAAGTCTGCACTAGGGAACCAGCGTGACGACGGGTGCTTCACTGCTCTTGCCGCCTGGTAGCTGTTACAGGGAAGTGACCATTACACAGTTGATGTCACTATTTTGGCTCAAGAGATACTTATTTTGCTTGGTGGCTTTTTTTTTTTTTTTTTTAAAGAAAGAACCTTTTAAAAATGACTAAAATATAGTGATTAAAGAATGTTTAATGAGGAGAGGTGCTTATATTTCAGTTATCAGTGGTCTGTCTGTCAAAATAATCATCTACATATCCTATAGCTTTGGGGCAAGTTGTTTGCTCTCTCTGGATCTCAGTAGCCAAAAAATGGCGAGATCTGGCAGTTGGGGTCTAGAAGTTCCCTTCTATCTGTGTTTACATCCCACAGTCCCATGGGCAGACTGTATGCAAGGTGATGGCAGGTCTGTGGCTGAGTTTGAGGGGCTCGCAGGGACCCTCTGTGAGTAAGGAGGCTGGTAGATTTACAATCTCCTCTCTTCCTGTCTCCTCCCCACCTCAGATCTGGTCTCTGGAGGCCAAGTCCTCCCATAACCTTAAGCCATAGAGGGTGAGAGTTGCAGTCATATTCATGAACCCAGGGGCTTAGTAAGGGCTGCCACTGCTCCCTAACACTGAACCTGTTTGGTCTGTGTCCCCCATATGAAACTGAGACAGCGATACGAATCCAGACCGGAAAATGGAAAAGTCTGGCATTGGAGCAGTCCGCAGAACAAGGAAAAAACAGCTTTGCTTTGCTTGGCCCATTGCTTCAGTATCTTATAGTTGGTTTTCTATTTCTTGGAAGCAATCAACATTTCATTGTTGTTTGCCTTCTGTGTCTTCTCTTTAGCTACTACACAGTTTTCCTCTCTGTCTCATCACTCTCTTCCAGGGTTTTTACCCTTACTTTTGTGAATTCTATTTCTTTAATGCTCCAAGACTGGTCGGAGATAGGAACAACACATATTTATATAGCACTATGTGCCATTTTCTATGCAAAATGCCTCACATATACCCATTTATCTAATCCTCATACCAAGTAAATGGGGTGGTACTATTCCCATCTTAGGGATGTGTCTACGGAGGCACAGAGAAGTTAAGTCACTTGCCCAAGTTTGCACTGTGGCAGAGCTAGGATTTGAACCCCTGCAGTGTGGCTCCAGAGCACATGCTCCTAATCACTACATCATGTTGTCTTTTCATCTTGATTTAAAGGCAAAAAAATAGGATGGGCACGGCGGCCCACATCTGTAATCCCAGCATTTTGGGAGGCTTAGGCGGGTGGATCACCTGAGGTCAGGAGTTCAAGACCAGCCTGGCCAACATGGTGAAACCCCGTCTCTACTAAAAATACAAAAGTTAGCCGGGCGTTATGGTGCATGCCTGTAATCCCAGCTATTTGGGAGGCTGGGGCAGGAGAATCACTTGAACCTGGGAGGCAGAGGTTGCAGTGAGCCGAGATCGTGCCACTGGACTCCAGCCTGGGCAACAGAGTAAGACTCTGTCTCAAAAAATAAAATAAAATAAAATAAAATAAAAAAGGTGAAGAAATAGAAGAACACAGAAGGAAGCCATCGCTGTCTGAGAGCAGAGACTATGCTTTTTCTTTCTCCGCTCGCATCTCAGAAATACACAAGTATCATTTGCAACACAGGTATGCCTAGGTTGAAGAAATTGAGTAAACATGCATATTTCTCGCAGTTAGTTCTTTCTTTAGAACATAGAAGAGAGTGCCTAGCTGTTAGCTGGAAAGTTTAGAGGTATCATTCTATTTTTGGAGTGAGTCCCTTCCCCTTTTCTTGTAACTTCAAGTGCAGCTTATTATGCTCTTATCTAGCTCAAAAGATTAGGGTAAAGCATTTTGTAAAGTGTAAAAAAGCTGGTGAAATGATGAACAGTGGTTAAAACTGAACATGAGAGGGAACAAGGAATACCTTGTGGTGTAAAATCTCTGTGCTTAGCTGTGCCAAAGAATTTTTTTCAGGAAAACTTGCACAAGATCTTGGCAGTGGTGTCTTGGGCTTTATCTTTTTAAGTAAGTGTTCATTACTGCTTACATCATTGTTGCTATTATTATTTTGATAAGTGTGCATTGCCAAGGATGCTCTGTGTCAGGGGTTCTCCAACTCCCATGTGCACGAGAATCACACACAGGGCTTGTGAAAATCGCAGAGTCCATAACTCCCCCAGAGAACTGGATTCTGCAGGTCTTGTCTTGGAAGCTGCAATTTTGGCCTTTGCATTAATTAAAATTTCTTGGCTAGTACAAAATCACAAAGTTGTAAGTTAGAATGCACTAAAAAAAATTGTTCTTTTCACCCCTCTACCTCAGTCAGTCAGTTCCTCTCCCAGATGTTACTTCCTTCTTTTTCTCTTTCTTCCTTTCCTTTCCTTCTTTCTTTTCTTTTCTTTTTCTCCTTCTCCTCCTCCTCCTCCTTCTTCTTCTTTCATTTCTTTCCTTTCTTTCCCTTCCTTCCTTCCCCCCTTTTTTTTTTTCGCTAGAGTCTCCCTCAGTCGCCCAGACTGGAGTGCAGTGGCGTGATTTTGGCTCACTGCAACCTCCACCTGCCAGGTTCAAGTGATTCTCCTGCTTCAGCCTCCCCAGTAGCTGGGACTACAAGCATGCACCGCTGCACCCAGCTAATTTTTGTATTTTTAGTAAAGATGGGGCTTCTCCATGTTGGTCAGGCTGGTCTTGAACTCCTGACCGCAAGTGATCTGTCGGCTAGGCCTCCCGAAGTGCTGGGATTACAGGCGTGAGCCACCGCGCCTAACCATAACTTCTTATTTCTTGCATGGATTGTATGCATTGACTAGGGACACACAATATATTCCAGTTTTTTGACATATAGGATAGCGCACTATACACATTGCTTTGCATTTTGCTTTTTTCACTTAGCATATCTGGGTAGGTCATTATTTAATCAGTGCCATATTTAAGTACATTTGTTTCCAGCCTTTGGTTTTTTTGAGTAATGCTGCAATTAATATCCCTTATCTGTGTCATTTCACGCAGGTGCAAATATACCTGTAAAATGAATTTCTGGAAGCAGCATTACTGACTCAAGGGTATCTACTTTTCATTTTGATAGATATTGCCAAATTGCTCTCACAGAGGTTTCCCCAATTTGTACTCCCACCAGCAATGGACAAGAGTGTTTTTTCTTTTTCACACAAGTCTGGTGTCAAACATTCTGATCTTGTCAGTCTTGATTCTCTGAGTTTTGTTTTGCATTTCTCTTATTGTGAGCGAAGTCGAACATATTTTCCTATGATTAGGAGCCATGTGTAATTCCTTTTATGTGAACTTTTTGCCCATCTCTGTCCATTTTCTTTACTTATTTTTTCTATTGGGTTATCAGTCTCATTGATTTGAGAAGTTCTTCGCATGTTAAGGAAAGCAGCCCTTTGTCTGAAATATACTTGAAATATATATACATATATTCTGGCTTTTTGTTTTACTTTGTTTATACTTTTTAAAAAGTCATGATGATCTTTTCTTTCATAAAGTAATTCAATTTATTGGTCTTTTCTTTTATGACTTTGGAGTTTTGTATAATATTAGGAAGGCCTTCCCCACCATTAAGATGATTTTTTTAAAATCCCGTGTTTTCTTCTAGTATTTTTATGGTTTTATTTTTGAGGTTTGCATTGTTTTTTAAATCTGGAACTTTTGTTGTTGGTTGTTGTAACATGTAGAATATATATTCAACATTTGTCCAAATGGCAACCTTATTGTCACAGCATCATTTCCTGAAAAATCCATTTCCCTCCCACTGATTGAAAATAGAAAGTCAAAATTATATAAATTCTCATATGTATATGTACTCTTTTATAAATTCTTATGTGGATATATATTTAATATAAATTTACATATACATTTGGGTCTATTTCTATCTATTTTGTACCAATGATATGTTTATATATGTGTCAATCTCATACTTTTTTTTGATTATTATATAAGCATGCCTCACTTAGCGACAAGAATACTTTCTGAGAAGTACATCAGGCAATTTCATCATTGTGTGAACATCACAGAGTGTGGTTACATAAATTTAGATGGTTTAGCCTACCACATACCTAGGCTATAATGATATAGCCTATGGCTCTTAGGCTACAAACTTGTACAGCATGTGACTCTACTGAATACTGTATGCAACTGTAACACAATGGTAAGTATTTATGTATCTAAACATATCCAAACTTAGATAATGTACAGTAAAAATACAGTATTATCATTTTATGGGACCACCTTCATATATATGCAGTCCATTTTTGACCAAAATGTCATTGTGTGGTGCATGACTATACTTTGCATGTATTTTACTGTTTAGAAGGCCAGCTCCTTTTCATTGATCTTATTTTTTAAATAAGAATTTGATCACTATTCTTGCTTACTTGTTTTTCCACATAAACTTTAGAATTAGCTTGTTCCTTTTCAAAAAAATCCTGTTGGTATTTTTATTGGAATAGTATTAAAATTTTAGATTATCTTAGGGAGAATTAATATCTTAATTTTATTAAGTCTTCCTGTCCAAGATGAAGTATGTCTTTTTTGTTTGTTAAAATTTTTTTTTCTGTGTCCCTCATAAGAATTTTAACCTTTTCTTCCTGTAGATCTTGTGCATGTTTCTGGTTAAGTTTATTCTTAGGTGTTCAATACTTTTTGATGTTAGTTTATTCTAATGGATTGTCATGTTCATTAAGAGTATAGTAAGCCTCTTTCCCAGAACCATTTAAAATTCTCATATTTTTTTTCGGTTGATTCTCTTGTGTTTTCTGAGAGAATATGCAGTTTCTATTTGTACTGCTGGTGGTTCAGGTGTTGGTGGAAACACTTTTCATGGTGTTGTCTGATTAAGGAAATCTAGGTACCTCACACTGCATTTATTCACTTAAATCATCAATTCATATAACTTTAGAGATGGAAGAGACTTGACTGAGGTCCAGCTGAGGAAACTGAGTCTCAGAAAGGTTGGGTTGTGGTTCGTCAGTATAGAGCTCAGGTTTCCAGGCTCGGGGATCCATGACCTTGGTGCTGTGGGCTAGGCTGAGAGGTCCCTGAAGGAAATGCAAGAACCAAACATTGTGAGCAAAAGCTTGGACTTTGGCAGAGGCTATAACTTCTTTTTACTCTGAGTAATGCTTCATTAATCGGTTTAGGAATTAACAAGATACTGAGACTTGGGCCAGTATGGGTTTTCAAAGATTGCATGTGTCTCCAAACACCACCTCTGAGTTCCTTCCAGGGAGTAGCCCACATGACCATTGGTCTCCAGTGAATCACCAGGCCACATTTGCTGAAGTAAATGGAAGCATTGCGAGAGCAGAAAATCAGGACAGACACCTATACTTGCTAACCCAAACAACCGCCCTTTCTGAGCCACTGGAGATCAGTTATCACCAAATGGACAGATACACTCGGCAAAGTTTTTGCAGGCTTCACAGCTTGTAAATAAGAGACTGCATTCTTCATGCTCCCTCTTGTTGAATCTGGCAGAGGGAAGACCTCTGGCTCTAATCAGCTGGGCAATGACCAGTAGCTGGGCTGGCAGGAAAGAGTGATGACTCCATTTGAATAAACTTTGTGAACCCACTATAGTTAATTCAGAGGACCCATATACTAAGAACACAGGGCTTCTTATCCATGGAAAATCATCCTGGGAACACCGGTTGCTTGTTACTTATAATTTATAATGGCATACCAAATACAAATTGGCCTGTGTGGAATACATTGGCATAGATTTAATAATATTTAACATTTCTATAATTCAACATTCTGTTCATTCTTTCTTATATTCTTTTTTTTCTCTTTTTTGCCATGGAGTCTCACTGTGTCACCCAGGCTGGCGCTATCTTGGCTCACTGCAACCTCCGCCTCCCGGGTTCAAGTGATTCTCTTGCCTCAGCCTCCGAGTAGCTGGGACTATAGGCGTGTGCTACCACGCCTGGCTAATTTTTGTATTTTTAGTAGAGATGGGGGGTTCATCACATTGGCCAGGCTGGTCTCGAACTCCTGACCTCAGGTGATTCACCCGCCTGGGCCTCCCAAAATGTTGGGATTACAGGTGTGAGCCACTGCACCCGGCCCATTGTTTCTTATATACTTATTATTCTTTGTACTTTTACCAGGACTTCCTTCTTTGTAGCTTTGTTTACCCTATTCTTCCATTTACATTTTACCGATCACTTGAGTCTCCAAAAAAAATTTCTGACTCTTTGATATCACTAGGCATGATTTCCAGTTGAGTCCTTCCAGGAGAAATTTCAGAAGGTGCCTCCTTTTCTTTCTAAATGGGTCAGAGATACCTTTATTTTGGAACTGACCATGGGAAGCCTTCAGTTGTTTATATCTTGAATTGGGGCAGCAGATGGAGCTTTTCTCCCCTGTCCCCAGCACCATCCAACCTTCTTTCCTTGACCTTTTAGAAGCATTTGACATTGTGGCCCTCTCCATCTTACCTGAAGCCTTCTCCCCCTTTTGACTCCGGAGACATCATAGATAAATCAGGGCTGTGGTGAAATGGAAACACTGTGCCTTCAGAGTCATGCAAATGGGGGTTTGAATCTTGGCTCCACACAGCAGCTCTGAGGCTTGAACAAGTTCTGGAATCTCTCAAGGCTGCAGTGCTCTTATCTCAAAAAGGAGGGTGACATAATCTGCCTCGTATGCCAGTCTTCAGCCTTGAAGCCTTATTCAACTTCTGCTTTTTGAGGGTAGGGGCAGAGTTTGTACCCTGGAACATGATGCTAGCATAGTGCCTTTCACAAGATGGGCACTCACTAATTTATCTGCTTTCCACTTCCCATTTTCAGCCTAGAGTCACACCATTCATTCATGCTCCATGTGTTAGGGTTCTCCAGGGAAACAGAACCAATAGGATATATACATATATAATCCATATATTGGATTTTTGATTTTATATATATCCTTGAATATATATATATATATATATATATACATATATAGAGAGAGAGAGAGAGAGAGAGAGAGAGAGAGACAGAGACAGAGACAGACAGACAGAGAGAGAGAGACAGAGAGACAGAGAGAGATTTGTTTTAAGAAATTGGCTCATGTGATTGTGAGGGCTGGCAAGTCTGAAATCTGTAGAGCAGGCCAGTAAGCTGGTGACTCAGGTGAGAACTGATGTTGGTCTTGAGTCTGAATTCCACAGGGCAGGAGTCTGGAAATGCAGGCAGGGTTTTTATGATGCAGTCTTGAAAATAATTCCCTTTTTTTTTGAGACTGAGTCTCACTCTGTCACCCAGGTTGGAGTGCAGTGGCTTGATCTCGGCTCACTGTAACCTCCACCTCCTGGGTTCAAGTGATCCTCCTGCCTCAGCCTCCCGAGTAGCTGGGATTACAGGTACCTGCCACCATGCCTGGGTGATTTTTGCATGCGGTTTCACCATGTTGGCCAGGCAGGGAAAAGAATTTCTTCTGGGGGAAACTTCAATCTTTACTCTTTTAGGACCTTCTACTGATTGGGTGAGGCCCACATACATGATGGAGGACAATCTGCTTCAAGTCCACTGATTTCAGTGTTAGTCCCATCTAAAAAATACCTTCACAGTGACATCCAGACTGGTGTTTGATTTTTTTTTTGTTTAAAGTGGAGGTCTTGCTCTGTTGCCCAGGCCGGAGTACAGTGGTACCATCGTAATTCAATGTAGCTTCAATTCCTGGGCTCAGGGATCTTCTGCTTCAGCCTCTTAAGTAGCTCTTAAGTACAGGCCTGTGCTGCCATGCTCAGCTAATTTTTTTTTTGTTGTTGTTGAGACAGAGTCTTGCTCTGTCACCCAGGCTGGAGTGCAGTGGTGGGATCTCGGCTCACTGCAACCTCTGCCTCCCAGATTCAAGTGATTCCCCTGCCTCAGCCTCCCAAGTAGCTGGGACTACAGGTGTGCACTAGCATGCCTGGCTAATTTTTTTTTTAATTTTTAGTAGAGACAGGGTTTCACCATGTTGATCAGACTGGTCTCGGACTCCTGGCCTGAAGTGATCTGCCCACCTCAGTGTCCCAAAGTGCTGGGATTACAGGCATGAGCCACCACATCCGGCCTAATTTGTTTTGTTTTGAGACTCAGTCTTGTTAGGTTGCCCAGACTGGTATCTAATTCTTCAAGCCATTCTCCCACCTCAGCCTCCCAAAGTGCTGGGATTACAGGCTTGAGCCACTGCACCAAGCTGTGGTGTTTGATCAAGCAACTAGGCACCAGAGCCTAGCTAGGCTGACACATAAAATTAACTATCGCTCTCCACACGCTTGGCCACTGATCCTTAGCAACTGGGCCTCAGTCCAAAGTTAGAGAGCTTAACTGAAGAGGACATTGTGATGATGAAGCTTGCCGGGGGCCATAGGGATCTCTGTTAGAACTCCCTCAGGATCGGAATTCTATGTTATTGCTGGAGGCCTCTCTGAGGGTTCTTGGGGAAGTTATGTAGAAGGTGCCTCTGCTGAAGTCCTGGAGCTGACCACTCCCACCGGCTTGGCTCTGGGCTCAGCTCTGTCATGGTTGAACTGTATGACCCTGGGCAAGTCATGGGCTCTTCTGGGCCTCAGTTTACTGTCTATAAATAGGGACATTTGGACTTGATGTACCTGAAGTTCCCTTCTTGCTTTTAAACAGCTTCTCAGCTCCTTTTGTTTTACCACTAGCTTTGCAGAGACTTGTTAGGAATTTACAGCTTGTGATTGCTTCACTTTTTTGGAAATGGCTCTATGGTTTCAAACAACATTAACTTTAAAAAATTAACAATGCTGAGCGTGGTGGTTCACACCTGTAATCCCAGCACTTTGGGAAGCTGAGGCAGGTGGATCACCGGAGGTCAGGAGTTCGAGACCAGCCTGGCCAACATGGTGAAACCCCATCTCTACTAAAATACAAAAATTAGCTGGGCGTGGTAGCACATGCCTGTAGTTCCAGCTACGGGGGAGGACAAGGCAGGAGAATCACATGAACCCAGGAGGCGGAGGTTGCAGTGAGCTGAGATTGCGCCACTGCACTCCAGCCTGGGAGACAGAGTGAGACTCCATCTCAAAAAAAAAAAAAAAAAAAAAAAAGAAAAGAAAAGAAATTGACATCATGTGTTTACTGACTAGATGCTTTTTTTTCTTTTAATCACTGCGATGTCATTCATCTAGTGAGCGCTCAATACATGTTTTTTTGGATTAAAACATATTTTAAAAATTTATATATCATTAAAAAGACATTTGCACTACAGAAGCTCCTGGGTGATGATAGGTAGACCCACCCTCTCCATTAACTATCTTGTAGTTTAGAGGACTCCAGAGTATATTGGAAAGAACCAAGGCTTTGCAATAATACAGACCTGGACTTAAATCCTGAATTTTCTACTTGTCAGCTGTGCAACCGTGGTCATAATTCTTAATTTCTCTGAGACTCAGTTTATTTATCTGTAGAATTGGAGTAATGGGATATCTCCCAGAGTTGTTAAATGACATGTATGTGAACTGCCAAGCATACGGCTTAATAGAGTAAACTTGAAATAAAAATGAGGTATTTTTTGTTCTCTTCCCTTGGACTGTGTGTGGAGTCCTGGAGCACTGTAATGCCACTAGGAAGTTTGAGGCAAGAGGCTCTCTTCCAGCGATGTCAAGAAACTTATTGCTTTTTTTTTTTTTTAATCACATCAGATGGATGTGATTACCATCTGAGTGTGTCCCATCCAACAGAACGGGGTTAGGCTGTGAAGTGCTTTGCTTTTAAAACAGACAGTCCTGTACTCTAGGAATCAACAGTGCTTCCCTTTCAGGAAGAAGTGATGAATCATTACAGGAAATATTGTGTTTTTTTTTCCCCTCAAGTATCTTACCAATGAAAGTTATTAAAAATAGAAGCTTCGGTTGAGAACAACTTTGGGAGGAGTCAGAGTGGAGATGAATTTACTAGGGTTGAAGTCAACATCTTTGAGTGAGTTAATCTGGAGTTTTAATCCCTGTCACTGTCTCTCCAAGGACTCAAATCTTGGATCTTGAAAAAAAATTAATTGAAATGCTACTTGATTTCAAAAGACTTAGAATACCACTAATGATAGAAATAATGGTAACTTCTAAATAAGTAACCAAAATAGGCCTCTATTGGTAGCTGAGAAAAGCTCTTCCAGCTGCGGAAGACAGCGTGCGGCAGCGTGGGTGCTGGCGGAGACACTGATTTGATTGTGGCCATGATCATACCACGTATACGTACATCAAATCATCATGTGGTACATCTTGAATTAGTCAATCTTTATTTGTCAATTAAATATTTTTTAATTAAAAAAAAAGCAGACCGGTCGTGGTGGCTCTTGCCTGTAATCCCAACACTTTGGGAGGCAGAGGCTGGCGGATTGCCTGAGGTTGAAAGTTCGAGACCAGCCTGGCCAGCATGGTGAAACCCTGTCTCTACTAAAAATACAAAAAGCTAGCCAGGCGTGGTGGCAGGCTCCTGTAATCCCAGCTACTCGGGAAGCTGAGGCAGGAGAATTGCTTGAACCCAGGAGGCGGAGGTTGCCGTGAGCCGAGATCGCGCCATTGCACTCCAACCTTGGCAACAGAGCGAGACTCTGTCTCAAAACAAAACAAACAAACAACAACAACAAACAAAAAAACCACCACCACCACCACAACAAAACAAACAAAAAAAATGCAAGCCGAGTGTGGTGGCTCACGTCTATAATCCCAAGGAGGCTAAGGCAGGAGGACTGTTTGAGCCCAGGAGTTCAAGGCTAGTCTGGGCATCAGAGAGAGACCCCATCTCTGATTTGAATGAATGAATAAATAAAGAGGAGAAGACAGCAGAGGAGGTGGCTATGTTGCTCAGGAGGTGAGACTGACCCACATCTGCCCTCCAGCAGCGGTAAGCCCAAGGGAGGGTCTGACCATCCTTTTTACAACATCATTTGTGCTGGAGCAGAAAGTACTCACTCTGTCATTTCTCTGGGTTTCATTCAAACCCTCAATGGCTGTTAATCACCATTAACCAGTTCCTTTAAACTGCTTTGCATTTCAAAGAAGATGGGTTCTCTAACTTATTCTTTCCTTCAATTATGGCTGGCTGGAGGTTACTTTACTACCATCTACATTCTTTTTTCTTTTTATCTATTTACTTTTTTGCCTATGACATAGCCTCAGGAGGTCCTGAGTACGTGTGCCCCTCTTTGTTTTATTATTATTACTTTGTTAAACAGTGTCTTGTTCTGTCATCCAGGCTGGAGTGCAGTGATGTGATTAAGGCTCACTGCAGCCTTGACCTGCCTGCCGCAAACCATCCTCCCATCTCAGCCTCCCAAGTAGCTGGGACTACAGATGTGCACCATGATGCCCAGCTAATTTTTAATTTTTTTGTAGAGACGGGATCTTGCTATGTAGCCCAGGCTGGTCTCAAACTCCTGGACTCAAGGGACCCTCCCACCTTAGCCTCCCAAAATGCTGAGATTACAGACATAAGCCACCGTGCCTGGCCTCTACATGCTATTTTAATTGATACTCCCCAAATACCTGCAGCTGGCACTTGGTGGCATGCATGATCTCAGCCCCATCTCCTCTGAGCGGATTCCTCCACAGCAGCTGGGCTCACGCAGCCACTTGTCTCAGCTCCACCTTCTCATGGACTCAACAAAGCTGTTTCCAGCAGGGCTGATTTTAACCAAGGGCTGGGGGTCTCGGGTTCCTGCTCTTCTTTTCCAGAGTGGAAGGTGAGTTTGTTTTTTGCCTTACTCGGGGCCTTTTCCCTGCACTGGATGCTTCCTTACCTGTCAAGCCCAAGCAGCTTTTAGAACTGATTGCTGACATTTGTGTTGAGAGAAGAGAGAATGAAAAAGAGCGGGCTGCGCGTTGTGGCTCACGCCTGTAATCCTAGTACTTTGGGAGGCCGAGGCGGGTGGATCACTTCAGGTCAGGAGTTCAAGACCAGCCTGGCCAACATGGTGAAACCCTGTCTCTACTAAAAATACAAAAATTAGCCGGAAATCGCTTGAACCCGGGAGGCAGAGGTTGCACTGAGCCGAGATCGTGCCACTGCACTCCAGCCTGGGCAACAGAGCGAGGCTCTGTCTCAAAAAAAAAAAAAAAAAAAAAAAAAAAAAAGAGCAAGCACTACAGAGAACTCGAGCAGGCTATTTCTGGAGAACCTGCTCCCTGTCACCCCTTTTAGTGCTGGGCAGGGCTGGAAGAGATTGTCATTTGTTGACTGTCCTTGGGCTCTTGAAACGGAGTCAAACAGCTTCGTGTCTGCGACCCAGACCTCTGGTGGTGGGTCCCAGGGAGGGATGGCTTTGTTCTGTTCATCTTGTCTATCCCTCCATTTGGGCCACGGAGGGAAGGGAGTCTCTGGCCAGCCTCACTCCTGAACACACGGAGGCTGAGGCGGGCCTAAGTTCTGTGGCAGGCGAGAGCTGTTCACAGATTGTGTTCTTGGAGGTTTGCTGCTCACATTCCAGCAGGGTCAGGAAACAGGAAGCCAAACAAAGGAAAGAAACACAGAGGAAGAGACCTAAAGGGACAGAGACAAGAAGAGGCACTTTTTTTTTTTTTGTTTTGAGACGGGATCTCGCTCTGTCCCAGGCTGGAGTGCAGTGGCATGATCTCGGCTCACTGCAACCTCTGCCTCCCAGGTTCAAGCGATTCTCCTGCCTCAGCCTCCAGAGTAGCTGGGATTACAGGTGGGCGCCACTACGCCTGGCTAATTTTTGTATTTTTAGTAGAGACGGGGTTTCACCATGTTGGCCAGGATGGTCTCTATCTCTTGACATCGTGATCCACCCACCTCTGCCTCCAAAAGTGCTGGGATTACAGGCGTGAGCCACCGTGTCTGGCCAAAAGAGTGACACTTTCAAATCCGATCCAGAAGTCTCGTCCTACTAACTTGGAGTAGAGTTGGCAATGGGAATGGAGACTTTTAAAATTAAATATTTTTATGTTAATGAGACATACAAAAAAGCAGAAGATTTATCTTACATATGTACAGTTTAAGGAATAATAATGCAGCCTGACCAACATGGCAAAAATTTGTCTCTACAAAAAACACAAAAATTAGCTGGGCATGGCGGCATACACCTGTAGTACCTGCTACTTGGGAGGCTGAGGTGGGAGAATCGCTTGAGCCCAGGAGTTCAAGGCTGCTGTGTGCCATGATTGTGCCACTGCACTCCAGCCTGGGCAATAGAGTGAGACCCTGTCTCAAAAAGAACACAAATCCTCAGGTCCTCACCACCCAGTTTAAGAAATAGAGCACTACCAGGATCTTAAAACCCCTGTGGGGCTGAAGGGGCCATTTTCAGGTACCTATGGCTATCTAATCCACTGCCAAATGTCTGAATTTACCATTCATCTACATTTAAATATGGCAAATTAGCACCTTTTTTGGCATTCTTGAGAAAAGAATTGGTTTTAATGACTTGAAGGATTCCCTACTTCCCTAACACCCTATCATTTGCCTTTTCCCAGCCCTGAAACCATTAAGGATTTTCCTCAGCTTTTGTCTGCAAAAAAAGGGTTGTTAATGCACCCAGGGAGACCTGTTCCTGTTAATAACATCTGTTTAGCCTACCCCATTCTTCCTAAATGCTATAGATATTAGAGCCAGGCATCGGTACAGACTTAAGGAAAGAGCAACTGAATCCATTTGCAACACAGCTAAGATATACAGTAAGGTATACTATAAACTACTCTACAGTATTTTATGGGGTGGGAGTGAGGAAGGGATAGGTAGGTTGCAAATTTGATTTTCTTCCTTTTAATATACAGGCACTGAAGGCAAGGAAGATCTTCCTTCTTCTTTCTCTGGCCTCTCTTCCAGAGAGGCCAATATCCCTCTTCCAGAGGGATATTGTAGAACGATTTCCTGTGTTCTGCATGATGACCTTGGGAACCACAGCTGGGGTGGGTAGCTGGATGGTGCAGGTAGGCGTAGATGGAGATTGTCTTTATTGCCTTTTTTTTTTTTTTTTTTTTTTTTTTTTCCTGAGACGGTCTCACTTTGTCACCCAGGCTGGGGAGCAGGGGTGTGATCTTGGCTCCCTGCGGCCTCGACTTCCTGGGCTCCAGTGATCTTCCCACTTCAGCCCCCCAAGTGGTTGGGACTACAGGCATGCACCACCACCCCGGCTAATTTTTTTTTTTTTTTTGGTATTTTTTTGTGGAGATGGGGTTTTGCCATGTTGCCCAGGTTGGTCTCAAACTCCTGAGCTCAAGCGATCTGCCTGCCTCGGCCTCCCAAAATGCTGGGATTACAGGGGTGAGCCACCTCTCCTGGCTGAGATTGTCTTAAGACAGATGCTGCTGAGAAGCCTTGCTGAGCTGTCCTGAGTGTCTGCCGGCAGCTGAAAGTCAAGAAGCATCTTACATCTTTGCTTGTTACTCAGAAGCAAGCTGTGATGAAGTTTCATGCACATATATCATGGTTTGTGTGTACCTGCCAACTCTTCATTTTCTGGATGTCACCAGCCTTTTTTTGGACCAGGATTTTTAGGTACCTTCCACCCCATTTTTACATCATCGCTCGCTAAGCTGGACCTGAGCCAACTTTCATCTCGGCTACCTTTTCCTGCCTCTTTGGCGGGGCCTGGAGAGGAACCGTGTGAGATCCGATGAACCGTCTCCCTTGGCCAGGTTTCAGAGCAGCCCTCCCTCTTCCCAGGCTTATTGCCCAGAATTCCCATGATCTGACACCACCAGGTGGAGCTTTTTGGTCTTGAACCCAGATGAGCTTCTGGGCTTGGGGCTTTGGGGGATCTTTTTGGATTTGGCAGTATCACTGATGGTCAAGGTCTGGGCAAAGGAGAAGAAGCTCCTTCTTATTCTCGTTTATGAAGATTCATGCCACTTTACAGAAGACTAATCCCGAGAGCTTCAGGCCCTGAATGTGGAACCTTCTTCTGAGTCTTGTTATTTTTTCCCGCCTAGAGACAGGGTCCTGCTTTGTTGCCCAGGCTGGAGTACAGTGGCGCAATCATAGCTCACTGAAGCCTGAAACTCCTGGAGTCAAGTGATCTGTCCTCACCTCAGCCTGCAGAGTAGTTGAGACACAGGTTCATGCCACCATGCCTAGCTTATTTTTCTTATTTTTAACTTGTTTTTTTTTATGTAGAGATGGGGTCTTGCTCTGTTGCTCAGCTAGATTCTGAGTCTTTTCTAGCTTGCACAGGACCTCAGAACAATTAAGGATGACCAGAGGGTGAAGTCACTAGTCAGGCAGAGACTAAGTCATCAGCTAACAGCAGGTGATCTTGACCTTGGGCCTGCCAAAGTGTGGACTTACTTGTAAAATTTTTATTACATTCCATTTTTAAAGTTTTATTTTAGGTTCAGGGGTACAGTGCAGGTTTGTTCTATAGGTAAACTCATGTCACGGGGGTTCATTGCATAGATTATTTTGTCACTTGGGTACTAGGCCTAGTACCCAATAGTTATTTTTTCTGCTCCTCTCCCCCCTCCCACCCTCCACCCTCAAAGAGGCCCTATTGTCTGCTGTTCCCCTGTTTATGTTCATGTGTTCTCATCATTTAGCTTCCACTTGCAAGTCAGAACATGCAGTATTTGATTTTCTCTTCCTACATTATTTTGCTAAGGATAATGGCCTCCAACTCCATCCATGTCCCTGCAAAGGACATAATTTTGTTCTTCTTTATGGCTGCATAGTATTCCATGGTGTATATGTACCACACTTCCTTTATCCAATCTGTCACTGATGGGCATTTAGGTTGATTCCATGTCTTTGCTATTGTGAATAGTGCTGCAGTGAACATATGCATGCATATGTCTTTATGGTAGAATGGTTTATATTCCTCTGGGTATATACCCAGTAATGGGATTACTGGGTTGAATGGTAGTTCTGTTTTTTGCTCTTTCAGGAATTGCCATACTGTTTTCCACAATGGTTGAACTAATTTACCTCCCACCAACAGTGTGTAAGTGTTTCCTTTTCTCTGCAACCTCACCAGTGTCTGTTATTTTTTGACTTTTTAATAATAACCATTCTGATAGGTGTGAGATAATATTTTGTATGTATATAGGTCTGCACATTTTTCCGGGGAAAAGTTCATTGCTTTCATCAGATTCTCAAAGGCACATGTAATGCAAAGTAGGTTAAGAACAAGGGATCACTTCTGATTGCTTGGTTTGTAACAAAATAAGAAAAATAAGGAGATACAATTCAGCTTCTCATAAAGCTACAATTCTAAGAATGCCTTTTATTCTGGGATTATGCCCATTCACTGTCTCTCTCTTTTTGCTATTAGGTTTTCTTTTATGGGATGATGGTCTAGTGAATTGTAATTACAAAAAAAAAATTTCTCTCTTGACAAAGCCGGAAGTTGGTAAAATCTTCAACTAAGAGTTCTTTCTTTTTTTCTGGCTTGTGAAATCCCACATCCTGGAAACCACTAATCTAGAGGGTTGTCTTTCTATCTGCACGTGATTTAGGGGTGTGCGGTTGTACACCATTCTTCCCCTCACACTCCCCCATGTATATGAAGGTTGTCTTTTATTATGTGCAAACCTTTCTTAAAGAACATGATATAAACATAACTCTTCCTGGCTCCAAAAAACATAACTATCACTTTGGGCAAATAATCTAATCTTCCTGGGCCTCAATTATCTTATTAAAATGAGGAAGATGGGCTGGGAGCTCTGAAGGTTCTGTCCAGATCTAACATGATGTTATTGAAGTGAATGCATGTGAGGCCAGACAGGAAAGGCTGAAGTACAGATCAGGGCCTTGAGGGAGGAGATCAGAGGCAGGGGGAGAACCCTGTCTTTTGATTTTCCTCAAAAGCAGAGTAAAAGAAAAGATTTTGGATGTATTTAAAATTTTGGTCTACATGATTCAGTGAACTCATATGCTAATTTATTTATTTATTTTTAATTTCACAGCCTAGACCTTACAAGCTAATCTGGTTTTATGAGGTGTTCTTTGTAAGATTATGTAAAATTAATGTAAAATTTAATGTAAAATTATCCAAAAGTGGATAATATGCTTTTTGAGACAAAGATGGGTAAAGGAAAACTGATCAAAATCAGCCAAAAGAATAATGAAGCTGGGCATGGTGGTCACACCTGTAATCCCAGGACTTTGGGAGGCTGAGGTGGGAGGATCACTTAAGGTCAGGAGTTTGAGACTAGAGTGGGCAATATAGGGAGATCCTGTCTCCACAAAAAATTTAAAAAAACTAGCCAGGCATGGTGGCACACACCTGTAGTCCCAGCTCCTCAGGAGGTTGAAGTGGGAGGATCACTTGAGCCTGGGAGGTTGAGGCTTCAGTGAGCCTTGATTGTGCCACTGTACTCTCACCTGGGCAAGTACAAAAACAAGAAGAAGAAGAGTGAAGAAGAGTGATAATAATAATAGTAACAGGCCAGGTGTGGTGGCTCATGCCTGTAATCCCAGCACTTTGGGAGGCCAAGGTGGGTGGATCACTTGAGGTCAGGAGTTCAAGACCAGCCTGGCCAACATGGCAAAACCCCATCTCTACTAAAAATACAAAAATTAGCTGGGCGTGGTGGCACATGCCTGTAATCCCAGCCACTGGGGAGGCTGAGGCCGGAGAATTGCTGGAACCTGGGAGGTGGAGGCTGCAGTGAGCCAAGATCATACCACTGCACTCCAGCCTGGGCAACAGAGTGAGACTCTGCCTTAATAATAATAATACTAATAGTAACAAAAAGGAGAGTAACAGTAGTTACGCTCAGGTCATTGAGTGCCAGCTCGGAACTGAACTTTGCATTCATTGTCCTCTTGAGTCCTGCAACGTAGGTTTGATCATCACATTGTTTTAGATCCAGCCATTGGCAGAGGTATGATTTGGCCCAATCCACTCACTTGAAAGCTCCCACTCCCTGTGGCCACTCCTTTAAAACAGAGCCTTGCTCCTCAAAATATGGTCTGATCACCTGCAGCGTGGGCATCCCCTGGGAGCTTGTTGGAGCAGCTCAGGCTCTGTCCCAGACCTATTCAAGCCAAATCTGGATTTAGCAAGACTCTCGAGGGATTTGTATTCAAGTAAAAGTTTGAGGAGCACTAGTTTAGATGATTCTGCTTTAGAAAAAACTTTCCCTACGCGTTAATACTTATCAAGTGTTCCCTTGCTTTATGGCTGAAGAAGGAAAGCATCACACTAAGGATGGAGAGAAGGCTGTCCTGGTTGGGGAGGGTGGAGTCCTTGCTCTACTGAGAGGGTGTGCATTTCTGAACCCTTGTTGCCTGTTTCTCTCCTTGAAAACTGAATATGTCATAGGATGTACAACACCAAGGGTGAGCCCTAACACGGACTATGGACTTTGGATTGTAACCAACGTAGCACTCTGGTGCAGGATGTGGGGATGCGGATAGTGGGTGGGGCTGTGCGTGCTGGGGGAACAAGGGGTCTGTGAGAGCTCCGTACTTTCTGCCCAATTTTGCTATGAACCTAAGACTGCCCTAAAAAATAAGGTGTATTCAAACCTGAACACACCTTAATGTATTCAGGCTGTGGGCCTTGCCGAAGATGGGACAGCTAGTAAGATAATGCCTGTTAAATTCTTTTTTAAAAAAATCATTTGGATAAAAGTGCTTTTGAAAGACAGGGTTTTGTCAAGTGCTATGATCTCATCATCTGGCAGCCCCGGCGGGCAAGGAGTCCAAGGGAAACCCAGGGCGTTGACAAGTGGGTGACTCAGGTGCCGGCCCTGCTGGCGGTGAGCAACTGCGGGGTTGGAACCCGTGGGAGGGGCAGGGAGATGTGCTGAGCTCCTTTCTGGCCAGTGCTGATGTCATCAAAGCCCCAGGGCTAAGGCTGTGCTTTCCACCTGCCCTCAGAAGCACCAGTACTCCTGGTTTCTTATTTATTTATTTTTTCTCTTCTCTCTGGTTTTCTGGGTTGTGTTTTCCCCTTTGTTCTTAAATAGTTAGTTGGGACCTGTGGTAGCTCTTTCAAGGGCTCTGCTAACACAGGACAGCCCTGGACCTTGGCTTATAGGGACTTTATATCCTCATTGTCAGTCCCTGGGGCAGTTAATATGCCTGAAACGCCCTCCACTCCCTCTTAAATGTGTGTGTGTGTGTGTGTGTGTGTGTGTTTGGTTTATTTAATACTATTCTGTAGCATAGGTAAAAGGCTTTAAAAAAACCTTTTCTGCTATCTCATTTGATTCTAAAGACAGTGTCTGGTCAATGGATGGGTGATGGTATTAGGAACACAGGCTGGGTGTCAATCATCCTCCAGTTAATGCAGAAAGAAGGATTCAGTGAGTGAAGTGACTTGCTTAAGGGCACACAGCTCTGTGCAGGTGGGCAACGTGGGAAGGCTCCCAGGGCTCTCCCTTACAAATCCCCAGGCATCTGGCTTCCTAAGCCTGAGGCCTTACTTGTCCTGCCTAAATACTACTAGGTCAGCAAAACTTGTTAGCCATAAAGAGAGAACACTAACCCTGTGTGTCACAGGGGATTCAGGATCAGGGTGGTAGAAACCAATAGGGCCATTTTTTCCTCTGGGCTGTGCTGTTTCTGCCAAGCACCTTCTTGTTTTTATCCATAATAAAAATAAGTGCTAAGTTTTTCATTTTACTTATTTTTTAGATTTTGGGTGTGTTGCCTAGGCTGGAGTGCAGTGGTGTGATCATTACTCACTGCCGTCTGCAGTCTTGACTTTCCAGGCTCGCTACAGCCTCCAGAGCAGCTGGGATTACAGGTGCACACCACCACAGCCGGCTAATTGTTTTTTTTTTTTTTTAGAGATGAGGTCTTGCTGTGTCACCCAGGCTGATCTTGAACTCCTGGCCTCAAGTTATCCGCCAGCCTTAGTCTCTCAAGTTGCTAGGATTATAGGCGTGAGCAACCAAGCTCAGCTGGTGCTAAGTTTTAAGAAATAAAATAACCAGAAAAATTAGGCCAAGTGAAATAGTTCAACTTAGCTTAGCAATGGCAAGCTCAGGTCTTTTCCAAATAATGAGGAAACCTGGTGAAACCACAGTAACCTCAGTGAGCTGTGGCCTTTGCTGACGAGATGGGTGATCAGAATTTGAGGCAAATGGTCCAAGTAGCTGTTTATCGTCTTCAACTTTCACAGCTTCCATTCCAAGCCAATAACTCACTTCTGGGCCCCACAAGTGACCTGTGTTCTACACCTCTATCAATTTTCCCCGAGGTGACTTATTCATTAGCAAATGTGAAAAATTACTAATTAGCACCCCTTCCATGTGAAAGCAGTCTAGACTATTGGTGGGTGTTCAAAAAGGAAGACAACTTCTCCCATCCTCTTGCCTTCTGAGATACTTGGATTTACACAGGAAGGATGTCTCCACTAATGAAACTACCACAGCCTTAGAGACATTTTAAATGGAAAAAGTGGATATAAAAATAATGCTAAAAAAGTTTGAAAAGGCACACTGGCAGCAATGAGGTGAAAAAAAAGGTCTGAAGAAAATGTAAAAAACCCATAAAACCCATAATACTACCATCTTCATATGATAGAAGCATTTATATATTTTCATATTTTCTAGTTTTGGTCCACAAATAAAGACACATTTATTTGGCATTGTGGCAAGCTCATTGTAACATACTCACTGAATATTATCCATTCCTCCCACCTATATCCTATGTTTATACATTGCCTTCATAATGATCATTTTTGATGTCTGCATAATATTGATCATGTGGACACCCTGAATGTACTAAGCAAACTCTTGATTTAATTTTTTTTTTTTTTTGAGATAGGGTCTCCCTCTGTCACCCAGGCTGGAGTGCAGTGGCACAATCATAGCTCACTGTAACCTTGAACTCCTGGGCTCGAGGATCCCTCTTCAGCCTCCTGAGTAGCCATCACTACAAGCATGTGCCCTCATGCCCAGCTAAAATCTGCTCTCTTGGCAAATTACCAGTATATAATACAATATTATTAATTATAATCCTCATGTTGTACATCAGATCTCTTTAACTTATTTATCCTACATAATTGCAACTTTGTACCTTTTGACCAAAGGAAATGAAATCACCACCTTATAAAGGTATCTGCATTCCCTCATTCATTGCAGCATTATTCACAATAGCCAAGATCGGGAACCAACCAAAGTGTACATAGACAGATGAGTGGATAAAGAAATTGCAGTATAGCTATCTGTCTCTATACACATATAATGGAATATTATTCAGCCTTTACAAAGAAGATGGAAATTCTGTCATTTGAGACGAAATGGATGAACTTACAGGACAATATGTTAAGTAACATAAGGCAGGCACAGAAGGAAGAATACTGCATGCTGCCACTTATGTGTGGAGTCTGAAAAGAAATTAAATATGGGAAGGAGGAGGCAGGAAATGGGAATACTTAAGTCTAACCAATCCCTTTGGTGGACATTTTGATTGTTTCTGGATTTTCTGTTATTGATGGGACCAGGAACATTTTTGCATGTAGATACTTTGAAATTGTTTTCTTAGGAAAATCTCAGCAGTAGCAAATGAAGACAGGACTTCAGGAAGAGGGGCCACTCTTCTACCTCTGTCCTCTCTGGAGGGAGACACACAGCACTTTCAAGCCATCTCACAGAGGGCGACTGGTTGTGATTTCTCAGGCCCTTTAAATACCTCTCCTCTGCTCCTTCTGCTTCTGCCTTCATTTCCTCCCACTCTCCTTCTCAGTGCCTTTCCTCAGCCCAAAGCTGTCCCTTGGACTCCTCCTGAACATCTGTCTCCCCCAAAGGCTCTCGTCTGAATGATCCAGCTTTTCACTCCTGGCTCCTTTCTGAAGATCTGTCCTGAAATGCAGGAAGCGGGGAGGGGAACAACACATATTTGAATCCTATCAGCCTCTTGATCTGGTGTCTTATCTAAATATTATTTCTTGTCCTACTTACATCACAAGCCCATAAGGCATAGGCCATGCCTTTACATGTGTCATAGAGAACAGAGAATGCAGTTGACTCTTGGCAAACGTGTGTTGTTGTTGTAAGTTGTTAATAATTGTAAGATGTGAGTAGATGTTCTGGGGAGGTAAAATCAGAGCTAGAAACAAGGGGGGACTTTCTGGGAAGATCATTACGGAAAGTCTTCACAAAAAGGGGGTGATTCTGAACTTTCACCCATGTTTTTGGAAAAGTGCCCAGGGCTTTTGCTCCTGGGAGATATTGGCATTTGGATGGGTGCTTGAACGGAGGGCTGTCCACTTGAACAAAACTTCGTGGGGCATTTTGAACCCTGCCAAGTTAAGTTCAGGGCCATAGAAAAGACAGTGACAGGCAAATACCTCTGGGATAAGCCTTTAGTGACTTTGGGTAATGGAACTGGAACTCTCATCAATTCCTACGTTTTATAATTTGTAGTTTGGGAATTGAGGTTAAATGTTAGAGAGGATTTTTCTTTTTTAATTTTTAATTTTTATATTTTCTTAGAGACAGGGTCTCACTCTGTTGCCCAGGCTGGTCTTAAATCCCTGGGCTCAAGCAGTCCTCTACCTTGATCTCCCAAAGTGCTGAGATTACAGGCATGAGCCACTGCACCTGGTCCAGGATTTTTCTTTTCTTTCTTTCTTTCTTTTCTTTTTTTTTTTTTTGAGACAGAGTTTCGCTCTTGTTGCCCAGGCTGGAGTACAATGGCACGATCTCAGCTCACTACAACCTCCGCCGCCTGGGTTCAAGTGATTCTCCTGCCTCCGCCTCCCAAGTAGCTGGGATTACAGGCATGCACCACCATGCCCGGCTAATTTTTTGTATTTAGTAGAGATGGGGTTTCACAATGTTGGTCAGGCTGGTCTTGAATTCCGGACCTCAGGTGATCCACTAGCCTCGGCCTCCAAAGTGCTGGGATTACAGGCGTGAGCCACCGCGCCCAGCCGGTTTTTCAAGTATAAAACATAACATTGGGTCAAGCCAGTGGGCTGGACCATCCATTCATTCTCCATGGCTTCAACAAAGGGTAAATATTTTGTCCTTTTTGACTTTATCATAAGATATTAGTGATAACCTCCCTTAATAACTTTAGCTAAGGTCTTCATTAGTAAATAGAAATCACATTAAGTAGATTAGAAACCAAAATCCTGTCTGGTAAGGGCCTTTCACATCAAATGTTAAAACAATTTAGGTGAGTAGGATGTTTCTATAAATGGGTTATTTCTAATGCAGAATCTGTTTTTACATTTGAAATGTGGTGATGCTTATTAATTTACTACTATTTTTATACAGATTTGCTTATGAGGTATACCTGTAACTATTTACATATTGTTCTACAGTTTAACAAGTGGGTTTTTTTTTTTTTTTTTTGAGGCAGGGTCTCACTCTCTTGCCCAGGCTGGAGTGCAGTGGTGCAATCACAGCTCACTGTAGCCTGGACTTCCCAGGCTCAAGTGATTCTCCTACCTTACCTAAGCCTCCCAAGTAGCTGGGACTATAGGCATATGCACCATCATGTCCAGCTAATTTTTAAATTTTTTAAGAGACGAGGTCTCGCTATGTTGTCCAGGCTGGTCTCAAACTCCTGGGCTCATGTGATCCTCTTGCCTTGGCCTCCCAAAGTGCTGGAATTACAGGCATGAGCCTATAATCATGAGCTGACAAGTGCTTTAACATACATTTTCTCACTGGGCATGGAGGCTTATGCCTGTAATCTTAGCACTTTGGGAGGCAGGGGTGGGTGGATCACTTGAGCTCCAGGAGTTCAAGACCAGCCTGGACAATATGGTGAAACCCTATCTCTACAAAAAATGCAAAAGTTAGCCAGGCATGGTGGCACATACCTGTAGTCCCAGCTACTCAGGAGGCTGAGGTGGGAGGTTGACTTGAGCCCAGGAGGTGGAGGCTGCAATGAGCCAACATCAAGCCACTATACTTCAGTCTGGGCAACAGAGCTAGATCCTGTCTCAAAAAGCAAGCAAGCAAATAAACAAACATTTTCTCTTTATTCTCACAACTTGTGAAGCAGACAAAGATCTGCTTCTGTTTCACACAGGAAGACACTGAGGCCAAAGAGTTTAAGTGATTCAGTAAGTTGTTGAGTCAGGATTGAAAGGCAGCATTAGATATTTGTCCAGTGTCGTAACTATCTCCCTGATATGGGAAATGATGATGATTTCAGCCTTTTTTAGTCTTCATGAGTATTCTGTAATTGTCTCCTGTTGGTCCCTTATTGTCTTTCTGTCTTGTGGATATCGTTCTTGTGTTGTTAAAATTCCAGAGAAACAACTGGACTTTGAAATAGTCAATAAATGAGGCACAGAAATGGAAACCTCAGGTATTTTCATAGATCTGGAAGAGGGTAGGGAAGAAAGACCCAGTTAGTTGAAAGTATCCGTTAGACACCATGGGAAGCCCACATGAGGCATTTACATGGAAGTTCTGGCGTGTGGGCTGAGGAGAGGTGACACTTCTGGATTGTTTTGGAATGCTGTATCTGCTCCAGAAATGCTCAAAAACTGCAGTGGTAATGCCGATTTGAGTCTCCAGTAGATTTAGGCTCTTCTTGGTACATTTTGGTGCCCTAGCAGGAGAGAGAGGCAGAGAGAGAGAAAGAGAGAGAGAGAGAGAGAGCGACAGACAGACACTCATCATTTTTGTAGATTGCCAGTAGGTAAACACAAGTGTTTTATTAAACTATGTATCAAGGGCTAGGCAGGAGGATCACTTGAGGATAATTTGAGACCAGCTTGGGCAACAAAGCAAGACCCTGTCTCTACAACAATAAAAAGTAAAAAAATTAGCCAGGCGTGGTGGTGAGTGCCTGTAATCCCAGCTACTGTGGAGGCTGAGGTAGGAGGATCGCTTGAGCCCAGGAGTTCAAGGCTGCAGTGAAATGTGATTGCACCACTGCATTCCACCTGCGTGACAGAGTGGGACCCTGTCTTTAAAAAGAAACCCAAAACAACAACAACAATAAAACAAACTAAAAACTCTACATAAATGTCTCTAACTATTACCCTATTACCACGGTGTGTCTTTGGGAAAGTGGTATCCTCTCTCTGTGCCTCAGTTTCCTCAGTGTTATGGCACAAACTGAAATATTTAAATGACATTTAATATTAATGTCATGGATATTAATATATTAATGACATATTAATATATAATTAATATTATGTATTAATGTCATTCTATTAAATGACACAATATTGCACGAACTGAATGTATTTAAAGGAGCCCTAGTGATAGCTCAATAAATATTAACTATTATTATTATTGTAAAGACTAACTTGTCCTCTAATGTATTACAGATGCTGGGTTTACTCTTTAATTGGTAATAAAACTTTTTTTCTACTTTTTAAATTGTGGTAATATATACCTATATAAAATTTACCATTTTAACCATTTTTAGGTGTACAATTTAGTGGCATTACATTCAGACAGTCTCGCTGAATGCGTGTTTAGGCAGGGAGTGGACCCGGGCAGGGCGGCAGGGCTGGTGTGGGGCTGTGTGAGTCTCCCCAAGGCTTGGGTCGGCTCCAGGTCTGGATGCCCCCTGCACTCTGCACAGTGCAGGGAGCAAGGAATGAGTGAGGAGGGGTGAGAGCGCAGTCACACAATTGTTGCCTGGCTGTTCTGTGAGCAACTGACTCAGACATTTATTTGTGTCATCTCTCTCCTCTGTTTTTATTTCACTGGCTCTTAGCCCCATCAGTTCATTTTCCCTGGGAAGCAAAGGCTGGGGTTCTTATTCATTTTGTTGATGTCATTCTTTTGAGCTGTGAGCGCATCAGTGGCCGAGAGAACCATTCAGACGTCCTTCGTACCATGATCGGAGGTTCATGACTCAGGTCTTCTGGCACGTGTGGATTAAGTGTAAACCTGAAGTCAGTGATTTTAATGCATTCCTTCAAATGAGTAAGGTCAGAAGTTTCGAAGGTTAGCCTCTGAAAGTCGTAAGTAGGGAGGACAAACAGACTTTAATAGAAATGGGAGGTCTGTATCCCCAGCTCTCTGAGATTGCTTCTTCAAACTGCTGGTGGCTCTTGTCATTTATGGTGCCATCACCATGAAGCTGGTAAGCAGGAGAATTGCTGGAAAAGTGACCGGCCTGAAGCCTGGTGCCTGTGTTGGCAAATTCAGTTGCAGAGAGATGGTTTGAAATTCATGTATTCATTCATTTGTTCCTTCAACAAACATGCACTGAGTGTGTGCCAGAAATTGTGGTGGTCACTGGAGTTGTAGTGGTCCCTGGAGGATGTCATCTTCTCCCAGAGAAGGTTTATTATAAGAGGTTTCTAATATACAACTTCTCAGGCAAATGACTCTTATCCCTAATTCTGAATTTTATTATTTAATTCCTCTGAACCTATTCAGCTTGCAGGCATCAAACAGGCACAAGTTTTTAAAATATCTGAAAGCTCTGGCCAGGCACAGTGGCTCACACCTATAACCCCAACACTTTGGAAGGCCGAGGCAAATGGATCGCTTGAGGTCAGGAGTTTCAGACTAGCCTGGCCAACATGGTGAAACTTCGTCACTACTAAAAATACAAACATTAGCCAGGCATGGTGGTGCATGCCTATAATCCTAGCTTCTTGGGAGGCACCTGTAATCTTAGCTATTTAGGAGGCTGAGGCACGAGAATCACTTGAAGCTGGGAGGTGTAGGTTGCAGTGAGCTAAGATCATGTCACCGCACTCCAGCCTGGGCGACAGAGGGAGACTCTGTCTCAAAATAATAATAATAATAATAATAATAATAATAAATAAAAATCTGAAAGATCCTAGGCTGGCTGACCTCTAAGTTATAGCTCATAAAGTAAACTATTGGCAACCTGGAGGTTTTCTGGTGGGCACAACTAGATGCAACCACTTAGGGGCCAGAGATTTAATTTAGCCATCTGTCCATCCATCCATCCATCCATCCATCCATCCATCCATCCATCCATACATCCATACATACATCTATCCATACATACCTACATACATACATCTATCCATCCATCCATCCATCCATCCACTCATCCATCCATCCATACATACATCCATACATACATCTATCCATACATACCTACATACATACATCTATCCATCCATCCATCCATCCATCCATCCATCCATCCACTCATCCATCCATCCATCCATCCATACATACATACATCTATCCATACATACCTACATACATACATCTATGCATCCATCCATCCATCCATCCACTCATCCATCCATCCATACATACATACATCTATCCATACATACCTACATACATACATCTATCCATCCATCCATCCATCCACTCATCCATCCATCCATCCATACATACATCCATACATACATCTATCCATACATACCTACATACATACATCTATCCATCCATCCATCCATCCATCCACTCATCCATCCATCCATACATACATACATCTATCCATACATACCTACATACATACATCTATCCATCCATCCATCCATCCATCCACTCATCCATCCATCCATCCATACATACATCCATACATACATCTATCCATACATACCTACATACATACATCTATCCATCCATCCACTCATCCATCCATCCATACATACATACATCTATCCATACATACCTACATACATACATCTATCCATCCATCCATCCATCCATCCACTCATCCATCCATCCATCCATCCATACATACATCTATCCATACATACCTACATACATACATCTATCCATCCATCCATCCATCCATCCATCCACTCATCCATCCATCCATCCATACATACATACATCCATACATACATCTATCCATACATACCTACATACATACATCTATCCATCCATCCATCCAACAGGCATTGACTACGTTTGCAGGCACTGGGAATGTTTATGAGGGGAGACTCATATGTAACATTTCCCAGTCTAGTCTAACTATGGAACCCCACGTATTCCATGGAACAAAGTTTGAGAAACACTAAAATGTGGGGGTGCAATACTCTTACCTTCTTTTTAGGACCCCTCTCATAAAACCTCACCTCACTAGGCTTTATATCTCCTAGGGTATTCTGGAAAGAGTGAGATTTTGGTAAACCATGGCTAGAATTTGTTATAGCCATGAGATGTCTGAAAGCTCACATTTCTCCAATGATTTGAGGAGTTGAACTTTTAGTTTCGATGAAAAGACTAGAGAAACAGGTATCCTGAGTATGTCAGCCCTCCCCTTCTGCGTTTTCTAGACAAACAAAAGCTGCTACCTTTCTTTCATGCGGAGCCACCTAGCCTCTGGCCTCACACCTGGGCTGTTTCATCTCAGGCAATGTCTGAGTATCTGATTGACCTGCCTTTCCACTCTCTGCCTCCTACTCCCAACTGGGATCCGGGGATTTGTGAACACACATGTTTGGGGAGAAGGCAGGAGTTGCACTACCACCTGGAGGCTGGGCAGGCACACCCCTGTGGTGTTTGTGTTCGTGTGCCTGTGTCAAGGTCCTGGCCGGAAGCGCCTCTCCTGGGTTAGGTTTAGCGTGCTGGCAATGCCTGGCGAAATCAAGCTCCTTTTTTCTGGGTCCCCAGCTTTCATCCTCTCCATGAAGTCACTTTTCTTATCGCATCCTAAATGGAGTGATGGGGTGGTAGGGGAGGGGAGGAGGAAGGATATGTCCCTTTGTGTGTTCCTGGAGGGTCACAAGTCTTAAAGGTCTCCTCTGCTGAGGGGGCACTGCTTCCTGACACCTTGCTGGCTTTGCTATCAGGTTTCATAGCAGGAAGAAATAGCTTCTCCTGCCCTCCCACAAACATTCCAAGGTGTGGAGATGCTCTTAGCATACAGCTATGCAACAAAAAATAAGAAGAGAATGGCTTCCAGCCCCTTTCTATTTAGAGGAAGTAGAAGTGTGAACCTACCAACCTTCCCTATACTTGTAAAAATTGCCTTAAAAAATACAAATGGCTTAGCGGTCCTGTTTAGTAACTTGCTGAGTGGCACGCTTAAAGAGCCACTTGGATTCCACCATTTTATTTTCATGTATGTGTGTGTGTATCATCATCATTATCAAAATTAGATAATATATGTGAAAGTGCTTTGTAAACAGCAGAAGAAGTAGGTATATGAGATTATTGTTGTTTTTGCCCTGTTACTAAAAACATCTCTTAAAGCTCTGCTTTTTGTGAGGCATCGTGGCAGATTCCTTTCTAAGGCTGGCTTTCACAATTAAATGTAAATAGATGCCCAGATGATGGAACTCTGCAGGCCCTCAAAGCCAAAATCTCTCTGTCATGTTACCTAAATTCCCATCATCTGTCCTACTTTAATGTCAACTGGGATGGGATAACTATTAAGATGTTAATCATCATGTCTCTTATTTGAAAATTTAGCAGAGAGCAGAGCTTTGAGGCACTGGGGCACAGGACAGGTGTGTTTTGAAATAGGGGAGTGGGGAAGAGAAGCAGATGACACAGGCCAGTGGTATTCCACAACACTGGATGCCAGAAACGCAGCACACAAAATAAAGGAGAAGGAAGAATGAAGCCCTCACTTGCTCTATGAATTTTCTCTGTTGTTCAGTTTGAGTGAATCTGACCAGATCATTGCCTTTTAGAAGCATATGACCAATGATACAATAAAGGTATCGGTAAACATATTGAAGACATTAACAAATACCTATGTTTAAGTATTTCCATATTGGTAAATGCAGTCTGTGGGGTGCTGAGTGATGGGGAACTCTGTGAAGTTCATATTTGGATAGGGTTCCTGAAAACTTTCCTATTTCCTGGGAAATCAGGAATTGTTACCTGGACGCAGTAGACTCCAGGAGCCCTCAGAATGACAGCACAGAAGACTCTTTTGCAGTCAAAAGTGTCTAGATGAGGGGCAGGGGATTCCAGGCATAGGGGGAGGCTAAAGAGAGGGCTTGGAGGGTGGAAGAGAAATCTGTAGGTTGATCACTGATCTATAGGGAAATCTTGCATACATCACCAAGACGCTGTTCTGTGTTAACACGGGAGGATAGTAATGTGTTGTAAGAAAGCCTAGCAAATATATTCTACTTTCCCTAAAATCAGCACAAATGACAGGTCCTTTAGTGCACTTGGAATCTCACTGAAGGCCTCAGGAGGAAGCATGTGCCTTCTGAGCAGGCTTTCCATGCAAGTGAAAGTGTAGTTGCTAAAGATCTGAGCCATCAAGTCTGGTATGAGTTGACACAGTGCTGCTGTGTGCTGTGATTTTGGCAAAGGCTCTGGATCCTTCTGAATATCTTGTTTGCAGGATAGTTCCTGAACCCATGCAGTTTACACCCCGTGGGAGAGGAGCTGCCACTCACCGGCTGGTTGCTTGAGTAAGATAGTTTTTATTTCTCTTGAACTTTGAATAATTTTTAGCTGAATTAACCTTGAGGGGGTCATTTCTTTAAAATTCATGAATATGTTCATTAAAAACAATTTCCAAATTCAATAAGACATTAAAAACCATCAAGATTCTACAGATTTGGGGGTTTGACCAGATTCTGCCTTTGAGGAAGTTTGTTTGTTTATTTATTTGTTTACTTATTTTGAGACAAGTTCTGGCTCTATCACCCGGGCTGAAGTGCAGTGGTGCCATCTTGGCTGACTGCATCCTCCATCTCCTGGGCTCCAGTGATCCTCCTATCTCAGCCTTCTGAGTAGCTGGGACTACAGGCATGCACCACCATGCCTGGCTAGTTTTGTATGTTTTGTAGAGATGGGATTTTGCCATGTTGCCCAGGCTGGTCTTGAATTCATGAGCTCAAGCGATCCACCTGCCTCAGTCTCCCAAAGTGCTGGGATTACAGGCATAAGCCACCGCGCTTGGTCTAGGAAGTTGATTCTTAGGATTTTGGAGGATGGAGATGGAAAAGTATGTTTAAATTCTGAGGCTCAGAGCTGTAATTTATAATCATGATTCCCAAGTGGTTAAAATTTCAGAATATCCAAAGCTATTATTTTCATTAACTTATAATTATTTATTGATAGATGCCTGGGTTCAAGCCAATACTTCAGAGTGAATGCACAAAAACCAAGGAAGACCTAGCTCCTTACTTCAAGGATCTTATAATAACAAACCAGCCCAATGTTGAATACTCATTGAACGTCTGCCATATTTGCAGTGTTGCTGTGGGAAATACAAAAGAAATCTAAGTCTTTGTTTTCCAAGAATTTGTGGTCTAGTTGGATATTAAGATCAGTACACAGGAAACAATGGGGCCAATATCAGTTGGAATGCCTTTGAATGCAAGAAACAAAAATCTCAACTGAAACTCACTTAAACAAGTAGCTGGTCAAATATTGTAATTAAACATCAGAGGTAGAACTGATTTTAATCTAGTGGGTCCAGAAGTTCAAAAACATTATTGAAGACCCAGGTTCCTTTATTCATTTCCTTCTGTCAATCCCAAGGCTGCTTCATCTTAGATCGTAAGACAGCAGCTATAGACATCAGGACTAAGACTCCTTCTTCAGGTCCAGCGGGAGAGAGTGGGCATGTATTTTTTTTTTTTTTTTTTTGAGATGGAGTTTTGCTCTGTTACCCGGGCTGGAATGCAGTGGCGTGATCTCGGCTCACTGCAACCTCCGCCTCCTGGGTTCAAGCAATTCTCATGCCTCAGCCTCCTGAGTAGCTGGGATCACAGGTGTCTGCCACCATGCCTAGCTAATTTTTATATTTTTTGTAGAGACAGGGTTTCACCATGTTGGCCAGGCTGGTCTTGAACTCCTGGCCTCAAGAGATCCGCCCATCTCAGCCTCCCAAAGTGCTGGGATTACAGGCATCAGCCACCCTGCCCGGCCGAGAGTGGGCATTCTATAGTGCATACAGAAAAGCAAGGAAATCCCTTTTCCAGAAATTCTCAAACTATCTGTTACCTTCCATTGGCCCTAATTAGTTACCTATCCATCCCTGACCGAAGCATTTTGGCAAAGGAAATAGGAGTACTCTGATTGGTTCGGATTGATCGGGTCTCACCACTGGAGCTGGGATAAGGGTAGGATAAGGGAGGAGGGTAGATACTAGAAGGGGAACATGGGTACAATTGAAAAGGGGTGAATGGATGCTGATTGACAAACAACTATGCTCACTATGGGATCCAAGCAAAATATTAAGATGTCATTGGGGAAATTTTGCCATCTGTAACCACAACTGCCTTCTAACAATGGTGGGCATGGTTATATGGACAACATCTTGCTGGTGCCATCTTGGGAAACATGCCAGTTTTGGAATATGAGGTAATAGGAGCTGAACAGCCCTACAGAAGAATTTGAAGAGTGGGGGTTGGAAGAGGAAAAACCCAATGAGAAAGAGAGGAGCCAGCAGAGCTGGGAATTTCATGGGGCAGGAGCTGAGACAGAAATGCCTGGTGAAGTGGAGGTGGTGTGGTTGATGAGAAGGTTTCAGAGAAATGTCTAATAAAGAGTTTGAAAGTTGCTAGGGCTGGGCGCAGTGGCTCATGCCTGCAATCCCAACACTTTGGGAGGCTGAGGCAGATGGATCATTTGAGGTTGGGAGTTTGAGACCAGCTGACCAACATGGAGAAACCCCGTCTCTACTAAAAATACAAACTTAGCTGGGCGTGGTGGCACATGCCTGTAATCCCAGCTATTCAGGAGGCTGAGGCAGAAGAATCACTTGAACCTGGGAGGTGGAGGTTGCGGTGAGCCGAGATCGCACCATTACACTCCAGCCTGGGTGACAAGAGCGAAACTCCATCTCAAATAAATAAATAAAAGAAAGTTGCTGTGGGCAAGTGCCATGGAAACTCATCCTCCTGTGGAACCCTGTGGGACCTCTTGAAATGCTATGCAAAGTCTACATTGTTCAATATTCCTTTTGTGAGAGTGGGTTCTTGGGAAATCTGAACAGCTCTTTAGTGTTACATGTGGGTCAACACACATCAGAGAGGACAATACCCCGTTTTGGAAATGGGGCAGGTAAAACAAAAAAATTTAAACAGTCTCATCTCTGCACACACCCAAGTGGTGGAGTTTAGGAATATTCTGCAGTTATGCTCTTCCTCTGTAGTTTGCCTTTTTTGTTGCTATTATTTTCCCTTCCAAATAAGCTCTTTTTCCAGGGAGGCCTTAAGAGACAGAGATATTGTCGATCCTCCCCAGACCTAAACCTAAAACCTCTTGGTCTCTCTCCTCCAGAGGGACAGACAGTGGCCCAGGGGGAATGACCAGCAGAGGGGCATCTTCCATCAGTAGAGCTTGGCTCTGATGCCTCTCAGACACGCTGATGGTTTTCGATGAGGGTTGTGGTTTCATCACAGTGTATCAGGGGTGACAGAGTTTCCTGGTCTGGCCAGGGCTGTGCGTACACAACATATCCGTATGCAAAAATCACTGTTCTCATCTTGGCTTCACAGGGACAGTGGGATTACACGCCTTCCCTCATTTCCTCCTTACAACAGTTCTGTGTGGTGGGTACTAGGATTACTTCCATTTTACAGTGAGAAACTGAGGCTGGGAGAAATTCAGGCCACATAACTAGTTGGGTGAATCCCAAATTCACTCTGAGCCCATGGTCTTAACCAGGCACCACATCACGTGTTGTATTTCTAGAGAGGTTTCCTGGCAGCTGAAATATGTGATGAATTAATAATAGGGGTGAGCTTGGGGCCTTGTGTTAATAAATCAAGTTCCAACACCAAGGTGAAATTTTACTTATTAAAGAGCCATTTTTGTGCTTTAAGTCCACTGTCAACATCAATGAACATCTGCACACCGTCGTGCCGTGCACTGTTCTAGGTGCTGAGACCACAGACGTGCCCAAGGCAGACAAAACCCCTCAATTCATCCTGAGTAGCTTATTTTACCAAAAGAAATATGCAGGAATGTCTTTCGGGGCAAGGAAGTGAGAGAGTTTTCCATAGTTAGCATTCTTTCTTGGACTACCTTAACAGACTGATTTCTCTTGTTCTTGAGCAAAGTCAACACCTTGTTTGCCCTCATTTTACTTATCCCCCCACCTCACATCAGAGAACGTGAGCTGGAAGCAGAATTCACCTGCTGTGCTGCTTGCCTTGGAGAAAGTTCATGACAACAAATTCTGAACCAGGGTATTGAGAGAAAGGTGGCAGGAGGGATAGTAGCCCCTCACTGCAGGCACATTGCACCACTGGGCACATTCGTGAGATCATGAATGAATGAATGCACTCATGAATGAAGGATGTGCCTTACCAGGAAGCAGGCAATGGTGAAACACATCCTGAACTTGATAGACTTAAAATGTTTCAGAAGTCATTTATCTCTTCTGAGATTTGCTCAGAAATTTCAACCATCCAGAAGTTTGGTGTGCTGTAGATCAAATAACAAAATGAACAATCTCTTATTATATGACTTTATTGTTTACAGATTTTAACTCACATTACATCCGTTGTGTTTTAGAATTATATGATGTAACCTAAACTGTAAGGGATCATTCCCTCCACACTTTACATAACTTGATTCAATTTCCTTTACCTTATATTAGCAGATTCAAAGAAGCCTTAAGGCGGATAGAACATACATGAATTCAAATTGTTTCCTACTCTATTTTCTCCTGCTTGGCACCTGGGCAGCTTTATTCTGGAAACAAAATCTCTGTCTTTTCTGAAATGAGAGCTGTCTCAGTAACCAACAGGGCACATATGTCCTTGCATCTTTCTTTTGTGTGATCCAAATAGTGACTCTCTCTCTCTCTCTTTATTTTTTTTTGAGATGGAGTCTTACTCTGTCGCCCAGACTGGAGTGCAGTGGTGCAATCTCGGCTCACTGCAACCTTCCCCTCCCAGTTTCAAGCGATTTTCCTGTCTCAGCCTCCCGAGTAGCTGGGATCACGGGAGTGTGCCACCACGCCCAGCTAATTTTTGTTTTTTGTAAAGACGGGATTTTACCATGTTGGCCAGGCTGGTCTTGAACTCCTGACCTCAAGTGATCCACCCTCCTTGGCTTCCCAAAGTGCTGGGATTACAGGTGTGAGCCACTGCGCTTGGCTGATTCTCTCTTAAATATTGAAGATGCCTGGCAGAAAGCCAAACAGTATTACTCAAGTTCCCTAAATCAATGATTAAAGATTTTTAATCTTGTCTTTTGGAATGGCACACTGAAAGTGTAGCCTGTAAGAATGGCAGCCAAGCCTCATGTAGACATGAATTGTGGGGTAACAAAAAGAAAAGTCTTTTCAGCAAAACTGAGTTAATTCTTTTTTTTTTTTTTTTTTGAGATGGAGTCTCACTCTCTTGTCCAGGCTGGAGTGCCGTGGCACAATCTTGGTTCACTGCAAACTTCACCTCCCAGGTTCAAACAATTCTCCTGCCTCAGCCTCCCAAGTAGCTGGGATTACAAGCCTGCACCACCACACCCAGCCATTTTTTTTTTAGTGATACAGGGGTCTCACCATGTTGGCCAAGCTGGTCTCCAACTCCTGACCTCAGGTGATCCACCTACCTCAGCCTTCCAAAGTGCTGGGATTACAGGCATGAGCCTCTGCACTCGGCCTAAAAAAAGAAAAAAACTGAGTTAATTCTTATCTGAGGTTGATTCACAATAGATCTATCAATTTCATCTCTTTCATTACTTAACACATGGCTTACAATACAAAACTATTCTGAAGTCAACTATTTATTGTTTTTGAATTTATTTACCTATTACCTGATAGGGAACCATGGGAACTTAGAACTAGCAAAGGCTTAGGAACACTGTGGTTTATCTCAGGTCTAAATATTGGAGCCCCAAAGGGATCAATATTTTGTCCATAATTGTAGAGATCCTTAAGCGACAGAGCCTGGAATGGACCCCGACTTTCCTGACCCCAACCTGAGGATTCTCCTTCACTAACATGGCAACATCCGCTCCCAGTCATGACTGTGACACTTCCCCTGAAGAGAGAAGCCTCAGGCCACACCGTTTGTGAGGACCAGGCCAGAAAGAAGCCACAGCGCTCCTCCTGGGTGCTTGTCTGAGGTGGTTTCCTTAACTTAGTTAAGAAAAGGAGAGCATTTCCCTTTCCTCCCCATAATGTAAGAGTCATTCATTATCGGAGTAGGGACTGATAGTTTATTTCTAAAATATCTATTGCAGTCATCAAAATCATTATTAGTAGTACATATATTTTACATTTTATAGGATTAACTTGTCATGGCCCTTTCAAGTGCACTATTGTGTCCTAGCTGTGCCTTTGAGTGACAAGTATTGGTGTTCCCATACTACTGGGAAGAAATTTGAAGCCCAGTGTGGTGTTTGCTAATGGTAACATAACCAGCAGGTACGAATAAGCAGGAGGGATGAGCTCTCAGGAACACAGGTCTTTTAATTCCTCTCCTTGACCCATTCATTTATGTGACAGCTTCTGTGACTGAGATGACAGCTAGTTCTGCAACTGTGAGTGGGGAATTGAAATCTCCTGTAATTTATGTTGAAAAAAATCTTGGATGATTTATTCCTGCCAGGCACTCTCTTTGGCCTCTGACCTTCAAAAGTCCTCACCCAAAGGACAGTTTGTGACTGGGTTCCTGTTTGGAAGGTTGTCGCTGAAGGTGTATGCAGTGTGGCTGGAAACAGCACCCCGGCCCTTGGTGGCTGCGCTTGGTTCCCCTTAAGGAAGCTCCTATGCCGTGCTGGGGCCTGGCCTTTAATTCCCAGAGGGCATTAGTGCTAGCGACACCTCACATCACCACTGAGGCACCTGCCTCTGTTGTTCTCATGTGCATTTTCCAAATCCCCAAATCTGTGCGTTTCCAGAAGTTTCTGGAATGGGGAAGATCTCAAGGACTTACTTGTTTTAATGGTTACAAAAGGCTGGTTGGGCCAATTTCCTTAGGGCATGACCTCTCTGGGGAAGAATTCTGCACCCACAAATCACGGATGGAACAAGGAAGTATTTTTATTCATGTGCCCCGTATCCCTTTTTTCTTTTGAGGCGTCCACCAAAGGCTCAGGATTACCTCTCCTGCCTGCTCCTCACCTCAAAGGTAAACAGACCATAAATTCTGCAGTAAAGCAGTGCAAAGGTTTTAAAGGCTGTGTTTACAACCAGGTTTGATCTCTGAAAACTGAACTTTACTCAAGATAGAGAAAAATCCGAGGAAGAAAGGAAAGGGAGAGATAGCTTGCATCGCACAAATCTCTTTTCACCTCATCGGCCCCCAACCTGGGAGACACACATTCCTTGTATTCAGAACCCAGCGTTCTCACCTCTCGACATCTGCCACGCAAGTTAATGGCAGTTGGGTGTTTGCATGGGAGTGCTGCCCACAAAACCTGTTCCTCATGATTAATGATCAGTTAGTTAAGTGTTTCAGGTCTACAGGATGGCTTCTGTGGACAAGAGAGAAGATTCTGAGCTTCAGATATGTTTGTTCTGTCAGGAAGTCTGTCCCTGGACTCAAAGGCCCTCTGAGGACTGAGGGTGGCTCCTGGGAGGTGTCTCCCCAGGGATCGTGACTCCCACCAGGCACCTGGTCCTGCAACCACAAACTAGAAAAGTGGATGCAGAGTAGCTATCAAATCCATTTGCCAAAACCTCCAAAAGCCTGCTCTTCCTGCTTCCAAGCTTGGCAGAAAGATCTTCCTAGGGATAGGCAAGTAGAGGCCATGAGCAGTCCCTGGAAAGAATGAAGGGCCGAACCTGGGAATCTGGGGGTGGCTCGGCCATTTAGGCTCCTTGGGGTGGGGCCATCAATGAAAAAAATATTAAGATGGCTCCTCATGACTACTTCTATCATCTGTCTTGGCAAGAGGATCTGAAATAACATCTACCTTTCCCTTTGTTTTCAATTAGCAGCAGAGTGAGAGCTTGGCCTGCTGACCGCCCCCTTGGCCAGATGAGCCCCCATGGATCCTAGCGGCCCCCATCCCTGCCCTCACTCCAGAGTGCCCTCTCCACCCATAACTGCATGGCTGTGATTAGTTATATAGCTCATTTGGATTCTACTTGCCTTTATTTCTCGCATGTGTTTGCCTTGTCTCCTGCTCTTGATTGTAGATGGCAGAAGTTTAGAATTTTAAGAGTCTCAGGACAGACGGAATCACACCTAATAGCACAGTGAAAGCACAGTGTCTGACTTTGCCTTGTCATTGATTGAGATTTGAGTCTAGAAGTCCCTGAATTTCAGCTGACAAGAAAGGGATGGGCTGGCATGAGAGTCACTCCATGCCCAGTGCTGGGCTGAGGACAGTGGCTGAGCCCACCGGTGGAGTCATCATCCTCTGTAGTCTCCATCGGCCCCTGCAAAGCTACCCAGGAAAAATGATGATCTTAATAACATCTTTTAATCTGGACAATTGCTATTTTTCAATTCAACGTGAAGTCTGAAAGGAACATTATTTTTATTAAACTTAACTCAAAAGTATGCTTGCTATAAAGACGCTCCTTTAAGACAAGTTCCCCAGCTCTCCCCTTTTAACCTTATCCTCTCCCATATGGAAATTCTGATTCCACCAGTGGCTACATCTCTGTGGGTTGCAAAGATGGGAGCTGAGGGGCTCACCATCAAGGAAACTGACCAGGTCAATATTGGTCAATACTGAAACCCTACCACAAGGCCAGCCAATGTCAGAGACAGACATTTTATTTGAAATGTAATAAATTTCAGAGTGTAATAAATAGAGAGGCTGTGACTGATGACTACTTTTTTTCAGAAGTAGATGGAGGTAATTTTGCTGTGCACATTCCGCCAAGCACAGGGTAAATAAATAACACTCAGCAAGTTACGAATTTGTTTAAACAGTGGGTGTCTCACTGGGTGTCAGAATCGTAAATGTATCTGAGGTCCCTTTTATACCATTCTCTGGATATAACAATCCTGATCCCTAACTGCAACATTTTTTTGGATTGCTTTAAACCCAAACTGTCAAGTGACAGACTCAGGAGTGAAAGTTAAGCTTTCAGTATCCAAAAACTCACTCATGCACAATGTAAGCCCCAAACAGTAGTGAGTTCTCAATGAGAACTCCATTTCAATAACTTACCCGACCTGGTCTGCTCCCAGATGACCCACGTGTTGTCTGTAAGGATCTCTCCCAATCTTTCTAATGATCTGTGAGATATGTGTATTTATCTCCATTTTACATGTAAGAGAACGGAGGCTCAGAGGGTAGACGATGTGCCAAGAGCATGAAGCTGCAAAGGCTGCGGCAGTGTCTGCATCCAGGTCCCTTCGACAGCAAAGCTCGTGCTCTTTCCACTACACAATAATGAACACATGGAGTAGGATTTGGCATGTGAGAGAACCAGCTAAGATTCTATGGCAGATATTTTTCTATTTACTTATTTTATTTTATTATTATTATTTCTTGTTTGAGACAGAGTCTCCCTTGCCCACCCAGGCTGGATTGCAGTGGTGCGATCGTGGCTCCCTGCAGCCTCGACCTCCCAGGTTTAAGCGATCCTCCGATCTCAGCCTCCCCAGTAGCTGGGACTACTGTTGTGCACCACCACGCCTGGCTATTTTTTATTTTTATTTTTTCTGTGGAGATGGGGTCTCCACAATGTTGCCTGGGCTGATCTCAAACTCCTGGGCTCAAGTGTTCCTCCTGCCTTGGCCTCCCAAAGTGCAGAGATTACAGGCATGAACCACTGTGCCCAACATCAATTTATTTATTTTAAAAAGGAACAAGAGGAAGAAGGTAGGTCATAAATTGCTTTATCACTTTCTTTTCTTTATCTCTCGTCTCCTTAGCTTTTCAACCCCATTCCAATTCCTCTCTTGATCATCTCAAGTCCTGTGTAAATCCCAAATTTAAAAAAAAATTTATTTAAAAATAATTTTAAACTTGTAGAAATGAGAAAAACCTTATCTCCCTTTCACCCAGATTCCCAAATTGTTAATATTTTGTATTTGCAGGCTGTCTCTCTTGCCCTGTCTCTCTCCATATATATCGTTTATTTATATATATTATACATAGATAAATAATTAATACATAGTCTTTTTCTGAACGATCTGAGAACAAGTTGCTGACATGCTACTCCATCAGCCCTAATTATTCTAGTGTGTATTTCCTCCAAACAGGGACACTCTCTAACACCACCATCATACAACCATCCAAGCCACCTTCCTACATGATCATTTGTTTCTTTTTAAAAAATGTTTTATTAGAGATGAGTCTTGCTTGGTCGCCCAGGCTGGAGTGTAGTGGCACGATCATAGCAGCCTGGGCTCAAGCAATCCTCCTGCCTCAGCCTCCCGTATAGCTGGGACTACAGGTGCACATACCACACCCCCATCCATTATCATTTCACAGACCCCATTTACGCTTTGCCAACTACCCCAAGAATGCCACTTCTTTCTTTCTGGTCCAGGATACAATTCAGGCTCATATGCTACATTTAGTTGTGAAGCCTCTATAGTCTCTTCTGATCTGGAGTGGTTCTTTAGTCTTCCCCCTGTGTTCCCCTACCTTGTAGAATGGCCCGTGCCTGGGTCTGCCTGACGTTTCCTCATGCTCTGACTCAGGTCGGGCATTCTTGGCAGGGATGCTATAGAAATGGTGTTGTGCACCGAGGAGGTCCATGTTGTCAACCTCAACCGTCTCACCACTGATGTTAGGGGAGCCTTCCTCCATCACCTTGTTTATGTCACCCAGGTGGTAGTATGATCACGGCTGACTCCAGCCTCAAACTCCTGAGCTCAAGCGATCCTCCTGCCTCAGCCTCCCAAAGTACTGGGATTACGGGTGTTAATATGCATCTGTGTGGTACTGTTTCTTTTGTTTGTTTGTTTGAGATGGAGTCTCACTCTGCTGCCCAGGCTGGAGTACAGTGGTGCGATCTTGGCCCACTGCAACCTCTGCCTCCCAGGTTCAAGTGATTCTTCTGCTTCAGCCTCCTGAATAGCTGGGATTACAGGTATGTACCACCACGCCCGGCTATTTTTTTTTATTTTTAGTAGAGACGGGGTTTCACCATGTTGGCCAGGCTGGTCTCGAACTCCTGACCTCAAGTGATCTGCCTGCCTCGGCCACCAAAGTGCTGGGATTACAGGTGTGGGTACTGTTTCTTAATAAGACCCACAATATGTTTTGAGTTTGGTTTTATAAGATAGATACCATTTCCTGACACCCAGAAAAGCTCAGTGTTCACTTTTTTCCCCCTCAATTTTTATAAGTGTACAAAGAACATTTCTATAAAAATTCTCACCTGGCCTATTGTGAAGGGCAGAAGGAAAGAAGGTAAAACTCATACATAACTAGGGAAAAATGGGGAAGTTCTAAAGTTAAAGTTTAAGTCATGTCAACCATAGAGACCTCAGACGTATTTCCTACTGTGCCTATTTAGGTGAGGTGGAGGGCAGGGATGGAGGAAATCGATGATCTTACAACAAAACTGTTTTTAACACTCTCCTGGCCCCTACTAGATTACTTAAGATTTTAGTGAAATAGGTCATTTTGCTTTGCAATCTGCTTAGAACTTTCTGGTTATTTTGAGGATTCTTCCATTCAGAGAAATCAGTAGCGAGTTTGGAGTGAGCCTGATCTCCAAGGTCCTGGGGTGGGCCCAGGAGCGACGCAGAGTCTGGAATCACGTGGACATGCACACAGTGGGAAAAGCAGGCTTGGTTTTTCCTGTGTCTCCTTGGGCAAAGTACTTCATTTCTCAGAGTCTCAGCTTCCTAATCTATAATGTGGAGGCTACTTCAAGGAAAGAGAAAAAAGAGAGAATGGTCACAGTGCTTGACACATAGTGAGCATCCAGAATGTGTTAATGATGATTACAGGGCAAGCCTAATGCCTGGCCCTTGACCTAGGTTGCTCATGGTTCAGTTTAGCCAATGAACTATGAACTATGAGTATTCTAGAAGTCAAATCACCACCTTGTTAGCTTGCATCTCCTAGTGTTGCCACCACTCCCAAGGCACCAAGGAACTTGGGTATTTTTGGAAATTAAACACACACACACACACACACCCCCCACGTCACTTGCCTTCATGATGTGCCAAGGATGTTTCTCTAGCCCCCACTTCACCATCTTAGATGAAGTTCCGAAGAAATGGACCCTCAGAGAAGGACTCGCATGCCAGTAGCTTATTAAGGAGCCAGGTAAGGGAGGAGGAGGAGCAGGAGGGAAAGAGATACCGCCGCCATCAGTCCCCACAGAGGGCAGCTTCAGCTTGATTTTTGCAGAAGAGTCCTGAACTATTAGGGATGATTCAGAATTCTCCTAGCACCTGTCGGTCACTGGACCTACCCTGGGGAAAGAACTCTCAGGCTCTTCGGCTCTCTGCCCTCTGGACAAAGGGGCTCCAGCAGCCCTGGAAGTCCTCCAGAGCAGAGCCTTGGGTGCTGGCTGTGGGAACTGAAAGCACATTGAAGTTGGGGGTTGGAGGGGAAGCACTGACATTTCTGCCACTAGACCCCACACCAGTGCTCAGGGTTCTGGAGTTTTGACAAGGCTGGAGGCAACCATGGCAGGTGAAGCTGGTGGCACACACTGCCCCCTCTCTCTCCCCTCCCTCTCATCGCCACAGTTCTTACCCCTTGACAGGAAGGCAGTGTCAAGGCCTTGGGATCTCCAACTCAATTTCTGTCTTTTCTGTCAAGCTGGACATGATTCTGCCCAAAACCCACCTCCTGTCCTGCCAGCCCAGACTTCTCTTTTTCCTTTGTAAGCCCTGGGTCTTTCTCGTTCTAGTTAATACCAGTAAATGAAAGAGTCATGGAAATCACAAGAGAAGAGTCATCTCTCCCAGGACAGGGCACCGTGAATTGCCAAAGAAGTAGTTGATATCATAGCAAGACCTACCATGCAGAAGACGAGAGCGCTGTCTAGGATGGGGTGGTTAGGAAAAGAAGAACGTCTCTGGGCTTAGGCTGGTCTTCATTGCAGGCTTCAGATTGTTAGCTGAGGGGGGAAGACCTTCCAGCAATCGGGATGGTATGGGCAGAAGTGCCAGGTATTTGGGGTGAACCATGAGTCGCCCCATTTGTCAGTGGTGCTGATGTGGAGGGGAGGGAGGAGTTGGTGAAGAGGAGGGGCTGAGCCGCAGCCAGGGCCTCCAGAGCCTGGGTTGGGGTAGCAGGGAGTGAACAGACAGGACATTCTTCTGGGACTTCTGAAAATTTTGGCTAATTTTGGGGATTTATTATTTTATTTTTTTGAGACGGAGTCTCACTCTGTCACTCAGGCTGTAGTACAGTGGTGATGATCTCGGCTCACTGCAACGTCCACCTTCTGGGTTCAAGCGATTCTCATGCCTCAGCCTCCGGAGTAGCTGGGATTACAGACATGTGCCACAATACCCAGCTAATTTTTGTATTTTTAGCAGAGACAGGGTTTCACCATGTTGTTCAGGCTGGTCTTGAACTCCTGGCCTCATGTGATCTGCCCATCTCGACCTCCCAAAGTGCTGGGATTGCAGGTGTGAGCCACTGTACCCGGTCCAGTTTTAGGGATATTTTAGAGTTATTTTAGGAGCTACCCATTAAACATCTAGACAAATTGTTTATTTATACATAAAATTGTGACTTTGTCCAGAGGAAGGGAATTTCTGACAGAATGTACCCTCTACCCACTCTCTGTGGTTTGAAGGAGGTAGAGTTAAAAATAAGCAATCCATCACATTATACTAATCTGATTTTTTAAAAAATGAGCCTCTATGTCTATGATCCTGACATATTTAAGAGACAAATGGGGATGGGTATTGGCAGTGTTGCAGAGTAGGCAGTTGACAAGTAATTCTTGAGCGTTAAGAATTTGAGCCAATAGTGCGGTAGTTTGATTTTAATCCAGCCTCAATATTATTTTATGCAGGGTGGGGCCTCTGGGCTCGGTGTTGGTAGGATGATGACTGCAGAGAGATTGGGAGAGGAGCTGTGTCTGATCTTTTGAGGGGGTGTCTTTGTGGGTGCGGCTGAGCACTGTCTCCCATGAAAACAATGTTCTACAGTGAGAATCCTGTGTACATGTGTTGAAAAAAATAAAATGTGGTTTTCCAATTTCTTGTAGGCTTTCAATCTCATTGACATAGTCTAGTCTAATAAGGAAGCTCTATATTTTCCAAATTAATTTTTCCCTCCACCAAGGGAACCAGTGATGCCAGATGGACATAAACTCTTTCAGAAAATGTCTACACTCATGGGCGATTTCCTACACAAATGGTTGCATAATATATACACTGTTTTGTTCCTCGCTTTTTAACCTAACACTGTATCTTAAGAGATCATTACTGATCAGTACATATAAAGCTAATTTGTTTACTTATATTATTAATTCCTAAACACACATTATAAAGCCTTTATACAATACAGAAATATACAGAACAAAAAGTGAGCGCCTCATCACTATCCCTTTCTCACAACTGTTTTTTAAAGATCTTAACATACACACACATGCATGCATTCACACATACACATGCAGAGTATTTTAAAAAACAGAAATGGTATCATACTTCTTTTGTGTGATATCTTTTTCATTTTATTTTTTTTTTGAGACGGAGTCTTGCTCTGTTACCCAGGCTGGAGTGCAGTGGTACAATCTTGGCTCATCAGAACCTCCATCTCCTGGGTTCAGGCGATTCTCCTGCCTCAGCCTCCCGAGTAGCTGGGACTACAGGTGCCCGCCACCATGCCCAGCTAATTTTTGTATTTTTAGTAGAGATGGGGTTTCGCCATGTTGGCCAGGCTGGTCTTGAACTCCTGACCTCAGGTGATCTGCCCGCCTTGGCCTCCCAAAGTGCTGGGATTACAGGCGTGAGCCACTGTGCCCGGCCTTCTTTTTCATTTTAAATATATGACTGATATCTGTTTATTTCTGAAGATACAGATCTACCTTAGTCTTTCAATTTTATTTTTTATTAATAAAAATTAATTTACTATTTTTTTTGAATAGATAATACACATATAAGGTGCAAAATTTAAAATTTTATACAGGGTATAAAAGGGTACACAGTGAGAAGAACGTCTTCATCTATCTCTGAACCCCCAGCCACCAATTGTTCCTTTCAGACACAGCCACTATTACCATTTATGCCGTTATCTTCTAGATAGTTTACGCATTTACAAACATATATTTTTAAAAATTTACCTACAAAAATGATAGCATGTTATCCATACTGTTCTCTCTCCAGCTTTTGTTTTTTACACAAAGTAGACCTCAGCTATTTTTCATATCCATATGTATACAGATGCCTTATCTTTTTAAACAGCCACATGGTGTTGTATTCCCTAACACAGATATACTGTAATTTATATGGTCTGTTCATGAGCAGTTTTATGGGATTGGAGGGTATCAGCTGCGTAAATTCCTAGAATACAGAGACTGTCTGCCTCCCTGTTCCTTCATCGTGTCTTAGTCCACCCATTCTCTCACTCATTGATTTATTTACTTATTTGATCAATTTCAGAGCCCGTTATGTGTTGCACATCATTCTAAGCTCTTGACCAATTTAAACTGAATCTTTTAAAACCATAGTATCCTTTCGCAAATAGACAAAGACGTGCTGAGCTAGATGAGAATGTTAAGCATCTTCCTATTTGCCATGTTTTACCTGGACCACCCATAAGCTACCCCAATCAGCAGGGAGGGTGTAAAACCTCCAAAGAGGAACACATTCGAATGTCTCTGAGCCCCTGGCTTAATCGTCCAGCTGTCCTCTGGGGGCTCTGCTGTGCGGTTCCACCCAAACCCCGTCCCTCTGCCTCGCCTGTGACTGAGTTTGGCAGTGGCTGGGAAGCCAGTGGATCGTGTGCCAAGTTCCAGATGAGTAGGAGAGAGGTCTCATCCCAGCCAGCCGGTAGGTAAGTATTAGTCACACAGGGGCACAAACAAGTCTCTAAAACCACATTTAGCCAGCTGTGGCCAGCAGTGTCCCATGCTTGGCTGCCTACAGACACCTCTGCGCTACATTAAGAAAGAGTTACCACTTGTTGCGGCAACAAAGCCAGCTGCTGGGAATTAGGTGGTAAAGATCAGAGGAAGAGGGGGTGGCTGCAGGAGCTGAAAGGGAAGGCCGAGCCACTCCCTGCACAAATAGTTCCTTGTGCCTCTCCTCCAAATGGGAGTTGGCACCAGAAAAGGAGTTGGTTAAAAGGAAGGCGACTCTCCACACCCTGGCCACTTCGTCAATGAAAAGAGAGACCCACTGATGAGGGATGATCCTGGAGATGGAAACGGGCCCCAGTGGGAGAGGCCAGGATGAAGTAGAAGGACCACTGCAGATATCAAAACGCCCTTGGCAGGGTGCGGGGGCTCGACACTGTAATCCCAGCACTTTGGGAGGCCAAGGATCACTTGAGCTCAGGAGTTTGGGACCAGCCTGGGCAACAGAGTGAGACCCTGTCTCTAGAGAAAAACAACATCAACAAAATGTCCTAGATTCTCTCCGCTTGCACGTGAGATGGAAGAGGATTTTCTAATTTCTTGGCTCCAGCACTCATCTCAAAAAACACTAGATCAGAAATACTGTGCTGTGTTTCTCCCCAAAACCCTGGGCTTCAAGGGTGAAAGATTTATGTCTACCAACCTGAAGAATAAGTCTTCCTTTTCTTGCTTTGGGTGTGACTTTTAATTTAAATATCAGAATACAATCTTTCTTTAATTTCCAGTCTTTAGAAGTGAATTACTGTACTCCCTACAAAAAGGTTGCAGGAAATACTCTCAGAGTGGATAAATATTTCCAGAGCATCAACAGGATAAAGGCTGTGCTTTCACCTTGAAAGGCTTGTCCACAATTCTCACATTTTTCATTTATCCACTTATTTATTGGTTTAATAATCCATCAAGGAAACATTTATTTAGTGCTTATTATGTGCCGGGCTGAGCTCTCTTTATGCCTTATCTAGCTTCATCTCACTATAATTCCTCTAGAATGAAAGCTGCATGAGAGTAGGGACTTTTTGCTTCTTTCGTTCATTGTTTGTCTTCAGTAACTAAAATTGTGCATGGCACATAAATATGTGTTTGAAAAATGAATTAGGTAAGTTATATTATTATGGACCTTTTACAGTTGATAAAACAGAGCCTTACATAGATTATTAAGAAGCTTGCTTAATTAGGAAAAATAGCTAATGCATGCTGGACTCAATACCTAGGTGATGGATTGCTAGGTGCAGCAAACCATCATGGCACACATTTACCTATGTAACAAACCTGCACATGTACCCCAAAACTTTAAAAATAAAAATTAAAAAAAGAAAGCTTGCTTAAAGTTTCAGAGCTTATAAGAGGCAGAGTTGGAATGTAATTTCATCTGACTCCAAAGGCAACATGTATTGAAATAGATGAGGGAGATGTTGTGGGATCACCAAGAAAAGATGATTTTTTTTTTTTTTTTAAGATAGGGTCTCACTCTGTCATCCAGGCTGGAGTGCAGTGGTGTGATTATGGCTCACTGCAGCCTTGACCTCCCTGGGCTCATGAGATCCTCCTACCTCCATTTCCCAGGTAGCTGGGACTACAGGTGCATGATATCACACCTGGCTAGTTTTTGTATTTTTTGTAGAGATGGGGGTTTTCCATGTTGCCCAGGCTGGTCTCAAACTAAGCGTTAGCTAAGCAGAATAACTTAATCCAGATAGTGACTTCTGAGAAGGAGATACAAGCCCCATGATTTAGGAAGCTATGAAAAGCAAGCTGGGCACAGTGGTGTACTCCAGGAATCCCAGCTACTCAGGAAGCTAAGGCACAAGGATCACTTGCGCCTAGGAGTTTGAGGCCAGCCTGGGCAACACAGCAAGACCCCATTTCTTTAAAAAAGAAAAAAATAAAGGAAGAAAAGAAAGCTATGAAGAGAAATTTAGGAATGTTTTTTCATCAAATAAATACTGAAAACCTGCTTCCTATCAAACCCACACAGACAGAGGATACCATATATACCAACATACTGAATGGTCTCTGGAATTTACTTTAAAGAGGTCATACTATAAGTAGGGCAATTGAAAACGGGGTCTGCATTTTTTTCCCATTAAATCAGGGCTTGGTCCAACCTTATTTTGCCAACAATGAACATCCGAGATCAAATATCAAGGTTTATCCCTCAAGGCCCAGCTCTAGATGCCATTTCCTCCCAGTTTTCACAATCAAAATCCTCAGGCAGGGCACAGTGCCCACACCTGTAATCCCAGCACCTTAGGAAGCAGAGGTGCGAGGACACCGTAATCTTGATCCTCACTTCTGAAGTCACTATTTGGATTAAGTTATTCTGCTTAGCTAATGCCTATAAAAATTCCCATTCATTACTAACGGTGGAAAGCGGCTCTGACAGCCTTGCCTTCCCCTTCATCCCAGGCAGCCCCATCCTTACTAATTGGAAGGGGAGATTGAACATTCTTTGCTTTTGATCAAGATTTGTCTCCTGCCAGGAGCAAGGAAGGATGTGTAGGAGGGAATGTCTCCGATAATAACAATAACAAGAGTAATGAGTAAAAGTTTTCAACAGGATCTTGGGCAATGAAGTTACCCAGGCCATTTATACATGTTTATAGTGTGAGTGTTTTTTCTTCAGCTAACAATGGCACCAAAATGCCTTCCTTCCCTCGGCCCCCTCCCAAACACGTTGAATGGTCCTGTTTGAGCTACAGAGGAACAGCTTTCAAAACTAGACCTTTTTTTCCTGCTTATTTCTGGCAATGAGTAAATGGAAATGGGGCGGTTTTGGCCTTTGGTTATGGGAGGGCAATGCTCTCATGGTGCCTGGTTTCTGGATTTTGTGGCTGAGAGCTTCAAGTGGCCTTCTTGAGCCAGTAGCAGGGCCTGTGGTGCAGCCGCTTGTCCAAGTGACTGAGGAAACCTTTCCTTCAACTTCCCTCCTCTTCCCAGCTTGAATGTAATCGGAGTTGCTATCCCCATGTTTAAGAAACAGACTGTGACTTCAACAACAATGAACTGACTTCCTACACATCCCTCTGCACCACCTCTTGGGTGATTTAGAAGAGGAAGCAAGATTTCCTCCTCCTGGCTCCGCTGGACAGAGCCTCCTCCCGCGTGGGTCAGCCGGGCCTGGGCTCTGGGGGTGCAGGAAGTCTCTCATCCTCTCACCCCATCCACATCCTGGAACTGGAGGATGAGCAGGAAGTGGAAAGTGTCAGGCAGAGTCTTTCAAGCTCACAGTCGGCTCCGGGCAGCTCGTGGGCCTTTAGGAAAACAATACAAAACTTTCCAAATGGTTCTTTTAATGGCTCTCTGCAAACACTTTACACAGTTGTGTTTGACGCTGCCAGTCACGAAGACTCTGGGATATTTATTTTGTTTTCTTTTCATTTTGCTGCGGGGAATAAAAAGTCACGGCTGAGTGTTGTTCTCAGTAACTCTCTTCCTGGTTGTTTGGAACACCTTTGACGGTGGCTGGCCTGGGTCGGGCCCCTCCCTGTTCTCTCCTACGGGGCGAGTTACTACGGCAGCCCTCTGCCCAGGGTTCCGAAGATTAATTGGCCTGAGTGATGCTTTAAATTTGGGAGCATGCCCCCATATACCAGGGGCCAGCTGCCAGCTGTTCTGAACCTTAGGGCACACCACATCACGTCTTCAGTGCCCTCATTTGTGAAATGAAGGGGCTGGAATGGTGACGTGACCCAGGTCAAATGTTCTCTGGGTCAGTGAGCTCCTGACCAGCCCCATACAGAGACCCCCTGGAGTCTTATGGGGCAGTGACCTCAGGTGTGCTCTGAACCCTTCTCCTGAGGCGTCTTCTTTTTTTTTTTCCATAAATTTTTTAAATAAATAGAGACAGGGTCTCGCTAAGTTTCCCAGGCTGGTTTCAAACTCCTGGGCTCAAGCAATCCTCCTGCCTCGGCCTCCCAGAGTGTTGGGGTTGCAGGTGTGAGCCCCCGTCCCTGGCAGAGGCCTCTTCTCTACATTTTCCTTCTTCCCTCTTTCCAGGTGGAGGCTTCTTGCTCCTGGGGCTGACCCCTTAAACTTTTCTTCAGCAAATCCCCACTGACTTGCCGTAAGACATGATCTGGCACATTGAGCTTTCACACAGCCATCTTCTGATGTCTTTACCAGGGTGGTTATTTTATTTTTATTTTTAGCCCTAGAATGCACCAACGGGGCCCAAAGATGACAAAGTTGTAAAACTTGGCTTTGCCAATGACTTCTTTTCAGTACTCTCTAGTCTTTGCTGTGTCAGGTCACAGCACAAGCCCGGTCGGAAAATACCCTGGGGGGCTCCTCCCTGCCCTTCCCAGACTGCCTCTCCCTTTCCTTCTTTGGCCATTGAGGTAGTAATAGGAAGAAGGAGCTCTCTTTTATTTGGAGGTTGGCATTTATCAAAAATAACATTTTCCCTGACGAATTTCCAGACACTGCCCATCAACTACCTTGGGATTTCACTAATTTTGAAATGCAGACGGTTCTAAGGCACTCCCCATCTCACGAGGGGAGATCTGAGGGCAACGCCTCTTTGACTTGGTATGAGATGGATGTTCAGAATCTCCATGTGAGATGAGAAATCTCAGCTTCCTCTGATCCCAAGCTGAAGGTGATGATACTTGGCAGAGTTGCTTCAACATGGAGCCTCCCTAAATTTAGAAAGTAACGGACCATAAACAGAGACAGTATGAACATGAAACTGAAACTAAAATTGATACTTCGGGAATTATTTACCTTTCTGACTTACTAGTGAACAATTTTAGTCTTTGCTTTAAATCAGATAGACTATGTGAGTGTCTCTGTGAAGTATCTGGCACAAAATAGGTGTTCAGTTAATGTGAGCATTGTTCACTTGTCACAACACGGGTGGAGACTCCTGCTCAGAGTTAGCCTCCTCAAGGGCTGGGAGGGTGGAGGGGAGGAGAGGTGAAGACCCATACCTGCTGGCTGAGACCCCTCCTCTCTCCAGAATAGAACTGGACAGATGGGACCAGGCATGGTGGTTCATGCCTGTAACTCCAGCACTTCAGGAGGCTGAGGCAGGTGGATCACCTGAGGCCGGGAGTTTGAGACCAGCCTGGCCAACATGGCAAAACCCCGTTTCTACTAAAAATACAAAAATTAGCCCGGCATGGTGGCAGGCACCTGTAATCCCAGCTACTCAGGAGGCTGAGGCAGGAATATCGCTTGAACCTGGGAGGCGGAGGTTGCAGTGAGCCAAGATCACGCCACTGCAATCCAGCCTGGGTGACAGAGTGAGACTCTGTCTCGAAAATAAAATAAAATAAAATAAAATAAAATAAAATAAAATAAAATAAAATAAAATAAAATAAAATAAAATAAAGTAAAATAAAATAAAATAACTGGACAGATGGAACAGTCACATGTCAATGGATGCCTATGGCAGCTTGCGGGACATCTTGGAAGGAAATGGATTGATCTGCCTGATTTGGCCTAGTGGCCTGAAAGGCTTTATATATGTACAGACCCCGAGGTTCTTCTTCTTTTTTCTTTTTCTTTTTCTTTTTTTTTGAGATGCAGTCTTGCTCTGTAGCCCAGGCTGGAGTGCAGTGGCGCCATCTCAGGTCACTGCAACCTCTGCTTCCCAGGTCCCAGTTCAAGCAATTCTCCTGCCTCAGCCTCCAGAGTAGCTGGGATTACAGGCACACGCCACCATACCCAGCTAATTTTTGTATTTTTAGTAGAGACAGCGTTTCACCATGTTGGCCAGGGTGGTTTTGAACTCCTGACCTCATGATCTGCCCACCTCGGCCTCCCAAAGTGCTTGGCTTACAGGCATGAGCCACCACGCCTGGCCCCCCAGGTTCTTCTTAAAGCATCAATTGGCTTGATCGTCCCCTTCTTCCCCCGAAATTTATATATAAAGTAGATATATATAAATTGCCTCCCTGAGTCACATATCCTTGAGGACCACGTCATGGAGACTTTGCAAGGTCATAGGAGGGCTGGGCCCCTAGAATCCCCTAAGTCAGAGGCCTATTGGGCAACCAGTGTCTGTGAGACTGGAAGCCTGGGAGACTCTAAAATCATGCTGAGATCATGATGAATTCCCCATCAATGTCTGTCATTCAGAAGTCTGGAAACCCAAATTGAGAAGTTCCCAAACAAAACTGCTGGACCTTGAAGAGGCTACAAAAGAGTGAGCTGTGGTGCCTCCATCACTCAGGAATGTGAGGGGCTGGCCAGCTCTTCTGGTCCTAGTTCTCCTTTGTGTCACCCCCTCCTTGGCTTATACCTTGCCAAACTAAATCTTCTTCCATTACCGTCACACAATTAGAATCAGGCCAGCAGCAGGGGCAATTTTGTCAAGTTGTGAAATGCAAACAGCTTTCTACCTTAATTGCTACCACTCTTCTGCTGCTGTTACTCTTGATTGCATCAGCACACTTCTAAATTTGGTGAATTTTTCTCTTTTATGGGAGACGTGTGTGTGTGTGTGTGTGTGTTCAGGAAAGCCACACTCTGGTCATGTCTCTAGGTCTCTAAGGAGCCCTCTCCTTGTCTGCATGGCTGGTCACCGTCCCATGCTGACCACCTCACCCTCCTGCCTAGGGGCCAGACCATGAGGGTTGGCATCGCAGCCTCCATGGCCTCCTTATGATTTGGCTCTCATGCTCTATCCGGCACTCTCTTTGGTCTCCACTGACTTTGGTGCCAATGAGTCCTCTGGATGCCTTTCCACAACCTCAGGAAAGGCAGCCTATCCTGACTCATGGTTTTGGATGTGAAGTTGTTGCTTCTAAGCTAAGTGTGGTCAGGAAGTCTGTCCATCTATGTTTGTCAGGTAAGCCAAACAGATTTGTTGCATCCCAACCCTGTGGCAGGCACTCTGCTAAGCACGAGGACCCAGAGAAGAAGGATGGTTTCTGCTTTGGGGAGCTCTCCATCTAGGAGGGAGAGTGATTCACGAACACATTATTTCAAAACAATGTGGCAAATTAAGGGGTAGAAAAAATGGGTCCCGAAATGCACTCGGAAGGTTTGGTTCAGCCAGATCTGATGGTTTAGGCTGCTGTTCTGATTGGACGGTACCCGGACAGAGCTGGAGTGTCAATATTTTGAGTATCCCCTGAGAGATACAAAGCAGAGTGCTGAGGAGAAAGAATCAGATCAGCCGTGGGATGGGGGAGGATAGGTACCTCAGCTCTGACTTACTTAGTGATGACTTGAAAGCGGAGGAAGGAGGAAGTGAAGAGGAAGGGAAAGAGTATACCAGGCAGTGGCATCACCGTAGGCTGCATGAGTGCAAGCATGCAGAAGCCAGGTGTGCACGGATATCCCCATGGCCAAGTCCTTGAGGGTGGTGGAGAGCGGTGGGAGGCAAGGTGCCCTATGAATGGTGGGTAAGCTCCAGAGGGACTTGGCCTGGTTTTTAAAAAGAGTATCTGGCACCCAAGAAAATAATGGAGTGAGGGAGTCAAGACTAGAGAAGGAAGTCTGAGGTTTAGTTAGGGAATAATTGCAACTCCCTAGAAAATAGACAATCCATTTTTATGGGGTGTCCCTTCATTCCCATTTCATGTATATTTCCCTCTTCATCCATAGCTTTGAGGCAAGTGACTGAAGGGCCATTCCCTTCCTCCTTTTCCTCCTCCTCCTCCTCCTCTATGTCTTTTTCCTCCTCTTCTCATCCTTCCTCTCCTCCTTTTTCTGTTTCTTCTTTTGTTGTGTACTTTTTATTTTGAAATAATCTCTATAGACTCACCAGAAGTTGCCTAAATGGTACAGAGCCCTCTTTAACTCTCACCCAGCCTTCATCCAATAATATCATCTTACTTAATTTTAGTATAGTATCAAAACTAAGAAACCGTCATTGGAACAAAACTGTTAAGCAGGCTACAGACTACTCAGATTTCATGTTTCTACATGCATCTATGTGTGTCTGTGTAGTTGTATGCAATTTTATCACGTATGTGTCTTCGGGTGACCTCCACCCTCATCAAGATACATAATGGTGCCATCACCCCCAGGGACCTCCTGCACTGCTCTTCACAGCTTCACCACCCCCTCCCCCACCCCCCGCCCCTGCCGCCCACCCTGTCCTGAAGATCCACTCTGATGAGCTAAGCTATGGGGTTCAAACAGTTGCTGACACCAAAAGGAAGAAAAATATGCTTCTTGGCACATAGAAACCTTTGACTTTTTGCACTCTCTCCATATGGGTCAGGCTTAACCCCTGGAGGTTATGAATGTCATGGTGGACTCTGTGCTTTGGCCTGAAGCAGTATGTGTTGCTATTCCTGAGTCTGAGAGCGGCTGATATTCGTGCCTGGGCTGCAGCCTTTCTTTAAAGCACCTTCTTTATGAGATCTCTCATATCCTCAGGGCAGGACAAAACTGGGGGTTAGTCAGCAATGGACATGATGATTTTAACATATGCTAGAGGTGCACAAGAAGTAATTATTATGTGGCCTAGTGCACATTTATTTTACAGACGTCATTGTTCTCGTATTTCTTTTAAAAAGCCCATTCCTTCCCAAATGGTGAATCATTTGTTCAATAATAACTTCTCATTCTCTCAGTCTATTGTGTACTTGAAATTCATAAATATCACTTATGTACAGACTGACCTCACCATAGATGCATTCCTGAATGTATATATAAGCCAGATATTTCAGTATTCAATTGTAAGTATAGCAAGTCAAAGTGATTGTAGTTTTGGAGATGTCATAATAGCAGCTTAGATTTGAAATTGTCTTGAGATATCATCTGGTATAGGTTTTGCTTTACTTAGGAATCACTTCTCCAAAGCACTGATGTTCATGGATGTTTGGGGATAGGAGTTCATGGCTCGTGGGGCCACGGATCACTCCATGTCAGAGACTGAATCATTTGCTAGTTCCCTTTTTAAAAATCCAATTTGGATCCCACAGAGGAGAAAAAAAGAAAAAAAAAGAAAATGCAAAATATTCTATCATATACATTTTCTTTATTGGTTTGTCCTTTTGATCTACTCAGGATAAATGAAATTTCTTCCACAAACGGTCTTGCTGGTTATTTGAAAGCAGTTCTTGCATTTCCTTGAAGCATTCTCTTTCTAGTATAAACACCATTGTTTCCTTTAACTGGTCCTCCAGGCCCTCATTCCCCAGACTCTGCCATCCCATCACTTCCTCAGGATGTACTCTGGAGTACCCCATGTCACCCTTTAATCTGATATCATGTTTTCTCTGTTATCACAAACAGAAAAACAACAACAAAATTTGACTGACCTAACTATATAAACCACACGTAGGACATTAAACATTTTCAACAGAATCCTGCTTTTGTGATGTAAAATCTCTACTTTTAATTTTCCCTATGGTTCCTGTAAGAAAAGTTGGTCATATAAATACTTCATCCACATAGTAAGCACTTTATAAAGGTTCACTTTTATTATTATTATTAATTTAAAACAACTAATACTATGCATTAAAAAAAACAGCACAGATAATGTCTCTAGTGGGAAGAGGGGCAAAGCCGGGCATTTGAGGGCACAGACACACGGAAAAGGAAATCTGAGAAAACTAAAGCAGCTTCCCACATCTTAACTTCAGTCAGGTCATAATCAAGCTTTCCTGACTCACTAAAGAGGTTCTGCCCTCCGAGGGGTGAATAGTCAAAATCAATTCACTGCTGACATGCGTGCATGACAATCTTATTTCTTTGCATTCCTGAGATGAAAGCCTAATTGAGCGTTGTTTTAAAACTATTGTTATTTTAAGACAAAGAGGAGTAAAGTTATATTTTTACACTTTAGTGATAATTTTTATGATCTTCTGTGGTTTCTAAGTGTGATGATTGGGTTTTCACACAGTTGTGTGAGGTGTGCCACCTTCAAACCTTGTTATGACGTCGACACTTACCCATCTGACAAGAAGAAAGGAAAAAAACAAGAAATAATTTTTAGGTACTAAGACAAATGTTTTCTTTGTGTGTGTTGCCTCTTTATTTTTATTTATTTATTGATTTATTTTTATTTTTTTGAGACAGAGTCTTGCTCCATCGCCCAAGCTGGAGTGCAATGCTGCAATCTCGGCTCACCGCAACCTCTGCCTCTCGCGTTCATGTGATTCTCCTGCCTCAGCCTCCCGAGTAGCTGGGACTACAGGTGTGCACCACCACGCCTGGCTTATTTTTTGTATTTTAGTAGAGATGGGGTTTCATCATGTTGGCCAGGATGGTCTCAATCTCATGACCTCGTGATCCGCCCGCCTCGGCCTCCTGAAGTGCTGGGATTACAGGTGTGAGCCACTGCACCCAGCTTATGATTATTTTTTTAAATTTTAGACTTAAGGGTGCATGTGCAGGTTTATTACATGGGTACTTTGTGTGATGCTGAGGTTTGGGCTTCTACTGATTTCATCACCCAAACAGTGAACATAGTATCTAATAGGTAGATTTTTAACCTCACTCCCTCTCCTCCACCCTTTGGAGTACCCAGGGTCTATTGTTCCCATCTTTGTGTCCATGTGTACCCAATGTTTAGCTCCCTTTTATAAGTGAGAACATGCAGTATTTGGTTTTCTGTTCCTGTGTCAATTTGCTCAGGATAATGGCTTCCCGCTGCATCCATGTTGCTGCAAAGGACATGATTTTGTTCTTTTTTATGGCTGTGTAGTATTCCATGGTGTATTTATGCCATATTTAAAAAATAAAATCCGTCATTGATGGGCACCTAATTGATTGCATGTCTTTGTTATCATGAATAGGGCTGCAATGAACAAACATTTGGTAGAACAATTTATTTTCTTCTGGGTATATACTCAGATATGAGATTGCTGAGTTGAATGGAAGTTCTATTTTTAGTTCTTCAAAAAAATCTCCAAACTGTTTTCCACAGGGGCTGAACTAATTTACATCCCTAACAACAATGTATAAGTGTTCTCTCTTTTCTCCACAACCTTGCCAACATCTGTCATTTCTGGACTTTTTATTAAAAATAGCTATCCTGGCTGATGTGAGATGGTATCTCATTGTTGTTTTGATTTGCATCTCTTCTGATGATTAGTGATGAACATTTTTCTATATGTTTGTTGGCTGCTTGTATGTAAGACAAGTGTTTTCCTGTTTGACTAAAAAATACTGGTATCAAGAGTCAGTTATTCATGGCCGGGCACGGTGGCTCACGCCTGTAATCCCAGCACTTTGGGAGGCTGAGGCGGGCAGATCACTTGAGGCCAGGAGTTTGAGACCAGCCTGGCCAACATCGTGAAAACACATCTCTACTAAAAATAAAAAAAAATAAAAAATAAAAAAGAATTCGCTGAGTGTGGTGGTGCGTGCCTGTAGTCCCAGCTACTTGGGAGGCTGAGGCACGAGAATCACTTGAACCAGGGAGGCGGAGTTTGCAGTGAGCCGGGATCATGCCACTGCATTCCAGAGCATGACTGTATCTCAAAAAGAAGAAAAGAATGAAAAGAATCAGTTATTCTTGCTTAAAGTGATACTAGGTCATATTAATAAACAGAATTAAATTCCTATTTATATTTTAAGTAGTTGACTTAGAAATAAGTTAAAACTTACAGAGGAATTACAAGAACAGTGCAAAGAACTGACATATGTCCCCAATCAGATTCCCCGACTGAATTCTACATCCTTCACAGCTATTGACTGTTAATATTTCACTATATATGTTCCATTACCATTTATTTCTCTCTCTCTCTTTCTCTTTCTTCCCATTTCTAATGGTTATTCCTAGTCTTTTTCTGACCATTTAAGAATCAGCTGTGGACATAATGCCCCATAACCCCTAAATATTCCAGAGTATGTTTCCCCAAAACTTTTCTATATATTCACTAAATGACTTTCCAACTATCTACATATTCACTAATGAATTTCTGACTCAGCATTGAAATCAACTACTGCACTGTCCACAGATCTCATTCAGTTTTGGTCAACTGTCCCATCAGTGTCTCTTTTTTGTTTCTGGTCCAGAATCCATCCAGAAATGCATGATGCATTTAGTTGTCCTGTTTTTTCCATATTTGCCGGTCTTGAACAATTCCTTACTCTTTCTCTCTTTGTAATTCCCCACTCTTGACAGTCTTAAAGAGGATAGGCTTTCTCTTCCTTAGGACTATTACCTTTTCATGTATTCTCTCTTTTGTTGTGTCTAGACTAGAGTTTATCCCATTGATTTGTTATTATACTAATAACTGTATTTTTCATTTCTAAGATTTTTCATTATCTATATTAATTTGTTCATGTTTCCTATTTTTGCCTCATAATTTCTTCTGCTTTTTAAATGAAAATTATTCCATTATTTGAGCTATATGTACTATACATATCACATATATGTTGTTCTATAACATAAATTTAAGTTGGCATGAATTTGATTCTGATTGTTGATTTTGTTGACTTTTCTTTCATTGAATTAGTCTTTCTCCCCTTGGCTTGCCCCTCTCTCTAGTGGTTTTGAGGGTTCCTCCACCAATTCTCTGGGTTCCTAGGCTCATATGGCTTTTAGAACACTGGTACTGATGAGATTTGGTGATATCACAGATACAGTCACAGAGCTGCCAGGCAGCTTTGCTCAGTTCTTGGTATCTGTGTCCTTTTGTCCTCCAGGGCCTGTGGTTTGCTAAAAACGTTAGCCTCAGGCAGTGGTAGACACCAGTTTGTTTGTTTTTTTCCTTTCCTCCTCTATTCATTTCAGTAGTAGAGTGGCCTTAGCCAGCCCCAGTCTTCAACATTGTGTAGCACAGCAGTTGGATTCCTGCCTGGCCTCCTGTCTTGTAGACCTGGAACCTGTTGCTTCAGCCCTGTTCACTCCTTTGCATTTATGACCCATTTTCAGTTGCAGCGTTGTTTAATTCGTTTTTGAGAATAGGCTATGTCTTTGTTTGTTTGTTTGTTTGTTTTTTGAGACAGAGTCTCGCTCTGTTGCCCAGGCTGGAATGCAGTGGCACAATCTCGGCTCACTGCAAACTCCACCTCCCAGGTTCAAGCAATTCTCCTACCTCAGCCTCTTTTTTTTTTTTTTTCCTTGACATGGAGTATTTCTCTGTTACCCAGGCTGGAGGGCAGTGGTGCAGGATCTCGGCTCACTGCAACCTCTGCCTCCTGGGTTCAAGCGATTCTCCTGCCACAGCCTCCCAAGTAGCTGGGATCACAGGCACGTGCCACCACGCCCAGCTAATTTTTGTACTTTTAGTAGAGGCAGGGTTTCACCATATTGGCCAGGCTGGTCTTGAACTCCTGACCTCAAGTGATCCGTTCGCCTCGGCCTCCCAGAATGCTAGGATTACAGTAGTGAGCCACTGTGCTTGGCTTCTGCCTCAGCCTTTTGAATAGCTGGGATTACAGGTGCATGAACCACCACACCCAGCTAATTTTTGTATTTTTAGTAGAGACGGGGTTTCATCATGTTAGCCAGGCTGTTCTTGAATTCCTGGCCTTAAGTGATCCACCCCCCTCAGCCCCGCCAAAATGCTGGGATTACAGGCGTGAGCCACTGCGGCTGGCGAGAATAGGCTGTATCTTTTAGCTTTCTATTTTTATATCTTACCTGTCATCATTTTATGCTTGGGACTTAGGAATGAGATAAGAGTGCTGTAGACTTCAGGTAATGCATCCTAACAGCGGCCCCAGACCCACCTGCCGGATCTCTCATGCGGACTTTCTGCAAGAGCTTCCCTGTGAGGGGTCTGATTTACATTTGCCCTTACAAATCTGTTTTCCATTAAAAGTGCACATGAAAAAATGATGTCCTTCTCTAACTTAAAATTCTCTTGGTATCCCTTGCTCTAAAGTGCAAAATCTTTTAACACAGTTTACAAGGTCCGTGGGATCCGGCCCTGCCTCCATTCCAGATTTCTTGGTACTACTTCCTCCTGCATCCTGAACCTCTGCTCTCCAACAACGTTGGCCCTCCTTTAGCTCCTGGAACCACTGGCCTCTCACACTTCAGAGCCTGCACACAGCCTTCTCCTCTGCTTGCAACCCTCTCTCCTCCTTTGCATCCTCATCCCTGACCTCCTGGATACATCCTGTTTACCTGCTAGACGTCAGCTGGATGTCTTGACCTCAGGGAGACATCCCTCCACTTCCAGCTTGGGTGACCTTGTAATATACTGTCAAGGGGCCCTGTACTTTTTGTTCAGATACCTGAATATATTAATTGGTATAACTTATTCACATTTATTCATGTGATTATTTGTTGATCTTCGACGGGTTTTTTCACCCCTATATGCCCGGCACCCAGCACCACGTGTGGATTTTCACAGCTCACGCCAGATTCCAGGAAGCAAGGGTGAGTTATTTAAGGCGTCAGGTGGTCTCGGCCCTGCTTCCCCTCTCATCTCCCCTGTTACCACTTTCCTCCTCACTGTCTCTTCTTCAGGACACCCATGGGCCGACTAGTATTTCCCCAAACCCAGCAGTCATGCTCCTGTGTCCAGGCCCTGGTGGTTTCTGTCACGTTATTTGAAACACTGCCAAAAGAGCCTGCAGCTCACTCCCTGCAGAGTGCTCCCATCACCTCCTCACTGAGGCCTTCCTTGACTGGCCTATTTAAAATGGTAACCCATTCACTTCCCTGCATCACTCTCCTCTGTGGCCCTTGGCACTGTGCAAAATTCTACATCCTTCATGTCTATCATTGGCCTCCCCTGAGAAGGAAGCGTTGTGATGGCAGAGTTCTGTGGGGCTCATCGATGGCTCCTTGGCACTTAGCACATGCCTGATGCGTGGCAGGTGCCACACAGGTGTTTGTTAATTGAAGGAATGAGTTGCCTACCCCCACTCTGATTTAATATTTGCTTTGCTCCTATTGATCAGGAAAGAAGGCCTGATTACACCTGCTATCTGCCTAAGGTATTTTTTCATCTCCTTCATGATATCAAAATATTCTTATTCATTTTTATTCCTTGAAGCCTAACAGACATTTCCTGAGTATGCGTTTGGTTTTATGCTGCTGAGATGTTCCTCTTGAGAAAACACACATTTCTGTTTCTTTTCTTTTAGGTCTTAAAATGGTAACGAAGAGACTGGAGGGATGTTCCTGCAGAGATAACATTCAAATCCTAGAGAGCAGGTGCAGATGCAGGATTTGAAGGTGGGGCTTCTTGTGGCTATAGAATTAGTTTAAAAAATAATAAAAGAGGAGTAGGAAGACATCCTGCCACCTAGCATCATTTGTAGCCAGAAGCACGGCCATGGTGGAGGCTCACTTCTCAGTGCCCTTGCGGCTGCCACCAGCCCCAGCTGTGGCAGATGCTCCCCTAGGCCTGCGCACCCCCTCCCTCCCACATGCCATGGGATGGCAACAGCCGCTCATGCTCCAGGCTTTGGCAGGTTGAGGTGGAAGAGTCTGTTTTCACAGGTGCAGCCTGCAGCCCAAGGTTGAAATTTGGCTTAGAGCATGTCCCTGAGTATAAAGCTAAGCTTCTTTTGTAATGAATACTAAAAACAAAAACAAAAACAAAAACCTCCCCCTAAAATCCTGAAACAGGTTGTAGGGCCCTGGAGACCTTAGGACCCAAGGATGTCCCTGCCCTCCATTGTCACAAAGAAAATTTCTTTTTGCTCCAGACAGAAACTGATAATTGTGATTACTTCTGAAATCTATTGTTTAGTTTGAAATATGTAGGAATTGAGGAAAAAGGCTCTTTTCTCCCCTCCTAAGCTTCCTTCTAGCGGAGCTCCCCCAGTCACAAGGATTCTTTGCCTTTTCATCTTTAGAGAGTCGGGAGCTGCATAAAGGCTCCAACCTGCATTGGCAGGGAAGGGCCTGCCTTTGCTTTACTGTACATTTTTGACCGTTTAAAAATCTGCATCTCAAGGCCAGGTGCACTGGCTCACGCTTGTAATCCCAGTACTTTGGGAGGCCAAGGAGGGAGGATCACTTGAGGTCAGGAATTTGAGACTAGCCTGGACAACATGGTGAAACCCCATCTCTATCAAAAATACAAAAATTAGCCGGGCATGGTGGTGTGTGCCTGTAATCCCAGCTACTCAGGAGGCCAAGGCAGGAGAATCACCTGAACCTGGGAGGCGGAGGCTGCAGTGTGCCGAGATTGCGCCACTGCACTCCAGCCTGGGTGACAGAGTGAGACTCCATCTCAAAAAAAAAAAAAATCTGCATCTTTAGTCCACTGGTCTTAGAAGAGCTGGAGCATGAAGAGACTTCTGATTGTCGAGACCCCAGGCATTAACACAGAAATGCAGTGACGTGTGATGGCTAGATGAAAATCCTTCTGGAGTGAAGGTGACAGTCTAAATGTTCCACTGATATTACAAATACACACCTATTATAATGTGCCAGGAATTTAAAAAAAGTTTTAAAGTGTTAACATTACTTCGTTTAGTCCTTAGAAAATTCTACACAATAGATATTAATATTAACCTTCTTGTACAGGGACAACAATGGCTTTGGGGTCTTGCCCAAGGCATCCTGTTAAGAAATGGCAGAATTAGCAGGCAACCCAGACAGCCTGAGTCTTGAGTCTGACTCTTCATCACCTCACTTTGCTGTCTCAAAGTTCCTTCCAGGCCTGTGGTTGGTGGTCTCCAGTTAGATGTGTTCTTCCCCTTTTGTGGGAAGCTGAGCATGGACACCATGCCCTTACTCCTGGCACAATGGCAAAAGAGCTTGGCCACTTTCCCCTCCCTGCTGGCACCTATCACATGCTTGAGGGAAAAGTAGCTGCTGTCCTTACCTGGGAGTGAACCTCCTTTCTTGGCTGTTCCCGGTTGGCTGGGAGTCCTTTGAGTTTCAGGATTCCAGTGCCTCCTCCCACATCACAAACATGTTACACTGGAATACCTGTTCTCTTGGTTATGTGCTTGCAAATATCCCTCACTTGGGATGAAGGCGAAAGTCCTACCTTTCGCCTGGTTGGTAATCCTGGCCCTGATGTATGCAGGATCCATGCAGCGCAGTAGGCGCTCCAGAAAAGCATCCCTTTGTGATAGGAACAGATACAGTGACATAATCCCCTGGCATCCAAAGCAGAACAGGCTGTACTTTTTAGAAATAGCATATTCACCTCTCACTCAGTTATTTTAGGGTCCACACACCATGAGCTGTCACCAGGAACCTCCTGAACTTCTGGGGTGACTGAAGGTGTCCAGCGAGGCGACGTCATCCCATGCTCTCGGTACACAAGGTCAGGAGGCTGGAGGCACTCAGGGGCTGCAGCCTATCAGGTCTGTAAATAGCAGCAGCCAGGCTCGTGTTCTCTTCCTTTAGTGCACTTCGGCATTTCTAATCAGCTCCAGAGAGAACGAGACATATTCTCCACGGAGTGAACTCCAGGCCACTCTGGAGGTGAGCTCATGGGAGTTTTTATGATATGTCCAATCATCCAAAAGGAGAATGGGGCTTGCCCTGAGTGTCTGGGGAAGAGCCGTTCTGCCCTTGGTTGCCAAACTGCTGGCTTTTGGTGTGGGCACTAAGGAGGTATGGTCTGTAGCAGTTTCTTGTGGGTATCCATGTCCCATACCTTCAGGGAACTACAAATATGGGATTAGAATAATGTGGTGTTTTTTTTTTTTTTTAGGAAGTTTTTCTCTTGTTGCCCAGGCTGGAGTGCAATGGCGCAATCTCGGCTCACTGTAACCTCTGCCTCCTGGGCTCAAGTGATTCTCCTGCCCCAGCCTTCCAAGTAGCTGGGATTACAGGCATGTGCCACCACACCTGGCTAATATTTTGTACTTTTAGTAGAGATGAGGTTTCACCATGTTGGCCAGGCTGGTCTGAAACTCCTGACCTCAGGTGATCCACCCGCCTCGGCATCTCAAAGTACTGGGATTATAGGCATAAGCCACCATGCCAGGCCTAATGTAGGTCTTGATATTGAAACAGGAGTCTGTATGATGGAAGGAAGAGTGGTGGGCATGGGGAGACAGCCAGCCTAGCCCCGCCACTTTCCTCTGGGCAGCCTTGGGAAGTGCTCTGTTCTCTCCACTGTGCTGCAGACGCTCAACCAGGCACTTTACTTAATTTTGATAGCAGCCTTTCCTGCCAACTTCACATATCAAATGATATGATGCCTATGAAAGAACAAGAGAAGCCATATAGCAATATTCACATGCACATGGGAGATGCTGTTAATATTTATTTAGTTAGTTGAGTTTAGGGTTATTCTCTTCCTATGTTGCCAACGCCTTCCTGGCTTATTGCCAAAACTCTTCTTTTGTTTGCAGAAAATAAATATGACCCTGCTGGCTCTACCTTGCTCAAAAGAGTATCCATTTATTATTTGCTCTGTTCATTCATTCATTCATTCATTCATTCACGTATTCATCAGATTTGCTTGTGACAGTGGCAGGTCTTGAGAGTGGTAAAGTCTTAGACAATTTTAGAATTCAATAAGGAAGAATGTAAAAATAATTGTAATACAAAGTGAGAATGTTATAATGGAATCGTGTGCAAAATGTTTCAGAACACACAAAACTTACACACAGTGTTCATAGCAGCATTATTCATAATAGTCAAAAGAATGGAAACCACCCAAATGTCTACCAGCTGATGGATGAACAGATGGACAATGTGTTATATCCATACAATGGAATATATTACTCAGCAATTAAAATCAATGAAGTACTGACACATGTATTGTATGGATAAATCTTAAAAACATGCTAAGTGAAAGAAGCCAGCCACGAAAGACCACATATTGTATGATTCCTTTTATATGAGCTATGCAAGTCCATACTGACAGAATTCCCTTTATGTGGCAAGTCCACAGAGACATTAAGTAGATGAATAGGTGCCTGGGGCTGGGGCAGAGAGAGGAAGAGTGATTACTGCTAATGAGAAATGGTTTTTTTAGGGGCCATGAAAATATTTTCAAATTAGATTGTGGTAATAGTTACATACCCTATAATACACTGAGAACTCTTCAATAGGTGAATTTACTGTATGTGAATTAGATCTCATTAAAATCTTTAGAAAATGCTGTGGGAATATTGAAGAGAGATTAGTTTTGATCCATATGTCAGAAAAGTTCAAATTGGAGGAGATATTTGGATCAGCTCTTTTTTTTTTGAGACGGAGTCTTACTCTGTCACCCAGGCTGGAACTCAGTGACACGTTCTCAGCTCACTGCAACTTCCACCTCCCGCGTTCAAGCAATTCTCCTGCCTCAGCCTCCCAAGTAGCTGGGATTACAGACTCCCACCACCACACCCAGCTAATTTTTGTATTTTTAGTAGAGATGGGGTTTCACAATGTTGCCCAGGCTGGTCTCAAACTCCTGACCTTAAGTGATCCGCCTGCTTTGGCCTCTCAAAGTGCTGGGATTACAGGCGTGAGCCACCTCACCCCTGCTCTGCTCTTTTATTTATTTATTTTTTAAGAGACAGGGTCTTGCTGTGTTGTCCAGGTTGGAGTACAGTGGCTAACACGGGGGTGATCACAGTGCTCTACAGTCTTGAACTCCTGGGCTTAAGTGACCCTCTCACCTCAGCTTCCTGAGTAGTTGGGATTACAGGCATGCATTGCCATGCCCAGCTAATTTTAACATTTTTTTGTAGAGATGGGATTTGCTGTGTTTTTCAGCAACTCCTGGCCTCAAGGGATTCTCTTGCCTCAGCCTCCCAAAGTACTGGGATTATAGACATGCATCACCATGGCCAGCATTTTTTTTTTTTTGAGTTGGAGTCTTGCTCTGTTGCCCAGGCTGGAGTGCAGTGGCACAATCTCTGCTCACTGCAGCCTCTGCCTCCGGGTTCAAATGATTCTCCTGCCTCAGCCTCTCGAGTAGCTGGGATTACAGGCACCTGCCACCATGCCCGGCTACTTTTTGTATTTTTAGTAGAGATGGGGTTTCACCATGTTGTCCAGGCTTGTCTTGAACTCCTGACCTCAGGGGATCTGCCCACCTCAGCCTCCCAAAGTGCTGGGATTACAGGTGTGAGCCACTGTACCAGGCTACCATGCCCCGCTTTGAATCAGCTCTTGAGAGGCAAATTTGCCAAGTGAAAAGTGTGGGAAAGCATCCTAAACAGACGCAGTACTATCTGGAAGCATGGAGGAAGGAAAAAGAGGGTGCATCTGAGGAAGAGCAGGAAGGTGGGTATGGCTGGAGTGTAGGTGCATACTGGTGGCGAGGGGCAGAAGATGAGGCCAAAGGGAGGGAAGGGGCTGGATTGTGAAAGGCATTTTGTGTGTGCCAAGGAGTTGGTCAATGTCTTGTCAATAGTGGAAAGTCACTGTAGGGCTTTAGTCACTGATGAGGGTGTCATGATCAGGTTTAAGTTGTAGAAGGCAATGAAGATGATGGTTTACAGTGGGGGCGAGTTATGTGGCTTTTGTTGTGGTCCAGGTAGAAAATAATAGTCTTGGATTAATATAGAGTGAAATGGATTGAAAACATTTTTGGGGGACAGAATAGTTAGGACCTGATGGCCAATCATTTTTGAGTGAGAAGAAGGAAAAGGAGGAGAAGGAGGAGAGGGAGGAGAAGGAGGAGGAGGAGTGGGGGAGGAGGGGAATGAGGGGGAAGAGGAGGAGAAGAAAGACATACAGTATTGTAGCTTGGATAATTGGGTGGGTGGTAGTATCCTAGACAAAAGCAGAATACAGCATAGGCAGACAGATTTGGGAATAGAGGCCATGAGTTTAGTTTTAGAGATGTTGAGTTTGAGAATCCTTTGAGATATCCAGGTACAAATGCTCAGAAAGCAGTTGGGAATGATTGTAATCATTACAAATCAGAACAGCAACAAAACCTGCCTACTGTCTATCAGCCACTATGCTAGGTACTTTATATAAATATCTTTATAAGCGCCTCTACAGAAAGATATAGAGCATTATCCCCATTTTATAAATCAACAAAATCATTGAGAGGCACTCTAGAAAGAGGTACTCCAGAAACAGTGGACATATAGATTCTTTTTCTGAAGATTTAGGGAAAAATTCACCATTAAAGAACAGTCTCCAAGCTCATCAGTGATGGCCTGACTATCACAGGTGGGGAGTTAGTCTGAGCAGTAGACAGTGGGGGCCGCGGTGTGACACTTCTTTTTTTGCCAGGACTGTACTTCCATCACCACCGAATGCTGAGCTCCAAAAGAAAACAATTTGTAAGTCTCCATATTGAGTTGGTTGTCTTGAGAGACAGTATCCCTGAGACGAAAGGTAGAAGAAGAGACATGAGACAGCTGGAAATACAAAACCTTTCCTTCTGCTTTTGGATCAGTATCTAAAAGAGTCTAGTTAAATGAAGAGCTCCTTCTTTTATTTGGCTAGCTCTTTAAACAGGCAGGTTTTCATTTTCCAAGGCCACCTCTGTGAGCCAGCTCTGCCCACCATGGGGTTGTAAACTTCTGGAGGAGAGACTCTTTGTTTTACTGTGGGGGCCCTCACAGCCCAAAGCCTCATGCCTAGATAAAGTGCTCAAGGCAGATAGTTGGAGAGAATGGGTTGCCAAGACTCTTACACCTTGGTTTTGTGCACTGCAGTTTGCTGGGGTCCACTGCAGTGTACCTACCTCTGTACAGGGGCTTTGCTGCCCAGTTGCCTGGGGCAATGATATTGGGGATACACTGTATGTAATATTCTTGCCAAGGTCCCAATTCAATTAGGTGATTATACTTTCACTGTTTGTGCCAAGATTCCCTGCTGTGAGTGAATCCCATTAGTACCAGCTTAGCACATGTAGGAGGCCCTCAATAAATGTTTGCTGGATTGAAATGAAAGCTTGAATATACTTGAGGAGTGACTTAAGTCCTTGGCTGACCTCAGCTAGTGAGAGCCCTTGGATGAAGTATAGAAGAGTGAAGATGGAATTTTACATTTCACAATGCCCTCTGAAACCTTCCATAATCCTCCTGTACTTCAGCTTTACTTCAAATTGATTCAACATCAAGTGAAAGATGGGATTTGAGAAGGGAGAGTAAATCCTTCAAGAATAACTTTCCCCCAAAGTAATATTTATTTTCTAGGTATTGTGATGGCCTCTAAGAAAAATATAAATTGAATCTGGCCAAGATAGTGACCTGGAGGAAAGCAGATAGAGAAAGGGAGACATTTGTGGAATAAGTTTTGACATAAGCTAAGAGGGCTGAGAGGAGCAGGAGCCAGGGGAGAGGGTTCTGGAGGTAGAAGGCTGTGGAGGGGGCATCTTCCATTCTCCATTCTCCTAAGACCCTGTGCCTTGTGGCTGTGTCTCATAGCTCCAGCCACCCACATGTCACAGCTGGCAGACCTTTCAGACTGACTAAAATCTAGTACCCTTTGATTCAGAGCAGAAAAACCCACTACAGTATTTGAAAAAGAAAAAAACGCTTTTTCAGGAATCAGAAAAGACTTCTCTAGTTACATCTTAGTTCCCTGATGATCTGAGTTGGCCAGACCAGGAGTTGAGGAGGTGGTAAGTGGCAATTCAGAGAGTTCCAGCCTGAGACCTCATCCCTCCTTGCACTTTCTTCGCCACAGTCTGCTCTGATGTTTTTCTTTTTCTCTATTTCTGTCTTTGTGTTATAGCACAATACGTCTCGGACAATTGTATGGGCTTTCTGTTGCTGCTGTGACAAAGGAGCACTAACTTGGTGGCTTAAAATAATACCCATTAATGATCTCATGGTTCTGTGGGTCAGGAGTCAAAGTGGGCTCTGCTGGGCTTTGCTCAGGAGCTCATGAGGCTGAAATCAAGAGGTTGGCTGGCTGGGCTCTTACCTGGAGGTTCTGGGGATTCCTCCTCCTCCTCCTCCTCCTTTTCTTCTTTTTCTTCTTCCTCTTCTTCTTCTTCTTCTTCTTCTTCTTCCTCTTCCTCTTCCTCTTCTTCTTCTTCCTCTTCTTCCTCTTCCTCTTCTCAGGGGCTCAACGAAGCTGAAATCAAGACGTTGGCTGGCTGAGCTCTTACCTGGAGGCTCTGGGGAATCTTCTTCTCCTTCTCCTCCTCCTCCTCCCTCCTCCTCCTCCTCCTCCTCCTCCTCCTCCCCCTCCTCCTCCCTCCTCCTCCTCCCCCTCCTCCTCCTCCTCCTCCATCCTCCTCCCTCCCCCTCCTCCCCTCCTCCCTCCTCCTCCTCCATCCTCCTCCCTCCTCCTCCTCCATCCTCCTCCTTCCTCCTCCCTCCTCCTCCCTCCTCCCCCTCTTCCCTCCTCCTCTTCCCTCCTCCTCCTCCCTCCTCCTCTTCCCTCCTCCTCCTTCCTCCTCCTCTTCCCTCCTCCTCCCTCCTCCTCTTCCCTCCTCCTCCTCCCTCCTCCTCTTCCCTCCTCCTCCTCCCTCCTCCTCCTCCCTCCTCCTCTTCCCTCCTCCTCCTCCCTCCTCCTCTTCCTCCTCCTCCTCCTTCTTCTTCTTCTTCCTTTCTTCTTCCTCTTCTTCTTCTTCTTCCCCCCTTCCCCTTTCCTCCCTCCCTTCCTCCTCCTCCCCTTCCTCCTCCTCCTCTTCCTCTCCTTCTCCTTCTCCCTCTCCTTCTCCTTCTTCTTCTTTTTAATAGAGACATGGTCTTGCCATGTTGCCCAGGCTGGTCTCAACTCCTGGGCTCAAGTGATCCTTCTGCTTCAGCCTCCCAAAGTGCTGGGATTACAGGCATGAGCCACTTCGCCCAGCTGGAATAAGCTTATAGGCTCCCTGAAGTTGGCAGAATTCAGTGCCTTGTGGTTGTAGGACTGAGATCCCTGTTTCCTTGCCGGCTGTCAGCCCTGCAGCTCTCTGTTCCCAGGGGCTGCCTGCATTCCTTCTCATCTGGTCTCCTTCATCTTCAAGCCAGTGATGGCACAGCAAGTCCTTCTCATGCCTCAATCCCTCTGACTTCTCCCACCTTCCTCTTCTGCCACAAGCTGGAGAAAGTTCCAAGCCTTTAGGGGCCCATGTGACAAGACTAGACTCACCTGGATGATCTTCCGTTTTGAAAGTCAACGGTGCCTTATAACATGACACATTGCAATGTGTCTCGATCTTTTGGCCTCAAGCGATCCTCCTGTCTTAGCCTCCCAAAGCACTGTGATTACAGGCATGAGCCACCGTGCCTGGACACATGCTGTGATATTTCATCACATTTCCGAGTTTCAGGCACTAGGGTGTGGAATCTTGGGGGCTGTTCCTAGAAATCCTGCCAACGACAGCAACCACTGGATGTGATGGATCAGATGGAACGGGTTGCCTGTGAAGAGATGTCCATATGAGCCACAGCCATTGGAAGGAAAACACAAGACTCATCTGCGTTCATTTGGTGACTGTGTCAAACCATTTGCCCTAACACAGGGCCCCATTTTAAGTGCTTGCTTGGTTTAGCAACTTTAGGAAAGCTTGGTACGTCTTTCAAACTTTAAAAGAGTGATTGGTCCAGAGGTGGATATTCCTTCTTCCTGGATTATTTACTTATTTATGACTTGTTTTATGTTAAGCATTCAGCTCTCTTCTTAACCTTGTTTTTGCTAAATAACTTTATTTTTTATATTGTTTTTGCTCAGTGTAAGTAATGTTATGGAAAGTTAATTCCTTTTAGTCAAACAGAATGAAACCAGGCAATAAAATTCAGGAAAGAGGCCCATTTCACATACCTGTGGCCTTGGCCAGATGCGGTGGCTCCTGCCTGTAATCCCAGCACTTTGGGAGGCTGAGGTGGGCGGATCACCTGAGGTCAGGAGTTTGAGACCACCCTGGCCAACGTGGTGAAACCCTATTTCTACTGAAAATACAAAAATTAGCCAGGCATGGTGGCAGGTGCCTGTAGTCCCAGCTACTCGGGAGGCTGAGGCAGGAGAATCACTTGAACCTGGGAAGTGGAGGTTGCAGTGAGCTGAGATTGTGCCACTGCACTCCAGCTGGGGTAACAGAGCAAGACTCTGTCTCAAAATAAACAAACAAACAAACAAACAAACCTGTGGCCTTGTCTCAATCACTAAGTGTCAATAAACAGCTTCCAAAGCAGGTGGAACACCGTGTGCTGGGCTGAGGACAGAGCACTGGGACACCTGCAGAAGGCTGTGGCTCTCGGCTGCACAGTCACATCATATTAATGCCTCACTAGACCCAACTTTTCAAGCCGTTGTCCCTACATGTTATGCACTTCGTGAAGGGAGAGACTGATGCCAGTTTCCCAAGAGGGAAAGAAAACAACTGGAAAAAAGGAAATGGCAGATTGTCAATGAGATAGCTTTTGTTTCAATTTTCCCTCCTTTGTTTTCCTTTGAAGCCCCGGTGAATTACTGTGCTTTCCCTTTTGGTGTTTTGGTCCACAGATCTGTACATTAACCTGAACTCCCTGTTATGTTTTTTTCCCTTAATACTCATCTGGAAAATACCCCTACACTTGACTGCCTGGAGAGGAGTGAGACCCACTGTCCACTTCTAGATTGAATGCCTAGGAGGACTGGTATGGGCCTGTGGCTGGAGGCCCAGACCGGATGCCAGGAAAGCGGAGGCCCCTTCCCAGGCCTGTGCACCACGCCTCTGCAGCGACTCGAGGTCTCCGTTAAACTGCACTGGGCTTCAGTGTGCTCATGTGATAAGTGGAAATAGTAAAAGGTCAGCGTTTGTCACATTGGAATCCCAGCTCTGCCATGATCTCACCAGGTGACCTTGGGCTCAATCGGTATTCTTGTCCCTGAGCCTTAGTTTCTCTTCTGTGCTCTGGGGAAATGGATATGTACCTGGTCATGTGAGAAGCCAGCCGACGGCAAATATCATATAAAGTTTTGCATTTCAGCCTTGGTCAACCTCCAAGGGCAGGCAGGATGTGACCCATGACCCAGGGACGTGGGGCGGGGAGGCGGGGCTGGGCAGCAGTGGAAAGGGGCCAGTTGTGGTGTCAAGGATGAGCCACTGGGCTCTGTTCCTGTTTCCTGATGGATCTGGGCAATACAGGGGGACCCTGTGTTCAGGCCTGTGTGTTTCCTGGCACCAGGAGGCCTGTGGAGGAGAGTGGCTGCCAGAGCAGAAAGGAGTGACACCCACAGCCCTGGGCAGGGGGACAGGCCCAGCGGTTGGGAGGAAAACGCTCTTTAATAGGGCTGCTACCTGGGGATTTTGAGGTCTTTGAGTAGGATGCGAGTCAACTCTAGTACCCTGTCCTGGTACTTTCCTCAGTTGTTTTTTTTTTTTTTCATTTTCTTTTCTCTTCTTTATTTTTTTTTGTTGATTTGGCAGGTGAGTTGTTACACACTCCTTAGATTCTGACTTCCCTGGCTAGCGTCCAGCTTTTTCTCAAATTTTATTTGTGCATTTTTACTTTGAGTCCTGGTGGCTCTGATAAAAAATATAACAGTGTTTTTTAATCTCACTGTTAAAATATAATGTATATATGTATGTATATATAAATGTATATATAATATACATTATATTTTAACAGTGAGCTAAAAGAACACCGGACTTGGAATCAGACCAACTGGATCCTGAAATTAAGATTTGATTTTACCAGTTCCATGACCTTGGCTAATTAATTGACTTAACTTCTGTGCCTCAGTGTTCTGGTCTCTAAAATGGGCATAATAATATCTGCCCTGACACGCTCTCTGGTTTGCTGTGAAGTGTACATACAGGCCAGGCATCGTGGCTCATGCCTATAATCCCAGCACTTTGGGAAGCCGAGGCAGGTGGATCACTTGAGGCTAGGAGTTCAAGACCAGCCTGGCCAACATGGCAAAACCCCGTCTCTACTAAAAATACAAAAATTAGCCGGGTGTGATGGTGCACACCTGAAATCCCAGCTACTCAAGAGGCTGAGACATGAGAATCGCTTGGATCTGGGAGGTGGAGGTTGCAGTGAGCTGAGATGGCGACAGAATAAGACTGTCTTAAAAAAAAAAGCGTATATACATCACAATACTTGGGTGTATTTTGTAGGCCTTAAAATGCATGCTGTCACAATTTGGCTTTTGTTTTCTTGTGGGTAATTTTAAGGATGAGCTAAATGAAAGAGGCAGTTGGGTCTGGATGTGGAAAGATCCTTGGCACCCTGTCTTGTCGGGGAACAAGGTCAAGTGCATGAGGAGCTGGGATCCATGAGACCCATTGGCCGCCCCCCACCTCCGATTTCTCGTACTAATGGATGTCTATGTTTCCACTCAGAATTCTCCTTCATTTGTCAGGTACAAGGCCAAGATACCAAAATAGCACTTGTGTAGGACTGAAACTATTACTGCTCAATTGTTTCTGGGCCTTATTTTTTTCACACAGCTCCACCACTCTCAAAGTGTCTGTGGACGTGTGGAGGATGTAACGCAGACCGAGTGACGGTGCTCAGAAACCATCCAAACATTACGCATCGAGACAAGAATTTTAGAGATGTTTCAGGGAGTGGGCGCGCGTCCCGACTTCCCTGGCAAGCCGACTGCCCAATGCTGCAACATCAGTGAGGGCGCAGACCTTCTCTGAATGCTGAGGGTCACCAGCTTGTGCAGGAAAGGTAGGCTATGAGGGCAGATGTTTAACTTTAAAGGGAGCATTTAGAATACCAGCCTGTACATGCAGGTGGATGCCATTGTTTAGCAGTTAGAAATTCATCAGTTACACTAAGCAGCAAACTTTTTCATAGATATAGAGGGGTTTTCTAATAGACATGGCCATTGAGTTTCATGTGCTTGAAAGAACTGCATCTAAATCATGCTGGAAACACTGAAAATGTCACTTTGAGAGGACACAGTGACCCTGCAGGACAGGCTTAGACTTTAGAGCCAACCCCTCTACCCCATTCCAGCATTTCTTGTTGTGTTATCCTCAACAAGTCCTAACCTTCTAGGTGTCAGTCGCCTCATCTTCATAGCGGGAGAAATTATACTGAACTTAAAGGGTTGTTGTAAGGAGTTAAGATAATGTGTGAAAATAGCTGAGCCCAGGCCCAGTGGTGGTAAGAATTCTACCTGGAATCTTTTGTTATTAAAAAAGTAAAACAGTACATATGGTGTTTAGGATTTAGCATTATAAGCTCTTGTCAGAATTTTTTCCCTTCTTATATGGAAGATGATGGACAGACTCAGTTGAACTTCTGTAATTGTGTTTACTGGGTATCAGAGCTGATTTCCCCTTGTGGGGCGGTTATCTTAGAAATTAAACTTAATAAAAATAGTAGAATTTGTGATCTGTGCCAGGAAGTGGGCTGCATATTCTACATGTATAAACAATCAATATTCCAAACAACCTTAGGTCATTGTCCCCACTTTGAAGATGAGGGCACTGGATCTGGAAGAGTTTGGGTCACCTGGCCAAGGCCACACAGAGATGTGAATGGAGGTCTTTAGGATAGCAGAGACCACATTCTTAGTCACTAAAGTACACTGAGTTTACTCAAAAGCAGATTGTTACTGTAACCTCATATCTCAGGGTGGTTAAGGTTGTTATGGTTACACAGGGCATAGGGGAAGGCTTTGGGGAGATGGCAAGGGGAGCGAGAACTGTTGATTTTGTGGGACACAGCCATGGTCATTTTGCTCCTTGTCTCCCAGTGCTCAGTGGCCACCAACCTCAGCAGATGCCCTGTCCTGGAACCACCTCCCTCCCATTTAGTGCATGTTAATCTCCAAACCCACCATCTCTTGCCTCACTTTTGGGGTGTCATCTTGCTCTTTGAGCCTGAATGAGCTCTAGTTATCTTGAAGCCAAGCTCCAGTCTGGGGAGGGTGCGTGCAGAGCCCTCTGCTCCCCTCCTCATCTTCCACCTCCCTTCAGTCTCTCTAAAATATACACCCTTGGGTCACCCCCACCTGTGCTCCTACCCATGTGCACTGGCACCATGCCCATGCTAGACTGTGGCCAGTCCAGCAGGCTATGGGGGAAAAGACGAGGCAGTTCTGGGGCAGGAACATGGTGGCTGGTGCTGGCTCAGGACACAGCACTGCTCAATGGAAAGGCCATGGGCTTGTTACCCACTCCTGTATTCTTTCATCTATTCAGTAGTTTTTAAAATTGAATACCAGGTGGTGGGAACACAACAAATAATCTGATACAACCCTGCTCTGAAGAACTTGGAGTTTACTAGAGGAGAGAGACTGAGAAATGAAGAATTAGAATTCAGTGGGACTGGTCTGGGTGGCTGCATCTACTGAGTAACCTGTGCGTACAAGGGCAGGGAGGAGGGAGAGCGGAGGAAGGGGAGTTTTAGGAGGAAGAAGGAGCTCATATAAAGGTTCAGAGGCGAGAGGGAACTGGTGCTTTCAAAGAAATACACACACAGCAGCATGACTGGAGCATACTGTGTGGGGAGAAATGGCAAAACTACATCTCATTCTGATAGACTTGTCAGCCATGGCCCTGACTCAGACTCAAATGAAACATTGGGACAGAACAGCCAGTCCTTACACATGTGTGGACACTGTTAAAATAAGACAGGAGGGGCTGGGGACACACCTCGGGGCCAGCAAGGATAGGAGGGTGTTGCTACTGCCACTCTGGCCCTGAAGGGGACAGGGGAGGGCACGGTTATTAACATCCAGGAAAAGCTGCAGCTGCACATGAAGAGGCTGCATGTAGGAGCTACGGGTAGGGTTTTGGTAAAAGCTCACAGTCACTGCTAGCCCCCTTCCCAGTGGGGAGAGTCAGAGGAGGATGGGGAAGGATCTAGAGTATATCTGGATGGATCAGAAAATTCCTGGCGTGGTAGACATCCTCATACTCCCCCAGCTCCCATTAATCGTCTCTATCACAGACCACAAATATGCTACAAGGAGTTGTGACAGCGTGCAGCTGAAATACACAACGAAGGGGTAACTGTAAATTCAAAAATACAATCCAGACCACAGAAAACATAAACTAAAGGTCAAGCAGGGAGAAGGGGAGAAGGCTGGACAATAAAACAAAAATGTGAGATCATTTGGACTTCCATAGTTGCCATTATTGAGCCAGAAATATGATGCTGAGCTTCCTGGTGGCCAAGTTTTAAAGGAAGATGCGGTCACTTACATAGTTTTCCTTGTCAAAGAAGTGAAAGTATACCAATTTGTATTGGAAACCAGACTTTCCCTAGACCTCAGCATGAAGAGGAATTTTCTCTGCAGGGCAGAGTCATTTTAACAGGCTGTGACCCTAAGAAAGTTCCTTTAGAATATTCAGGTCTAGGCCACACATCTGGCTTGTGTCTGTGTTGCTCACTGGTAGTGCTTCCTGATGGTGTCCAAACCCTGCCTCTCTCCCATGATTGCATGTTTCTCAAGATGGGGGACCATGCTTTTCTACCTGGGTGTATCTTTTCTACCTCTCATTATGGCAGTATTTTGAAATTAAATCTGGTAAAAACATTTTGATTGTCGTATTTTTTTCCGGCATTGCAGAAATAATTTATTAGGGACTGTGAGGAATAATGAGACCAAGCACAGCTGCATCCATGACCCTCTCAACAACCCTCTGGAGAGCGGGTGCTCTAGGGGTTGGAGGTACAGGGTCAGCGTCTATGTGGTAGGTGTTTCTAAGGACTGCAACATCCTGGAGCTGTGTAATGAGATGGAAGGGAACAATGACAATTCATCCCATATCTCAGTTCAACCTTAGTGAAGTACTGTTTAGACCAATGATGTTTAGCATTTGGGGGTCAAAAACTCTCTTAAAATATGATAAAAACTAAGGACTCTTTCTTTCCACAGAAGAAAGCAAAAACACACAGTTTTGGATATAGTTTCAGGCAGACCACAAACTTCTCAGAGCCCTACCATGGGCTCATTAAGGATCCACGGACCCCAGGTTAGAATCTGTGGCTTAACCTCTGGTCCTCACAACATTTCGTACAAGGGATTTTTCTTCTGGAGTTTCTGTGGCCTTGTTAGCGATAGAAACAAAGTTATATCCCAGGTATCAAGTACATCCCACAGGGGTTGGGAGAGGTGGGAAAATTACATAATCAGCCTCTTACTTCCCTCACCTTGCACAAATATTCTACGGATAAGACGAAACAATTATAACACATGGAATATTATTCAGCAAGAAAAAGGAAGGAAATTCCGACACATGCTACAACATGGATGAAAGTTGAGAACCTCAAGCTGAGTGAAATAAGCCAGTCACAAGAATACAAATACCATATGCTCCTTATATGAGGTACCTAGAGAAGTCAAATTCATAGACATAGAAAGTAGAGGATGGTTGTCAGGGGGTGAGAGGAACAGCTCCGGAATTAATGTTTAAGGGGTATAGAATTTTAGTTTTGCAAGACAAAAAGGGTTCTGGAGATTGGCTGCACAACAATTAAATAGAATTAACGTCACTGAACTCTATATCTAAAAATGATTAAGATGGTAAATTTTATATTATGTGTATTTAACCACAGTTAACACATACAGACATAACACATACAAGAGTTTAAAACAACAAAGCCGAGCTGGACATGATGGCTCATGCCTGTAATCCCAGCACTTTGGGAGGTAGATTGCTGAGCTCAGGACTTTGAGACCAGCCTGAGCAATATGGCAAAACTGTCTCTACAAAAAAATACAAAAAATTAGCTGGGCATGGTGGTTCACACATGTGGTCCCAGCTACTCGGGAGGCTGAAATTGAGGCTGTAGTGAGCCGAGATCACACCACTGCACTCATGCCTGGGAGACAGAGTGAGACCCTGTCTCAAAACAACAAAAACAACTCAAAACAATTAAAAAAACCCAAAACAATGAAGCCTGAAGAATGCAGCTTGCCCAGCAGGGGAGTGTGTGGAGTGAGGAGGCGCAGCCCCATTGCACCTTGGCGCATTGTGGCCTGACCCAAAGCCATGAGTCTCTGGGGAGCCAGCTACTTCCCCTGCAGGGCAGGCTCCTGGAGCTGGGACCAGTGGCAGTGGCACTGAGAACCAGCACCAGCCACACCTTGAGTAGCTTTGGAATGGTTCTGCTTGGGTCTTTGAGCTTGTTGTTGGAGCACTTTCCGTTTCTATACTCAATCTTGTTATTGACATATACTTTTCCTGTAAGAGAATGACTTGTGACGATCTTCTAGCTTGTGACGATCTTCTAGAACGCTATTCAATTACAAAGAAAAACTGTGGCCTCATGTATGATTCATCATGCAGGAACTCTTCATTTGATAGGACCCATCTTTCTTATAACAGGAAGTAAATACGTGTTGCTAAGCTACTATGTCCACCAAAAGAAAAAAAACCATATAGTAGATTCCATTGTACTCTTTGTGCTCTGTGAGAGTTAATGATTCCTCTATGTTAATTCAGCTCTTTCATTCTTGACCTCTTTTACCTAAAGTTAATTAGAGTTTAGCCATAACGTACTTAGTGTAAACAGAAAAAAAAAAGGCCTGAGTCATAATTTCCCATGAGAAAAGAATGGGCTTTCTTAAACTTTCTCAAAGGAATTTAAAAAGCATTTATTGGTTCAGATTTTTAGTTCTGTGTCTATCTGCCTGTCTATTTGTCTATCTACCTAAGTATCTATCTATGTCTATCTATATTCCTATTGATGGTTCAGGGACCTTGCAAGCATCTGATTTAATCTTATTATTGCAAAAGAAAGAGATACAGACTGCACATGTAAGTTTTAGGAATTGCAAGTACCTCTTTTGAGCCACTGGGGTTGAGGCTTCAGTTCTCTACCACTGAGAAGAATCAGGCAGATAGAGACCATTTTATGACATAGATTAAGGGGTTTAGGTCAGAGGTCAGGAAGGACTATGTGTCAGGCCATTTCCCTAAGAGAGATGTCAAAATGAAAATGAATATTATTGCCTATATCAGATGTCCTGAACTTCAGGGCAATGAGAGGGTCCTGATCAATGGTATCATTCTGTCTGTATATTTACTTACATGAACTCAAATAGGCACACACATGGGTGAGGAGGGGGCCATTTAAGTGGACCTGGCAATTAGGCCTATGACTCAGTCCAAGTTCCCACAAGAAGATGGGATGGGGGTATAGGAATCTGCTGGCCCCACAATTGGGCTCTCTCACAGGCTCTCAGTGTAATCTCACTGTGCTGAGTGTGAGTCTAACAGTTTTGATCCCCACACAGCATGGCTCCTACATGCGAGTCATCATCTTCATGTAATGCTCGGTGATTAGTTTCAATTCCAGTGTAAGAGCTGGCTATGCTGAGCTTCCTGAGAGAGGAGATGTCCATTTCCAACGTGGTTCACAGTTATGGGTTTGCCCAGTCTAACAGGGGTCATAAAGATCTGAGAGAGAAAAAAAAATCGTGAAGCTGTGGCATTAAGTACTAAAATGGTTGCTAAGTTTACCTTCCCACTAGCAGTGTAGAAGTGTCCCCTGATCGCCGCATCCATGCCAACATCTACTGTTTTTTGATTTTTTGATTATGGCCATTCTTGCAGGAGTAAGGTGGTATCACATTGTGGTTTCGATTTGCATTTCCCTAATCATTAGTGATGTTGAGCATTTTTTCATATGTTTGTTGGCCATTTGTACATCTTCTTTTGAGAGTTGTCTATTCATGTCCTTAACCCACTTTTTGACAGGATCGTTTGTTTTTTTCTTACTGATTTGCTCAGGTGATAGGTGCACCAGGATCTCACAAATCACCACTGAAGAACTTACTCATGTAACCAAATACCACCTGTACCCCAATACATTTATTGTTATAGAACAATAAATAAAGTAATAATAAAAAGATTGTTAAGGAGATACATCAGATATGTATAAGTTTTTTTTTTTTTTTTTGAGACTGAGTTTCGCTCTTGTTGCCCAGGCTGGAGTGCAACGGCACAATCTCAGCTCACTGCAACCTCCACCTCCCAGGTTCAAGAGATTCTCCTGCCTCAGCCTCCCAAGTAGCTGGGATTACAGGCATGTGACACCACGCCTGGCTAATTTTGTATTTTTAGTAGAGACGGGGTTCCACCATGTTAGTCAGGCTGGTCTCAAACTCCCAACCTCAGGTGATCTGCCCGCCTCGGCCTCCCAAAGTGCTGGGATTACAGGCATGAGACACCACACCCAGTTAAATATGTATAAGATTTTAGAAAAGATTGAAATGGCTTTTGACTTGTGCCTGGAAGACTCAGACTATGAGTATATGCCTATGAATTTTAATGTGTTCTAACTTCCTGCCAAAAAGGTACAGATTCCTGATGAAAAGATATTTCCAAAACTAATTTCAACTCTACATGTTTTCACCAATAGGCTACCTTCTGACCCTAACTCCCATGGAAATTATGATGGTTAAGAGCATGAACTTTGAGTCAGATATCAGATTCCAAATCCCAGCTCCACCGATAACATATTAATTCTACTAAGCCTCAGTTTCCTCAAATGTAACAATAGTTCTTACCTAATAGGGTAATTTTGTGGATTAGATGAGACAATCCCTGTTGTAGCATTTAGCACCTGCATTTAATAAGCAATGCAATAGATGTTTACTCTGATTATTCAGGAAGCAAAAGCAATCCGATGTATTGGCTCTATGCCACTGATTTGTGGGAAGAACAAAAGACTGGTTCTGTGCTCTGGATCCAAAGCAATGCAAAAGTTTTAAAAACAAATTTGTTTCTCGTTTTTACTCTTTTGTCTGTTGTGTTTTATATCTCTAACTTCTGAACTATTCAGATATACATATTACATATGCAACTATTCATTCCATGTACTTGGTGAATATTTCTTGAGCATCTGCTATGTGCCAAGCCAGGTGCTGGTTATGCAGAGGCAAGACACAGTCCCTGAAGAGTGGGAGGAAACAGACACATAAATGACAGTCACAAGCCAGCCTAGAAAATGGAATGATAATGGGCACCTGAAAGAACTTATGTGCCAAAAGTAGTGACTGGGTTGGGGAGGGCTCCTGGCATGAGAAAGGCATGGAAGTGAGAAACAGCAGGGTCATTGGGCAACCATGGGGAATTCACTTTGCCAGAATGGAATGTGTAAATCTGGGAATGGTGGGCAAATAGCCTAGAAAGAAAGGCTGATCATGGAGACTTTGACCTCCAGCCTGGAGGCCATGGGATACTGTTGATTGAATATATATTTTCATTGGAGGAGAAAAGAATTATAGGTTAACTCAGCAGGACTTGTGACTGCTGGGAGTGGGAAGTGAGGGGAAGGGGAAGTCCAGGATGACTTCCGGGTATCTTGATTAGGCAACTGAGTGGATGGGGGTGTCACTAATTTGGGGTATTTTTTTAGAATAAAAGAGGAAGAGAGCAGGATTTGAAAGTGGAAGATGATACGCTACTTTTGAAAAAAAATTTTAGCTAGATACAGAATTTATAATGTAGGAATATGATACAAATGTGCTTCTATTTTATTACATCTGGAATTCAGTAATCAAATACATTATTTGTGATGACTAAATCCTCAGAAAGCATGTCTAAACTGGAAGTTGTACAGTCAAAGATTCTCAGCCAGGACCAAGCAACATCTGAGCCCAAATTACCTTTATAATTTAAGACAGGAAGGAAGAGAATTTTAAAAGATTGAGGAGGGAGACTGGATAAAGGAAAAACACAAAAATAATAATGATAACGCTAATACAATGTTTAAAACCCCACTGCTTTCAGATACCAGTTTCTACCTCTTCCCTGACATTTCATTAATTGTATTTCAATCTCTTTTTTCCACTATCCTCAGATGGAGATTCCAGAATAAGTGGTAAATAGCAAAAAGTAAAAAATAAAGCCAGTAGAAGAAAGAAGGAGAAATAGGGAATTGGATAGTCCACAAACTGATAATTCACCCACTTAAGTCAGACAGATCTTGGAATATCAAGTAAGTGAGAGTGGGAGAAATTAAGCACAAATCTGGGGATATGTCCACAAGATTAGTGAATCTGTGGACTTCAAATCCTCATGCTTACTTGCGTGGGTTAAACAGCCTAAAATGCTTACTTGTTTTTGGAGTTTAATCTCTTTGAGATTTAGTCATCTTATTTTGGAGGGTTTTGATAGTAGTGAGAAACGGTGTTTGGTTTCTGCTCCAAATCTAGTTAAATAAGAAATTGAAAGTGGGAAGGAGAAGGTGCATACAGTTTCCTTTGCTGAAAATGGATCAGTAGTACCATCCTAGCATACAAAGGACTTCTTAGAGTTATCATTTGATGAGGTGCCCAGGGAGAGTGCTGATGTCAGCCGGGAGAGGGCCGTGGGTGGGTGTCCCCCGGCTGACTTCCTCTCTTTCCTCTCTCTGCCAAGGCTCTGCCGTCCAAACCTGTAATCCCGCCCAGGCAATTCCAGTTCTGGGTGTTTCTTAAGCAAATAGAGTAAACCATGCCAGCATTAGGGGTTGCCACCTCTTAGAGGTTGTATTCCAGGGCAAGTACTCATGACTTCTCATGACTCAATCTCATCAGTTTCTTCTATGCTTTCAATTTCTTCCTCTTCCAGCTTCTTAAACACTTATATCTGTATGTACATCTATATGTGCAAATAGCACCTATAATATGCCGTCATGTTTTCTAATGATCTCCTTGGTGAACTGTAGCACTTTCTTTCTTTCTTATTTTTCTAGAGACGGGATCAGGCTAGTCTCAAACTCCTGGCTTCAAGTGATCCTCCCACCTTGGCTTCCCAAAGTGTTGTGATTACAGGTGTGAGCCATTGCACAGGGCCTCAGTGTAGCAATTTCTTATTGGCTGTCACATTTTCTAGTAGTTTCTCAAACCTATATTGTACTGTTCAACTATATGGGAAGCTTTTGATGATGGGAAAAAAATCTGTCAGCTGTTCCCCGTATAAGCATCTTCTCCACCTTCCTCTCCCTGCCCCTGAACCTGAGTCCAGCACACGGCAGGCAGGTGTGTAACAAATGCTTGTGAATTGTGAGGCAGTGTCTCTGATATGAACATCTGCAAAGCCTCCAATAGGGAGGGGGAAAAAATCATGAATCTTAAAGTCAGCTGATAAAAAAAGAAGAAAAGAAAAATTGTATGTTAAAGTGCAGAACATAAGGTTTCTACACAAAATGAAAACAAGTATTGGCCGGGCGCGGTGGCTCATGCCTGTAATCCCAGCACTTTGGGAGGCCGAGGTGGGCGGATCACAAGGTAGAGAGATCGAGATCACCCTGGCCGACGTGGTGAAACCCCATCTCTACTAAAAAAATACAAAAAAAGCCGGGCATGATGGCAGGCGCCTGTAATCACAGCTGCTTGAGAGGCTGAGGCAGGAGAATCACTTGAACCCGGGAGGTGGTGGTTGCAGTGAGCCAAGATCGTGCCATTGCACTCCAGCCCGGGCAAAAAGAGTGAAACTGTGTCCCCCCAAAAAAAAAAAAAAAAGAAAAAAGAAAACAAGTATCTCTCCCTTAAAGGAGGCCGTCTCAATATTTTTAGAAAGGATAATAATAGTAATAAGTGCCTGCCATGTGTCAGGCACTGTTCTAGGCACTTTACATGTTTCATTGTATTTGATGCTTGAATAGTCCTTTGCTTATTATCTTCATTTTACAGATGAAGGAACTGAAGCACGAAAAGGTGAAATAACTTGCCCAACTTTGGAGTTAGATTTCATACTTTGGCAGTTTGACTCCAGAATATACACTTCTACCTTTGTGTCCCATTTAAATCTGTTTCTCCCTACAAGGTCATTCTCCTGTGCTTTTCTTCTAGAAGCTTTATTATTTTAGGGTACATGAAGATCTATACCATCAGGAGTAGATTTTTGTGTCTGGTGTAAGGTCAAAATTAATTTTTCTCTTGTGAGTCTCCAATTGACGGCACACCATTTATTGAAAACTGCTGCTCTTTTCCTAGTGGGCTATAGTGCCACCTTTGTCAGGTGAGTCAGGTTTTCGATTCTGTATTCTGTTCTATTCTATTGCTCTGCTTATCTTTGTGCCAAAATTGCATTGTCTTAATTATTATAGTTTCATGTTTCTTGACATCTAGAAGTATAAGTCTTTCAACTTTTTTCTTTATTTTCAAGATTGCCTTCACCGCCCTTGGCCATTTGTATTTCCATAAAAATTTTAGAATTATTTTGCCAATTTACACACAAACGAACACATAATCCTGCTGAGAGTTTTTACTGGGAGTACCTTGAATCTATAGATTGATTTGGGACGAATTGGCATCTTAATTTTTTTGAGTCCATGGACATGGTATATCCCTTTGTTTATTTTAGGTCTTTATTAACTTCTCCCAATAATGTTTTATATTAATAGTTTTCTGTGTAGATGTCTTGTTCATATGTTGTTAGAATTATTTTAGGTATTCAGTTTTTTGAATGAGATTATAATCATTATCATCTGAAAACTTTCATTTTCTAATTGTTTGTCATGGTATAGAGGAGTTTATTGATCTTGTAAGTAGGGATCTTGCTTTTCACTTAATAATTCTAATTGTGGAGTGTTTCAGATTACCCATATACACAATCATATGATTTACAAATAATGATAGTTTTATTTCTTTTTTCCATTAACTAAAACTTTTATTTATTTATTTTTTAATTTATAGGCATTCCAGAACAATGTTAGAAGTAGTGATAGTGGGCATTCTTATTTTATTCCCAACTTTTGGAGGAAAAATTTGTTATTACATGTGAATATAATTCATTGTAATATGAATTACCTTGATTGATTTTTTGCATAACTTTTCAGTTGTGGTATAATATACCTAATACAAAAAATTTACCATCGTAATCATTTTTAGGTGTACAAATTAGTGGCATAAAGTACATTCTCATTGTTGTGCAACCATCACCATGATCCATTTCCAGAACATTTTTATCATTTCTTTTTTTTTTTGAGATGGAGTCTCGCTTTGTAGCCCAGGCTGGAGTGCAGTGGCACGATCTCGGCTCACTACAACCTCTGCCTCCTGGGTTCTAGTGATTCTTCTGCCTCAGCTTCCCAAGTAGCTGGGATTACAGGTGCACACCACCACACCCAGCTAATTTTTGTATTTTTAGTAGAGACAGGGTTTTGCCATGTTGGCCAGACTGGTCTTGAACTCCTGACCTCAGGTGATCCACCCGTCTCAGCCTCCCAAAGTGTTAGGATTACAGGCGTGAGCCATTGTGCCCAGCCCATTTTCATCATTTCAAAAGATATTCTGTGCTTATTAAACAATAAACGCCTATTCCTCCCTCCCCCTACCCACTGGTAACCTGTAGTGCGATTTCTTTCTCTCAGAATTTGACTACACAAGGTATCTCATATAAATGAAGACATACAATATTTGGGGTTTTTTTCTGGTTTATTTCACTAAGCATAATGTCATCAAGGTGCATCCATGTTGTAGCATTATTAGAACTTCATCTTTTTTAAGGCTGAATAATATTTCATTGTACATATATACCACATTTTGTTTATCCATTCATCTGTTGTGAACATTTGGGTTGTTTCCACCTTTTAGCAATTGTGAATAATGGTGCAATGAACATGGGTGTACAAGTGTCTTAGTCTGTTTTCAGCTGCTATAACAGAACACCAGAGACCCGGTGATTTATAAAGAACAAAAATTTATTCTCTCACAGTTCTGGAGGTTGGGAAGTCCAAGATCATGGCACTAGAATTTGGTGTGGTCCTTCTTACTGTGCCCTCACAGGGTGGAAGGTGGAAAGGGAGGAGGGAGCAAACTCACTCCTACAAACCCTTCTATACTGGCATTAATGCATTTGTGAGGCATTTCACTGTGGTCAGCAAATATACTCTGAATGATTTTAATAATTTGAAATTTCTCAATAATTTATTTCTGAACAGCATAAGGTCAATTTTGTAAATGTTCAATATGCCCTTGGGATGAATGCTTATTCATTGTTGGATGGATCATTCTGTCAATGTCAACTTTGCTTATAAATAAGTTCAATTTGTTATTCATACTTCCTGTATCCTTACTAATTTTTTTTGGCCATTCGTTTCTCTCATATGCTAAAGGAGGTTTATTAAAATCTCTCCCTATAATTGTATATTTCTTCCTTCAGTTCTTCAATATTTGAAGCTATGTTATTAGGGGTGTACTTCTTCTACATTTTCCCAGTAGACTTAAATTTTTATCTTTATGAATGTTCCTTTTATCTTTAGTATGGTTTCTTGCCTTAAAGTTCACTTTGCTTGATGTAAATATAGCTATAAAAGTTTTTGTTAGCATTTACTTGGTTTATTATTTTCCATCTTTTACTTTCAATCTCTCCATGTCTTAAATTAGGGCACGTATCTTGTAAGCTGCATAGTTGGTTTGGATTTGTGGTTATGTTCATCATACAGACTGATGATATTTGTCTTTCAATTGAAGCTTTTATTCTGTTTATATTAAGGTAATTGCTGAAATAATTGGGTTTACATCTATCTTCTTAATATTTCTTTATGTTTAACCTTATATGATTCCTTTTCTCTTTTGTTTTATTTTCTTTTATGTACTTTTTATTATTCAATTTTTCCTTTTACTCGTTTGTTTGCAATATATCCTTTTGCCATTCTTTTGTTACTTTAGAGATTACAATACCATTCCTTGCACTCTTACCATTTCTATAATACCTACTTATTTGTATTTAATATAATATATACTCTTATCATTTCCACAATGCCTCTTAGACAACAGAATTTAACTCCTCCTCTTCACTATTTTTGTTATTGTCAGTGTGCATTTTAACCTATATACATTTCCAACACTATAAAACTTTTTTGTTATTGCTTAATACAGTTAATTCATCACAGTAATACATTTACCTTTTCCATTTCTGAATTTCTATTTTTATCTGATATTATTGTCCAAATATAAGAATTTTCATTAATATTTCCTTTAATAGGAGCCTGCTGGGAGTAAATTATCTGTTTTTACTTGCCTGAAAATATCTTTAGTTTTTCTTCATTTTTAAAAGATATTTTCACTAGGTATAGAATTTTAGGTTAGCATTTGTTTTCTTTCAGAACTTTATGCCATTTTTTTGTTGTGTTTTGCTGTTGTTTTTTTTTGTTGTTCGTTTGCTTGTTTGTTTTTCAGGCTTCCACTGTTTCTACTGAGAAGTAAGCTCTTGGTCTTTTGCTTATTGTGGCTCCTCTGAAAGAAACCTGTCTGTTTTCTCTGGCTGCTTTTAAGATTTTGTCTTTGCTCTTAGTAGTTTTATGTTGATATAACCAGATGTGGTTTCCTTTGCATTTATTCTACTTAAATTCTAGAACATTTTGAAGTTTTCTTTGATTGCTTTGTGAGCTTTTGAAATATCTAGGACAAGCTTGTCCAACCCATAGCCCATGGGCTGCATTTTGCCCAGGACAGCCTTGAATGAGGCCCAACCCCACAAATTCATAAACTTTCTTTAAATATTATGAGGTTTTTTTTTGTATATATATATTTTTTAGCTCATCAGCTATTGTTAGTGTGAGTGTGTTTTATGTGTGACCCAAGATAATTCTTCTTCCAGTGTGGCCCAGGGAAGCGAAAAGATTGAACACCCCTGAACTAAGATGTCATCTTTTTACATATTGCTTCTGCTTCACTTGTGTCATCTCCCCTTTTGAGTCTCTAGTTACATGAAACTTTGGTCCTTCAGGGATTCTAATTAAATACGTCTTAGATCTTTCCCCATGTCTTATATATCTCTTATGCTATTTTTAAAAAAATTCTATTCATTTTTCAAATTTCTGTGTTTATACCAACCTATTTTCCAGATCGCTAAATTGGCTTCTTGATAATGTCCCCTTATTGATCTGATGTTGTTGGGACCTCTAGGGTCTCGTGGAATAATTCTAATCCTTTTTCCTAAAATGTCTTTTTCAGATGAGATCGGGCACGTTCAGGGTGGTATGGCCATAGACTAAAACTAATACATCTTTTTCAAACATTTGAAGGTAGTCCTCCATGTAAAATGCACCAGATGAAGAATCAGAAACCTTGAATTGTAATCCAAATTCCATTATAGTAATTCCCAGTGACAATGTAGACACAGTCTTCCCATGGTATCCATGGGGAATTGGTTCCAGAACCTCCTGTAGATACCAAAATCTACAGATATAAGTCCTTGATATAAAATGATGTAATATTTGCATATCACCCATGCATATCCTCCTGTATACTTTAAATCATTTTTACATTACTTATAATACCTAGTACAATGTAAATAATTCTTACACTGTCTTATTTAGGGAACAATAACAAAAAAGTCTATACATGCTCAGTACAAGATGCAATTTTCTTTCAAATATTTTTATCCACAGTTGGTTGAATTCATGGATGTGGAACCCATAAATGTAGAGGGCTAACTGTATTCATTTTATAGGGTAGAATATTGAGGTTTAAAAGTTAAGCAAATTGCTCAAGATCACACAGCTATTAAGTGGTGGGCCTGGCTTTGCAGGTGCTAAAGCTCAAGCTCTTAACATATTATGTTATGGGGCATTTGTGTCCTCTAGCACAGTTGTGGGTTTATACTAAACTTGTGGTCAATTAACCTTCAGTCTTTTCTCCTATAAATTTTGGTCAAGTCACATTTTCTCCATTTGAAACTTGTGTGATTCTATCTTATCATCAAAGAGTTTATCAATCAATCTACCTACCTACATGTCTATTTATCTGATATGTACCATCTATTTATTTTTACTTAAATGTATAACTATATTTTTCCCTGTTAAATCTACAACTGGGGGCTTGGCCATCATTTTAGTCTGTCAAAATAATTATTGGTTTTTATTACTTAATGCATCTCTTTAAACTTTGAGTTATCTACAAATTTGACAATTTTTAATGCTTAAAAAGACATCTTAAACTTTTTAATGGAATAATATCAGACAGGGCAATATGACAGGTTACTGGTAACTTCAAGCAGTTGTAAACATATCAACTGTCCTATTATCTAAATCACATATTTTCAAATCGACCACAATGACATTCCGACTGACAGCTTTATTTTCTAGTGAATATGTTTGATGGTTTGGCATGACATGGCCTTAGTGAACCCAGGTTGGTTCCATGTGATCATAACATTCTTTTCTAAGTGGTTCACAAACCATCTATTTAGTCATTTATCCTTGAATTTTGCCAACAGTTGACATCAAGAATTTGCTTTGACCAGGCTGCAGTTCCCAGAATCTAGGCTTTCTTGAATTTCACAATCAAAAAATGTTTTCTAGTCTCCTGGCACCTCTTTGTTCTTCACGTTCCCCCCTCCCCCAAAGATTGCCAACAGTGGTTGCATAATTACATCTCAGAGTCTTTCAGTACTTTGGGCTATGATCTGTATGGGCTGGGAGATGTGATCTCATTTGAAGTGTGATATAGTAGAAAGAGAAGTGTACCTAGAATTATAGACTTGAATTCATGTCTTGATGCATCACTTGTTAATTGTGTGACCTGCAGCAAATTACTTAGTCTCTGTAGCCTCTGTTTCCTTATCTGTAAATGAGAATAAAACCTGAAAGGGAATTGAAAGGATTAAATGAGTTAACAGCTGTGAAGTGTCTGGAGTAAAATGAGCTTCAAAAATCCCGATTTCCCTTAATGCCTTATCTATGTTGGGTTTCAGTTTATTCTTTATATTTTAAAATATACTTTAGAATTTGAAGACAATTCTTTTTGCTGTAGAAGACATCAGAAACAAAAACTCACTGGGGAAGTAAAATGGTGTAGAGCACTGAACTAGGATATCACCAGATACCACTACCTGTGGGGATGTCTCATTAAACTCGTTATGTGACCTTGCGCAAGTCATGTAATTGCTCTGGGTTTTATATTCATCTGTAACATGAAGGGGAAGGACTGGGTAATTTCTCAGTTCTAGATGTATATGCTATGCTCTAATTTTGCCTTTTGCCATGTCCCTGAACTATGTAACCTTCTTCCTGTATAGGGGACTATCTTTCCAGCCAGTTCTTAATGCACTTTGTAAATAAATCTCAGGAATTAAAAATTCCTGAGCTGACCCCTTGACACACAAAATACTTTGGAGCTGAACCTCTGTCATCAGTGTTCTGATGTGGACTATTAGTCCAAATGAGCCCAAATTAGGCTGACAAACCTGCTGTCTTCCACTCCACTTATTATTCATTGAATGACCCCGGATTTGATTCTATTACTTGCCTAATGATTGAGAATTAATGACATAATAATACTATGTCAACATATAGAGACATTATGGAAATAACGGTAATAATTTATGTAGCACTTTCCAAACTAAGGTTTTTTTTTTTTTTGATAAATGAGAATGGATTTTAGATGTACAATATAGCAATTACTCTTTGCCCTAGAATATGAAAGAAGCCTTTGGATCTACACAGGAAGTAGCTATTCATCAGTTGTGATTAGTTTGGGGAAAAAAAGCACATTCTTTGTCTCTAAAATATTAATAATAATAATTTTGCTCTTATTGTGCTTATTTTCTATTCTGGGGACAGTCACCAAACGCCATAGAAAATATTTTCTGGTCTAGAAGTAATTAAATACATAGATATCTTTACTTCTCTTTACAGGGCAGATTTTATCAGATAAATTTTATTCATTCATTTATTCATTCATTTGCATTGTGTACATATTAATTTATTGAAGAAGTATTAATATTTCAAACACTTGTTTTTGTTATGCCATACGTGGGCTCAGAAAAGAACTGAGGGTGGGGGGTGGATCCCTGCTTTGAGAAAAGTCGTAATCCATTAAGGGAGATCTGCTAGAGCTAACAGGAGAGTGTGGCAATGGCCATTAGAAAGTATGTTCTGGATCCCAGACCTTTCAGGAACCTTTTCAAGAGCCTTGCTCTGCCTCTTAGTCTCTCTCTCTCTGCATTCTTAACCTCTTGGCTTTATCATCCAAATACTCTCTGTGTCTTGCATCTTAAAAATAAACATCAACCTCCCCTAACGCACCGTGTCTCTCCAGAATACTCTAGTTTTCCATTCCCCATGAAAGAACTCTCTGCATATGCTGCCTCTGCATCACCTCCCATTCATTCTTCACCTTACTGTGGTTGAACTTCCTCTTCTAAGGAACTGCTTTTAATAAACTCACTAGTGACTTTCAAATTCTAAATACTTTCCAGTACTGAATCCAATGGACACTTTTACATTCTTAGCTTACTTGACCTCTCAGCAGCATTTGAACCAATCGGTATTCCCTCCTGGAATACTTTTTCTTTTGAAAATACGCTATACTTTCCCCACTTTCTTCTGTGGCCAGTCCTTTTTTATTCTTCTTTGATGGTCCCTCTACCTATGTGCAGCCTCTAAACACTGCTATTCCTCTAGACTCTGACGGCTAGTTGTTAGATCCTCCGCTCCCCTCCTCTGTTCTCTCCTCTCCTCTCCTCTCCTCTCCTGTCCTCTCCTCTCCCCTCCTCTCCCCTCCCCTCTCTTATCGTCTCTCTTCTGTGCTCTTCCTTCCTTTCCTCTTCTGCTTTCCCTTAATCTCTCTCTCTTCCAAAGTAACCTTATCCTTTACCATGATTTAAATGCCACCTCTATGTTGAAGAGTCTCAAATTTATATAAGCAGCCTAGCTCTTCTTTCTGAGCTCCACAAGTAAATATTGAACTGCCTACTTGATGTTGATATTTCAATGTCTCGTAGATATTTCAAAATTAACATCTCAACATCTGAGCGCTAAATCTCTCTCCAGAAATCTGCTCCTTCTACAGATTCTACATCTCAGTGAATTATATCTTCATATGCCCAAGTACTCAAGAATATCCCTGGCCTCCTCTTGGAACTTTCTTGTGCCACAGGTGCTACAGACATTTCAAACTCAACATGTTCAGAGCCATTCCATCGATTTCCATCCTTTCCACATCACTCTGCTCTCAGGAATCTTTGAAACAAAACAAAACTTAAAACCCACATACAAAAGAAAGGAAGGAAGGGAGGGAGGGAGGAAAGGAGGGAAGGGAGGAAGAGAGGAAGAAACAAAAATAAATCCAAAGCCATCTGGTTCTGTCTCACAACCGTCTACTGTGCTATTAAGTCAGAGCGTAATGAGTTTTGACTTCTTCCTTTCCTTTGTCCCTTGTACCACATTTATGCAAGAGAAAGTTTCTTCTACTTCTGGCCATGATGAAATAACAGGAAGTAGGTTGTCTTTTCCATCTTCCACACTGAGAAATAGGCAAAACATGTGCATGATTTTGAGGGGATTGGATAACTGGTTGATTGTAACAGCGGGTGGTTCAGAACAGAGATCTCTGAAAGAAGGAAAACAGTGTGGGTCCTACAATTAATTTCCCAAGCTCTTTCAGAGCACGTTAGCTTTTCCCTGTGTGCTCATCTATTGTCCCTCTCCTTCTACTAGAATATGGACTCCAGGAAGCGCAGGGACTTGGTTGTCTAGCGGAACACCTAGCCCAGTGCCTAGCCCATTGTTAGTACCCAGTAAATTTTCCATTTGGGGTACATGAGTGAATTCTTGATAATTTCTGCTTCCTCACTAGCCAAGTCCTATCTGATTGTAACTTTAAATTACATCTGAAATCCATCCACTTCTCTCTAACTCTATTGCTATTACCCTGATCCCCAACACCACCATGTCTGCTCTGGACAAATGCTATATAACTTCCTTGGTGGTCTTCTACGCTTGCCTTCTCCAATCACTTCACTCAAATTGATTCTTTAAAATGTAAACTTCATTGTGTCACTCTATACTAAAATGTATCAGTGACTACTGCATTTTGAATAATTCAAGCTCCTTACAAGGGGATGATGGCCGACCACAGCCTACTTACTCAGCTTCCTCCTCACACCTCTAGCTGCCTAATCCAGCAGCCCATTGGGTCCATGAGATGCAATTTGAAAACCACTGAACTAGATGATTGCCAATGTTTTTCCAGCCCCTAGGTGCTGCACTACGATGCTTAGATTTATTTGCCACAATCTAAATTACCCATCAAAGTATAATTGACAAAAGTTACCTGTAAGTTTGATAATCTAAGCACAATGACAAGTACAAACAGAATGAGAATATCTTTCTTTGACAATGGGAAAAATGAGGGTTGAACTGTAACAATTTATCAATGTCACTCTGGCACCCTCCAGGGAGAAGACCATCTCATTCTAAATACTGGACTTGGTTTTTCAAGCATAACCATCATGAAAGGCAAATTCTCAGTCTACCAGAACTTTCTAGAAATATCACATGACAACATACAAACAGCTTTGCATTGATTCTGTGTTGACAAGGCCATGCTTTGCTTTGCTGTTTGGCTTCTATGGTGGACTCACCCCAAATACAGTGGCCTTTCAAATGCATGTCCTTGCTTCTCACCCCAGTTTAATCTTTCTCTGTAATTTAACACATTGTTCTCTCAGTTTATGAATCAGCCTTTTGTGGGTTTAATTAGTGCAAATCAATTTACAACCATTGGATCATACAGAGTAAACAGATAAAATGCATCTTGTGGTCCTGAAAATTTGAGAACCAGACTAGAACATAAACATATCACAAAAGCACAGGTGTCCTTTGATGAAGAAACGATGTCATGGCAGAATAGGGTCAAACGGTGATCTGTAATGTTGGTCTCAGGAAGTCTGGAGAAGGTAGTAGGTCCAGGCCATGGTTCTAGAGATGGAATGGAGAGTGGGAGAAGGAAGAAATGATAATAATAGCCAATGTCATTGATATGACCCGTTTCACACACATAGAGGAACAAATAAAGTCACATTTCACATATTTTTTGAAATTAATACCTTCTCTACTCCTCACATGCATGGAGAAGTAGGAAATCCTGTCTTCCTCTCTTAGCCCCTCCCTCCCCTTATATGGACAGGAACTATGGCGGGGCCTTATTGGTGCCCATCTTCTCATGCTGGGCCCAGAACTCAGGTGCCCTGTTGAGGCTGGAGGAGCCCTATTGCTGAGTTCCAAGAACAGTTCACTGTTGCTGGTTTTGTTCCAGTGAATGAGCTGTGCCTGGATCTCTCTTTTGGGTCACTGCTGCAGGCACACAATTGTTCTTTAAAGGGTAAAAGAGTTTGATTCCCACTGGCCTGCTCTTCCCCTTCCTGGAACAGCGTTCCCTCCAGTCTGCAACACCCACACCAACTCACTCCCCAAACTAGCCTGCTCCCAACACTACTACATTTACAATTTGCTCCCTGCATGGCCAGTTTTGGTGCTAATATTCTTGGGAGGGCGTGCTTGGGACAGGCTCTGGCATCTATTGCCACATGGACCCAGAGTGGCCTCTACCCTGAGATCGTCAACTTGCTCCCTTCCAGAACAAAGAAAAGTGTGCCCAGAAGACATATTCTTGCTTCCACTTTTAGAGCCACAGGAAGCAAATTTCTGGAAGATTTCAAATACATTTTGTTCCTAATTTTACCCTCAAGTGTTCAGAAACGGTGAGATCTAGTCTCCTGACACCCCACTGCACTCAACATCTGTGTTTTAAATCATTTAAAAAGTGGATACTTGTGTTCTTGTTTATTTATTTTCTTGTTTGTTTACTCTTACTAGGCAGGAAGCAAAAGTGCTGACTTTAAGTGCTTGAAGTGCTGGACACCCCACACTCTGGCTGTATGGAGAAATGATGGTATGTGTGTGAGTTTGTGTGAGTGTGAGAGTGAGTTTGCACGTGTGCATGTGTGAGCGTGAGTGTGCGTGAGAGTGGATACATGTTTCTGCAAAATCACAGGCAGGGAGTGGCTGCTGGAGGAATCCACGTGGGCCCAGGTACTGAGTGGTAAAGGGGAGGGAGAAGTAGGTAGGAGCCATGCAAAGGTGCCATCCACAGAGAAGACCCAGGGAGAGAAAGCCACTGGGGAGAGAAAAGAGTCCATATAGTGGTGGTAACAAAACGCTTATTCTGGAGCCAGAAGAAAGAACAGGGTCAGAAACCTGCCCTGCTACTTAAGCTGTGTGACCTCAGTTTCCTCATGTGTATAAAGGGAATAACGATGATGATGATAATGATCATAAGCCATATTAAAGGAGCTGATATACATAAAGCATTAGTAAATGCTATGAAAGTGTTAGCTTTTGTTATCATCATCACTTTTTTCCACGTGTGCAAAGATAGAACGATGTTTTGATTTTCTTCTGAAACGTTTTCTGTCTTACATGGCAGAGTGAATTGAATATTGCCAAGAGCATATTTAAAGAACTGTAGATGGTTAATATTTGGGCCAAATGAGGGGTTTTCTCCTGCTGAATGCCATCAAACTAACTTTTGGGTCTATGTGGGTGAGGAGGGTGAAGTGGGGGCGTGCACACACACGCACACTCACGCTCTTTGAGAAGAGAGATATTGAAAGACTTTTAGCACTGTGTTATGCAATGTGCAGTGCTGCATCTTTTCTGCATACCCTCAAGAAATTATCAAGATAAACTACTTTGCTCTGTAAGGCCTCGGTCAGATCTGAGTTTTGTTTTGTTTTTTAAAATAGGCCAAGTTATATTTCAGGTAAAATTAAATTATTTCTTTCCATGTAAATTATTTCTTTTCATATTTAGTACCTTAAACCTCTAAATAAATTTAGTCCACAAATTCTCCTAGTCTTCATGTTTATTTCTCTCCTAAAATACTAGATTCCTTTAGCCTGATTTCCCCTATTTTGCCACATTTGAAAAATATGGAGGATTTCTGCTTGATTTTCTCTTCTACTAGTTTACCTGTTATATAAGTGAAGCTTCTGTTTAGTTTGTACATTTTTTGAAGATATTCATGCAGAAGAGATGCTTACTTGGCGATCAGAAGTCACGTGTTGACTATGGCTTCTTATACATTTTGGGAAATACTTTCTTCAGAGCTCCTGAGTAGCTCTCTGGCTCTGATGACATTGTTCTATCAGCCACATCTAGAACATTCTGGGCGTTTATTGCTGCTTGTTCTAGTGTTTCCAATCAGTATTTTCTTTCTTTTTTTTTTTTTTAATTATACTTTAAGTTTTAGGGTACATGTGCACATTGTGCAGGTTAGTTACATATGTATACATGTGCCATGCTGGTGCGCTGCACCCACTAACACGTCATCTAGCATTAGGTATATCTCCCAATGCTATCCCTCCCCCCTCCCCCCACCCCACCCAATCAGTATTTTCAAATGGAATTTGGGAGACAAAACTTCCCTAAAATCTTCATTTAGTCTCTTTCTTGCTCTCTCTTTTTTTAATTTCCATCTATTAAATCTTTTGTACCATGATTAAAGGAGGTCCCACAGACTTCCAGCTGAACTTCCTCTTTCTCTTACTCCAGCATTGAAAGCTCCCAGCAGTTTCTGGTTTATACCTGTCCCTTACAATCTGTGTGTCCCCTGTTCCTGTGAGTCTCACTTGGCCAACCTTTACATTAAAAAAAAAAAAAAAAAAAGAGGCCAGGCACGGTGACTCATGCCTGTAATCCCAGCAATTTGGGAGCCCGAGGTGGGTGGATCACTTGAGGTCAGAAGTTCAGGACCAACCTGGCAACATGGTGAAAACCCGTCTCTACTAAAAACACAAAAATTAGCTAGGCATGGTGGCACAGTCCTGTAATCCCAGCTACTTGGCAGGCTGAGGCAGGAGAATTGCTTGAGCCTGAGAAGCGGAGGCTGCAGTGAGCTGAGATCACGCCACTGCACTCCAGCCTAGGCAACAGAGCGAGACTGTCTCAAATTTAAAAAAAAAGTATTCTTCCTAAAATAGAAGTGGTTTTTGTTTTTTGTTTGTTTTTAACTATTAGTGGTCATATAGATTTTTTTCTTTTTCTTTTTTTTTTTTAAGGATCAGATTTTTTTTTTTTTTTTAAATCTCTGGCAAGTACTTTCTTTTGGTTTCTAGTAATGTTTAAACAATAACCTGGTTTTCTCAATTAATTTTTCTTTATATGATTCCTTGTAATGCTTTTGTTGTTGTTGTTTCCAATTCACTGCTTGTGAGTTAATTACAGTTCCCTTTTTAAAACTGGGTAACTGAATAATGGATATTTTTTATTTTCTGCCAGAATGTGGAACTAAATTGTGTTGTAACCATGATTACATAGTGGTTCCTATGAAAATACTTTCTCTGTAAATTCTTATCTGGCTCTTAAAGCCCAACTGTGATATTTCCTTTGTTTGTGAATTCTAAAGAGCAGTCATTTGTTTGATCCCCACACTCCTTACCAAATGGTGTTTAGCCCGTTTGTACGATTAAACGAGGTCCGTCATTTTTCTACCTTGCTTAATCTTGTGATTTCTTCACTTTCATTTAATATCTCCAGTTTTATCTCATAGATATTTGGCTTATAGTAAAACCCTGTTGCCACATATTCGTGATTTAACTGTGAAATTTCTGCCTAGGAAAATTCGACTGTATTTTCTTAGCCCTGCAAACATTTTCCAAGGTTGCTGTTGATTTTGTTCCTTACAATGCACTTTTTTTCTGGGAAACACCCTCCATTCTGTCCCATATTTATAACCGGGAAGCTCTTAGTCCATTGTTGGCTAATGATTGCTATGTAAAGCCCCTCACTTTCAGCTCAAGAGCCGAATCCCCCTTTTCTATTTTGTGTGTTTCTAAGCAGAAAGTGGTAGGTATGTTGGCTTCATTTTCCCCAAGCCCCACATTGTCAGTTACCTAATTAGGTGGGTACTTCATTTTCCTTTTTTTTCTCACTGTCAAACTAAAACTAAAACTCACATTCATTCACACTGATCAGACTCACCCTAATATCTACCTTGAATGCAGCTTTCTGCTTTTTAGTGCAAGAAGCTGTACACCAGTTTGGTTTGGGTCAAGCCTGTCCTGCCTCTGTAAGTTTGAGTTATCCTGAGATAATTTTAGTCGTTAGGTAATTGTCAGGGACTCTAACAAAGTGGAAGTTGATCTCACTTTCAAGTAAACACTATCTATGGTTGGTACGATTGCTCCCTTATCATCAGGGATCCAGGCTCTTCTCTTCTTGCCTCACCGTCCTCAACATGTGGCTTTCACTTTGTGGTCTGAGATGGCTTCTGTAGCCTGTGCCATCACGCTTAGATTTCAGTGAGCAAGAAAGGAGAAAGGAACAGCAAAGGGGCATACTCCCTGAAATTGCACACACGACTTCCTCTTATAATCCATTGACCAAAACTTTGTTGTAGGGCAACATCTCAGCTGCGAAAAAAAAGCTAGTCTTTATTTTAGGCAGCCAAGTGCCCTGCTAACCTTTGGGAATTCTGTTACTGAGCGAGAAGGGAATAATGACATTGGAGGTCAATTAGAAATATTTATACATACCTTAATTTCAAATAAATCCCCAACTTGCTTCTTCTATAATCACATCTATGTATCTACATTTTGGGAGCTATTTAATTCTACAGTCTTGTCTGTGGGAACTCCATGGCAGAGGTCCCAAACAAACAGCTCTGCCTTCTGGGTACAAGCGATTCTCCTGCCTCAGCCTCCAAGTAGCTAGGGCTACAGGGGTGTGCCAACACACTGGGCTAATTTTTGCATTTTTAGTAGAGACAGGATTTCACTATGTTGGTCAGGCTGGTCTTGAACTCCTGACCTCAAGTGATCTGCCCACCTTGGCCTGTCAAAGTGCTGGGAGTACAGACGTGAGCCACTGCACCCAGCTAAAATTCTAATGCAGAACTTATCCATGTTCCCAATGGCTGTCTTCTACCCTCCATAGCATTACAAGAGGCAGGCCACCTTTATTCTGGCACTGAAGGTTACACTTTTCTAGTAAACTGGAAACTCCAGAATCTGAGAAAAGATTGTACTTTTGACAATGCCAAAGGCTAAAGTCTCCTGCTAAATATTGCATTTGATTTTATTTTGTGGTGATTTGCACATTTCTAATCTGAGGAGCTCCAGATTTCCAGTTTACTTTTATTTACCACAGCTTTCTTCCAAAGCCTCTGTTCTGGGTGGGGTGTTTTGCTGATTCTTTTGCCTTTCCCATTTGCTCCTGGAAGATCTTCATGTTTACATTCATTTCACATACAGACATTTCTCTTTTCCTGAAATTCTCATGCTTTGCTTTTCACCAGGTTTTTAAAAACATCTTTCCTGGTATCTACCTTATTCTGTGTCGAGTGTCTATTTTTCTTTGGATTTCGGCATCGGTTGGGCCTCTTTCTGTTTGTTACCGAAGTAACTATAAAAAAGAAGAGAAAATGTCAGGTAAAAAATTCACATGATCCTTAAAAGATCAATTAGCTGTCTGATACCAGCTATCCTTATCCAAGAACCATTTTTGTCTTGAGCTCTGATTGCTTCTCCTAGTAAAATATGTTTTGATTACATGTAGCACTGTTCTGCTATTTTGCTAAAGATTAAAACATGACCTGGCAACATATAATATCTCGGTGCGTATTCTCAATCCCCCCAACCTTGTAAATTTCAAAGTTATATAAAACTAAAGCCAACAAGAATATTAACCTTAATTTTAACCATGCGTCTTAGAATCAGAAGTTAAAAAGAAATATTCCATGGATGACTAACTCATAAATATATGTTACGAATTTTAATCTGAAAAAAATGCATCCTCTACTTGATAAATTCCCCTTGTCTTCAGTGCCACCACCCGTATTCTCATCCCCAGGGTTTTCATTTCCTCTTTCCTCTCCTTTACTCCTTTATTGACAAGCATCTTTCCTTTCTCCACAGAGACTCTTGGATTTGTCCCCGGGTCTTCGTGTCAGCTGTCACCTCTCAGAGCCAAGTCCCTATCAAGTCCCATATAAATTTTTGCAACAGCCTCTTTACTGGTCTCCTCACTTTCAATCTATCCTCCTGCCTGCGGCCAGATTCATCACTGCTTTCATCATCTCTGTCCCCCGATTAAGACCCTCCACTATTTCCTTATTTCTGATTACTTCAAGTCTGGGCTCAGCCTAGTAACAATGAGCCTTGCTCCATGGACTGTATTTTTCAACTTTCTTTCACAGAGCATCCCACTATGCATGCCCGACTTCAGTCACATGGTTTTCAGCATGCTCTCTTCTTTTTCTGTATATTCCCATATTCTTGTCTGCTTATCCTCTGCCCTCCCTGTATAACCTCCTCTCCCCTAATCCACATGATGCCTTTCCTTTAATTTCCTGAAGACTTCCTGCTCTCAACCCATTCCACAGCAATCCATCTTTCTGAGGCGCTATTTCGAACTGTGGTCTGTATTTGTCAAATTACTTCGAATTGAAGATTATGTGAAGGTCGCTACATAGTTGTTCTATTAAGGTTGCTACATGATTGTACATCTTCTCTTTTCAACTGCTTTCTGTTCTTTGTTTTGTCTAGCTGGCTATAATTTGGTATTTAATTGTTATTGAACAAATCAACAAATGAGAACCATGTAGGAGTCAACACATTCATTTCATGTATTTTGCTCTAATGTCCCATACTTGTTCATGGTGTGGAACTGGGGTTTGGATCTTATTATTTTATACATGAAATTCCACACTGTTCTGATATATATCTTTGTTTCTTGTCTTTATGGCCTTGTTATTTCCATTGATTACTTGAGGGAAGCAATTAAGAGACGCAGATCACAGAATAAGCCCAAGGTGAATGAGATTAAACCAAGAAAGAAGACGAGAAAATAAAAATTTCCTCACTGGGATATGCGGGCTATCCTCATTGGATTTAATTTATAATGAATTAGAAAAGATTTAAATATATTGCTTTAGAACTGTCTGTTTGAATTTGTTTCCACCCTGGCTGAACTATTGATAATTGATTTATGTGGGCTGTTTCCCATGATATTGGACAAGATCATGTACAGCCAAACAAAAATAAGTGAAGTCTAAGAAGAGTTAAAAGGGAGAAACCACCAGTCAAAACTAAAACCCGTGGCTCTCAAAATCCATTTGTCTTAGCAAGAAAATAGGCCTTGAAATTCAGAGTCTCAAGTTGCTGTTGAACATTGCAAAGTTTGGGTTGGTGTTATGGCTAGAATTGGGCCCAAATATTGTGCTCGTAGGAATGCAGAAAAACATGAAGGCACATGCTTGGGGGAGAGGGGGTTAGAATTGTTCTGGCAGAGTTTCATGTTCATTTGCTCTGACAGAGCCAGGAACATTTTGGTCTTCCCTATCTGTTGAGGTTTATTCATCACTTTCTGTAAACCCCAAGTACCTAAAAGGCCATAATCAAACTTGCTTATGAGGCAGACACCTGGAAGTCACCATGCTCCATGGAGAACAAGAATGGTGTGGCAGAGACTGAGGAGATGCTTGCCAGTCCTGACCCCTCCTCCTGGGCATTTCTGGCCTCCCTGGTAGTTAAGTTGGAGCCATATGACAAGCTCTCATCAACGGAATGTGAATAAAGGTGTTGTGTTGTCTTCCACTTCTGGGCCTGGCTGCCCAAATCTCCGTGGAGGTTCTTACCTTGCTCTTTCTCTTTGCATGCTGACGGGACAGATGAGGAAATGACAGTGGAAGGTTTGAAGGGAGGGTATGGAAGAGCCACAGATGGAAGGAACCTGGGTCCTGGGACCTTTGTATGGAATGCTGCTCACAGAACTCCTTCATTGAACATCGAAATATATGTAAAATATACTTTCATTGATTTATGCCTCTGGCATTGCTTCTGGTGTTGCTTGCTGCAGTTTCTGGTGTTGCTTGCTGCAGTTAATTAGCCTCACTAATACAAATAATATCTTTAATTCATCCTAAGATTTGAAATAGTTTTATTAAGAAAAATTACTTGTCCAAGAAAAAATTTTAAAAGCTACCAAATTTAACTCAATTTAATAGTTGATGAATATTAATAATAAAATAAATTAATAATAATAGTAGTAATAATATTGAACCCCTGGAATTCAAGGCTGCTGTAATTCAAGGTTTGAGCCCAGGAATTCAAGGCTGCTGGGCTGGAGCCCAGGAAAACAAGTCTGTTTTCACACTGCTGATAAAGATATACCCAAGACTGGGCAATTTACAAAAGAAAGAGGTTTAATGGTCTTACAGTTCCACGTGGCTGTGGAGGCCTCACAATCATGGCAAGAGGCAAGGAAGAGCAAGTCATGTCTTACATGAATGGCAGCAGGCAAAGAGAGAGCTTGTGCAGGGAAACTCCTGTTTTTAAAACCTTCAGATCGCGTGAGACTTATTCACTATCACAAGAACAACATGGGGAAGACCTGCCCCCATGATTCAATTACCTCCCACCAGGATCCTCCTATGACATGTGGGAATTGTGGGAGTTACAATTCGAGATGAGATTTGGGTGGGGATACTGCCAAACCATGTCAGCTGCAGTGAGCCAGGATCATGCCATTGTGCTCACTCCAGCCTGGGCAACAGAGGGAGACCCCATTTCCAAATACTATTACTACTACTACTACTAATAACAACAATAACATCATATTTATATAGTGTACTGAGAATATATATGGGGAACAAGAGAGAATATTTTACTAAGAATAGCAAGTTAAAAAACATATACAAGTGAATAAACAGTATGCTTACATGTGCTATGAAGAGAATAGGACACACTAACCTGAAACAGAGTGATGGGCTGGGGCCTAACTTAGATGGAGGACCAGGGAAGATCTCTCTTTGAGAAGGTGATATTTCACTCAAACTTGGATAGGCCCCAGTTATGTGGTTGTCTGGGGGAAGAGCTGTCTGGAGAGACGGTACAGCATTTGCAAATCACTGAGGCAGGAACAAACCTGATGTGCTCAAGGCACAGGGAGAAGAAGGGTGGCAGAAGCCTCAGGGGCAAGTACCACAGTGAGCGGGGAGCGGTCGTGAGGCCCAGACCTCTTATAGCTTTTAGACCAGGATTCAAAGTTTGCACTTTATTCAAAGAGCATTGGGAACTCTTTGTGAGTATTCAGCGAGGAGCCTGATTTGTGTTTTGAATAACTGGATGCTGTTTGGATAATGGATTTTAGAGAGAAAACATGGAGGCCAGTTAGGACACTAGACAGTGGTCCTGGAGAGAGAGTATGGTGGCTTCACCTAGGATAAAGTTGGATGGATTTGGGATTGAGATGAAAGAATGATTTTTCAGATGGCTTGAACATGAGGAGTAGGGGAAAAGAAGAAGATTTATTAATTCATTCAGCAAATATTGATTTAACATCTACTATGGGCCAGGCACTCTTCTAGGCTCTGGGAATAGAGCAGTGAACAGAACGGGTCAAGTCCCTGCTCTTGAGACCTTATTCTCTCATAGAGAGGGACAGATAATAAATAAACATCTTATGTCAGGTAGTGACAGGGCTTTGAAGTTAAGCAAAGCATTGTGAAGGGATGGCTAGAGTTAGATAAGATAATCGGGAGTCTTCTTTGATGGAGTGATATTTAAGCAAAGAAATGAGGAAGTGAGCCACATTGCTCTCTGGGGCAAGGGTGTCCTGGAAGAGGAAATGGCAAGTGTGGAGCCCTGGAGGTTGAAGCCTGAGTGGCATGTAGGCAGAGTGGTACACAGGTACCAAGGAGGGAGGGGAGTGAAGGAGAGAGGTTGCTGGGGAGACAAGGCCACGGGGAGGTGGGCAGGTGGGCAAATCATAGAGCTGGTGTCCCTGGCCCTTGGAGAGTTTTTTGTTTGTTTGTTTAGACAGGGTCTGGCTCTGTCAGCCAGGCTGGAGTGCAGTGGCATGATCTCAGCTCACTGCAACCTCTGCCTCCCAGGCTCAAACCATCCTGTCACCTCCACCTCCCGAGTAGCTGGGACTACAGGTGCACACCACCACACCTGGCTAGTCATTGCAGAGTTTTGAGTAGAGGAGTGGATGCAGGAAGGCTAGGTAGAAGGCAATCATCTTGTCAAGACATGATGGTTTTGTTTTCACCACTTTTTTCCATGATTTTCACCAGAATTTTCACCACGATGGGTTGTTTTCATCAATGCTTAGACGTTGATGCACTGATTGAGAAGGGACAGACAGAGGAAGAAATATGGGAGGAGAAATCAAAGTTCTGTTTAGGATAGGTTAAGTCTGAAATGCTTATTGGACCTACAATGAGAGATATCAGGTAGATAGCTGATGACTGAGCCCAGAATTCCAGGGAGAGTCAGGACTAGAAAGAGAAATTTGGAGTTGCCAGCTGAGAGATGGTATTGAATCCCTCAGGACTAGATGGGATTTTTTCACCCAGGAAAAGCCTGTAGACAGAGAAATGAAAAGAGCTGAAGTGTAGCCCTAGAGTTCTCCTACTTGTAGAAGTAGCATGAGGGGAGGAAGGTTGAGGAGGAGTGGCCAGTGAGGAGGATAAAAATCAGAAGTGTTTAGTGTTACAGAATCCAAGACAAGAGTCTCAAGTTAGCAGGTTCATCTCTATCCAATTCTGTTAGCAGTCAAAAAAGATGAGGACCAAGATGTGACCATTAGGTTTGACAACACAAAGTCACCGATGACTTTGACAAGACAGGTTTCAGAGGCATGATAAGGGCAGAAGCAAGGGAGGAGTGAGTACAGGAGGGGAAGAAGTGGACAAGGGGACAGTGAACAGCTCATGGGACAAGTTTTGCAGGCAGAAAAACAAAGAAATGCGGCAGTAACCATGGGGAAATGCGATTTCCGTGGATCAAAGCCTCATATTCCAAGACATTAGGGGAAAAATTCTCATTGTACTGTGTTATACCAATTTCTACAGGAATGAAGGCTTAATGTTTTCTTTCATGTATAGTTGCATTTTAAAATGCAAACCTCTGTCTTGCATGTAGTAAATAGTCTAATATACATTGGATACCTAGAATGAATAAATATTCTGGCTAAGACTAGCTCTGGAGTGAGTGTGTGTGTGTGTGTGTGTGTGTGTGTGTGTGTACACGTGCATTGTTTTCAAGTCAGGTGGGTTGGAAATCTTCCTGACAATCTGTTAGGCATCAGGAATTTTTATCTCCAGATGGGTGCCCCATTTTTCTTCTCGATAACCTCTTGCTAATGAAGAGCCTTGGATGGGAGTTCCATTTACAAATGGTGAATCATTAGAAACAGATTTGTAGGCAGGGAAGGATCTTCCAGCAGCAGAGCCTCACTTCTGAGGCATGCAGTCAGTTTCCTGCACAAATGGGCCTGTGAGCAGCTCCACCAGAGGGAAGACAACTCGTTCCACACACCCACTCCCACACCGCGGCTCCAACTACAAGCCTTCATCTGAGAGCCTGAGGGCAAAAGGACACGCTCTTTGTTTATTAATCACCTCTCCAGCCCCTGGCTTTTCCTCTCTTCTCTACCTCCTTTCTTACCAGTTATTGGGAGACAGAAACATTTCCTTCTATTACAGCCCATAGTTGTTAGCTGTGCCCTCAGCTCTCCCCGCCTTCTCTAAGCTTCCTTTCAGTCGGTCCTTCCTGGAGCCATCATGGTTTTCTGTCCCTGGTTCTCATGACCAGTCTGCAAATGGATCTCCTACTGCTCTGAGGCAGGGTGTTTTGCTGCCTCGAATCCTTTCTAAACCACTGTGGAAGGCAGGATGGGCCAGTGAGCTTTCAACAGGAAAGCAGAGTCAGGACCAGCCTGCGTTCTGGGATTTATGATTAGACTCTAGCTTCACAAGTCCTAGCCCATCATTCCCATGATGTTTTAACTGGTTTTTCATTCTTCTTATGCTCCTCCTCCTAAATGCTCATCACACGACCCTCCCATTGCTGTCTGTCCCACCACCAGAATGGTGGTCCCAGTACTCTGTCATTCATGTTCCTCCTTTCTGACTCCTGGCCATATCTACCACTATACTACCATGAATACTACTAATCCTACCATTAATACTACTCATCCTACCACTAATGCTACTATTAAATCAACTGACCATTTCACTTAAATATGTACTTAAGAAGGAAATTCTGTGGCTATATACATAGAAATTCACATCAAATAAAAAATAAATGCACCCCTCACAAAACACCCCAAATCAAGTTTATATTATCACACTCTAGCTGTATGCTTGTTTACCAAAGCCTCTAAGCTTGCTTTTATTTTTTAAACATAAATAATCAAGTATGAGAGCATTATTAAAGATATTCCAGTAACAAACTGAGACTTTTTCTTTGACACGTTCTGAAGGATTCAAAGAGAAGTGCTGTTTGCTCAGTATTGTGAATGTACTACAAGCCACTGAATGACACACTTTAAAATTCATCATGGTTAAAATGGTGTATTTTATCTCAATTTTTAAAAAGCCCAAAAGAATAATTTTGATTCAGTGTTATTTAATACCATGTTATAGTATTGCTTAAAATCTTTTCTCCCTCATTTTGGCAAACCTTACCCCAGTAAAGATGTAATGCTCAAGAGGCTGAGATCCATGCGGCTCTGTCTTAGAGTAGCACTGCTGTCAGAAGAACATGGCCTCGTGGGCTAAAGCTGTTTTAAGCTGAGCCAATACCTTCACCTGAATTTCTTGAATGATGGCGAATATAGCAATACACACAGAGTACAGCAACGTTCCCCAAAAGCCCCTGTTTACTTCTTCCCACTTCCAATATGTTTGAACTTTAATAATTTACTTTTCACTCTTTAGGTTTATTTACTTGTAAAATAGAGATAATAGTAACTATGTCAGTTTTATGATTATTAAATAAGAAAATCATGCAGCAGCCTAGCACAGTTCCTATATGAAATACAAGTTAGCTCTCTTCCTCTATCTCCTCAACTCCTTTCACTCAGTTGAAGAATATTCAGGGAGCAAATTCATATTGATGCTTTATGAATGATTTGATGCTGATATGATGATGATTTGCTAGAAATCCCTACAATCCAGAAATGGAGTAACTTAGAGATTCTGGGAAATCATCACTATATAGCCAGTACCAAAAAAAGAAGAAGAAGAAGAAAAAGAACAAATAGATTCTTCTGAGCACTCTTTTCAGAATCATTGATTGTTGATATACAGCTCTTCATTTGCATTAAGAAGCATTAAGAAATTATTTGTATCCCCACTGGGTTTCTATTGAATTCTTTTCTAGTACAGTTCTATACGTTGGAGTTTTGCCAATTTGGTTTAATTAATTAATCTTCAAGTAAAACCAAAGCATATTTACAGTATTTATGGGATTTCGTTATGAAACATCATCACTTCTGGTTCACTTGCATTCTGCTGTTTTTGGTCATCATTATTTGTATTGTTGGATTTGGCAGCAATCCTGGAAATACAATTTACTTTATGCTAAAACCATGTCTAAGAAAAAGCTGTGACTCCACGGTGGAGTGAAATATGGTGTACACTCCCTTGCATTGTGTTCTTGGTTTTGGAGATACATCAAACTACGAATGATGTATTCTTTCAAACTTGAGAAAGTGTGGGAGGTAGGGAACTTTTAGATGCCACAAACACGTTTTAAAAAGCATCTCAGAACCAGTTCTCTCTAAGAGGAGAAATACAGTTAGATTCTCCATGGTAAAAAGGAAGTTTTTTTTTTTAATTTTTGTTTTTTAAAGCACTGTGATAGGAGAAAAGGAATACTCTCAATGTATAGGCTCCTTGTGGCAACTGAAAAGACAACCAAGGCATAAGCTTGTGTGTTTCAGGCATAGTTGGTTTGTGGAGTAACTGAGGCCATCTGAAGTGCTTTTTATGATGGGTTTTGCAGTTCATTAAACATTCACTTACAGGGAGAATCTTTAACACTGTAGTTCGTGAGGTAGGCCTTTTCCTCCCAGTCCAGAAGAATAAAATTATCTGGAATGAGAATCGGATGTGAGACAAGTTAAAGAGAATTGGAACTTCTTTTTCTAGGCATTTCAGCTGTATTTTTAGCAGGCAAAATAATTTTGGGGAGCATCATATCTAAATCTTTCACTCCCATTCTTTGAATTTAGCAATTCACGTATATTTTGGGAAAAAAACAACATATGAACACCTACATCTTACAAGGAAGATGTAGATCTATACACACCTAGCGTTGATGTTAAGTGTCTCCCTTCATGGATGAGGTGAAACAGAACAGTTTCACACAGCTGGTGGGAATGTAAATAGTACAACCACTATAGAAAACAGTATGGAGGTTCCTTAAATAACCAAAAGTAGATCTACCATTCAATCCAGCAATCCCACTACTGGGTATCTACCCAAAGGAAAATAAGTCATTATATGAAAAAGACACTTGTACCTACATGTTTACAGCAGCATAACTCTCAATTGCAAAGATATGGAACCAACCTAAGTGCCCATCGATCAATGAGTGGATGAAGAAAATGTGGTATATATACACCATGGAATACTACTCAGCCATAAAAAGAAATGAAATAATGTCTTTTGCAGCAACTTGGATGGAGCTGGAGGCTATTATTTTGAGTAAAGTAAGTCAGGAATGGGAAACCAAATATCCTATGTTCTCACTTATAAGTGGGAGCTAAGCTATGAAGATGCAAAGGCCTAAGAATGATGTAATGGACTTTGGGGACGGGGCCAGGGAAAGTTGGTAGGGGTGAGAGATAAAAGACCATGTATCGGGTACAGTGTACACTGTTCAGGTGATGGGTGCTCTAAAATCTCAGAAATCACCACTAGAGAACTTATCCATATAACCAAAAACCACCTGTACCTCAAAAACTATTGAAATAAAAAAAAAAACAGAATGTTAAAGAGTATCCCTTAACTTGCCCTTCATTAGTGATCAGTACCTTGTCAATGGTAGATAGATCCCCCAAAGTGCTGTTGGTCTGTACATAGGCCGTCCAACTATGTGTAGGTTTGTCACCAGTAACCTAAACTGACACTAAGTGTAGGTAATTTCAGCTCCTCAAACAGGCATGATGGTTTTCAGGAACCATGTCAACTAGAGGAAACCAAGAGGATTTTCTGAAAGCAGCTGATTAATTCTTCGATGACTTCTCTTGGGGTTCCCTGATTTCCCATGGAATCAGACAGCTCTGAGCTGTAATCATTGGTAGTGTTTTGAAATCTTCACGTTATATAAACAAATCATCATCTTGCCAGGTTTGGGGGTCATCCTGTTAATAGGTCTGAAACAGGAACTCAGTGTGAGTCCTGGGTCACGGCCTCTTTTCCCCCAAGATCACATTTTTTTAGACAAACATTGCTTACTTTCTTTAACTGCAGAAAGTCTGTGCACGATTAAGTAGAATTTAGGCTCCTGGTGGTGTGCTAAAGTGAAACAAAGGAATTCCAGTGATTGGTAAGACAGGTGTTTGCTTCCTCTTCCTTGTTTTGGGCAGCACAGGCAAATCCCCCACATTACTGTTGTTCTTCATGGGATTGCCCCTTGGAGAGAGGATGGACACTGCTTATAAACCATCGTCCAGGTCCTATTCCCTCCTCTTTATGGTCGGAGGCACAGTTCTGAGTTCCCCCATATCACAGCAATTACCTTGCATCCCTTTTTCCCCTTTTTGATTACTATAAGTTTGAGTCAGCTCTTCATCCTCTCAAGTTGGCACCCATGGGAAGAGGCCAAGTTTATTTATCTTTGGTGCATCCTGTCTTCCTTTTCTGCCCTTCTGTGGCTTTTGGTAACTTCTTCATCCTTGGGCATTTTTTTGTGCTTAGCTCTTTTCATCTCCTCCCTTCTAAAAAAAAGACTCTTTGGCAAAGGCTCTGATAAACACATTTGCACTGAGGTGTAAATGGCTGATAAAAGATGCGTGTTTTGTTTGTTTGTTTGTTTGTTTTTTTACTAGGAGCATTTGCTTTGGTGCAAAGATATAAATTTCTAATGGTGGAATTTCAGATCAGCAGCCAGGGAAGGGAAGGAGTTGGGGGTGAGATATCTTCTTGAGGCCCCCATCAGCCTGCTTCTAAGGACATCCTCCTCCAAGGTAGCAGCCGGTCATAGGAGGCCCGGGCTGCTGTCTGTGGGAGGGGCTGGTCCCATGGTGAAACTCTGGCCTCACTCCACGACCAGAGCTTGAAGTCCTGGGGCTCTGTCTGAAAATCTTGAGCAAGCATCTTGCTTTTCCCAGAGGAATGTTTGGAAACACTACGAATATCACATTTGTGGTATATGTTTCATTACTTTACTGTTTTCTTCAGCTGATCTGATAGATACTTCATCGTTTTAAGGATTCTTGAACTTGCCCTTTAGCGACTCCAGTGCAACATCCTGGGTTCCCACATAGAGGTTAGTTCTTGCTGACAGAAACCTTTTAGTCTCATCATTCCTCAACTTGTCTAAATCAGAAGTGTTTTCGATATTCAAACCCTGACCTCCAGTAAATGAAAAACTGTTACAGCACAGTGAAATTCCTCCAGGCTTGGAGCACATACATCCATGACCACATCACTGCAGAATGAGATGACTAGGGCTGATGTCAAGGCAGGCAGCACCAGCCCCCACAGAAATGCCGGCCCTGCCCCGATTTCTTTGACACAACATGCAAGCCAGGCCTCTCAGGCACACTCCCAAGATGTGACATCTTCCAAACAACCCCTGCCCCATTAAAAAAATAAAAATCATCAAGCTTCAATGTAACTCAAAGCAGAAAGTATTGGTTAACATTATTTTTTTCCCCTAAAATACAATTCACCTCTCAGAGAAACTACTTTTGGATTCTGTTTATTCTAGTGAGTTGAAAATTTACTGTGGCCAGGGGCCTGTAATCTCAGCACTTTGGGAGGCCAAGGCGGGCTGATTGCTTGAGTCCAGGAGTTCGAGACCAGCCTGGGTGACATGATGAAACCTTGTCTTTACAAAAAATTTAAATAATAGCTGGGTGAGGTGGCACGTTCCTGTAGTCCCAGCTACTTGGGAGGCAGAGGTGGGAGGATTGCCTGAGTCCAGAATGGTGAGGCTGCGGTGAGCTGTGATAGCACCGTGGCAGAGTGAGATTCTGTCTCAAAAAAAAAAAAAAAGAAAACGAAAAATAACAGAAAATTTACCCTGAATTTCACCTTATATGATTCTATGATGTTTATGTGTGTTGAAGAACAAGTCAGACCTATAGGGTAAAGCGTTGTGTATTTGTCGGTTTTCTTTATCAGAGTAACTCAATTTTACCTGTCTTATCATCTTTCCAGGGCCTTTGGTATAGTACGTTCTCATAAAAAATTGTGAGGTGAAAAAGCAAATAAAGATGTTTATTTCTAACCCTATTTTGATAAGTTGAAATCTTTCATTTTCCAGCTGTTTTGTCTATAGTATACTAAACTTCCTCCATGGGCACAATAATACTGTTTATACTGCAGTGTGGGTAAACCTCAGAAACATTATGCTAAGTGAAGGAAGCCAGTCACAAAGGATCCCATATTGTACGGTTCCACTCATGTCAAATGTCTAGAATAGTCTAATCTATAGAGATAGAAAATACGTTAGTTGTTGCCTAGGGCTGAGGGAGACAAGAGAAATGGGGGTGACTGCTAAAGAGTATGAAGTTTCTTTTTGGGGTGATGAAATGTTCTAAAATTATGTTATGGTGATGGTTGTATAACTCTGTAAATGTGCTTTGACTTATACACTTTGAATGTTATGGTATGTAAATTACATATCAATACAGTGGTTTAAAAATGAATAAACTGGCCTGGCATGGTGGCTTAAGCTTGTAATCCGAGCACTTTGGGAGGCCGAGGTGGGCAGATCACTTGAGGTCAGGAGTTCGAGACCAGCCTGACCAACATGGTGAAACCCCAACTCTATTAAAATACAAAAATTAGCCAGGTGTAGTGGTGGGCGCCTGTAATCCCAGCTACTCAGGAGGCTGAGGCAAGAGAAACACTTGAACCCAGGAGATGGAGGTTGCAGTGAGTGGAGATCATGCCACTGCACTCCAGCCTGGGTGACAGAGTGAGTGAGACTCTGAAAATAAAAAGGAGAAAGAAAGAAAGAAAGAGAGAGAGAGAAAGAGAAAGAAAGAAAGAAAGAAAGAGAGAGAGAGAAAGAAAGAAAGAGAGAGAGAGAGAGAAAGAAAGAAAAAAGAAAGAAAAATGAATAAACTATGGTCTTATAAAATGGAAAGAAAAAGAGAGGACTTGGTTTGGATCCTTACTGCGGTGTAATATGAAAGACATTTGGTCTTTGTCCCCAGTTCCTGGCAAAGAGTTCCCTAACACCCAACCTATGGGATCTAATGCTAACTCCAGATAGATAATGTCAGGATTGAATTGATGTATAGTATACCCAGTTGGTGTTTGCTGGAGAACTGCATGGTGTGTGGGGAAAATCCCCTCTGTGTCTGGTCACAGAAGTGTTCTGGGCTGTGATGCAAGCACAGTAGGAGAGAAACAGAGTATCTTTCTTCAGAATTGGCATCAGAAGTGTTGCGAGAGAGGGTAGAGCAACAGCGAGTGTGCTTACCCCACCCCCCAACCTTTCTACAAATCTGGGAAATAGAATGAATCTGATCATTTTACTGGTATAGTAAGAAAATGCTTTGTTGTGGCTATGAAGGTGAGGATGAAATGGGTGAGGGTACCCTTCGGAGATGAAAAGGAAATTAAGGTAAGTGGGAAAGAAAATAAAAATTGAAGCCAAGGAATGTGTGCTGGTCACATCCTAAGGTGGCTCGCAGTGGCCCAACCTGTGTAACTCCCTCCTCTCGAGCTTGGTGAGACCTATGACTTGCATCTGACAATAGACTATGGCAAAGCCGCTGCGACATCATTCCTGTGATTATGACTATCAGACTCCGTCTTAGACTGGAGGGAGAAATTCTCCTGCTGGCCTTGAAGAAGCCAGTTGCTCTGACGTGAGCTTCTTTCAGAGAAGGCCACATGGCTGGCCCCCTCAGGGACCTCTAGGACCCGAAGGTGGCCTCTAGCCAACATCCAGTTAGAAGCTAGGAGCCTTCAGTCAGTCCTACAACAACAAGGAACTGAATTCTGCTAACGATCACATAAGCCTGGAAAAGGCTGCTCAGCTCCAGAAGGAATGCAAGCCAGCCAACACCTTGATTGCAGCCTTGTGAGGTCTGATGTTACCATCAAGATAGATAACGCCAGAACTGAATTACCAGCACCCAGCTCAGCTGTGCTGGGACACCCGGCCTCTAGAAACTGTGAGATGAAAAATGCATGTTGTTTAAGCCACTAAATTTGTGGTAATTTTTTATACAGCAATAGAAAACTAATACTATTATTGTAATAGTAACAATAACCGTTATAATAACAGCATATTGGAAATTAGTATGTGCCAGGCACTGGGCTAAGCTCTTTATACACAGAAATTCATGATTTCATTTTGAAGAAACAATATAGGATGGGTTCTGGCTCTGAACACAGACCACCAGGTTCCACGCGCTAGTCCTGTCTACTCGCCAATGACAGGGCCTTCAGCAAGTCACTCAACACCATTTCCTTTCAAGCCTCACATTTGTCCTTTTTGGTTGTTTATTTTTTGAGACAGGGTCTCGCTCTGTCACTCAGGCTGGAGTGCAGTGGTGAGATCATGGCACACTGCAGCCTCGACCTCTTGGGCTCAAGCAATCCTCCCACCTCAACATCCTAGGTAGCTGGGACTACAGCCACATGCCATCATGCTCGGCTAATTTTTTTTTTTTTATAGAGACAGAGTCTTGCTTTGTTGCCCGGGGTGGTCTTGAACTCCTGGCCTCAGGTGATCAGTCTGCCTCGGCTTCCCAAAGTCCTGGGATTACAGGTGTGAGCCACCGCGCCCGACATAAAATGGGTTTAAGAATGGTGTCTGCCTCACGGAGTTGATGATAGGGTTACATGAAATAATCCTACATCAGTGCCTGGCTCAAGGTAAATGCACGATAGTCACTAATTGTTGTTGCTGTCATCGCTACTATTTATTATATTGTTACATTCACGGTAATTAAGAGACCTCCTCTGCCACTCATTCATTGGGTGGCCTCGAGCAAGTTATTTTCTTAACTGAAGTTCTTCATCTGTAAAATGGGCATAGAAACAATACCTTCCCTGTAGGATTTTTATGAGGATTAAATGAGACGGTGCCTGTGCCACAGTGCTATGTCCAAGGTCTGACAGATGAGATAGACTTCATTCCCTTCTATCAGGGTGGAGAGGTGCCTCCTGGAAAGAGGCCAGTGTCAGATGGGACGCTATGCTCCCTTCCTTCATTCAGCAGTTTCATCTGTAAGACTGTGAAAAGGCACCTAGCACAGTAATCGAGGACTTGTGCCAATTCTCAGTAAGAAGGAATAGCTGCTGCTATGGTTGCATATGATCAGCATAGCTTTCCCAACATGGGTTCTTTATTGTAATCATTTTACATGTGCAAAACTGAGGCTTTTATAGAGGGTAACTTGCCCAATGCCAAACAGAATCAGAACTGAAAGGCAGATCTGCCTGGTTCTAAAAGCACAAATACTCCAGAAAAGCATATTTTGCATAGATTACAGTGGACTAAGACCCTTAGCAGGGGTCAAAGCAAACAGTACACTTGGAGATGGAGGATGGGGGAAAAGGGAGTAAAGAAGGATGGTCAATAAACGTAGGTGATGACAAGAAGGAAAAGAAAACAAAGGCTAAATGAAATTTCTGGTAAACAAGCTCATGGCACTAAGATGCATTTAATTCCACTTATACATTTTACAAGTGATTGTGATTTTTACAACAAAACGGTGACACTGGGTTAGAAGTTCTCATTTCCTGTCTCAGGGATGGAGTTGTGGACAACCCAAGCAAGTACTTCTATGTCTGATTTCTGTGGGGCCGTGAGCTGAGACAGACACGATTGCAAAATCTCACAGTCTGGCTGGAGCTAGTCGGGAGGGGGAATCAACTGGTCTCTCTTTATCCAGATAAAAGAAGGAAGGCAATCAGCAATGGGATGAAGTTGTGCCAGGGACACACACTCTGACTTCATGCCAGTTTGCATCCTGGCTTGGCTCTTTTGGAATTTCAGGGCCTCCCCCGACAGTGTATCCTACCACCCATGCATTGGTGTCACACCAGATTGACCTTTGGGGCAGCGGCAGGATTAGTACAGTGTTGTTTGTGCAACAAAGTTACCATCCTAGAGCTGACTGAGCTTGCTGGAGCACTTTTGTAATATGAGATAGGCCTGGTTAGCATCCTGGATTACGATGATGATGATGATGATGGTTAACATTCATTGACTTGAAGAGTGCATTGAGACATTGCGAGACATTCTAATGGAATGCTAAGAGCACAGACTTTGAATCTTAATTACCTGGGTTTAAATTTCAGATCTGCTACTTACTAGCTGTGTGACTTTGGACAAGTTACTTAACCTGCCTCAGTTTCTTCATCTGTAAAATAGAGATAATTATAGTACCTCCATCATACGGTTGTTGTAAGGTTTATATGTTGTTACAGGCAGTATAATGTGTATGTGTGTGTATAAATACATGTGGTATATATACACACTATACATGTGCATGTGTGTGTATGTGTATATATATATTTTTACATACTCCTGTGTGTGTATATAGTTACATAATATATAAAGCCTTAAGTACAGTGAGTGATAACTATGATTGAGGGCTTCCTCTGTGATAAATGCTCTAAAGACATGATCTCATCTCATTTTTAAAATGGTGCTGTGAGGCTTCACTTTTTCCATTTTACAGATGAGGAACCAGAGGCAGAGAGGTTAAGTGACATGTCACAGGTCACGTGTTGATGAAACTAGGATTTAAATCCTAGTTTGTTTGACTTCAGAGCCTGACATTTCTCTTGATGACTATGCAAGTGTAACCTATGCCATCTCCCCATGGATTGAAGCAAAGGAAATCCTGCCCACAAATATCTTTCATATACCAACACAGAAATTCAACTGCAGTACTGTCTACAAAGTATTTCGTAGCTGACTGGTTTTAGCATAAAATAATTTATGGCTACTCTAATACAAATTAGAATGTTATACAAGATACCTGCATGCGTGCTGCTGGATAAATGAATTTCACAATCTGCACCTGCAGAGTGAGGCAGGTGAGCCTGTTGGGGAGCGGGGATTAATTGAGAATGTTTCTTTCTTTTCTCCAAGAATGCACACTCACTACCCAGGAATAATGAGAGTTTTATCAGGTTGCAATTGAAGAGGAACAAAGAATCCAAATTAGGCATTGTGCTAACTAGCTGCATTTAGTTACCCAGAGGATATCATTTAGTGCCACAAGATTTCATTCATTCAAAAGAGAGACTGGCAGCTGCTGTGCCACATTGTACTGGTTGCTGAGGGAGTGCTGATGAGCAGTCCAGAGTCCTGCAAGCAGGAAAAGCTTGTCTAATTGAGGGGCCGTGGCGTGGAGCATGGTGGTCTAAAAGCATGGGTGACCGAAGGGTGTCTCTCTGCAGACAGAAACCCCCAAAAGCTCATGGTGGAAGTGAGTTGGGCCCAGTGGATGAATAGGGGCTCACCAGGCAGAGAGCAGAATAAATAAAGGCCTGCCAGGTAGGAGAAACTATATTTGCAAAGACATGGAGGAATGAAAAGCTTGCATGCTCAAGAAACAGCAGGAAGTTTGGTCTTGCTGGCGCAAAGGGTGAAGGGAGAGAGAGGAGGAGGGTGGTGTGGACTATGTAGCTGACAAGGTCCATAGGTTGGGCTGGAAAGGCCCTGCGCTTGTTTCCAGGAGTGTAGGCTACAGCTTTGGGAAACAGGGGTTGAGCATCAGGCAGTGACACAGCTCTTCACATGTTTGCCTTGTAAAGATTGGAAGAGGGTAAGGCTGGCAGAAGAGCGACCAGAAAAAAGAGGATTGCAACAGTTAAGACAAGAGCTGATGAAAGGTTGAATTCAGGAAGTAGCAGTGGGGAAGAGGGAGAGTTAAGAGATGGGAGGGAGACTGTTGGCATTGAAACAACAGGGATTGCTCTCAGATCAGATGGGAAGTTTGAGGGGGAGGAAGGTATTAAGGGGGACTCTGAGATTTCTAACTGTGGACAACCAGATACTTGACTACATAGGAAACACACAAAAAAGCATTCGCAGAAAGAAAAAGAAATATTGAGTTTGAGATGGATGTGGATATATGAAGGGTGTGTGCCTGACTGATTTTTATTTCAGACAGTAGGCAATTGATACATGGTGGTTGAGTTTGCTGGGTTCTAGCTTGAAGAGCCAGTGGGCAGATGTGGTGCCGGAACCCAGGTGGGCATTGAGGGGTGGAGACCAGACATGGAGGTCCCTAGTATAAGGGTTATAGCTCAAGCCTATAGCTCAAGTCCTATAGTTCAAGCCTATAGCTCAAGTCTATAGCAAGTCCTATAGCTCAAGCCTATAGCTCAAGTCCCTAGTATAGGGATTATAGCTCGAGCCTGTAGCTCAAGTCCTGTAGCTCAAGTCTATAGCTCAAGTCCCTAGTACAGAGGTTACTAATCAAGCCTATAGCTCAAGCCTACAGCTCAAGTCCTATAGTTCAAGCCTATAGCAAGTCCTATAGCTCAACCAGGGGCAGCTACGTGGCATGAAGGGGGAGTGGGCTGAGAACTTGCTGGTGGTGAGGAGGCATTCCCATTCTGGAGGAGAGAGCTGGGGAGCGAGACCCGGAAGAATCATGAAGGCAGGCACAAAAACAGGAGAAACAAACAAATTAAAGTCAAGAGAATAGAAAGATTCAAGAAGAGAGTGCTGGAAAGTGTCAGATGCCACCAAGAGGTCATGTGGGAGACTTGTAGGATTCCTAATTAGGAACCCAGCAGAGGACCTAGGATTCGAGTCTCAGGCAGGAAGTGAAGGCATCGAAAGGAGGTTGTGGTTGGGATCAAAGGAGGCGACTTACGTGACAGTGTGGTTATTATTGTCAAAGAGAGGGTACCAAAGTGGGATCCGGTATTAGGACATTCATGTCCTGGAATAATTTTACAACATCCTGTCATCAAATCTTGGAAACTAGGAAAAGATTTTTGTTACCGAAGTTGTTCCTGGCATTGATGCTGATGGCTTGTGGAATCACATGGAAGAAGGGGATTTTGAAGGAATGTGTAGAAGTGTTTGGAGAAAAGGAGAAAGAAACGGTAAATGGATGGGCCAGAGGTGGCAGTGAGGAAGTCAGGTCAGAGGGAAGGGGAGGGTCTGCTTGTCTGCAGTGAGTGTCTGATGTGAGGCACAATGGCCTGGACAGCTCATCACTAAGCAGTCGGCTCTGACGTGAAATGCCCTTGGAGCCACGGTAGTTTTCTGAGAAACAGAGTGATCAAAACAGCATAGTATGTGCAGAATCAGGGTACAAGGCCAGAATGTCAGAAATGACCTCCACAGTCTACACTTGCTTGGTCACAATCTGAAATGGAAATGTCTGTGTGTGTTCTGGTCCCAGCAAACTCCAAAAAGCGCCTTGGCCTGGGTAGCTGACATCACACTCAATTGCACATGCAAATGCAGTAATTACGCCTGAAATATTAGAGGTCAGCTGGAGGCCAGCGGAAGATTTGGTCTCTCTGCTTCCAGATTTTGAAATAGCAGATTATACACAACTCACTGTCTTCCGCCAAGACCTTGTTACACACATTTGTCAGGATCTCATTTTGCAATTTCCATTCCTTTAAAGAGAAATCCTCACACAGTGGTGATTCTGGCTGTTTTTCCCTAAAGTGCAGATTGTCATAAACCCGCACTCTCTCCCGGGGCCTGTCAGCCTCCTGGGCCCTGCAGTGAACACACCATCACTGAGGGAATGCGGGACACAGACAAGGCCGGGATTTTCTTAGGAGAAACGTTTTGGGAGAGGTAGATATTGTAGAGTCCTGAATATAATATGGCACAACAATTTTATGTATTCCAGACAGGAAAAGTTTTTTGTCAAAACCTCTGACAGTTTAAACTTTAAAGCTTCAGCAAAACTTTTAAACTTTTAAACTTTGAACTTGTTTGAACCTCTCGTGATTTATGAATTATTAAATGTACCACTGAAAATCACAGACTTTAACTAGTAAAGCTTTCTGCTTAAAAGCAACTGAGAAGAGGGTGGCTGTGGGACTGCAGGAGGAGGAGAGGGCTGGGGGTTTTGTCGGAATGGCGCTGCTCCTGGTTGCATAAAAGCCAAATCCAGAAAATATTTAGGAGGCAAAAGACCCAAACCAAGACAGAAACTACGAAAGAGGAGAGACATCAAAAAGTGAAATGGAAACTGTCTGACACTAGTTATGTAGGTGTATCTAAATAAGAGTTGAACTAATTTTATATTTAATATGTATATATTATATATTAGTGATAAAATATACATGACATAAAATTTAGCATTTTAGCCACTTTTAAATGGATAGTTCAGTGGCCTTAAGTACAATCACATTGTTGTGCAACCATCACCACCCTTCATTTCCAGAACTGTTCATCTTCCCAAATGGAAACTGTCCCCGTTAAACACCAACTCCCCATTCCCTTCCCGCAGCCCCTAGTAACCACCATTCTTTTTGTCCACATACCTCATATAAGTGGAATTTTGTATATGTATGTAGGTACATTCACATAAATATGTATATATATATATGCATGACTGAAATTTTATGTGTGTATACATTATATATAATATAATATAAATATAATGTAATAAAGTTAAAATATATGTATATTATTTGACTATTCCATGTACCTCATATAAATGAAGTTATATCATGAATATATTATTATATTATATATTATTAATATAATTATATAAAATATATAAAATAATGTATTATTACATGATTCCATTGATATGAGGTATAGAATAGTCAAATATACATATATAGTAATATATTACATCTATGTAGTCATATTATATAATATATATTACATATATGATATACAGTATATAATATGATTCAATTTATATGACGTACATGGAATAGTCAAATAATATATATATTTTAACTTTAAATTCATAGTAACAAGCACAAGGGGGTATTAGGTAAGAAAAGTTCTGAGGTTTTTCATGCCTTTCAGACAGAATTGAACGGTAAACAAAGTGAGTACAGATAGGGACAGAATCTGACAATAATTTATGCTTCCCAGAGGGTGCAGTCCATTTAAATCTCCAGGAGCTCCGAATTGCTCTTGAAGTGTCTGGGTCCTGTGGCCAGCAGAGCAGTCTTGAGAGCTCCAGCGGGCAGGGCTGGGCTTGGCTGGGCTGGGAGGAAAGGGGAGGGGCGCGCAGCTTGCGGCGGGCACACAGCGAGCCCGTGGAGGGCGAGTGCCCTAGGTCCTGACTCCAGCTTGGAGCTCAGGCACGTGTGGGATGGGCCGGCTACTTCAGCTTCCCCAAGGCTCCCAGCACGAGGATTCCATTACTTTCTGTTAGTGTGCACTCAAGGATTTAGTAACCAGTTCACAGAAAAGCCCCTCACTTCACAGCAGGAAGTGTAAACTCAGCATAAATCTTGCCAGCCTGCAGGGGAGCCGGTTAGGAATTTAGGAATTACCTAAAGTTTCGGAATCCACCCGCCGCGCCCTTTGCACATTTTACCTGGGATGAGGCCTAATGGCCTCTAGGAGGTGCAGCCCAATAGGAGGTCGACAAATTAAGCAGGGATTTGTTTCTTTAAACACTTCCATTGTTACCAAAATGAGAGCGAGCCCTGGAAAGTCTAGGGCGTGGGAAGGTTTTGTCCCCTGAGGAAGCAAAGAAGACAGGCAGTGGTTTGAGTGGGTGGGCGCTTCCACGTGGACAGAGGGCCCCCGGGAGGGTGGAGCGAGGGGCCCCTGGGAGGGAGGAGCGAGGGACCCAAAAGGGGAATGGTGGAGCCCAACCGCGACTGCTTGCTTCACAGTTGAAGGGCTGCCCCTTCCTTTCCCTCTTGGAGACCTCTGTCCTGGTGCCGCTGGTGCAGCTTCGGTTACAGTTGGATCTGTCCAGTCCTTTACCCTGCCTGCATGCACACATGGTCTCAGGGAGTGAATTCCTTGGGCGGCTGCCATGTCTGTGCTGGGACTCTGGCAATAGCCAGAAAGGCAGGAGGAGAACTAGGGGTGGGAGAGGATTGGGGTTCCGCTTCTTTCTTCTGCACCAGATATCAGGACCTGGGCACCACAACGGAGGCCAACTAGCAGCAGGTGGGAGTTGATGCCAAGTCCCAGGATATTGGACTAGAGCTGTGTTAACACCTCCTGCTGAGGTTGAGGCCTGGCAGGGTGAAAGGAGGGGTGGCCCAGCTATGAACCCAAAGTTGGAGGCTCCAGGGTGTGCTTGAGGCCCCTACATTCTGACACCCTCAGGCACCAGCGTTTTCAATGGGAGGAGGATTTCTCTTTTCCTCTTTTTGCAGTGGCATTTGTAATTCTAAGAGAGCTTTTGTTTCATGATGGATCTTTCAAGGATCTTGTATAAAGGCCCGGCACACAAGTCCCTGGGCTTAGCGTGAGTGGCCCCATGGGTGGATGTCCCCAAGATACGTCCGACAATCTATTGCTTAACTCTGCCCCCGCCGCACGAAAGAGGCATCCACAGTTCACCAGTTGCCAGAGAGAGCTGCCACTCGCTCTCCTTCTCTTACCCTGCCAGCCACCAGGGTCATGGAACACTTGAGAGAATAAGAACAAAATAAAAAAAGAGAGCAAGACACCCCAGGAAACTGAATGAAACTTGAGCAGCCTAACATTTAAATGTGGGACTTGGCTCTGGCTTAGTGTCAACATGGGAAACAACAGGAGCTTCTGAACTGAGAGAAGAGGAGAGAGGGAAGGCAGTCCCAGTGCGGCACAGAGGAAGGCTCGCACGGGGAGCCACAGTGACTTTGCTAGCACAGACTGACTGCTTCCTATGTACTAGAGTGGGTTACATGCTTTATTTAATCCTTGTCTTTCAATCCTTGAGGAATTCTGGAGCCAGACTGCCTGGGTTTGAATGCTGGTTCCATCACTTACTTCCTATGGACCGTAGACAACTGTCTTAAATACCTGATGATTCAGTTTCTTCAATTGTAAAATGGAGATGATAATGGTACCCAACTCACAGGGTTGTTCCAAAGATTGACTGAGCCCGTGTTTGTAAGTATCTTAGAACAGTGCCTGATGCATAGTAAATGCCATGTAAGTACAAGATGAACAGATAGACAGATAGGCAGACAGACAGACAGGCAGACAGATAATCCCATAAGCATAGATAAAGAAACTGAAGCTTAGAGAAGATGTTAAGTAACTTGTCAGAGGTTTCACAGGTGTTTGCTGTCAGAGCTAAGATTTGAACTTGGCCTATTCGACAATTTCACTTGTGGTCACCTTAGCAAGTGGGATGGAATATTACGGTTTGGAAATATAATCCATTCCCTGACATGATGGATGATGGTAATGACGATGGTGATGATGATAAATATATTAGCAGCTAAAATGTATCGATTGCTTATATTTTGCTAGGTGCCTTATGTACATTATTGGGTTTAATTCTTCTGTAGCCCCTTCAGTTATATACTCTTATCTCCACATACTGAGTTGAATAGTATGCCTCCAAAATTCATGTCCACCTAGAACCTCAAAATGTGACCTGATTTGGAAACAGGATCTTCACAGATGTACTTAGTTGAGATGAGGTCATATGGGATTGGAATGGGCTCTACATCGAATGACTGGTGTCCTTATAGGAAGGCCACGTGAAGACACAGGGACCTTCAGGAAGAATGACAGAACAAAAGGTGATGATGGAGACAGAGACTGGAGTGAGGCAGCTGCAAGCCAAGGAATTCTGAAGGTGGCCAGCAACCACCAGAACCTAGGGAGAGGCGAGGTGGCCATTCGTTCCTAGAGTCTTCAGAAGGCACGTGGCCCTGCAGGCAGCTGGATTTTGGACATCTAGTCTCTAGGCCTGTAAGATAATAAATTCCTGTTATTTGAAGCATGACACATGGGGTTTTATTAGGGGCTTACATACAGTTTACGGTACTTTGTTATGGCAGCCCCGAGGAGCTAATATAGACCAGTTCACAGCTGAGAAATTGAGGCTCAGGGAGATGAAAGAACTTGCCTAAACTCAGCTAGTTAGTGGCGGCAGACCTGGGACTTGAACTTGGGTCTGTCTGACTTCCAGTGTTGTGCTCTGACATCCTCTAGTGAGTGTTGGAGTCGTCAAAGTGTCTGGGTCAGCTTTTAGGCTGGCTGTCTTGCCAAACCCCTATTAACCTCAATAGGAATGGCACCAAGTTCAAGAGGCAGGAGACCCAGCATCAGCAAATGAGAAACCTGGGGTTCTATTGGAGGCTCACATACAGGAGAGAGAGTCCAGGGGCAGTGGGCTGGACGAGATAACCATCTTACCTACAGTCCAGTGGCGGCAAGCTGGGCAGGAAAACTGCAACCACTTGCAAACTGCATGCCGTTTATATAGCATGTCACTTAACACCCTCTCCGTAATGGCCTCCACCTGGACACTCTCATTTAACCCAAAACTCAGGGCTTCAATCCCCTGTATGGCCCCTGTTACATGGAATGGGCTGAGAGTTCAGATGTTTATTATAGACAGGAATGACTTTCCGGGTTGTCCACACCACGATTCCTTAGCTCAGAACACACGTTCAGGTGCGTCTGCCATACAGGGTCACTGTAAGTTCTTGCTTAAGTTCTTGCTATAAGGTGCGTTTACCCTGTGCTGTCAGATTGTGTACCCTGCCCAGCACTGTCTGGCCCCAGTGCCTTCCTGCAATGGGATGCTGTGGTCCACCGACCATGGGCCACGTGCTGCTCCATGCATCCTGTTGGAAAGTATTTAAAATGGCAGCAACTGGGAAAAGGAATCCACCAAAACCTTTGAAGAGAATTCCTCATTTAAGCAGGTATTAACTTGGGAGGTTTTCTTTAAGTACAAGCGATATAGACAATTATTTCAGAATAATGAACATTTTAGCCCCAGGCAAATTACTTTAGTTTATATCTCTCCAGTGCGCAGAATCAGACTAGTAATGATTTTTGGCTCATAACACTTTAACATCTTTGTATGGCTTTGCTAGCTAGTCCCTATACAGAAATGCATATTATGAGACCCACAAAGCCACCAATCAACCCCCAAACTAAGATACTGACAATAACCCAGAGCAACCTCTATTCCCCTGCCTGTACACCCTCCCTCCCTGTATATACATAACCACCTTTTTGAATTTTGTTTTCATTTCTTCTGTGAGATGTGCATATGTGTGTCCACAATGTCCATGCAGTCCATAAGTCTGGCCCTTTCTTCAACTTGACTTTTATGATTCTCCCTCATTCACTGTACACCAGCCACGCTGGGCCTCTTTTCCATTTCTCCAACATGCCAAACACCCTTCCGCCCCAGGGCCCTGGTACTACTCATCCCTATTTCTGGAATGTTCTTCTTCCTGATAATGAGACTCTCTAGTTCACCTCGTTCCAGGACCAATGGTCACTTCTCAGAGTCGTTGTCTCTGATTCCGCCATCTGAAACAGCCTTCCCATCATTCCCCATCTCCTCACCTACTTTATTCTTCCTTTTAGCTCTTATCACTGTTGACATTATCTAGTTATGCATTTGATTATTGACTGATCCTCCTACATAATATAAGCTTCAGAAGGGCAGGGAGTTTTTTCTCTGTTTTGTTCGTTTCTATAGCTCTAGTGCCAGACTTATAGTAGGTGCCCAATAAATCAACTCATCTCTTCCAATAAACCAGCATCTCTCTTGTAGCTCCTGTATGTCAGGCAATGTGCTAAGATGCAAAGCTGGTTACAGACCTATCTTCACTCTTCAGGTATTTGTAGTTTAGTGAAAACACTGAAATGTAAGCAATAATTCAGCAGTGTGACCTGGGTATGCATAAGTTGCTCGAAGAGTTATGGTGGTGAAGGAGGACTTGGGGGAGATGCCATTTGAACTGAGCCTCAGTGGATGCATAGACTGAAGCCCAGGAGACATAAGTAAGAGGTAGCCTTGTAGGAAGAGAGAATAAACATGGGAAAAGACATGGAGGTGATGGCGAGTATGAGGATGGCATGTATGGGAGAGGAGAGAAATGAGGCTGGAGAGGAAGGCAGAGGCCAGATCAGGCAAGGCTGGGGTTGCGGCACTGTGTAGTATGAACATTCTCCTGCTTAGACCTGGGGAAGCATTGGGGGTCATGCAAGTAGAGGAACAGCAGGACCAAGTTTGCATTTTGGACAGTTGCTCTGGTGAACCCCTATTAACCCCAGTAGGGAAGGCACCATGTTCAAGAGACTAAAGAGGAGACCCAGAGCCAGCACATGAGACATGGGGTTTCATTAGGGGCTTACATAGAGGGGAGTGGTCCAGTGGTGGCAAGCTGGACAGGAGAACCACCTAACATGCAGAAACAGTCCAGTGGCAGAGGGCTGAACCACATATCCGCTTTCCTACAGTCCAATGGTGGCAGGCTGGCAGGAAAATGGAAGCCTCTGCAAACGGCGTGCAGTTTACATAGCATTTTCACTTAACACCATCCCCCTGACAACCTGGCAACCTTCATTTAACCCCAAACTCAGGACCCCAATCCCAATCCATTGCACAGGCGAGGTGCTCAGATGTTCCTCATAGACAAGGAACAAATCTCAGGTTGGCCCCTCCCAGATTCCCTGGCTTGGAACACACATTCAGGTGCATCTGCCACCCTGGGTCATTCTAAAAGTGTGCCTAAATTATTGCTATTCGCTGAGTTTACCCCACACCAGTTCACTGTCTGCTGCAGTGTGGAGGATGGGCTGGAAGGAGTGGAGGCTGAGGTAGGGAGAGTGCCCGATGGCTGTTGCATGCAGTAACCGGGGTGAGAGCTGAGGCTACCAGGATGCATACGAGGTGTTATCAATCGAAGTGGTGGACTTTGATGGAGATGAGGAGATTGGAGAGGATGCTGAAAAGATAGCTATGGATGTGCTGAGTTTTGGGTCTCCGTGGGAAACACAGGGTCACCCAGTAGGCAGACGGTAGCTACTCTGCTTCGTTGCTCTCAGGCAGAGCCTGTGCATATGAGCTTTCGTGAAGGCTCTTTGATAATGAGGACTTCCCAATTATGACTTAGTTTTCATTGAGAAACCTTTCAAGGATGCCATCATTAGAGCTTACATCTGAAGGAATGAAAGTCACACACTAAAATTTAGACTTTCAATCCATTTGGAACAGACTCCTGTGTGACCTCAGTCATTCTCTTTAACCTCCCAGAAGTCCATGTCCAGGAGAAGGTGGGGCTACAGGAACTACCATGTAAGATTTTGTTCATTAGTAAGATTTTATGCCTCACAGGCTGCTTTCTCAGGTGGTGGAGATAGAATGAGTGGCAGGGTTTGCCATCAGACATTCAGGAATCTTAGGGGCGACTCCAACTCCATTTATTCATTCTGGCTTGGTAACGGGTGGGTTGTGGTCTCATTAGGTCAAAGGATGCATTCAGTCCATTCCCTCGGTATCTGTAGGCATCAGTCACTCTGTGGTTTCCATTTTTACATTGTCCCACACTCTTGCCCATCATTCCTGTCCCCCCAGCAGGCCTGGTTGCAGACCCCCTATTAGAGACAAAGGCACAACTTGTAGAGAAATGAGGGAAGTCGTGAATTGTGTAACTGACCAGGGTACTGCCGGAAGGGCGCCGTGTGCCAGATTAAGTTTCTTAGCCGGGTCTGTTAGGTCATTTGATAGCTCACTTAGCTCTTGGGTGCCCTTGCTTTTTGTGTAATCACACTTCTTTTTAGAAGAGTCCCAAACATAGGCCTAATCCTGTAGCATTTTTACACACACAGGGGCTTTTGTTTCAAGGCCTTCTCATGCAAATCATAGCTTTGAAGCAGTTAAACAAATCTCCTTGCAACCCAGGGAGGCCGATGCCTGTCTCCACAAAGAGAGCAAGGGCCCAGGTAAAAACTAAAGGAAATGTTTTTTGTTTTGTTTCTTTTTTTTTTTTTTGGCAGGGGTGCAGGGTGGATTCTGGTCAGGCTTTCCTTGCCAGGTGGATTTAAACTTCAGCTCAATCACACATGATTTAAACTTCAGCTCATATCCCAAGCAGGACTAACACTGGGGGTTGCTGATAGGAGGAGAAGAGATTGGGAAATGGAGGTAGTTAGAGAGAGAGGAACTTTGTTCAATATCGTCACTTTTTGCGGGAAAGGAGTAAGTGGGGGAAAATGCATCCTCAGCTGATCCACAGAGAAGACCAACTGTCTTCCCTCCTGATTACTGACATTCTCATCCATGGGTAAACACAGAAAAGGAAACAAAAGCAGAAAGGTTTCTTGTCAGCAATTCCAGTAAGATGTTTCTCCAGCCAGAGACGAGCCTAGAGCCAGCACACTTCAAAGACAATACAATCGCCTGTCAGCTGCAGAATTTCTCCTGGTCCAAGGTAAAATATTGCATGGAATGATGAGGCGAAAGTGTGGGAAGGAGAAGGTGATAACGTTAAGCCAAGGAAACAAAAGAGACAAGGAGTGATACTCCAGCAGGGAGACAAGCTCTGGGACTATTTTGGCCTGAACCTAAGGTAAAAATGACATAAGAGGCAAGCGGGTGTCTTCTGGCCAAGACATCAAAGCTGCTGCATTTGGAATGTTGTCATGATCCATTTGTAAAAGGCAGCCATCCTCCAAATGATATGCAGTAACCAGTGAGTATGTTTGCAAAAAGGACTTGGGTGGAGATAGTCAAAATCCATGAATGTATTGCAGCAATTATTCTTTTCCCTGGGAGATCAATAATGGATGGGGCAAGGATTGAAGCCAAGAGGATCTAAGGATCATAGGAAATGAGTCCCCAGGGCTTTCCAATGGAACCCTAGGGTGTTATATTTTTGGACATGGCTACAGTATTTGGAAAGGTAGTTCTTACTAATACAGTTCTGTCCATGTAGAGCTCACAGATCAAAGGATGGAAGATAGGGGGTTCATGCCAAAAAAGTAGTCTATCAAATGCTTTATTAAGCATGGAAAAATGAGCTTTGGCAAGGATATACTCTCACATGTGCAGAAAAAGTGATCAAGGTAAAGAAGCCAGTAGAGATCTCTAGAAGCCAGAACTGTGAACATTTTTCAACTGCGATGAAAGGAAAGAACAGACAACCATAATCAGGAGACATTTTGGGCAATGAAGGATTATGACATGAGGCCATTTCCTCAGGGAAAGTTGGTTGTGGTTTGGGAAGTTTGGGCTTTGGAGCTGATGATGGATTTGGAACAACTAATGCCTGGTGGCAGCCCCTCAATTAGGGAACAACACAGGAATCTGTGGGAAGGGCTGGGTTCCCAAGAAGGCATTTCAACACTTGTCTAATAACCTCGTCTCTGGTTTTTTGAGCAGCCCTAAACAACTTGTTCCTGAAATCTAAGTAATGGATTTCTGGGTGTCACCTCTTTGGGTTAGGGAAGTTAAACTGATTTCAGTTGCATTGTTAAAATCTTAGGTGTGTCTGAATAACAGCTGTGCTGGTGCCTACTGGAGGACAGAAACATGGCAAAGAGTAAGGGGAAGTGATGATATAGAATGTGTAAGGTGGGAATTCAGGAAACAATGACAGCAAAAGTGATTTGAGAAACAAAGCCAAAGGAAAAGGTGAGTAAAAAGAAAAGAAGGAAGTCCCATCTTCTACAGGGCAAATACCCTGGTTATTTAGCACGGTGCATAAGGCCCTCTTGGTCTGCATTTGCTGCCTGCTGCCTCTAGTGTTGCTGCATCATCCCCTTAGTACAAGACAATCTGTAGTTCCCCAAATGGACGATGGGAGGCAGGGTTTAATCTGGCCCCAGTGATCTCCACTTCCCAGTAGCCACATCACTGTAGAATCCCCTCTCCTGAGTGTGGGCTGGCCCAGCAACTTGCTTCTAACTGTCGGAGAATGACAAGTGATGGGATGTCACTTCCCGTAATTAACTGACGGGAGACTGTAGCTTCTGTCTTGCTAGTGGATGCTGTCTGTTGCCTTCCTGGTTTGTGTGCTTTGATGAAGCAAGTGGCTGTGTTGCAGAGGTCCACTTGGCAAGGGGATGAAAGTGGCCTTTGGCCAACAGCCAGCAAGGAGCTAAGGCCCTTTATCCAACAACCCTTGAAGAACTGAAATCTTCTAACAACCACATGAGCTTGGAAATGGATCCCCGCCTTGACCCTTCAGATGCGACCCCAGCCCTGGCCAGCGCCTCGATTGCCACCTTGTGAGAGATCCTGAAGGATGGATCCAGCTAAGCCATGACCAGGTGGCTGCCCCAAGACACTGTGGGATCATAACTGTGTGTTGTTTTAAGCCACTCCATTTGTGAGTAATTTGTTAGGTAGTAATAGGTATTAATGAAGAGTTCTTGAAATTTCATGGTCCATGCATTTGCTGTGGTCTTTCTGATTCTTTGGAAAGCCCTTTCCCTCCTTCTCCTTGCCAGCTTGGTCAACCTCTACTCATTAGGACGTGGTTCAAGCGTGATGTCTTCAGAGAGGTCAGCCGTACTTTCCCCATAACCTGCCTTTACCTGGACTTGAATTATCCTTTCTTTGTCCCAACCGGGCCTTGCATAGACTTTTATCACAGCACATAAGCCTATAATGCAATTTTCTCTTTTCCTATCAATCTCCATAAACATTGGAAGCAAATAGCTCCCTGCTTTCCTGGAAGGTAAAAATGTTTTCACTGTGATAGACTTTTCAGAAACACATGAAATCAGCTTTGCTAATCATGAAAGAGACAGATATTCCATTTGTTCTGTGACAGGGTAAAGATGGCATGTTTTTCATGGGGAAAGCAATGAAATGCTCAGCACTCCTGTAGCCAACTCAGCACTCCTTGCTCCCTGCATTTTGGTTAGTGTTTTTATTTTTCATTTATTTTTATTTTTTAGAGTCAAAATTTCACTCTGTCACCCAGGCTGGAGTGTAGTGGACCACCATGGCTCACTGCAGCCTCAACTTTCTAAGCTCAAGCCATCCTCCCACATCAGTCTCCTGAGTAGCTGGGACTACAGGCATGTGCCACCATGCCTGGCTAATTTAATTTTTTTTTTTTGTAGAGGTGGGGTCTCACTATGTTGCCCAGGCTTGTCTCAAACTCCTGGCCTCAAGCAACCCTCCTGCTTCAGCCACCCAAAGCACTAGGATTACAGGTGTGAGCCACTGTGCCTGGTGAATTTTGGTGAGTTTACTCCTATGCTCAGCTCCCTACTGGGTACTGAGCATGCACCTTGACAAGAGTGGCACTCATCTCTAGACACCTGGCACCCTATGTTTAGCACAGAGTACAGTCATTAGTAAATGCTAATTAGGGATGAAGGCATGAAAAAATGAAGGAAATGATTGAATGAATGTATAATGAAAAAAGACATGTGGCTCAATTTGGGGCTTCTTGGTGCTAGGAGGTGGGAGGAAGGGTCTTGCAGATTTCCTGTAGCCCAGACTCAAGGCATATCCTTAGAGCTGGTCAGGGATTGATGTGAGCAATTCCAGGGTAAGGCCCATGCAGGAGTTCCTGGGGTACAGGGAGGATAAGGGGTTAAGGAGCAATGGAAAGGGCCTAGCCAAGGCTGGAGGTGAGTGGCAATGGGGGCTGGGAGGGAGGCAGACAGGCAAGGGAGGTACCCCGGCCCCATAGTCCTTTGGAGAGAACCAGACAGAGAGAGAAAGAGGAGAGACGGCAGGGGCATCTGGAAGGAGATTCGGTACACACAGGTGGGCCCCACCCATTAGATAATGCAGGATGATGGTCTTGGGACACAGCTCAGCACCTTGAGCTTTCCTTGCACTTTGTAAAGCTATTGTGTGCCCCTGGCTTTACATTCTTTGTGATTCCATGTGCTAGAAATTATTTGTTTGTTTACGGCTCACTGTTTCTACAACATCTGTCTGGTTTAACATTGCAGCCTGAGTGTTCAGCAGCACGGGGGGCCCACTGCTTGGTCTACACCCAAAAGAAAGGGAATCCCTGTTTGGAGGGATGTCTGCACCCCGGGCTCATGGCAGCACTGTTCACCACAGTCAAGGCGTGGAAGCAATCTAAGTTCCATCAACAGATGAATGGATAAAGAAGAATATATAATACACAATGGAGTACTCTTCAGCCATAAAAGAAGAAAGACATTCTGTCATTTGTGACAATGTGAGTGAACCTGGGAGATATCATATTAAGTGAAATAAGCTAGGCACAGAAAGACAAATACCATGTGATCTCACTTATATGCAGAAACTAAAAAAATTGAATTCATAGAAGCAGAGGGTAAAATGGGTAAAATGATGGCTACTAGGGACTGGGGGAGGGAGACGTTGGTCAAAGGGCATACAATTTCAGTTAGACAGGAGGAGTGATCAAGAGGTCTATTGTGCAACATGATGATTATAGTTAATGAATTATATACTCGAAAATTGCCAAGAGAGTAGATTTTAAGTGCTCTTACCACAAAAACGTAAGTATTTGAGGGAGTGGATATGTTAATTAGCTTAGCATAGCCATTATACAACATATATGTATTTCAAAACACGTTGAATGCAATAAATTATACAATTTTTGTTTGTCAATTAAAAAATAAATAAATTTAAAAAGTGAAAATGAAACCCAAGTGCTCTTGTATTGAGAGCATTGGGTGGAGGTAGCACTGGAAAAGAGAAAATAAAGTGCAGACTGGCCCTGAGGGGCCCTTTCTGGGGGAGCATAGCCCCAATCCATTTTTTTTTGTCCTGGGACGGCAGAACTCCCTGGCAGGAACGCCTTGCTTTCCTGTGCATTCCACAAGCTCTGACAATCATCTGATAAGCACCAAGCCTTTCACTGAAACGGGGATACTAGGACAGGGCACTATGAGCTTCCTGACCCTCAGGAGCTCACTGTCTGCTCGGTGGGAGAGTGGGAGGGTGAGGAGGGCCGATGCCCGCAGAGAGCAGGGTCAGATAGACAATTCTGGGCTGGCTCCCTCTGTTCTTTAGAGGGGGCCGTGCCAAGCCTGCCAACTTGGGCTGCAGGGCGTTGTCAGGGAAAACTTCCTGGAGAAGTTGGCCCCGGGGTCAGGCCTGAGGAACAAAGACGAGCTAGAGAGGGAGTGGAGAGGACTGGGGAGTGGAAGCAGTAACGGAGGCCCGCGGGGTCCCCAAGGGCTGGGCGCAGGCAGTCAGCAGGACAGATCGAGCCTAGCTCCCCTGTCTTGGTGGGGACTCTGGCAAGGAAGAATAGTGGTGGGCGCTTTGCTGAGCCTGGGGCTGGAAGAGCGTGGAGCAACCTGCAGGGGCTTCAGGTGCAAAGGGAGGAGGGCCTGAGCTGAGGGACTGGGCTGTGGAGGAACGGGGGTGATGGGGGAGGCTTCTCTTTGGGGCGTGTGAGCAGGTGGAAGGGGAGCATTTCATGTCCCGGCCTGAGACAGGACTGGCTGTGCACCCAGTCCAGAGACAGACTCAAACTTCACCTAATCCCAGGTCAGGGCTCCTCAGGGTTCTGAGTGGGCACTGGGCAGTCTGGCTCTTGACCTGAAATGACTTAATGCCCGGGGTGCTAAAGGACATTTCAAAGCATTGGCCTTTCAGAGTCGAGGGGACCTTGGCCCTGCCACTGATGACATGATGCTTGTCATGAGAAGTGACTGGCCCTGGTCGGTGCCTTCTGTGGGGAATGCCCATTGTGCTGCTTGTGTCCTTGTGTGAGGTCATCTCAGTCCCAGGGAGAGATGAGCCCTCATCTATCTATCTATCTATCTATCTATCTATCTATCTATCTGTCTATCATCTATCTATCTATCTATCATCGATCTATGTATCCATCCATCCATTATCTAACATTGATTTATCTTACCACCACTCAGGCCCTTACCTAATCACATTTTCTGAGCTTACTTGCTTCCTAGGAATCTCTAAAATTTCTAAAAATCTAAAGTCTAAATTTCTAAAAGTCTAAAATTTCTAAAGTCTGTTTCAATTTTTGCCAACTTTCCATGACTCAGAAGATATGAATTCCCTTACTACAGACAAATTTGGGAAGGGACCATTTCTTTCCACCCCAGGGTTCTTGAGCACATCTTCCAGGGAGTCTCAGAGAAACTTATCACTTCTCCAGAGTTGTTCACGAATGTCAGATCTAGAATGAGGAGCCGAGTTCCTCGGCTCTTATGCATCTATAAGCAAGCATTTCCTCAACATTCTGCAGTGCTCACCCACCGCTCCTGAACCAGGGGACACACACACACACACACACACACACACCCCACACCCCTCTTCAAAGAAAACTGCAACCGATAAAAGTTTCTTTTAGCAACACAGAGAATGTCACAAGGTCCTACATGATTAAATGCCCAATGGTTGGTGCAGACAGAAATTGAGAGGAGGAAGAGATGCTACTAGTGGAGTCAGCCTGGGAGGAAGGACATCATGGAGAAGGGAGAGAGAAAACAGTGATGAAACTGGAGCAATTGCATAATTTGGCTGGTGCCATGGAGATGCATATATCACAGCTCTTCAACACAGGACTCAAACCTCCAGGGACAACTTTGAATTTGATCTGCAGCCTCCAGAGCTTGGGGGCACCTCCCAGGGGATGCAGCTACATAAGTGGTGAACTCTACCCCTCAGCTGGCCATCCAGGGACACGTGCGTTGGTGGACCACATGAGACCCTTTGGAAAGCCCCAACTGGTTGCCAGATCGCCTGAGAATTCCAACTCCTACTCTAATATTCAGAGCTGCTACTCGTGATGATAGTGGTGTATCCCTTTTGATGTTAAGTGCATACCAACCCCTTCCTAAGAGTTCCTTCCCTGCTCCTTCCTGCGGTTTCTGTTTCCTCCCTGAGGCTGGGGCACCAGTACCTGCCCACACCATCAGCACAAGTGTCACTTCCTTGCCCAGATGAAAGGGAGTCTGCTTCTGTCTTTTAGTTTAAGAACAGAAATGGGTTGCTATTTTTAGCTTTGCATGGGAAAATCCAAGGGAGCATGGAGAAAATGGATCAGCCAGATCAGCCAAAAATCTTTTCTGGGGCAGCTGCCATCTCAGCTGATATGGAGCAAAAGAGGAGAGAAGGGAGGTAGAGATGTCTCAGTCACTCCATTAAACACTGCAAGGCCCTCCCTAGAGCACCCTGGTCATTAGGGAAAGTGTGGAACTGAATCATTCTTGGTAAGGCAGACATTCTTTGCCTGCTATAGGCAATGAGGAAGGACAAGAAAGGCAGAGATGAGAGATGTGTTGTTCTCCCAAAACAGTGAATCCAATCAGCAAGGGGTTTAGAGATGGGTGGCCTGTAAATGGGCTCAAGGGAGGATGGGAGGTGGCCCAGGGGAGGGGTCCAGTTACAGGTGATAAAAAGAAGCCCGATCAGACAGATAGAAGGTTTGGGGATGGGGGACTGGAGGCAGGCCAAGCAATCTGTCCCCATCAAAGAGCAAAGGGAGTAGGTAGAGCCCAGAGAGAGGCACAGAGACAGGGTGGGGATGGGAAGAGGAGAACCAAGGAGGTGCTCTGTGTGTTAGGTAGTGGGGGTCCCGGAGCCTGCAGGTGGGAACTGTCTCCAGCTATTGGGATGAAATAGGGGGCAACTTTAAGCCTTAGAGGAAAGGGTAAAGCAGGGTAGGCACTGCCAGAAGAAATCACGTGCCAGGCTATTGATTTGGTCTTGGAGAGGCAGCATGACTTATTAGAGTGTGAGCTTTTAGGCAGACCTGGGATCAGATTCCTATTATGATTCTTATTAGCCAAGTGAGCTTGAGCAAATTGCTGAGCCCCTCTCTACCTCAGCTTGCCCATCCATATCTTGCAGGATGAGGGCAGTTGTCTTCAAATGGCTTTACCAGAATTAGACTTATGGAGAGCGTTGTGCTTTGTGGGAAAGCTGTGTTGTCCTGTGCTGACGCCCCAAGACACTGGTGGCAGGGGACGGTAGGGTCTGTGCAGGGTGCATTGTGTCCTCTCTTCTTGATCCTTCAAATATTCAAGGCTTCTAAACGATTTGGTGTGAAGGAATCTTTTGTGATCACCAGAGGAAGGGCTCAAGGCTGTGTCAGGATTGACTTTGGACAAAGAGGCAGTAGCTACACATGAACGGAGGCAGGGCACATCCGGCTTCCAAGTTACAGGCAACAAAGGGATGAATGATAGCAGCCTCTTCGAGGAGCATCTGTGAGGAGAGGTGGGCCTAGTGCCCTCAGCCAAGTGCCTGGCATGACGTTGGCACTAAGTAAATCAGAGTTACTCACTAGCCATGGAAGCCGACCCACAGGAGTTAGAGGGAAATCCACTGTCTGGCTTCTAGGAGGGGCTCTGGGCACTCCCACAAAGAATGAAGTGGAAGCCCATATAGGGACCTAGGGCTAGGTGGGGTGAGTCAGTTCCGGGACCACCCCATGCTGAGTCTGACCAACCCCAGCCCAGGACCAGGCTGTGTGTAGAGCGAGGGGCATGGCTTTGCCACCTGCAACAGCATGTGGGCACATATGCTGCTTCTAATCTTTCTTGAATTTGATGCCAGATTAGGAAAAAAAAATGATGACTACTTTATTGGATGCCGGATTGGGAAAAAAATTATAACTACCTGAAAATGATTTAAATGTTCACGTATTAAAACCAAACCTATGGGATTAAATAGACATTTAATCCCTCAGAAATTTCTAGTTGTTTCTCATTGGAGGGACACCGGGGCAAAGTTTTATTTTTCCTTTTGGTTTATTTAAAGCCCTTATTTTCAAGTTTTTAATTAAACTTTCTCATTTCTTTTAATGGGGCAATGTAGCAATGTGAAATATTGAAATGTAAACCTAAGGTTGAAGGTCACAAAGAATAATGTGCAAATGATTTCATACGATTCCCAGCACGATTAACTGCAGAAAGCCACCCTGCAGCAGGCTGGGGTTTCTCCTCTCCACTTGGAAACTTTGGAAACTTTTTCCTTTGATAAATACCTGCCACAGGAAATTAGGCTTACTGATCTTTTACAACTTTATCTTTTTAAAAATGTAAATAGACACACCCCAAACATAATTTTCTCCCTCCAAGTGCATTTGGAGAGCCTGCTGCATTCTTGTGAAAGCTGGAACTGTATCCCATGCCATCCTTTCCCTGACACGTTCTGTCCCTGAATGAGGTTATCTTCCTCCCAGCATGCAATGAGGCCACAGGATGACAGTCACAAGCATCAGGCTTTGAATTCATGGGGTTGGCGATGGGCTCCTTCTTGAATGTGAAAAATTAAACATCTCTTTTTTATTAGAAATCTCCCATCAGGGTTGGAACTTTTCCGAGTGTATGCCCTTAACTCTGAGGAGCCCGGCTATGATGGAAATAGCGTGTGTGTGAATGGCTGGGCTGAAGTGTGACAGGTGTTACTGCTTCCAGCGCAATGCTTATTGTTGTCATGAGCTTTGGGAACCCTGTCTGGCATAGGTGGGCTTCCCCAGATGGAGACTCTGACACAGGGACAGTCATGCAGATTATTTTTCTATGAGTGCTCCCATGAAAGACCAGCAGACATGAGCAACATGAGACAGGCCAGGGAAGGGGCCCAGCAAGGGGGTGACACGAAGCAAAGTCCTGCAGCAGAGCTCCGAGAACAGGGCAGGTCATGCATCCCTGTCATCAGCTCTTGGGTAGGGGATGGAGAATTTAATCCTCCCCTGGGGGGCTGCAAATTCCCAGGCCCATCCTGTGTGCAGATACAGTGGGCTCTGGCATCTGGGGGCAGCCTCCTACTGAGACAGCCCTGCCAGCTGTGGGGACAGACGGCACTGGGAAATGGCCACTAGAAGCAGGTGCTCAGTGACGGCCACCCCTTCCCAAAAGGGAGACAGCTGGGCCTCTGTGTGACTCTCATGTCTCTTCATGTCTCCAGAAGTGTCTCATTTGTTTCAAGATATGAGCAAACACTACTTCAACTTACAGACAGAAGAAGAAATTGCTGACACCAAGTAGTAGCCAGCTCCACTGGAATCTGCTATCTTGTTGTTAAAAGAGCGTTCAAGGCCGGGCAGAGTGGCTCACGTCTGTAAACCCAGCAATTTGGGAGGCCGAGGTAGGCGGATCACTTGAGGTCAGGAGTTCAAGACCAGCCTGGCCATCATGGTGAAACACCGTCTCTGCTAAAAATACAAAAATTAGCCGGGCGTGGTGGAGGGCACCTGTAATCCCAGCTACTTGGGAGGCTGAGGCAGGAGAATGGCTTGAACCCAGGAGGTGGAGGTACGTGCCACTGCACCCCAGCCTGGGCAACAGAGCAAGACTTTGTCTCAAAAAAATAATAAATAAAATAAAATTTTAAAAAATAAAGAGAGTTCAAGATGGCTTGGGCTGGCTAGGTTTCCTCTCTCCTTCTTCAAGGAAGTTCAACCAAATTGGGATGCACTGACTCTGCCCTGGTTCCAGGGAGTGGCTTGCAGATGTTTCTGGCAGCGCTTACTGCCTGTCACCAAGGGTTCTCTCTCACAGGCATTCTCTCTTCCCTTGCTCTCTCACAGTCTTCTCCTCTGCCCTTCCTCCTCTGTAAGCGTGGCATTCCAGGTTCTTCCTGATCCATTCCTGCTTACCCCTCTGCCTTCATCCCACACCACTCCAGGCGCATTTGATGAATGCAGCATACCTGTATAAGCACCTACTTTGTGCCTGCCACTGCTTCTGGCACAGAGATACAGAGGCAAGCAATGTGAATACTATTCCTGCTTCCACAGAGCTTGGGGGCCAGGGTGGAATACAAACAAATAAACAGGTGGTGACAAGGTAGTGTGATAAGTGTCAGGTACCCATGTACAGGGTGCTATGGGAACCAGTAAATGGAATGCCACCTGGACTTGGTGGGCCAGGGATGCTTCCCAGAGGAAGGAACATTTCCTTAGGGACCTGGAAAGTGAGTTGACATGAGCCAGATGAGGGTGGGAGGGTGGGCAGAGTGTTCCAGACAGCATATGCCAAGGCTGAGGCATGAAAGGAAGAGTTCCATATGGTGAGAAGACAGAAGATGTGCTGGGAAGAGGTAGAGAGGGGGCTGGAGGCATAGGCTGAGGCTGGACCCCACAGGGCCTTGGAAGCCAGCTCAGCAAGGCTGCAGAGCCACTAGCAGACCTTTGTAGGCCGACAGGCTTCCTAACCTCTGGGCCTTATCCAGGGATGGGGTCCCTCCAGTTCCAGTGCCCTTGAAATGGCAGGTGACCCATATGCTATAGTGTGTATCACACCACACTCTGAATGCCTGTTTGCTTGCTTGTCTCTCCCATCTGTTCAGTGGGTAAGTTGAGGGCAGGGCTAACTTTCATGCCCAGCATCGAGCACAGGGCCTGGCTCGACCTTGCCAAGGAGGCCACTGGCCTTCCTGGGAGACTGGGGTTTGGGGCCAGCTGCAGACTGGCTGACAAGGAAAGCAATAGGCAGAGAGAGGAGAAGCAGAGAGGGACAGAATATTGAGAGAGCGTGAAGAAGTAGAAAAAGGAAAGGAAATGGAAAATTGCCCTCAGCATTTTGGGCTTCTTAAAGGAAGAGAATAAAAGTATAATTCTTAATTTCTCTCTCTTTCTAATCATCTCTTCCCCCCTCCCCCCCACCCCCGCCTCTCTCTTTCTTTCATTCAGCTGGATCTCCCTATGTTGCCCATGCTGGGCTGGAACTCCTGGGCTCCAGTGATCCTCCTGCCTCAGCCTCCTGAGTGCTGGGATTAGAGGCTGAGCCACTGCACCCAGCTTAAAAGTGCCATTCTTACTACAGCTGGAAGTGAACCACAGCAAATCACCTTCAAAACAAAAGGACACCGAAGATAAGTCAGTGCATAAAAGAACCACAGGCTGAGCCAAGGTAAGAGGCCCTTTAGTGGAGGGCTGAGTAATGGTGGCGACTTGGGCCTCTGCCCATCAGTTAAGAGCATGACTCCTGTGGCTCCTTCAAGCAATCAGGATGGTAAGAACCCACTGCAGAACTGTGGTTTGCTTTTACGGTTTTAATTAAATTAAATTAACTATAATAACCAGGGCTTCTGTGTGTTTCACTTTCCAAATCAAAACGGCCTATTGTAGCTGTCGGGCACAGCGTTTCTGAGCTGAAAATCTAAGTTGCGTGTGTTGGTGCTTTTTTTTTCTTCCTTTACTAGAAGTGCAGGCTGATCTTTTGAGAGCTGAATTACAGTAATAGGAATGGAAATGAGTTACTGATGGCAGCTCTGAATCCCTAATACTGTCACTTCTTCCCATCTGTGCGCCCGAGGCATTGGCCATCATTCTGGGTAAAATGCAGGGCTAGAGCTCCAGCTAGGAGTCAGGAGACTTGAGCTTGAAACCCAGCTGTCTCCTTTATTAGTTTCAAGATCATGGACAAAAAACCTATGGAATAGTCCTAAATCCATAGAGTGGGAATGATGATAATACTTACTTTTCAGGTTATTTGAGGATCAAATGTTGCTCATGCAGCACCAGCTGATGCCAGATATTCCTCAAGGGCTTAACAGACCAACCAGTGATATATGTGAAAAGGTTCACAAAATCCCTCTTGTTTTCTGAGTGGGGAAGGCAAGAGTGCTTTGCTGGGAAAGGGAAAGCCCCTCTGCTCTCCCCATCCACCTTTTGGTAGGTGCCTTTGCCATTAACCCCCCAATAAGTGTTCATTTGCTCCAGGATTACAAGGGGTGTTGCAGGTGGAGCGCTGGTCTAGCTCCCCCAACTCATCGCTGTTGTTCTTGGGCTGAGCTGACATTGCTGCCCTTCACTCTGGCTTTTTAGAGTCAGTTCTGCCCCCATAATGATAAGACTTTCCCTCCCGGGGCCCCTGATGTTTGTTCTCCCCCATGGCCACCTCTTAGGTCTTGCCTGCGTGTGGTTTTCTTCCTCCCAGCATGCAGTGAGGCCACAGGATGACAAACAAGCACCAGGGTTTGAATTCATGGGGTTGGTGGCGGGCTTCTTCTTGAGTGTGAAAAATTAAACATCTTTTTTTTCATTAGAGATCCCCCATGAGGGGGATTATACAGCACTTGCTGTGCTTTCCTTCCTTAGCACCACTGTCTCCACTCAAATCAGCTGTGGCCCCAAATGCTCTGGACCTCACGGTTGATACAAGACAGATACAGCCCTCAGTCCCTTTCCACATCCGAAACCCACGAAGCCTTGAACGCTGCAAGGTTTTTGTTGTTGTTGTTTGTTTTTGTTCTTTTTTTTTTTTTAAATAACACACTTGGTGCCCAAACCTGAACTCCCATGAAGCTATTATAACCTTCATTTGCCCACTTAAAGAGCCAAACATGTTGCTGCAGAATTATTAATATGTTTGTTTACAGGATGACACCTAAGACTCCTAGACCCTACTGGGGAGTTAGATAAAACAAGATATGCACTGATCTATTGTTCTAAAATTGGAAAGAGTCTGAATTCCAAACACACTTGGACCCTTGCATTTCAGAAAGTGACCATGCACCCATAACAATGGCTAGTCTTCATGGCGCACACTCATGTTTTAGGCCATTTAATCCCCACATAGCCCTATGGGAAGGTTCCTTTAGCTTTTCCATTTGACAGTGGGTGACACACAGAAAGATAAAGAAACCAAGACAGGCTGCACATTTAACAAGCACAGAGTCAGGACTGGACCAGGCAGCCTGGCATCAGAAACTTTTCTCTTGAGACTCCTTTGCACTGCCTGTGTTTTCTGTTTCACTCCTACTGAGATATTAATCACCTACCAAAACTCAAAATACCACGGGAAACAGCATTCTGTGGTGGTTAAGAATATGGACTATGGATATAGAATGCCTGAGTTTACATCTCAGCTCCATCACTTAGCAGCTGTGTCACTTTGGGCATGTTACTTAACTTCTCAGTGCTTCATCTGTAACATAAGGATAATAATAATACTTCTTAGGGTTGCTTGAGGATGAGTTAATATATGTAAGGTAACCCGGCACATGTCCGTGTTAACTATTATTATTATTATTTCATCTCACCTATCTGCAGCTGAACTAGCACCAACGAATCTCATTATATGTGAACTGAATTAGGTTAAGCTCTGGGGTCAGATCCTGATCTCTTTATCTAGTGGTTGACAGTGTCACTCACTGTTGACAGGACAGCCTCTAACAGGGGTTATTGTCATCTCACGCAGTAGTGTTTCCTGTGGGTACAGAGAGTGGCTGCATGCATAAACCAAGGGCTTCTCAACTTTCCAACATATTAATAATAAAATGAAAAGACAGAAAATCACACTTATTGACCAATTCCAAAGGAAATTCATTTTACTTTACCAAATTGTTACCAAAATATTTGCTTATTTCAACTCTGGAAAAATACCTTTGGGAGGATGAAAGGGTTGAACTTTTACTTTTTATGCTTCAAATAACTTCTAAACACAAGCCTGTTTGGTGAAAAGGGAAAAAACCTGTGAATGTCTCACTTTGCAAAAGAACAACAGGAAGCTCTGGTTGGCAAGGTTTTACATGCACTTCAGAGAGTTTAAGGTCAAGGTGCAGAAGGGCTAGTGAGGAACTGGAGCTGAGGCTGAGCTTGTGGCTTAAGGGGTGGGTGCTAGATTTCTGCCTGCTTAGGAGGGGCTGTGCCTCTCCCTTCTCCCTTGGCCAGCTGCTCACAGGAACTTCTTTTTCTGGAGCCTTGTAGAAGATTCATCGTGGTCCCAGCACTTACACATCTGAGCCAGCTCAGGCTGGATGGAAAGTTTTGAGGGCCACCTATTCCTAAATATTCAGGAGGAGAAAAGAAAATCCCTTGCAAATGACAGGAAAAAGCCATCCTTTCTCAATACTTAAACATGACATTATGATTCCTGGAAACCACAACAAAAAAACAGAACAACATTCACTCTGTCTCAAAAATTCAAATAGGCACAAGGCAATGACATATGGTAGTTTTTGTTTCTCACAGAACTGAGATCTGCAGTTCTCAAGGACTTTCTGGATGGTGACTACAGCCAGGGGCAATGAGGTCAGCGTGGCTGGGGCTTTCCGGTCACTGGTGGGCAGAGGAGCACAGGGAGCATGTACTGGGGTTGGATCTATAGGCTGGGAGCCAGCAGGCCTGCACTCAAATGCAGTTCTACCACTTTCTACTTGTGGGGTTTGCTGATAAGGCCTCTCTGCCTCAGTTCCTCAGCTGCAAAGTAGGGAGAATAATAGTATTTGGCTCCCAGGGTGGCTGTGAGCGTTAAATGAATGAAGACATAGCAAGGTGTTCAATACCTTGCACGGGTCAGCTATTTAGTTAATGTTATTTATTATTGTTGTGCTCTGATCCTACTTGTGCAATCAGGGGAATGCCATTAACCTCTTTTTGTCCTTGTTTCTCCCTTATAAAATGGAATAAAAATACTTCTTTTGGGGCTGTTGTAAAGTTTAAATGGAATAGTGTACAAATTGGCATTTATTGAGTTGGGTTCAATAAGTGGTAGCCTTCCCAGGAAGGATCGTTTGGGAGTCTTCTACACCTTAGATTCCCCATGAGATCTTTTCAAAGGCAAATCTGATAACACATCTTTTCTTCCTGGAGAAGCCAAGGTTTGATCCTTGCTCAGAGCAGCTTGAAGCAGCAGTGAGTGAGTAAAGCTGGCACCCCTCCAGCTGAGAGAGGAAACCTGAACAAAACCATGGAAGGAAGTATCTAGAAGGCTTTATGCAGTGCTAGGCACACTTCTAAGGATGTGATAACTTAGTTCAACCTCACACACTCTTACAAGCTGGAACTACTATCATTTCCATTTTGCAGGTGATGAAACTGGATTCAAACCCAAGTCATCTGGCCCTGGAGTCTGTGTCCTGGGCATAACACACTGCCCTGGCATAGGAACTTTCCGAGGAGATAGGAGGCTGAGATCATGGTGGGGAAATGAGCAGAAAGGCTGGTGGGAGTGCTGTGAACACCAGGCCAACCTTCAATTTAAAACAATTCCTTCAAGGAAACACAGCTCCAACTATTCCTTGTCAGCAGAGCAGCTGCACACAGTCCCTTGTCCTGTATGTCCTGATAATCGTCCTTTTCCACTTCCTCTCTCCCCTCCCCCTGGCCGACTTATTGATACCGACGTGGACAAATGAGGTCAGAAAACTTCAGTGACCGCACACAGTGTCCTTCTCTATGGGTCACTCGCTCACAAGGTCAGCACAACAAACCCTCCTGCTGCAAGGATTGTCCCTGGGAAGCTGGGGGAGGAGCCTGCGTGCTTCCGCGTCTCCCTTGACTCCTGCCTGTCCGAGGCCAGAATGGGACTGCGCTGATTAGAGAGGGAGCAATTCTGGAGGGCAGGAGTGAGGTGGAGGAGGTGACCCTGAGCTAGGCAGAAGATCACGTAGGAGGCTGTTCACTGAAATGAGCTTTTGCACTTGGAACATTACATAATCAGAGAACACCTTGTTACCTTGTTTTGGTAATAATTAAGAGTTCAAATCAATCACCTTTCCATTCATTATTTTTAAAACGACAGATGTCAGAAATCTAAACCTTGTTTTTACTGTTTTGGGGGATGCGGGGAAGCGAGATTAGCCAGCCTCTGAATCACCCACCCACATGTGGTACATTCCTTGGGGTAATTAGAAGATTGTATGTTCCTCTTTCCAGAGATACTTGAAGAATCATACTGTAAATTTGTGTAACATTTTATAAATTATTTTGCGTACATTTTTAGGAGATGAGAAATCATTTTGTTTCAGATTAAAAACTCTCTCAAAATAAAATCTAAATATCTCTTCCTGGACATAGCTTTTTTCAGACTGCAACTGCAGAATGGGGCTTTTTTCTATCTCTCTTTATTTAAAGATCACATAAATTTTAAGAAAAGAAAGCCACTGGTTTTAGGAGTCTAAGAGCAAAGATTTAGAAAGAAGAAAGAATACGCCTTTGGAAGATCTGCATACTTTGGAAATGAAGAGAGTTTTATTTCTTAGAGACAGGAGGAAGATTTATAGATTTATGTTTCCTCCATAAGACAAATGACCGAAGCGCACGTTGTTGGTTTTTTTCAGCACTAAATCTAATCAATAACCTTTGTTACGAAAGAAACAAATAATCGCTAAAGTTTAGTAAAGGTATAAAATTCACTAGGTTCTAGTGTTCGGGTTATTTGAAACGTGTGTGTGTGTCTCTCTCTCTAGAGCTGTGCTTCAGCTAATTCCTGTTAAATAGTTATGGAGTATTTTTTTCTTTTTGCTACGAGCCTTGCAACATATGAGACAAATCAGACAAGTTTAGAATCACAGAATGTTAGGGCTGGAGAGGACGTGGCGCTAGCCGCGTGCCCAGAGTTTACAGTTGAGACGTTGAGGCCCCCAGAGCTGCTGAGACTTGCCCAGTGTCACCTAGCTGCTGAGGCCCGGGGACCTCGTTGTCGCATCCGACCTGGGGCGTGCGCAGCTCTAATTCTCCGCTCTGAATGCTGGCCCTGGAGTTGCCCCTGCTCTCTCACAGCTCAATACTTGGGGACCAAACTCTCTCTCTTTCTGCTCCCCTCACCCCCACCAAGCGCCGTACCCACCTCCCTCGCTATCAAACAAAAGCTCCAGGCATTGGAAACGTTTCCCCGCCGGGAGCGCCAGGGTCCGGCCGCGCTGCGGGGTCGGTCTGCGCGCGCGGCGGGGTGGTGGGCGCGTCTGGCCGCCCGGGTCTTCAGGCGCGCAGCGACGCCGGCCCGGGCCGCCGGTCTCAGCGCCCGGCTCCGGCTGGGCGGCCCCGGACGCGCCGAGCCAGGCTCGCGGGGGTCAAGTCCAGGTTGCGGCGCAGGAAGGCGGCGGGGGAGGGGCGGGCCGGCCGCGCCCTCACCCCCTCTTCTCCGCGCCCAGTGCGGAATGATGGGCCGGTTCCCTCGGTGTGGTATGTCTGTATAAACATCGTTAGCCTCCGGGCCGACACGTGGTGCATTTTTAATTTCGCCTTACAAATTGCGGCCTCCTGGCGCTGGAGAAGCGGTGGGGGACCTTGACTCCCCGCCTTTCGGGTGCATTCCTGGGCTCCCGGCTGCCTAGACACGAAAGGGTGCTGTGCTTCCTGGCTTCGCAGCGCACCTCATTTGTAACATTATCTGTGCTAGGGAGTCAGTCTTTCCTACTTACCTGGAACTGGCAAAACGTGGCTGCATGGTAGGGTTGACTCTTAATCTCCCGGGGCGGGAGCAGAGCGCAGAATCCTCTTTCCACTCTATGTTCGCAACCACAAGCCCCGACAAGCGGCGCTGGCTGCTCCGTCCCGTCTGCGGGCCGCGGCTGCTCCGTCCCGTCTGCGGGCCCCAGGACCATGCGCTTCCCCGCGTCGCCCTCACCTGCGTCCCCACCACCTTTCCATAGCGCTCAGTCCTCTCCCACCTCCCCGTCTCGCTCACTTAGCGCACAGAGCCTCATCCGGAACCGCCCCAAACCCAAACCCTTTAAAAATCGATTTCGGCATCCCTCAATTCTCTGCTTTCTTCTTCCTGGCAGGAGGGGAATCATGCTCCTTACTTGGGAGGTTGTATTTTGAGGCAGATCATACAAATGACAAAGATGGAAATCCCTCAGAGCCTATGGCAGTTTTGACTTTAAACATGAGGCGAGTTAACAAGGCAAGCAGCGATAAATTCAGCCCAGGGCACGACCCAGCACTAAATCCTCCCTTACAGTGTCCAGATTTCTGGCCAAGTTGTCAATGTGATGCCCTCTTTCTCCACTGGCCTCCTCAACTCCCTTTTAGGTTGTGTTGTTTTTGTTGGTTCACTTTTGTTTTACTGCCAAGTTATCTCTGCCACCACTCCCCACCGCCCTCATTTTCTGATTCTGTTTTCCAAGTTTCTTACGCATGACCAGAATAACACACCCCACGCTTCTCCTGCTAAATCCCTCAAACTGCTGCCCTAGTAGAAATTTTGGAACAAGTTCGTGGCAGAACATTTTGTTCATTCCCCTACATGAGCTGCTGAAAGATGGAAGAACATGGTATTTGCTGGGAATGAAAACATGGGAAAAGCTTTTGGAACCGACACCGCTATATTCTTTTTGTCCCTTGCACAAGGTAATCGTGTATCCTTCACATTCTATATAAAAACAACCTACAAAAAACATGTAGCCCCCCGCCACTGGAGATGATCAGTACTGGGCAGGGTTAACCAAGAAGCACTTAGTGTGCCTGAGTAAATAGTGCGGGAAGGATGACAGCATGTTAGACTAATAGGCTGATCATAGCGATAAACTTGTCCCAAAGATTCTTTCCGCTTTACGTTGAACAGTTACTTTGCTTCAAAGGAAATGGGTAAATGGTGTTGGTTTTATGGCCTGGAACCCTCTACTCAGACAGCTACACAACAAGCCTGCATTAAACGTTGTGTTATCTTCCTGCTCCGTCAGATTTAGAAAGAAATAATATTATTACATACACCATAGTTTATTTCCCTCTTGATGTTCTACAAAAGGAAGGAGATCAAGTTACACGCGGAATAAGTGCTCCATGGAATAAATGGTCCACAAGGTAGAAGTAAGCAGATGATTCTGCCTGCCTACCTGACAGTGGTGGGGATTATACAAGGTAAGAAATAAAAAGAAAATGAGGATTTTCCCAAACACATAAAGGTTCTTTAAGCCTCACTCTGTTTCATGCTTTTGCTTTTGCTCAGCCGTAATAATAATGATAGTGATAATAATGGTAACTGCTAACATTTGCCAAATATTTATGATGTACTGAGCCCTGTGCTAAGCCCTTGCATACATGATCTTATTTAATTCTCACAGAACTTCAGTGGGGTGGGTCCCTTTTATCCCAATTTTATAGGTAAGGAAATGGAGTCAGAAAGAGCTTATGTAACTTGCCCAAGGTCACACTGCAAGGAAACAGAAGTGAATTTAAAGTACTACTTTTAGCCCCTGTACACTTCTGCCTCCTATGTGATTTCATGCTGAAAAGCCGTTGGCAAAATCAATCAAGAAATGAAATCAGCTCTATTAAACGTTGGATTCTGAAAATAGTTACTATTAACCATTAATGGGGCACTTAGTATGAGCTGCTCCTCAAGGTAGTTGTGTAGTATCATCCCCAATTTGAGGAGGACGCACCAAAGGCTTGAACAAGCTGAATGACTTTCTGAAGTTCATGTGGTGGCAGAGCTGGTGTTTGAACCCAGATCTTTTCACTCCTGAGCCTGGACTTTTAACCTTGCTGCTGTGTGTGGTATCCTCTGCTCCCTGGCACGTGTCGCTTTGTGTGTGTGTGTGTGTGCGTGCGTGCGTGTGTGTGTGTGTGTGTGTGTGTTGGGGGAAGGGAGATGGAGAAGTCCACGTAGGCTGAGCAGCAAGAAAGAAGCCTTTTTCTCCAATAATCTGTAGCCCTCCTTCAAATCCTATCAAGTGACTGAAATTGCTCTGGTGGCCCTGACAATAGAGAAATTAGGAAGGGCACAGTGACTGTAGCACAGGGCTTAGCACATTGTAAATATTTGGTAAATGTTAGTAGTTACTATTATTATCACTATGATTTATTTTATTTTATTTTATTTTATTTTATTTTATTTTATTTTATTTTATTTTATTTTATTTTATTTTATTTTATTTTATTTTGAGACAGTCTCCTCTGTTGCGCAGCCTGGAGTGCAGTGGCGCGATCTCGGCTCACTGCAAGCTCCGCCTCCCAGGTTCAAGCGATTCTCCTGCCTCAGCCTCCTGAGTAGCTGGGACCACAGGCGCCCACCACCACCCCTGGCTAAATTTTTGTATTTTTAGTAGAGACGGGGTTTCACCGTGTTAGCCAGGATGGTGTTGATCTCCTGACCTTGTGATCTGCCCGCCTCGGCCTCCCAAAGTGCTGGGATTACAGGCGTGAGACACCGCGCCCTGCCATCACTATCATTATTTTTATGGTTGAGCAAAAGCAACGGCACTAAACAAAGTGAGGCTTAAAGAACCTTCATGTGTTTGGGAAAAGTTTCAGAAGACAGGAGCTCTGGGGATTGCCCTTAAAGGGCAAGTCAGGTTTGGGTGGTGGGAGATGAAGGGGCACCAGCTTTGCAAAGAGCTCGAGGTAGAAACTGGCAGGGCAGTGACAGAAGAGTTTGGCTGACCCGGGATTTGGTTCAAGGCTTATAGCTGAGCCTGGCATCACATCCTCTTCATTATTGACTCCGAACTTGTGTCTAGCACAATGTGTGGCAAGTAAATGCTGAGTAAATGTCAAGGTGAAGAGAATTGAGATAAATCAGCTGAACCTCTGCACGCAGCCTGAGACGACCCCCACTGCCTCCCTCGCTCCTCTCCCGTCACTGCTCTGGGCCTAGCCTCCTTCACTCTTCTTTGCCTGCTTGTCTTGGATTCATCAGTTCCTTGCCACAAACAAAACCTTTTTTAAAAAAAGGTTTTATTTTATTTTTAACTGACACATAATAATTGTATATATTTGTGGGGTACAATGTGATGTTTCGATAGATGTATACATTGTGTAATGATCAAATCAGGGTAATTAGCAAATTCATCACCTCCAACATTTATCATTTCTTTGTGGTAAGAACATTCAGAATCCTCTCTTCTAGCTATTTTGAAATGTACAGTACATTATTGTTAACTGTAGTTACTCTGCTGCGCAATAGGATACCAGAACTTACTCCTCTTATCTAACTATAACTTTGTACCAGCCTCTTTCCACCTCCTCCTCCCCTCTACCTTCCCCAGCCTCTGGTAACCACTTTTCCGCTCTCTTCTTCTATGAGACCAACTATTTTAGAGCCCACATCTGAGTGAGACCATGCAGTATTGGTCTTTCTGTGCCTGGCTTATTTCACTGAACATAATATCTTCAGGCTCACACATGTTGTCTCAAATGACAGGATTTTATTCTTTTTTATGGCTAAATAGTATTCCATGTGTGTATATATACCACATTTTCTTCATTCCTTCATCCATCTGGTAATGAACACTTAGGTTGATTACATATCTCTGCTACTGTGAATAGTGCCACAGTAAACATGGGAGTGTAGACACCTCTTCTACATACTGATTCAATTTCCTCTGGATGTGTATCCAGTAATGGGATTGCTGAATCATATGATAGTTCTATTTTTAATTTTTTGAGAAATCTCGATACAGTTTTCATAATGGCTGTACTAATTTACATTCCCACCAACAGCGTGCAGGGGTTCACTTTTCTCCATATCATTGCCAACACTTGTTATTTTTTTGTCTTTTTGATCATAGCCATTCTAACTGGAATGAGATACTATCTTACTGAGGTTATTCTGTTTACATTTCTCTGATGATTAATGGTGAACATTTTTTTATATACCTCCTTGCCATTTGTATGTCTGCTTTTGAAAAATGTCTATTCAGATCTTTTTCCCATTTTTAAAATGGATTATTATTATTATTTTTTGCTATTGAGTTGTTTTTGTTCCTTTTATATTCTGGTTATTGACTCCTTGTCAGATGTCTGGTTTGCATATATTTTTTCCCATTCTGTAGGTTTCTCTTCACTCTGTCGATTGTTTTCTTTGCTGTCAGGAGGCTTCGTAGTTTGATGTAATCCCATTTGTCTATTTTTGCTTTTGCTGCCTGTGCTTTTGAGGTCTTATCCAAAAAAATCCTTGCCTAGACCAATGTCATGTAGTGATTCCCCTAAGTTTTCTTCTAGAAGTTTTATAGTTTTGGGTCTTACATTTAAGCCTTTACTCATTTTGAGTTGTTTCTTTTGTATGGTGGGAGATAGGGTTCTAGTTTAATTCTTCTGCATGTGGATATTCATTTTCCCCAGCACCATTGATTAAAGAGGTTGCCCTTTCCCCAATGTGTGTTCTTGGCCCCTTTGTCAAAAATCAGTTGTCTGTAGACATGTGGATTTATTTTGGGGCTCTCTATTCTGTTCCAGTGGTCTATTTGTCTGTTTATATGTCAGGATCTTGCTGTTTTGGTTATTATAGCTTTGTATATTTTGAAGTCAGGTAGTGTGATGCCTTCAGCTTTGTTCTTTTTTGCTTAAGATTGCTTTGTATATTCAGTGTCTTTTGTGATTCCATACAAATTTTAGAATTGTTTTTTCTATTTCTGTGAAGAACGTCATTGGTATTTTGATAGGGATTTCACTGAATCTGTTGATTGCTTTGGGTAGCAGACATTTTTATTTTAGTTTAGTTTAATTTTTATAGATTTAAAACAAGTGCAGTTTTGCTACATGGATATATTGCATAGTGGCTAAGCCTGGGCTTTTAGTGTAACCATCACCTGAATAGTGTACATTGTGTCTATTAGGTCACGTCTCATCTCTAACCCCTTCCACCCTCCTATCTTTCTGAGTCTTCAGTGTTTATTGTTTTCTCACTCTATGTCTGTGTGTAGCCATTGTTTGGTTCCCACTTATAAGTGAGAAGATGCAGTTTTTGACCTTCTGTTTCTGAGTCATTTCATTTAAGATGATGGCCTCCAGTTCCATCCATGTTACTGTAAAAGACATTATTTCATTCTTTTTTTATAGCTGAGTAGTATTCCATGGTATATATACCACATTTTCTTTAATCATCTATTGTTCAGTACTTAGGTTGATTCTATATCTTTGCTATTGTGAATAATCATACGGGTGCAGGTGTCTTTTTCGTAGAATGACTTCTGTTCCTTTGGGTAGATACTGAGTAGTGGGACTGCTGGATTGAATGGTAGTTCTATTTTTATTTCTTTGAGAAATCTCCATATTCTTTTCCTTAGAGGTTTACTAATTTATATTTGCACCAACAATGTGTAAGCATTCCCTTTTCACCACATCCTCACCAACATCTGTTATTTTTTCAACTTTTTAATAAGAGCCATCCTGACTGGTGTAAGATGGCATCTCAGTGTGGTATTAAAGTGATGATGGAAAGAGGTGTAAACATGCACATAGCTCTCTTTGTGTGTGTCAGCCACTGTTCTAAGCATTTTATATGCATTAATTAGTTTAATCTTCTACAAAATAAACATGCTGATGATCCTCACCTTACAGGGAAGAAAACTGAGGCACAGAACTTAAGTAATCTGCTAAAGTCACTCTGTGAATTAGGGACTGAGTTTGACTAAAACTCAGGCAGTCTGGCTTCAGTGCCTGTGCTCTTCACCATTTACTTACCGCTTTTAAAAAGTAGCTGCACAATGCTCCAACTGCATCCAAGCCTCACACGCCACCTCTTTGATGTGTGTAATTCAGACCTTCAGATCAGACAAGTAAACGTCAAAACTTCTAGACTCCAGGAGTTTTAAGATGTGCTGACTCTCCATCCTGCCCTTTTTCTATCTCTCTCCCACTCCCTATCTCTTGTCTTTCAGCTTTCTTAGAATTTTTAATTCTTCTTACTCTTAATCATCATGGAATAGCACCAAGTTCAGGCATCCAACTATGCCCTTTTGAAATTCCCATAGAGAGCATCACGCAACTCCAGGCCTGACCGTTATGAAGCTATTTTTACTGACAAAGTCTTTGTGAGAATGAGCCCCACATTCAGTGTTCTAAGCATCCTATCCGGGACATGAAACCATAAGGGGAGCTTTGCCACACTCGGAACTCATCTGCTTTCCTGTCCATCAGTCAGAATCTTGCAGAAGCTTAGGGTGAATGAGTGCCCTCTTCTAATTTTCAAGAAATGGAGAGAGTTACCAGCCAGTTTCACCACCTCAAGCTGATAGTGCAATTGTAGAGAGATCTGAGTGGTTCCTTAAAAAATGGAAACAGGAAGCAGCTACAGATGAAATTTTGGACTCCCAAATGCAAGTTAATACATCAAGCAGATGTACGGAATGTGACCATGAACCGGTGTTCCTCTAAATACACTTAATAGCACGGCCAAATTTGAACTTCCTGCATTCCCTTGCAAGCATCCTTCCAAATCTGGCCTTTCAGTGACGTTGGTGAGTGGAACATTTTTAGGATTTAGGGACATTGTGCTAGAGTGGAGGCCAAAAAAACATGATAGAGAAAAATGACATTAAGCAGCTACAAGATGATCCAGGGAAAGGGATGTGTCATTCTAATGTTGAAAACGTCCTCTGATAAGTGCGTGAAGTTTCCTGGACATTGAACAAGAATAGGAAATGGTTTGCAGAAGACCTATTCACATAGTAACTATTGAGTATTCTGATCCAATGTGTTGGTGGATTAGTGGTCAAGATGAGAATAGGAATTTATAGCGGTTTAAAGTTGTGGTCCCAGATTTATATCAACGCCTCATTAGCTGAAGAGATGGACCATAGGCAGGCTCATTTAGGCAAAGCAAGGAACAGTTCGAGGGATCTCCTAAATCCTTGAGATAAAAGTCGCTGAAACAGTATTCAGGCACCTTCCTCAATGCTGGGAAGTCAGTAAGTGTTGTATTTCTGCCAGTTCTAGAAATAAATACAATACCTTGCATCTTACTTTGATCCTGTGATCTCACTTCACCCTTCACAACAACCCCATGAGGTAGGTAGCTTGTAATATCCTTAATGTTTATTTTAGAGATGAAAAATAGTCATAGGGAGATTGAGGAGCTCTGTTCAGGCTTCAGAGTTGTTTATTTAGAGAGCTGGGCCTGGAACCCAGGCCTTCCCACTGCCTGGTTCATATGTCTCCAACATGCACAACATTCTCCAACATGCACTACGCATTCTGTTCAAGTTTGTCAGTACAGTTAATGTAAAATGTGTCTGAGAATGATGGGGATCTTGGTAATATCTGACTATTGGGGGGAAGTAAAGATAGCGAGTAGAACCCTCACACCTGGAAATGATATTCTGCTGGCTCCCAGAAGCTCTCATGGCGAGGATAAAGGTTGAACTGTGAGCACTCGGCCCGCGGGAGTCCTTGAACAAGTCAGGAGGGGAGTTCAGGTCCGTTCACTCCCATGGCATGTTCATTTCGTTTGTCCCCATAGCTGTCTCTAAGTGAGGATAAGGTCTGTGATTCATGAGTTGCTAAAGTCTGTGGAGGAAACTACTCTTATATAAACACCACTGATGCTGAATAGCTTTAGAAAACCAATTATTCAAAGTTGACTTTTATAGTACTTTGAAACCTAATTTGCTGTCATTCCACATCTCTATTCTTTCCCTTTCTTTGAGTTCTTTCTTTCCTTCTCTCCCTCCCTCCCTCCTTACTTCCCTCCCTCCCTCCTTCCTTCCTTCCTTTCTTCCTTCCTTCCTTTTTGCAAATACCCAAGTATCAATAGCTTCAGAGGTAATGTCTTGCTCACATCAGATCAAAGTTGAGTATTTCTGATCAGCAGATGGCTCTCCTCCAAGCAGCAACAGGGCACAGGCTGTCCATACGTGGGCTCTGTAGCATCCGGGCTCCCCATCAACATGAGGGAGGCTTCCTGGGTCACGGTGCTCACCTTCACCAAGCCGGCAAAAGTGAAAAGAGCCTGCAGCATTGCACGTGGGGAGGCTACTGTGGACTTCTCTGGGAATGGCATGGGTGACTCCTGCTCTCATCCCATTTACTAGAATTTGGTCAAGGTTCACACCTCCTGTGGTGGGCTCTGGGAAGCATCTATCTGTGTGCCGGGAAAGCAGGAGCCAGGTTTGGAGAAGAGCTGGCGGTGTGCTTGCTAGCTAGCAGGTAGATGAAGTCTCTTTCTAACAGAGCTGTGTTTGGCCATGAGTCACAGAAGCAATATCAGGACACACAGGATAACAACAATATGTAAAGATGAACCACTTACTTTGAATAAGCCCCCAAATGGTACAGATGTCCTCTACTGCAAGTAGGCAATTTTAAATTGAAAAAAAATTTTCAAATACTACAGCTCTTGAAAGAAAATACACAAAAAGCAGGTAAGTCAAAAATTAAAACCCATTGAGAACCACCCTACCATTTTGATCTATTTCTTATATAAGAATTTTAATTATTAAAATAATTTTATTTAAGATGTTTTATAATCCCATTGCCAAATAAACTATATTTCTATTTATACTTAAACATAGAGTTTTGTTTGTTTTTTTGAGATGGACTTTTGCTCTTATTGCCCAGGCTGGAGTGCAATGGCGTGATCTCGGCTCACTGCAACCTCCAGGTCCAAGTGATTCTCCTACCAGCCTCCCGAGTAACTGGGATTTCAAGTATGTGCCACCATGCCCGGCTAATTTTGTATTTTTAGTAGAGATGGGGTTTCTCCATGTTGGTCAGGCTGGTCTCGAACTCTCGACCTCGGGTGATCTACCTGCCTCGGCCTCCCAAAGTGCTGGATTACAGGCATGAGCCACCGCGCCAGGCCAAACATAGGTTTTATGTGATTGCAATGGTGAGGAAATGTAATTTTAAGCACTACTCTTTCATTCTGTAATAACGCTTTACACTGGCATAGCACATTGCTACATGCAAAAGACATTTTTGCATGTTTTTATGATCTTATTTCAGATTTTTCTCTTTTTCATGTATTTGTGTAGTCTTCATATTTACAACCTTTAATACAATTCATGTTTTGTTAGTTGAATAACCATAGCAAGCTTAATTATTATTTTTTTAAATTTTAATTTTCTCCCCGCCTCCCCACAGTGGTCAAGGTTGGTGTTCCTTCTAGATCCTTTCCAAATCTTTTCAGCATTTTTGTGTTGATAGAAATGTGAATAATTTTAGATTCTTTTGGGAGGCTAGCTGGTAGAATGTATTAAAATTTAAAATGTATATGCTCTTTGACCAAGAAGTCTCCTTTTTAAAAATTTTTATTTCCAGAGATTGGATAGCTGGAAAACATATTGAGAAATTATTCATAGTAGCAAACGGAAAAACAAAACCCCAGAGCAAAATAATAAAAACCTGGTGACAAAGTGGTTGTCCAGTAATAGAATATTATGTAGCCATTAATGAGAATGAAATGGAGTTATACCAGTTGAATTGAAGGGATTTCCATAAAGTATTGGTAAGTGAGACAAAATGCAAGCCATTGTGCAGAATGTATAGTATAATTCCATTTCTGGAAAATAGACAAGATAAAAACAAACAAAAACAAAAACAAAACTGTAAAATATAGATGACCCAAATGAAAGCACAGATATATTCACATCCTAGTCACAAATTTTATTTTTTCACGTAACTGGGATAGTGATATTTGAATGACACTTATCTGTTTCTTTGGAGCAGAAATTATTACCCACCTCTAATACCTCATGATAACAAGCATTGTAAATATGTGGTCCAAAGACATTCCTTTAGAATACAAAGGTTTGGCCAGGCATGGTAGCTCTTGCCTGTAATCCCAGCACTTTGGGAGGCCAGGGTGGATGGATCCCTTGAGCCCAGGAGTTCAAGACCTGCTTGGACAATATGGCAATACATACATTTTTTGTATTTTTGGTAGAAACCCCATCTCTACCAAAAAATACAAAAAAATAGCTTTGTGTGGTGGCACACACCTGTAGTCCCAGCTACTCAGGAGGCTGAGGTGAGAGGGTTGCGTGAGTCTGGGAGGCAGAGCCAAGATCGTACCACCGCACTCCAGCCTGGGCAACAGAGAGAGATCCTGTCTCAGAAAAACAAAACAGAGCAAAACAAAACGAAAAAAGGGTTAAAGGAGACATTTATTTTGAATGTACACAAGTAGTGTTATTCTTAGTCAATGATTTTGCTTTACATTTTCAGTACTGCTTTAAAAACATTATGATATTTGTGCCTGGAGTAAAATAAAATAGTTTGTTAAAGAGTGTGTCTCTCCTAAAAATGATAAGGATGATGACTAACTTTCCTAGTTTTTACTACATTCCAGGATATATGGCTGATTGCTTTACATATATTATCTTAATTGTCGCAATTCTGAGAGGTATTATTATTTGCTCCATTTTACAGGAAAACCCAGAAAGATTAATATTTATCTAAGGTTATACAGCTTGTGAGTGGTAAAGTCAGATTTGGAATCAGAGTGGCTGACACCAAAGCCTGTGTGCTCACTCACCTTCCTAAATGGCCTTTTAGTGTCTTTCTATGAAATGAACAATTTTCCATACATGAAATTAATGCTTTCTTGAAATATCATGGATAGAGTTAATTTTCTTGAATTAAATAATAATTTACAACTGACTTATTTTTTAAAATTAGATACATGTCCCTAAGGCCTAACTGTTGGTCAAATGACATTATAAAGTTATATGTGTGTATATATATGTCTCTCTATATATTTACATATGTCCATATAGAATATAATGTATGTATATATAGAACATTATGTATCATTATATATATTGTAAATACTATTACCTTTGATATACACACGCATGTGTATATAGAGAGTGGAGTGGTGTGAGTGGGATGGAGAAGCTCTGTATTTTATTCTGTGTCTGGGCAGTGGTTTCACTTTTCTCTTGTTTGGTTTCTAGATGGCAGGAGGGAAGATGAGCTCTGTGCTGCTCATCCTATGGGTTTTTGTATTGCTTTCAGGATTTTCAGATACTTTGGTTAAGTCAGTGCCCTAAGAAAGACTGGAGGTGGTAGATGCAGCTATAAGATGAAGGAACCTGAACAATCCATGAACAGGAGGAGTTTGAGGTAATTATATTTAAAACATTAAATAATGTTTCTGTTCTGCATGTCGATTATTGCCCAATTCAACATAATTTATCTCCTGATGATATTTTCACTTTCAGTAAAATCTAAGTTGTAAGTAGACTTGGAAATATACTAAAAGTAATAGAATGAGATTGTCTATATTGCAAAGTAGAATTTCTGTTGTAGATTTTTAAAAATCAACTTTATAAACATAGAGGATTTGTGGGATAATTGTGAGTTCTCTATTTTACTAGGGATGGTAAAAATATATTAGGCATATATTAAGATGTTTCTGTATTATAATCTCTTAACCTAAAATAAAAATTTTCAGTACATAAAGGGCTATCTATTCAAAATTAAAAGTATTCAGGGGTAGAAAAAAGTATTCAGATTAGAAAGAAAAAATAAAAAAAGTAATAAAATCCACAAAAACATCAATAACTTCTTATGCTCCAATGTTTAAAAACTGCAGACTTGTGAACCCGGGAGGCGGAAGTTGCAGTGAGCCGAGATCGCGCTACTGCACTCCAGCCTGGGCTACAGAGTGAGACTCCGTCTCAAAACAAAAACAAAAACAAACAAACACAAAAACTGCAGAGCTTCTTCCACGGCAAAACTCAAACATTTTCCTTATTGATACTCTGAAGACAAGATTAGGTTTGCATTTCCACAAAGTGCAAGCTCACTGGAGGAAGCAAGCAGCTTGGTTGATGGGGCATCTGTCTGCACTCAGGGAATGTCACTCCACTGTTATTTTGATCCTCCTTTAAATACTCCTCTAGTTTTAGGAAATATACCCAAGGGTTGGATATCAGGAATTCTCTCTATGAATTGATGGAGATCTGCTAATGAATCTTTTCTTAATTGCCCAAAGACAAAATAGTAATTGTTTTTGGTGTAGCATCACAAGGATGGGAAAAGTTTTCATTTCCCATGCCAACTCTGACGCAATGGTAGTTGTTTCTTAGGTTGAGAAGGATTTTGAGGCCAGCTTCAATTTTGAGTTCAGTCAAAGTGTTCTGGGACCAGTACATCATGCTGAACTTTGGAGATTACCATATTTGATAGACCGACCTTATGTGGACATGTTTCCTATTGCAAATACATAAACATATTAAATGTAAAGAGTGTCAAGAAAACACTTTAAAGTATATACTCAAGCAAGCAAGAAAGGGAAAGTTGTGGGTTTCACAAACAAAAAGAAAACTGCAACTTAGAAGGGAGCGCTACAGTTGATGCTGAGGTGTGCCATGGGCTTAGGTCTCAGGAACTGCGGGCTGGGAGTTTAATGCTTAATCTTGACAAGGCATGGCTTGAGGGCTGGGACTCAGACCCTCAATTCCAGATACTCAAAGGGCTACCGGTCTTTGTAAAGGAACTATACAAACAAATATCTTTGGGTCAGACCAAAAACTTGGGATTTAATAGAAGCAAAGATAAAAATGTATCTGAAGAGATCTTTCCACAAGTAAGGGTACATGGGACTTCTACTGGAAAACACCTTTTGCTGAAGATGAGCTAAAATAAATTGCAAACTATATGAAGGACAAACCCACCGTGGTGTAGAGTCAGCAGATGCAATAAATGGGAACACAGTAACCAAGACTGTGAGAAAACAGAACGATCCAAAAGAGACATAAAATAGAAATTCTGAAAATGAATAGAAATAAATGATAGAAATTATATGACAAGCAAATGACCTTCTAATAAAAGAATAAGCAGATTTGAAAAAGAACAAAATAGAAATTGTGAAAAGGAAAAATATTGACATTTAGAATTCAGTAGATGGGTCAAAGAACAAACTAGTCATAATCGAAGGCAGAATTATTGAATCAAAAGGTAGAGCTGAAGAAATCACCCAGAATATAGTACAGAGAGATAAGGAAGTGGAAATTTGAAGGGAGTTTTTGTGATTTGCCTGATAGACTAAAGAGACCCAATACAAATCCAAATGAGAGTTCTGGAATGAAGATATTCAGAGAATTGGGGAAATGTAATGTTGGAAGGCTAGGAGGCTGATAATTTTCTAGAAACGAAGAAAAATTTGAGTCCGCAGAATAAAGAGGCACACTCCAGCAATTGCAGTCTCTCTCCTTCTCTCAATCAGTTTTTTTCCTCTCAATTATGTTATTATCATCAGCAAGAAAAGATATTGCAACAACTTGTCATAGTAAAATAAAGCAAACTTCCCTTGTCTGCTACTCTGCTCCAGATACTACTCCATTCCTCTGCTCCCTTTCACAGCAACACTCATTCAGAGTTGCCTAAAGTCCCCATGTATACTTTCTCTGCTCTTATTCTTTTTCAAAACCCCTCTAATCAGGATTTTATCCTGGTCACCACATAGGAACAGTTTATTACGGTTACTGAGGCTGCCCACATTGCCAAGTCCAGTGGCCGATTCTCCATCTTCATGATGTGCAACTGGCAGCATTGGACAGAGTTGTGTGATTTCTCCTCTTGGAAACGTTTTCTTCTCTTGGCTTCTAGGGACCACTTTCTCTGGGTTCTCCTCATACTGTTCTGATTGTTCCTTTTCAGTTTCCTTGTTGGTTCCTTTTCACCTGTGGACCTTAAACATGAAGTTTTTGAGGATGTAGGCTCCTTCCTTACTCTCTAAGGCAATCTCCTCCCAGTCCTGTGGCTGTGAGTCCTACTGCTAACAACTCCCACATTGCTCTCTCCAGCCTGGACCTCTTCTCTGAAATTCAAATTCCCATATCCAGCCTCCTATACCACAGCTCCATTTTACCATCTGACAGACATCTCAAACTCACTGTCTTCAAAGGAAAACCCCTGACATTGCATCTCTCCCTCCACCTAAACTGTTCTTAACAATTGCCCATGTCACAAAAAGATTTTTTTCATTCTTTCAGTTATTTGGTTCAAAGAATTTCATGTGATGCTTGTATCTTCTCTATCTCATACCCCATATCCAATTCAGCAAATGTCGCCAGTTCTATCCCGAAAAGATACCCAGACTTTGACCATTTCTCAATGCCTCCATCACTACTGCCATGTTCTGTCATCTTTCCTCCATCATCTTTCCTCTGGACCATGGCAGTAGTCTACAACTGGTCATTCTGCTGTCCTTCCTACTTGCATCCCTACACAATAAAATGTCTGTTCTCTGCGCAACAGTCACAATGAGCCTTTTAGACAAATGTCATACTCTATTATTTAAGACTGTTTAGTGGTTTCTCAGAGCCTTTCCAAAGTCTTTGCAATGGACTGGAGGATCCGTGTGCATTACTCACCCCTCCACGTGTCTGACCTGATCCATTCTCCCTCTCACTACTCCTGTCCAGACACATTGGCTTCTATGCTCTTCCTTGAGCACAGCAGGCATTCTCTGACCTCCAGGCTCGTGCTTGTGCTGTATCCTCTGCCGCAATGCTCTTTCCCCAGATATTTAGATAGTTGGTGTCCTCATTTTCTTCAGGTATCTGCTCAAATATCAGCTTATCAAAAAAGACCTCCTGACCACCTTATACATAGTACTCTCCCAGCATCCACTACCCCCATGTCCTAATTTATTTTTTTCCATAGCTCTTATCATTATCAGACATAATGTATTTCCATGAGACTGTTAGTTAATTTCCATTTCCTCCCACCAGAAGGTAAGCTGCATGAACACAGGGACTTTGTCTGATTTGCTCTCTGCTGATCCCTAGTGCCTGGATCTAGCAAGTAGTAGGGGCACAATAAGTATATATCAAGTGAATGAATGAGTTTCAAGCAGAATATACAGCTGACCCTTGGACAACATGGGTTTGAACTGTGTGGGTCCACTTACATGCAGATTTTTCTCAATAAAACTTATGCTAAGTGTGCCTGCCTCCCCTTCCACCTCCTCCTCCTCTTCCGCCTCTGCCACCCCTGACACAGCAAGACCAACCCCTCCTCTTCCTCCTCTTCTGCTACTCAACATGAAGATGATAAAAATGAAGACCTTTATGAGATCCACTTCCACTTAATGAATAGTAAATATATTTTCTCTTCCTTATGATTTTTAATAACTTTTTTCTGTAGCTTACTTTATTGTAAGAATACAGTATGTAACACATATACAAAACATGTGTTCAGCTGTGTATGTTATTGGTAAGGCTTCTGGTCAACAGTAGGCTATTAGTAGTTAAGTTTCTGAGGAGTCAAAAGTCATAGGCATATTTTCAACTGCAGGGGGTTGGGGAGCCAGTGCCCCAACCCCCACATTATTCAAGGGCTTCCTGTAAATATAAATCCAAATCCACACCTTGCCACATCAGAATGAAAACTGCAGAACATGCAGAACTATATTTTATTTATATGTATTTTTATTAATATATCATAGTTGTACTTATTTGGGGGACACATGTGATAGTTTGATACATGTATATAGTATGCAGTGATAAAATGAGGGTGATTGGGATATCAATCACCTCAAATGTTTCTCTTCTTCTTATGTTGGAAACATTACAATTCTTCTATCAATTTATAAATATGCAATAAGGTATTATTCACTATAACTTCTCAACTGCACCATTGAATACTAGAACTTATTGCTTCTATTGAGCTGTATTTTTGCATGCATTAACCAATTTCTCATCATCCTCTCTACCTGCTTTCCTCTGGTAACCACCATTCTACTCTCTCCTTTTTTTTTTTTTTTTTTTGACAAAGACTTACTCGGTCACCCAGGTTGGAGTGCAGTGGTGTGATCATAGCTCACTGTAGCCTTGGCACCCTGGGTTCAAACCATCCTCCCACCTCAGCTTCCTAAGTAGCTGGGATTACAGATGTGCGCCACTATGCCTGGTTAATTTTTTTATTTTTTTGTAGAGTTTTTTTTTTTTTGCCATGTTGCTCAGGCTGGTCTCAAACTCCTAGGTTCAAGCCATCTGCCCACCTTGGCTTCTCAAAGTGTTGGGATTACCGGTGTGAGCCACTACACCCGGCCCATCATTCTACTCTCTATCTCCAAGAGATCCACTTTTTCAGTTCCCACATAGGGATGAGAACATGCAATATTGGCCTTTCTGTGCCTGGCTTATCTCACTGAATATAATAACCTCCAGTTTCATACATGTTGCTGCAAATGCCAGGATTTCATTTTTAATGACTGAATAATATTCCTATATATATATATAAATTCCTATACATATATAAAGAAATGTATGTATATATATCACATTTTCTTTATCCATTCATCACCTTGACTATTATTAATAGTGCTGCAATAAATGTGATAGTTCAGATATCTCTTAGATGTACTGACTTCCTTTCTTTTGGATATATACCTAATAGTGAGATTGCTGGATCATATGGTAGTTCTATTTTTAGTTTTTTGAGGAACCTTTCATAATGGCTGTACTACTTCACATTTCTACTAATGGTGTAGAAGTGTTCCTCTGTCTCTGCATCCTTGCCAGCATTTGTTATTTTTTGTCTTTTTGATTATAGTCATTCTAACTGGGGTGAGATGATATCTCATTGTGGTTTTGATTTGCATTTCCTTGATGATTAGTGATGTTGAGCATTTTTTCATGTACCTGTTGGCCATTTGTATGTCTTCTTTTGAGAAATTTCTATTCGGGTCTTTTGCTCATTTTAAAACTGGATTATTTGTTTTGTTTTGTTTTTTGCTATTGAGTTGTTTGAGTTCCTTATGAATATAGATTATTAATCCTTTGTCAGATGGATAGTTTGCAAATATTGAGAACTAAAATATTAAAAGAATCCAGAGAAGAAAGACAGATTATCGACAAAGGAATGATGATTAGATTGAGAATAGAATTCTCAAAAACAATACCAAAAGATGGTGGGATATCATTAAATTGTGGAAGGCAAAAAATAATTCACCTACAATGAGTACCCAGCTAAGTTATTTAGGAGTAAAAGTAGAATGAAGCAATTGCCAATAATAAATTGGAATCCATGAAAAAGTTACTTAAAAATATACATGTATTGCCCATTTAACTCCAGTAATTCCTCCCCCAAAATCAGACATTCTAAATGAAAATATTACCAAGCCTATTTTTTATTATTTCAAATAGGAAAAATTATACTTCATTACATGATAACCCCAAACCACTAACTATTTCCTAAAATGCAAATCAATACAGTAAAATATTAACATAATAAGCAACAACCATCAAATGTTTAAATAAATAAATGCTTAACGCATCACTTCCTGAGCAGAACACAGTGAACATAGCTATTAAACACTTGTCTGGAGTAATGTCATGATGCTTCTCTTTAGCATCACCAACATATGAGATGTACACTTCGCTGACTCTCAGCGGGCTTTTCAACATGGCTTCCCATGATTCTGACATCGTACCAATTGTATTTGAAATAAAACCCGTGACTCTTCTTGCATCTTGTTTTGCTTAAAATATTGATGAAATGTGGAGATGTACATGAACTTTTTCTATAAATATATCAGTCAAAAAACATTGTGCTTAGAAGTACGTAAGTTTTATGAAGTTTGGGAATTAAAAACAGGGAAATGTTAATCTAAGTATTGGTTATCAGGGTATGCCTGTCTTTCAGTAAGAAGGGAATTGAAACCAATGGAGAACCAAGAAATTGCTAAACATATTAGTAAAACAAACAAGCATTGATATTCAAAGAAAAAAAAGGTAACAATAATACTGAGTAAGGGGAAAGGGGAAAAATGAAGTGGAATTAAAACACTATCTAATAATAGGGAAGGAAGCAAGAAAGCATGAATGGCCCCCACCTTGTTCTTGTCCAATAGGAGGAGAGAGCCATTGGTAATTTTTGACTTTATTATTTGCTCATGTTATACGTTTAAGTGGTAATGTACTAGAAGAATAGAAATACAATGTATAACTTCAAGTCAGGAGAAGGAAACAAAATAGATTAAAGAAAGCTTGATCCCATAGAGGAAAGAATGTGGAGAAGAAGAAACAAGCAATGTAGCAATAAAATACCCACAAAATTAGAAGGTAGAAATAAGTTGAAATATCAGTAAGCAAATTATTCATTTAAAAGACAGGAAATCTCAGATTGTGTTGGAGAATATACTCAACCATATTCTGTTTTTAAGAGACATACCTTAGACACAATGACTCAGAAGGACACCACAAGATGTGAAAGAATCTTGTAAAGTATAGAATTCTTTCTGAATGGGAAGGACTGTTATTTATTGAAGTCACATCCCTCACCATGTTATTCCTTGAATATCTTTATCTGATTGTTTTTTCTGCTAGAGTGTCAACTTTTTAGGGGCAAGAATCATATCTTTTTAACAGTCTACCCTAATGTCTGACACCTATTAGTTTCTGAATAAATATTTGTTAAATGAACATGAATAAATATATAAATGAATGGACAAGATAGCAAGTTACCCTTTGACATTTACTATTTTACCAGTGTGTGTCTGTGTGTGTGGCGGGAGCTGGGGGGGAGGGTGTTCTTTCCTTGAATTTGGACCATATTTAGGTATCAATTTTATTTTATTTCTTATTCCAGCTATAATGAATATCTTGGTTATTTTGTAATATGTTAGGTCTTTATTTCCTAATTTCCTCCCCTTGTCATTCAATTGGCTCCATGACTGTAGTTCTCTTCTTGAAAACAAAATGATGCCAAATACATCAGATTTTGTAAAGCCTGCTTGGTGAGTGTATATTGTATCTTCTTTCAGTGTTTCTTATTTATGTTGCCCAAGATTGTGGTTATGATTATTTCTGAAAACTACAAAAACATCTCAATGCAGACACACCCTCATTTGTAAATAATGGTTGTATCACTTAGAGACTATGTACAACTTGGTGAGCACTGGAATTAAAACAGTTCCTATCAACACTTTCTGTGAGGGCGTTAAGATTAGGGAGGTGTCTGGCTGGGCTCTGTCCTGTCCAGACTTAAACCAGTGAAGCTGCCTGGATCCAGGTTTCAGGCAGGTTTGTGTAACATGTAGTGACAGTTTGTGTTCCATCCTTGGGAAACCAGAGACAGGAAAAACACTATGCAATGTCCCAGTAACAAAGGACAACAGCACTTGGTGATAATTAATATAATCCTCATGACTAAAAATAGGTGTTAGCCAAGTTGTTCCGACATGTTGCTTCTTCTGGAGAAAATGTTTTCTGGATTTGGTTTTTATCATTTCTATTAGATCCAGCTTTACATTTTTGTGTGTGACATGCTGTATGAACATTGCCTCATACTCTAAGCTTAATTCCAAATGATCAACATAGAGGCTGAGACTGCAAGACAAAATTGTGGAAAGCAAAAAATAATTCATCTACAATGAGTACCCAGCTAAGTTATTTAGGAGTAAAAGTAGAATGAATATCTAGATATTCCCAAACACTGTTTTTCAGCTGAAAGTTTCATTTGTTGGGATGGATTTGCTGACCTTCCTTGACACTTTTGAACAATAGCCATCAACAAAATGATCCCCAAATAATCCATAAAGGTGTTGTTCAAATTCAGAGTCTCTTTACCAAGAATAATTTATTTGTACGGAAAAAAAAGTGAGCTAAAATGCTCTCTTTCCACTTTTTACATCTGAAATCACCATGATGCTCATTTGTGGGCTATGTCTGGCTCCAGAGGTGCACAACCAAGAAGAGTCCCAGCTCCTGGGCTGTAGACTCCTTTTAGTGGCTCCATGGCCTTTGGTTTAGTCCAGCTCATATAAGGCCTGCATCTGGGAAATGCTGGGCACAGTTGAAGGCTCTCATTGGCAGCACAAACCCAAACCGCAACTTGGAGATCTGCTGAATGAGACACTCATCAACAAAGAAAATGGATCATGGGGCCATTAGGTGACCAACTCTCCTAGGTTACCTGGGACTGGGGTCTTTGAATGCTAAAGACTTTAAATGCCAAAACCAGGAGAGTCCCGGGCAGACCAGGATGGTTGTTCACCCTAGTGGACTGCTGGGCCTTTGGGGATGTGACAAACATCATGTGGACACCATTTGTGATAACCTGAAATGCTTTCCCTGCACCATGTCTCCTGTTTTGTTTTTGTTTAATTTCCTTTAGGGCCAGGCACAGTGGCTCATGCCTGTAATTCCAGCACTGTGGGAAGCTAAGGCAGAAGGATCACTTGAGGCCAGGAGTTCAGGACCAGCCTGGCAAATAGAGCAATACTTTGTCTCACGAAGGAATTAAGCAGTTTAATTTCTTTTACAGAAGATGTATACTACTTCTCTGGCTTTTGAAATCCTATTAGTTTTTCAAAGTATAGCTAAGATGTCACTTTCTTTGTGACACCTTCCTCGATTCACTTCTCCAATCCAAGTAGACTAGTTCTCTACTGCTGGAACGGGCCCGTGGTTCCTTCTCTGTACTTCTGAAATCCAAAAAGCTCTGAAAGTGGAAAGCATTTACATCACTTACCTGACCTCAAAGCCCTTTGCAATCTTTATTTATCTCATGATTTTTTCTCAATATTTATTTATCTCATGAAGTGTGGATAATTATATAATTTTGCTGCATAAATATATTAATGACAGAGGGATGCTTGGGCTCTGATGTGGGTGTTAATAACCAATTATGCAGTACATTGTCTCCCTAGAAGCTGAAGACTTTATACATGCGAGTGCTCCCAAGGGTTTCAGATAAGGGATCGTGGAGCTGTTCCTACCTCTACAAAGCACTGTTTCATTCTGCCTGCTTGTAGTTAATCTGGATGTTCCTGAGCTTCAGCTTCCTCATCTTTAAAATTGGAACAATGCTGTCTGTCCTGACATATGAACGGAAAAGTGTTGCAAACAAATAAAAGGCATCATTACCATTGCTCTGTCATCTCGCTTATCCTGGTATGCTTTGCGTTTTAGTTGTCTCTACAACTTTTAGTGAGTCTCTACAAAAAACTACCATTTCCATGGTTGATGTTCAATAAATATTGTGGGATCTGAGTGTGGAGTTAAAATGACAAGTTCATGCAGTTAAAATGACAAATTCATGAGTAATTTCTTCAGTGTCACATCCTGTCAGTCAAACTTAACATTCAGTTCATCTTAGTGAATTTCCAGAAAGAAGCCAGAATGTGGCCATTAAAATGTTGTCTCCACCCTGTTGACCATACGTAGAATAGGTCATAATATATAGAGGTAGCTTCTCATGGGGTATCCTTGAGCATGATTAAAAGAAGAATTGATAAACCCTTTAGAGGACATAATGTACAGTATATCTGGGGCTGTGAGAAGTTGACACAACAAAAGATGAGCTCTTCTGGCATTCAGCACTCAGAATTGAGGTGAGTCATTCAGAGCGAAGCATTGTTCTCAGAATGGAAATTTGACCGAAATAGTCTTAAATCAAACAGTCAGTCTTTAATTCAAATGCAATCTGTAGCAACAAATTATGGGACACTGATTGGTTCAACGCAAATGCCAAAGTGAAAGAAACTTGGAACAACATTTGCATATTTCCAAATATTGAGATACTTGGTGCCAGGAAGGCATGGTTTTTAATCCTGAGCAGTCTAGAAGAATAATTGGTCATCTGTCACTCTTTTAAAGCCAGTTTTCTTATATATGACCAACAAATATTAGTAGTGCTTTTTCAAATGTAAAGGTATGGTATAATAATTAGAGTTGAAAGGGATTTTGGAACCTCTTGACTCATGCAGAAATTTCTTCTTCAGGCAGGCAGCCACCTTCTTGAATGTGCTTGTGATGAGGGATCATTGACTCCAAGTCACCTCTTTTTCTAGCAATTCTATTTGGTAGAAAATGATTTCTGATATTGACCCAAAATCTTCCTCCTTGTAACTCCCTTTTTTTGGTTTAAGTTTTGCTTTCTAGAACCTCTGAGGACCAAATGTGTTTTTTTCCCCATGATGATAGTATCTTTTAGGAGTGTGTTTGGTTACAATGAATAGAATACCTTACTACAGTGGTTAAACAAATGGAAACTTGTTTTTCCTCATAAAGCAAAATATCTGCAGACAGACAGTTCAGCTGGTACAGCTCTCAAAGATATAGGTGCGTTCTATCTTACTGCATTGACTTTCTTAGTGTAATGGCTTTGGTGCTTATGTTTGGCACCTCTTAGTCATGAGTTGACTGCTGTATCCTCAGGCAGCAAGAAAGAGAAAGAACTCGCAAGTGAAGTGCATGCCAGCCAACTTTCCTTCTTATAAGGTAAGCAAAAATCTTTCCAAGGGCATGATTCAACTGACTTCTGTAGCCAGAATTTGGTGATATGGTCACCCTTAGATCAATTACAGGTCACGAGGAAGATTACTGTGATTGGTTTAGACCCATCATGATTCTATGCCTGGCACTTAGGTAAGGTCTCTTCTTACTAAGATCCAGGGGTCTCTGGGGCCATCTAAACAAATCTGGTTAGCATGGAGGAAGTGAGTAGGATGGAGAGGCTGGATAGTGGTGAGCTATGGGGACAGAACCTGCTACAACCACTCTTCAAATATTCAAATATTGCTCTCAAATCTCCTTGATTTTCTCTCCTCAGTGCTAAAATGCATTCAGTTTCTTTACTTAATTCTCCTTATTTTAGTTGGCCTCCTGTGTATGGCTCTAGCGTGTGCCTGGAACTCAGCTCAGTCTTCCCAATGTGCTTGGTGCTGGTGTGCAGCCAGTAGGACTATTCCTTTATGGTCAGACTCTGCATTTTCATCCAGATTTTTGGTTTTTGTGGCAGTAATATTGTGGGCTGACCCTTGCAGAATTTGTGACCAGTTCTTCAGTTTCACAGGTACTACCCATAGGTCATATCTACTATCCAATGTTTGTGTGATTGATTTTTTAAGAAAACCTAAATAAGGCCTGCAATGTGCTGACCTGGGGAAACCAATGTATTAAAATACAGTAAGGACTTATTTTGGTTAACCATAAACAGCTGTTCAATAATGAAAATAGAGGACTAAGACATGAATTTTATAAAAAGACTTCTAAAATTTCTGTAAAAACCATAGGTAGCATTGATATATTTATTACTGCATATGGATTTAAAGGAAAAACTGTCACCTCTTTATGTTTCTTTTTGCCTCCCCTGAAACACTTTTTTTCTGGCACATTATTGCGTGCTAACACTAGGCCACACCAAATCAATTTGATTTATGCTGTAACAGAGTAGAAAATAGAAAGCAAGGTACAATGTACAATGACTTTAGTATATGCAGTAATAAGTCTGTAATGGAGAGCTAATACTTTTGGAACACACTCTTCCATAAAATTTTAGGAAATATGGAATTCTGGTTGTAAAGTGCTTTTTAGTTTAAAGCATTTTTATCCAATATAGGATTAGTATACCTTGAAAAGTTGAAGTGTTAACAGTTATACTGTAGTGATCACATTTGATTTTCCACATTTGGTTACCCAGCATGTATCCAGCCATTTCTAGGATTGTCATAAAATATGGACTATGAATATGAATGTCTTCAATTCACTTTGTATAGAGACGAATAGATATAAAGCTAGATATAGACGACATGTAAAAATTATAGAAAGAGTGAGATATATTATGAAAATCTGTATCCAGAATAAGATACTTAGTACCACGGTTTGAATGTCCCCTCCAAAAATCATGTTGAAATTTAATTGCCATTATAAAAGTATTAAGAGGTGAGGCCTTTAAGAGGGGATTAGGCCATGAGGGCTCTGTCCTCATAAATAGATAAATGCCTTTATGGAGGTAATGGGTTCCTGATAAAAAAGATGTATCCAGCCCAATTTCCTCTCTCTGTCTCATGTGCTTGCTTGCCCTTCTGCCATGATATGACATAGCATGAAGGTCCTTGTCAGATGTCAACACCGTGCCCTTGGACTTTCCCGTCCCCAGAACCATGAGCCAAATAAACTTATTTTCTTTATAAATTACCTAGTCTGTGATATTCTGTTAAACAGCAGAAAATGAACTAAGATACCTGGTATCTGAATTATAAATCACAGGTACATTTTATAATGTGGCTTTATAAGCTTTGCAATTACTCATCAGCATAGTAAGCATGTGGGTTTTAAGGCCTGTCAAGCTGTTCTGAATGTTAGAATTTCTTCACAATCTGAGCGATTACTCTCATTGACTCTATAAGAAGCCATTGAGATGGTGACGAGAGTATTTATTTCACAAAGCTTATGAATAGCTCTCTGAGCAACCTGAAAAGAACAAGGTTGGTTTCCAAGCCAACATACAAAATTGAAAGGCTCATGTGTTAGAAGACTTTTAAAAGTACACTGTTGTCCATGGAATGTGAACATGATGGCATTCTGTGAGTGAGTTATGCCAGCGCATCCAAATGAACATATAAAATAACAATTAAAGAAAAACAGAATTAAAAACAATATGTACACACTACTTACAATCATATAAAATACATGTAGACATTAAATATAGGATAACTTATAGAGATATAATTAAGAACTTAAGGTTTTGCAAGTTCTTTCTGTATCTTTCAAAAGTAAGTTGGTGGCTCACTCTGGCTGTGGCTGAGTGAAGAGAGTGGCAAATTCTGTTTTATTAAAGTAACTATAAACATAGGCAAATTGGAAAAAAGAACAACAACCTTTCAGCACCTGGAAATTGGCCAAAGGCACACAACAATCTAAGAAGCATTTATACTTGAAAAACTGCTAAACACTAGATAAGAAACAGGACAATCTGTAGTGTTCTGGCCTGCAGATGCTCCTGTTCCTCTTCCACCTCACCACACTCCACAAGTTCAGTTCACACTAAGGTTCTGCCTGGGATAGGTTTTGCCAGATGAGGACTGGAAGCTTCTCTATCACAGTCAAAGGGAGCCCACTTGGTTCGGATTTGGAGTAGTGGGCAATGCCCACACCCGGTGTTGTTGTTGGTGGAGTAAACATGCCAATTGTTTGGGTCTGAGGTTGTAGTGGTGGTTGGGGCAAACTAGCTGAGGCTGCATGGATGCACAGCAAGGCAGAAGAGTACTCAAGCCAGCCATCGTCTTGGCCAGCACTGAGGCTGTGCGCATACACAGAGGAGATGGAAAAGGGCTCAGTGAAAAGTAATGGCTGGGAATACTTGATCTTTTAATATTCTCCTTTACCCACACACAGATCCATTGACAAGGAATGGAAAGGTTACTGGCTCAAGGTGGTTGAGCAAAGCCTCTCTCTAGTCTTTGCCTTACCATTACACTATGCAGACAGGGATGAATGTCATAGGGAGCCAGGCTTAAAACCACTACCACCAAAAAGAATGTAAAGATATCAACAGCTGAACACTTCAAGGGAAACAGATTGCACAGATTTAGTACAGGTAAATTACGCAGCAAAGTAATAAGCAAACCAAAAAAGCCAGCCAGTGTAAGAAGAACTACAACCTCCAGCAGGGAAAAAGCAAAATCCAATGATATATTGGATTTCGTTATGATATATTATCTAAAATATTCAGTTTTTTTTTTTTTGGTTGGGCACAGTGGCTCATTCCTGTAATCCCAGAACATTGGGAGGCTGAGGCAGGCAGAGCACTTGAGCTCAGGAGTTTGAGGCCAGCCTGGGCAACATGGTGAAACCCCATCTCTACAAAAAACACAAAAATTAGCCAGGTGTGGTGGTGCATGCCTGTAGTCCCAGCTACTCAGGAGGCTGAGGTGGGAGGATTGCCTGAGCCTGGGAGGCTGAGGCTGCAGTGAATCGAGATTGCACCACTGCACTCCAGCCTGGGCGACTGAGCCAGACCCTGTCTCTCTCACACACACACAAATTCAGTTTTCAATGAAAAATGAGACCAAAGAAATGAAAAGTGTGCCCATGTTCAGTGGGGGAAAAAGCAGTCATTAGAAACTGTCTATCTCTAAGTATCAAATGTTGGATTTAGAGGGCAAAGGCTTCAAGGCAGGTATTATAATATGTTCGAAGAGCTAAAGGAAACTAAAGAATTAAAGGAAGGTATGGCTAAAATGATTCAATAAATAGAGACTTTCAATGAGACAGAAACTGTAAAAATGAATTAAATGGAAATTCAGAATTGAGAAGTACAATAACTGAAAGTAAAATTAATTAGAAGGGGTCAACAGCAGAATTGAGATGGCAGAAGAAAGAATCAGTGGATTAAAAAACTGGATAAAAAGTCGTATCTAACTATATGCTGTGTATAAGAGACACACATTAGGTTCAAAGATACAAATAGGTTGAAAATAAGAGGATAGAAGAAACATACACCATGAAAGAGTAACCATTAAGAGTTTTCACCTTAAGAAACCAGAAAAGAAAGAGCAAACTGGTCCAATGCAGGCACCAGAAAGGAAATAAGAGACTAAAACCAAAATCAATGAAACAGAAAAAGGAAAAACAATAGAGAACCAAAGTAACAAAACTGTTTCTCAAAAAAAATTTTTAAATGAAAAAGGAAATACTTTCAGCTAAACTGATCAAGAAAAAGAGAAGACTACAAGTTTCCAAAATCAGGAGTGAAAGAGGTGCCTTTCTACTGACCCTATAGAAGTTAAAATTGTATGAAAATATTAAGAACAACTTTATGTAAATAAATTTAACAACATAGATGAAATGGACCAATTCCCTGAAAGACCCAAACTACCAAAGCTCACTCAAGAAGAAATAGATAACCTCACTAGTACTTATCTGTTAAAGAAATTGTAGTTAAAAACTTTCCAACAAAGAAAACCTTATGGTTTCACTGGTGATTATTTTAAAAAGAAATAATATCAGTTCTACACAATGTCTTCAGAAAAGTAAAAGAGGATGCTCATCTTATGAGGCTAGAATTATTCTAATATCAAAACCAGACAATGATACAGCAGGAGAGACAGCTGCAGACCAATATCCCTCATAAGCATAAATACAAAAATTCTCAAAATATTAAAAAATTAAATCTAGTAATGTATATAAAAACTTTTTGGCTAAGTAGGGTTTATTTCAGGAATGAAGTCTGGTTCACATTTGAAAGTCAATCGGTGCAAATACCCTATTAACCTACTAAAGAAGAAAAACATATAATCATGTTAGTAGATGCAGAAAAGCATTTGACAAAGTTCAACATCTATTTGTATTTTAAACTTTCAACAAACTAGAAATAGAGGAATTTTTTTAATCTGATGAATGGCATTAACAAAAACCCTGCAACTAACATACTTAATAGTGAAAGACAGAATGCTTTCCCCCTAAGATCAGGAATAAGGCAATATCATGCTGGCAGTCCCAGCCATAGTATAGTAAGGGGAAAAATGCATTTACAATGGAAAGAAAAAAAATAAAACTGCCTCTGTTCACAGATGGCATGATTGTCTACATAGAAAATCCCAATGAATCTTCTAGAAAACTGGAATTAATGAGTTTAGCAATGTTGCAAGATACATGGTAAATATAAAAACCTCATATATGTATGTACTAACAATAAACAATGTCAAATAGAAATTACAAAGAAAGGATCAATTACAATAGCTCCAAAAAAATCAAAAAATGAAATAGTTGTGAATCTAGCAAAGTACATGTAGGTTGGTATGCTGAAGATGACAAAATGCTAATGAAAAAAATCAACAAAGATGGAAATAAATGAAAAAATATACTCTGTTCATGGGTTGAAAAACTCAGTCTTATTAACATGTTCATCCTCCCCATATTGATATAGATTCAATGCAATCCCAAGTAAAATAGCAGGATTTTTATAGCTGATCCTAACATTTTTATGGAAAGGCAGAGGAATTACAACAGCCAGAATGGTTTTGAAAAAGAACAAAGTTAGAAGACTCACACTACCTGAACTGAAGACTTACTATAACATCATAATCATCAAGACAGTGTGGTATGGGCAAAAGGATAAACACATAGATAAATGGAACAGATAGAGAGTGCAGAAATAGAACCACATAAATATGATCAGTTGATTTTGACAAAGATGGAAAGCAATCCAATGGAGAAAGGATTGTCTTTTCAACAAACGGTGTTGGACTAATAGGACGTCCGTTTACAAAATAAGAACCTAGACCTAAACCTCATACCTTTTAAAAATTAAAATGCGTCAGAGAACTAAACATAAAAAATCCATAAAATTATTAAAAGAAAAAAGGGAAGAAAATCTTTGTGATCTTGAGTTCAGTGAAAGCTTTCTCTCAGATATAATACTAAAAATATGATCAATTAAAAAATTGATAAGTGAACTTCATAAAAATTGAAATCTCTTGCTCTGAGCAAATAACTGCTAAAAGAATAAAAAAACAAGCTGTACACTGAGTGAAAATATTTGAAAATCACATCTCTGATAAGAAGCTTATGTCTAGAATATATGAAGAGCTCTCAAACCTCAATAAGAAAGAAAGAAACTCAATTATATAATTGGCAAAAAATGTTAACACTTCACCAAACAAGACATATATGTGACAAATAAGTATGTGGAAGGAAGCTCAATATTATTCATTAGGAAAATGCAAATGAAAACCATAAAAGATACCACTGCATACATATTAGAGTGGTTAAAAAACAATCAAATAAGCCTGGCAGTACCAAGTGCCGGTGAACATTCAGGGCAACTGGAATTTTCATATATTGCAGGTAGGACTGCCAAAGAACAGCCACCATTTTTGAAAAACAGTTTGGCAATTTCTTATAAAATTACATATGCATTTTCCATATGACTCAGCAATTCTACTCTTAAATGTTTAACCTAAAGAAATGAAAACTTATGTTTTCACAAAAACCTGTACATGAATATTTATAGCAGTACTATCTGTAATCACCAAAAACTGAAAACAAGTTAAATGCCTTATAACAGGTGAATGGATAAACAAATTTTGATACATCCATACTCAGCAATAAAAATAATCAACTATTGATACATGCAACAACATGAATGAATCTCAAATGCATTATGCCACGTTAAAGAAGCCAGACTCAGAAGGAAGTTTCCACATGTATGACTTTCTCGAAAAGGTTAAACTATAGAGATGGAAAAACCTATGTGAGTTCTAGGTAAGATAATTCATGTCTCTGATTGCCTAGGATGGTCCTAACTTATCTCTACTATCCTGCCTTTACATGTAGTTTGTAATTTTCCTGAGTTTTAATGTTTTTATTTTTATTTATTTATTTGTTTGTTTAAAGATGGGGTCTCAGTATGTTGCCCAGGCTGGTCTCAAACTCCCAGCCTCAAGCGATCCTTCCAGCTCAGCCTCTCAAGTAGCTGGGATTACAGGTGAGCATCACTGTACCCAGACTGACTTTTTATTTTAAATAAAGTATTTTTATTATTAATTGAGTTAAATGAAGCCAAGTATTTGGTAAACCTGTTGATTAGAAGAACTTCTTCCAAGGCTGTATAGCAGTGATTGGAATTCTCACTTTCATATGTTAGTAATTTTGAAAAAGGACCAGAAATAATCCCACTCTCTTCTCCTGGGTTTCTTTTCCCATTCTTTCTAGATGGAATATAACTAGCATCTCCCTTTCAAGGATAGCACGCAGGGCATTCAGTGATAAAACTAAGTGCAGTGGGGTATGAGCAGCTCAGAACAGCTCATTCCTTCAGATCTAGGGAGGTATTTGATGTGACTGCCCCTGCTGGTCACTTGGTGTGCCATCTAGTTGTGCCATGGCTCCAGCTGCAGTTTATGAGATGTGCAAAGCTGGTAGACCATTAGTCTGCACCATCCAATGGAAATAAAGCAGATTTTAGGTTATGTGTGTGTAAAAAATGTGGGGGAAATAGGATCTGAGCAGTCGGTCTGTAGGGCATAGTCCAAATGCTCTTGTTAGAGTAATCTTGTTACTTACTGTATGGGGGGCATCACAAATATTGCTTTATTTTTATTTGTTAATATTTCTCTAAAATTTTACATTAAATGCTTTCAGCAGCAAGGAGGTTAAAAATTAAGTGCATGATTAATAAAAAATTAAGTGCTGAGTTTCTATTTCTTAAGAAAGTTGATGTTGAAAGGTTAAGTGACACAAACTACTGGTTGGCATTCAAAGTGCTACAGTGGTAACATTGTCAAAACTGCTGAAGAAATGTTACCATCTGCTTCCAAGTTAGTAGTTAAGTAGTGTAGTGGGTTGAATGGTAGTCCACCCAAAATGTATGTATACTCAGAACCTGTGAAAGTGACCTAATTTTTAAAAAGAGGTCTTACCTGCAGATGTAATTAAGGATCTCAAGATGAAATCATTCTGGATGATCCAGGTGAGCCCTAAATCCTATGACAAGTGTCATTCTAAGACAGAGAAGAGGAGACAGAGACATGGAGGAGAAGGCCATATGAAGATGAAGATGGAGATGGAGTGCTGTGGCCACAAGCAAAGCTGACAGCCACCAGAAGCTGGAAGGAGCAAGGAGCGATTGTCACCCAGAGCCTTCAGTGGGAGTGTGGCCCTGTGGACACTTTGATTTTGGACTTCTGGCCTCCAGAACTGTAAGAATAAATTCTGTTCTTTTAAGCCACCATGTTTGTAGCAATTGGTTATGCAAACTTAAAAGACAAATAACAAGTAGTCTCAATGATTCAACACATGAACCTACAGCAGGAAGGTTACATATTACCCCGTGAAGCATAATTTCTCACTTTGACTACGTATCTGTTTTTCTAAATCCACTTAATCCTTTTCATTCTAAATTTTCTTTGTATGTAAGAAAATGAAGCTGTACTCTAAATGAATTGTCTCCATTTGCAGGAAAAGAACTTTGCACACAGTTAAATGATGCCAGATTTTCATCACTGTCATCAGATGCGTTATAAAGAAAATTAGTTAATTTCAGTAATGTCTGGATTTATTTTATCCAATTCACGGAATTAATCTCATTCATGGAAGCTCCCCGTCACAGTGGGGACATCTGACATTATTTCAAATGCTACTGTAAAATAAGACAACAAGTCCAACATTGAAGAGAGATATATATATGTATATATATATTTTTTTTTTGCAGAGTTGATACAAATATAAATATACACATTTTGTCAGTGGTGATGGAGCGGGGTGGGTGGGGAGGTTGCTGAGCAGTGCGTTGATGTTCAACAGGTTTCACAGCCACCTCCAAAGCAGTGCAATCCAGATGAAGGACAGAGAAGTTATGAAGGATGCGTTCACCAACTTGTAGTCGCCAGGCAATGGACGGGCACACTCAGGACCCATTGGGACAGATGCAGCACAGTGCAAAGCCAGCAATGGTAATTAGAACAACCTCTGCAGATTCACCCTCCCTCTCTCGCTCCCTCCCTCCTTCCCTCCCTCCCTCCTTCTTTCCTTCCTTCTTTCATCATTTTATTATGTGAATTTTCAAAATTATGAAAGCCAGAATAGTACAATGAACCTTATGTCCCTGTCACCTAGCATCAATATCAATATGGATATCTTGCTAAATTTGTTCAATCTATCTCCCTCCAACCTTTGCTTTTTGCTAAGGTAGTTTAAAATAAATCCCAGAACCATGCCACTTCACCCATAAATGCTACATTATTATGAATGATTTCTTTCTGCTAGTGAAACTAATGAATATTTATTATAGACAATTCAGATAAGCATAAAGGGGAAATTAAAGTTGCCCACACTCCTACAATCTACATCACTGTTAATTTTTGATGTTTTTTGATCTAGTCCTTTAAATTACGTGTATGTGTGAATATATATATTTAATATATCCTATCTATCAGTATGTTAATCAGTGAGAAGGCCTTCTGTAACAGAAAACCCAGTTCACACTTGCTTAAACAAGAAGTGGAACTTTTTTGGCTTATATACTTGAAACATTCAGTGGCAGGGTAGGTTTCATGCCTGGCTTGATTAGACCTCCTGCTCAGTTTCTTCATCGTTCTCTAGTGACTCTTGTATATTGATTGGCTTTATTCTCGGGCTGGCTTCCCTTCTGGCAACAAGACTAGGATTCAGGCTCTCACATCCATCTTCACAGGGAGGAAGAGCCCCACTTCTCATAGCTTTTGCATAAGAGTCCTGAGCTCTACTTGGATTGGCCCACTTGTGAACTAATCACTAAAACAAGGGACCCGAGAATACCCTGTTTGAACAACTTGGATCCTTGGGAGGTAGGGGCGGGAGGATGCACCCAAACACCATGTCTTCACCCAATGGTGGAGGTGTTAAGAGATGGCATGGACGTTGGGGAGGAAGCCTTAACGTGTATTATCCTATGCCTTCTTACTTTATGTATGTATCTATTTATATTCTCCCTGTCTCTTTAAATCTTGGAAATTTAGTTCGCCTCCCTCCCCTTTTCACATTCAAGATAAACACACAATGCCCACTGCAAGCTACATGAATTTCTGGGGTTTGGGAGGTGAGGGGAAGGTGGCCACTTTGGGCTCTTCCTTCCTCCTTCTGCTGGACTCTTGCTCTCTACTCTGTGACTTGCACTGACCCCAGTTGTGGAATTTGCCCCTTCCTTGCATATCCCAAGAGAAACAACTTATATAAAATATTTGCATATCTGGTAGACTCCACTTAAGGTTTAGGGCATTTGAGGAGGGAGGGTTCTCAACAGGGGTGATTTTGCCACTCGAAGGACATTTGGCAACAACTAGAGACGCTTTTGATTGTTACAACATTTTTGGTTGTTACAAGTGCTACTGTCATTTAAGATAGTAGAGACCAAGGATGCTGCAAGGCACAGGACAGCCCTCCCCAAATGAGTTATCCTCTCTATGTGTCTTTGTTGAGAAGCTCTGCTTTAAGATATCTGGAAGTCCTGGGGCCATACTTGATGGTGCTTGGCAGTTCCCTCCGATTCCTTTCTACGTTCCTTCTTCATTGCTTTTCCTCATCCATAATTCCTCTTTATTTCTAATACAGAGCTAGCTAGCTATTCCCTTATGTTTTCATCCTCCAGTAGACCTTGCTTTCAGGCTCATACCTCCACCCCAAGATATTTAATGAAGTGTCTTCCTAAGCAAATATAGTACAGTCTCTAAGAGAAATTTTATTGCTGTTTGTTAAGATAATTCTTATTTCCAGCTTATTATATACCCACATACTCCAAGTGATACTTGGGATAAAACAGTGGATAGTATTTCTCCACATGCTTTTTAAAGTTAATATTGGGTTTCATGAATATTTTTCCATTGCTTACCTAATATGATGCTATTTGCCAAATATTTCTGGGTCTTCTCACTTCTAGGCATGTTGTAAGATTGCACTTCCTGACATCCCTGTGACTGGTGGGGCCCTGTGCCTAGTTGACAGTGGAAGGAACATGTAACTTCTAGGTGAGACCTTTTAATTACTGATCTGATCCCTTTCAGGGCTCTCTATTTCCTTACAGTAAGGTGATTATCAACGTTTGAGGTGGAACTCCTCCATCAGCCTGGGTATTTGAGAGACCACAGTGAAAAGAGGACCTTATTGATATGATGTACACGTGACATGAGAAGTAGACTTTTGTTATTTTATTTATTTTATTATTTATATATGTTTTTTGAGACAGGGTCTTGCTGTTGCCCAGGCTGGGGTGCAAGTGTGTGATCACAGCTCACTGTAGCCTTGACCGGCTGGGGTGCAAGTGTGTGATCACAGCTCACTGTAGCCTTGACCTGCTGGGCTTTAGTGATCTGTCCACCTCAGCCACCTAAGTAGCTGAGAACATAGGTGCGCACCACCACACCTGGCTAATTTTGTTTATTTTTTTTGTAGAAACGAGGTCTGATTATGTTGCCCAGGCTGGTCTCAAACTCCTGAGCTCAAAGGATCTCCTGTCTCAGCCTCCCAAAGTGCTAGGATTACAGGCATGAGCACTGCACCCAGCCCCAACTTCGGTAATTTTAAACCATTGGAACCTCGGGGTGGTTTGTTACTGCATAGCCTAGTCTATCCTCATGGATACATCTGATACCTCTTCATCACTTTAGTTCAGAGGCTTCCTCCTCCTCATCAGATGAGGGTGACTGCATCCATGATCATAGGGGTTCATCCTAATTAGTCTACAGCAATAATTGTCATCTGCTGTTCTTTCCAGTGAGTAGCTTAGGGGTGGGCACATGGCTCTTTTGAGAGATAATGAGAGGTCTGCTGGGGCTTCTGAGAAAAGCTTCCCTGATCCTAGACAAGAGACCCGAAGAAAAAGTCCTTGAGGCCTCTGGACATTGCATTTGTTGGATGTGGTGCCTGGAGCTTTGTAGCCATCCTGAAACTGAGAAAAAGATACACATGAGGACAAATATGACCCATGAGGGTGGCGGAGCAAGGGTGATGGAAAGAACCTGGCCCTTGATGACATTATTGAGACTTGGAATCAAGCAACCCTGAATCTTCTATCTCTGGACTTCCTGATATGTGCAATAATAAAAGTCCTTATTTTAAAATCAATTTCAGTGAGGGTTTTATGTTACTTGAAACTGAAAACATTCTAAGTGATACATCAACTTGACTTCTGTAATGTTATTTTAATTGTAGAACATGTCTAGACTGTAATATATTTAATGAATCTCCTGTGACTTAACATTTAGGTAGTTTTCTATTTTTAGCCACTGTAATATGAAGAGGGTCCCTTTCTGAAAATAATGCCAAATAAAAGTTGTAAGCACATTTTGGCTTCCTAAGGACAGGAGGCCTGTCTCCCTCTGAACCAGATCTTCATTCATATTTGTTGAGTCCCTTCCATGCTAAAGGCTCAGGATAGAACGGTAACTTAAAACTAACAAGGGACCAGGTGCAGTGGCTCACGCCTATAATCTCAGCACTTTGGGAGGCTGAGATGGGCAGATAGAGAGTCCTGGCACTTGAGGCCAGGAGTTTGAGATCAGCCTGGCCAACATGGTGAAACCCCATCTCTACTAAAAATACAAAAAATTAGCTGGGCATGGTGGCTTACGCCTATAATCCCAGCTTTTAGGGAGGCTGAGGCAGAAGAATCACTTGAACCTGGGAGGTAGAGGTTGCAGTGAGCCGAGATTGTGCCATTGCACTCCAGCTTGGGCAATAGAGCAAGCTCCGTCCAAAAAAAAAAAAGAAAAGAAAAACTGACATTTTCCTGGTTCTCATGTAGCTCCTAAGAGCTTGTGTTCTTTAGATTTGGCAAAGCCAACACATGGTCCTTTAGTTATATAAATGTGAAGCTAATTTCCACCCACAGGTTCTTGGAAAAATAAATGGAACAGCAGATATATTGAATTGAGAGATTAAGTGCTTTGATTAATATATATTTATATATATATGTATTTTAGCATACAGAGTTATGGCTCTAGACTTTGTAACTTCTTACAGAAATGCACAATTTTCCATGTATGAATTTGAATGACCTATCCCTTTAAATTATTATTTATTCAAGGGTATGTGTTTTTTTTGCATATCATTTAGGAAAAGTTGGGGATAAGACTGATAGAAGTAGTACATTTTGCCTGAGCATATGGATATATAGAAAGAATACTATTAAAATAGCATTTTTGAAAATATGATTTTTGAAAGGACTGGTTTTTGTTTGTTTGTTTTTTGTTTTTTTTTAAAGGTAGCTCTGCAAGAAGAAATTGTTTGTGCAGTAGTAGCAGCGGTGGCGGTAGGGGCATAGCATAGCTCATGAAGCAGGAAGCCTGGGGATGCTGTACAGTACTGCTTCTTGTTAGCTGTGTGATGTTGGACAACTCTCTACACTACTGAGTCCTAATATCTTCATTAACCAAAGGTAGAGATAAAATGAAATCATTTACCTCATTGGGTTACTTTGAAAAATTGCACCCTAATGTATGCAAAAGAGTATAATTGGCTGGGTGCAGTGGCTCACGCCTGTAATCCCAGCACTTTGGGAGGCCAAGGCGGGTGGATCGCCTGAGATCAGGAGTTCGAGACCAGCCTGGCCAATATGGTGAAATCCCGTCTCTACTAAAAAAACAAAAAAATTAGCTGGGCATGGTGGCAGGCAACTGTAATCCCAGCACTTGGGAAGCTGAGGGAGGAGCATCGCTTGAACTTGGGAGGTAGAGGTTGCAGTGAGCCAAGATTGCGCCACTGCACTCCAGCCTGGGCAACAAGAGCAAAACTCCATCTCTAAATAAATAAACAAATGAATTTTTTAAAAAGAGTATAATTAACTGGGAACATATCAACTTTAGTTTTTGTTTGTTTTTTAGATGAGTCAAGGGAAAAATACTTCGAAAATTGAGTTCTCAGGCCAGGCTTGGTGGCTCACGCCTGTAATCCTAGCACTTTGAGAGGCCAAGGCGGGTGGATCACCTGAGGTCAGGAGTTTGAGACCAGCCTGGCCAACAAGGAAAAACCCCATCTCCACTAAAATACAAAAAAAAAAAAAAAAAATTAGCTGGGCATGGTGGTGGGTGCCTGTAATCCCAGCTACTCAGGAGGCTGAGGCAGGAGAATCGCTTGAACCTGGGAGCCAGAGGTTGCAGTGAGCAGAGATCACATCACTGCACTTCAGCCTGGGCAACAGAGCAAGACTCCATCTCAAAAAAAAAAAAAGAAAAAGAAAAAAAGAAAAAGAAAATTGAGTTCTCAGATATTTACTGTAAAAAATAACATGCTTTTATGTATTACACAATAATACATGATTATTGTTGGAAAATGAAGACAGCAAACCCACCCTCCCCCAGTGTCAACGTGTCTGCTCAGAGTGTCTCCCTGACATTTTCTCACCCTTTGCCTCAAGTCAATGGGAGGAAGTGACACCATACATTCTTTCTTTACACGGAGTAAAATCTATCAGCATTATCCTCTAATGCTGATTAATTCTTAGTCATTCTTAGGAAATCCTTCTGTGCTCGGGTTTCATAAATCATCACCCGTATTTTACTTTAGCAACTTGAAGATTTATTTTACAAACATTTAAATTATTGGTCCATCTGGAATTAATTTTGATATAGATGGGAAAGATGTGTCATTATATTATAAAATGGATATCTTTGCAAATGGTACTTACCGCTATTTATTGAATAACCCAGACTTTCATTACTAATTTGAGTTGGAAACTTTTCCATATACTAAACTACTGCATGTATTTGTGAATGTTTTTGGGCATGCTATATATTGTGCACTGAATTTTCTATCCATTGCTCAATTGATACCACGTTTTAATTAACATTGTAGGAGGTTTTAATGTCTAATAAGGGACTCTCAACTTTTCTTTCCAAAGATCATTTGGCTTTCTAGCTTGTTTATTGTTTCTGAAGATATTTTTAATCCTTTTATTTTCATGTTGCAGATACCCATGAAGATGCAGAAAAATCTTCACACTCTCAGCAATTTAACAATCTAAGGTAACAGGCACTATAATTCCAGAAGCAGGAAGTAAGATGTCTAAATTCTAAGAAAATCAGAGCTGCGTTTAGAAAAACTCCTAAGGATTCTACTTGAAGAGTTTCCTGGCTTTGCTGCCTCTGATTATACCCTCAATACACATTGCAATACTCTATTTTTGCAATTAGTTTTTATTTTGTTTTGTTTTGTTTTTAGAGACAGGATCTTACTCTGACTTCCAGGCTAGAGTGTAGTGGCATGATCATAGTTGACTGCAGCCTCAAACTCCCAGGCTCAAACAATCCTCCCACCTCAGCCTCCCGAGCAGCTGGGACTACAGATGCACACCACAACACTCGGCTAATGTTTTTTTCTTTTTGGTAGAGACAGGATCTCACTATGTTGTCCAAGTCACTCTCAGACTTCTGGCTTCGAGTGATACTCCCTCCTTAGCCTCCCAAAGTGCTAAGATTACAGACATGAGCACCTGGCACTGCGTTTTGTTGTTGTTGTTGTTTTGTTTTGTTTTGTTTTTCTGAGATGGAGTCTCGCCCTGTCGCCCAGGCTGGAGTGCAGTGGCGCAAACTCGGCTCACTGCAAGCTCTGCCTCCCGGGTTTACGCCATTCTCCTGTCTCAGCCTCCCGAGTAGCTGGGACTACAGGCGCCCGCCACCATGCCCGGATAATTTTTTGTATTTTTTAGTAGAGACGAAGTTTCACCGTGTTAGTCAGGATGGTCTCGATCTCCTGACCTCGTGATCCACCCATCTCGGCCTCCCAAAGTGCTGGGATTACAGGCGTGAGCCACCGCGCCTGGCTGGCACTGCATTTTATCTTTTAAAATAGGCGGTTCCCCATCAGAATATGAACTCATTTAAGGGCAAGGACTATATCTTAAATATCTTTTGTACCTTTGCACGGTGACCAAGACATAGTAAATGCTCAAAAAACATTTAATGAATGAATGAATTAATTAATAAACTCTTGTGTGATGGAATTCTCTGGCTGTGTCTTTCCTGTGTCTCTGCTGGAGTAACAGGTGCTGGGATATGGCAGCTTGCCCAGCCACCTCGTTGCTCCTCCGTGTTGCCTCGTGAGTTTCATATTTATACAACCTTGTGCTTTCCAGGCTCTACAGACCCTTGCTAATGGATTCTTCAATGGCTTCATCCTTCCAATTTCTTCCTCTTGACATTTTTGCATGTTGGGATTATGTATATCCCTGAAATAGTGTGTCTCTTGGCCAACGGTGAGCACTCCATGATCTCTATCCTTCCCCTGATTCTAAATTCCCCCAAGGGCCTGGTAGGTAGGGAGGTGATGAGCAGATGAAGCTGAGCCCAGTTGGTTCTATCCTGGGCCTCCTAAGATCCAGTTTCTTTTCTTCTAGTTCAAGAAAAGCCTCCCTTCCCCCTTCCTTGGCACATAATGGGCACTTGGCAAATGTTGGTTTCTTTCAACTTGACACCTTCTATTCTGCTTCCCTCTCTGGATGGCAGGGTATAAATAGCAAGGCCTCACATCATCTGTTAACCATTTTCAAAAAAAAGCTCGGGGCTACCATGAGGACATGATGAATTAAAAGAAAAAAAAATGGTTCCAAACTACATTGGTGCCCAGGCCAGGTGGGTATTGACCAACTAAAATGACTTCATCTAGGCCAGTGCACTTGACTTTATTTTTCTTAAAGAGTAGAGAAGTGAGACCTTTATTATGACTTTGAAATCTGCATACTTGGGTGCAAATCAGGAAGTATGTGCAAAATGCCCATGGGGAAGGAGCCCAGGAATAATACATTATTCTTTTGAAGTTGTTCACCCTGGGTTTACTTTAAATGCCATTGGCAGCTTTCCTCTTAATGCTTTCTGGGTCCACTACATATGAAAAATGGAAAACCAAAGGTTTTCGCTTGAACCACAGGATTAACTGGTCAAACTGGTCATGGAAGGCCATCTGATTACAGACAGCCACAGTGATACATTCTTTTTTTCAGTGAAAAATTCAACCTTGTGTTCATGCAGACTTGCCATTTGTGGTCCGTTGAAACTCTGGGATTGCTACCCTTTTAAGGAGGGAAAGAAAATCAAACAGTGTGATTGAGCTCTCTCTCGCTCTCTGATGTCCTCTCAGTTTTTCCATAGCAATTTTATTTGACTTAAAGTGCAACTCAAGAGAATTCCTAAAACTTACTAGCATGAAGTCAACCCTGAGGCTGGAGAGAGTTCTATGGGCTTCTTGCGCTTATGCTGATGATGCCATTGTCAGGATGCAGCCTCCTGGGAGATCTCCACTCATTTCCATCCTTCATTCAGGTGCTCCTTCCCTGAAGCTGCCCAAGAATCTCTTGTTCCTCTGAAGAGGCCAGGCTCAGCCCTAGCTTGCTCTTTATCTGCTCAGAGTGAGCAAGGAGATTGGACCACCATTTTGTCCAGTCCAGTTTCCTGCTTTGCTTGTTTTCATGGTTGTTGGCTTTTGTTTGCAAGGAAAACCTTGGATTTCTCAGCCTGTGAACAGGAATATTTTCTCAGGCTTTTTATAGACTGTTTAAGAAAGAGAGGGCAGAGGCACATGCCTTTCCTCTCCAGCCACATAAAACAAAGCTTTAAGTGATTCTTTGGATTGGGGCGGATACAGAGAATTTGGGTGTGGGGGTGGTCAGGAACCTTGCGGGTGACAGTGCTACCTTGATTTTACGTGTTAGACCTTGAACCTCAAATCTTAGAAGAGTCTATCTCATAGTCTGCAGAATGGGCCCATCAGATTGGGTAGGTTACCTGCAAGTCAGCTTGCAGCTTTGCAGGGGAGGAAGAGAAAGGGGGCACCTGTGTTAGTTATGCCAAATTGATGCTGGTCATTAATGGGGTGATGGTTGTAGCCAGATCTCCGCCTCTCTCATACAGGGGCAGAGGATAATTGAACATCATGTGGCAGTCACAGTTGTTTGCCTCCTGTGGCCCTGTAGGTAAGTTAGGAATAAATGTCAAGGAGCAATTGACTTTGCCCTGCTTGGGCCTGATTGTTTTCCCATTCTCCATAGGTGAGAAAAAATGGTGTGATTCAGCAAAAGAAACTATCATCAGAATGAACAGGCAACCTACGGAGTGGGAGAAAATGTTTGCAATGTATCCATCTGACAGAGGTCTAATATCCAGAATCTACAAGGAACTTAAACAAATTTACAAGAAAAAACCAAACAACCCCATTAAAAAGTGGGCAAAGGACATGAACAAACACTTCTCAAAAGAAAACATTCATGCTGCCAACAAAGATTAAATAAAGCTCACCATCACTGATCATTAGAGAAATGCAAATCAAAACCACAATGAGATACCATCTGACACCAGTCACAATGGTGATTATTAAAAGGTCATGAAACAACCAATGCTGGCTCGGTTGCAAAGAAATAGGAACCCTTTTACACTGTTGGTGGGAATATAGATTACTTCAACCATTGTGGAAGATGGTGTGGCAATTCCTCAAAGTTTTAGAACCAGAAATACCATTTGAATACCAGCAATTCAATTACTATGTATATACCCAAAGGAATATAATTCTTTCTAATACAAAGATACATGCATGCATATGTTCATTGCAGCACTATTCACAATAGCAAAGACATGGAATCAACCCAAATGCCCATCAATAATAGTCTGGATAAAGAAAATGTGGTACATATACACCATGGAATACTATGCAGCCATAAAAAGGAACCAGGTCATGTCCTCTGCAGGGATGTGGATAGAGCAGGAAGCCATTATCCTCAGCAAACTAATGCAGGAACAGAAAGCCAAACACCGCATGTTCTCACTTATAAGTGGAAGCTGAATAATGGGAACACACGGACACAGGGAGGGGAACAACACACACTGGGGCCTGTTAGGGGGTGGGGTGGAGGGAGGGAGGGCATTAGGATAAATAACTAATGCATGCTTAGCTTAATACCTAGGTGATGGGTTGATAAGTGCTGCAAATCACCATGACGCACGTTTACCTATGTAACAAACCTGCACATTCTGCACATGTACCCCAGAACTTTAAAAATAAAATGGTGTGCTTGCCCAGTGCCCATTGTGTACCAGGCCTCAGATGTTGCCTTGCTTCAGTCTTAGAAATTATACTTACAACATTGTGATGTGGGAATAATGTCGTTCATGTTTCCTTTCCTTTGTTATTTTTACCATTAAAGGAACTGAGGCTCAGCGAGGTAAAGCGACTTGTTCAAGGTGGGATCATGTCACATGGATAGAAAGCGGTCTATAAATGCTTATTGGTAATGAAATTTAAGTTGAAGGGAAAGAAAAGTAAAAGGTGACTTTGTGCTTTTATTCATTTGGTATTTATTCACTGCCTCTCAGGAACAAAGCATTAAGTTTTCATAGCATCATCTTCAGTTCATCATTCCTTGTAAGAGCTGCTTCGGTGTTCGTTGATAATTTTTCTCTTTCTTCTTTCATCCTCATTTCTTTCTGCCCCAGAGATATAACACTATTCTGTTTGGTATATGTCCTTGGGTATACATATGTCCTTGAAAAATGTACATAACATTATTTTACATAGGCATGAGTACATTTGCATATGTATACATATGTGAATTATATACATAGCATTGTTCTATGCACTTCATTCTATTTCTTGCTTTTTACTCAGTGCTTTTAAGTTCTCCATACATTTATTTATATCCATCTAGTTCATTGCTTCTGATTGTTGTATCCTATTCCATAATATCCATCCACATTCTCCCAGTGATGGACAAGTGGGTTACCTCTATCTCTTTACTACATCAATAATGTGTTGGGATCCTTGAATGTGTGAGCATTTCTCAGGGGAAAATATCTGGTCTCTATACTTTCAGTGGCAAATCAAAGCATGCAAGGAGAGCTGGACAGCTGGAGATGGTGTAATATTTATTTTAAATGCAACTAACAGGAACCGGAGGGCATCCCCCATTAAAGGGACTGCTCTACAAAGAGAACCATTAACATGAATGTAAATCACAGTAGCTTCAAGGACAGTTTAATAACAATCTGACTTTTTATTGGGTGAACAGGAGATGTACCAGCTTTCTCCTTACAGAGTCTTCTGGATCTTTTGCAGAGAGAGATTATATCTGAACTGCTATCGAGATGACTGAGGGCAGAGGGCTGCTCTGGGAGTAATGGCCATAAATCCAATTAGTAATTCACTTTCTCTTTTGCTACAGGCTCCATTTCCCCTGAATGTGGAGAAGATATGCATGTTGGTCATACTCTGGAACCCGGCCAATCCCGAGGGCTCTGTGTCATCATGCCACAAAAACATTCATGACACCTTGCATGGGAAAATACTAGAATGATACACATCACCCTAGCAACAGTAGAAACCTCTGCTGAAGGAAGTGGGAAAGGTGGTGGGTTGATGGCCTGGGGACTCGTCATACTTTATTCTGTATACTTGTGTATTGCTTCAAACAAAAATTTGTTCCTATCTTACTTGTGCAATAAGGAAAAGGAAAACCCTTTAGGGACCTCTAGAGAAGTTTAGCATGGTTAGAGCTCATAAAACTCCCTTTTTATGAAGGAGGAAACAAGGCAGCTGGAGCACCAGCAGGTTGTGTGTTCCTGCTCCCATGGCTGGGTGGGGACCAGAGCTTGTCCCTCTTGATTTCTCCACTTCAGTCCTAGGGATGCTGGGTACAAGCACCAGTGTGACCAGTGGCAAAACTGCAAGGGAGCCAATGAGCCCAGAGGCTGAGCCAACGCAGAAATGTCTTGGATTCCAGACCTGTTCTTGAGAACTTGGAAACTTAAGAAAGCAAATGCTTTAATGATTAATCTTTATGATTCCAAAGTAAAGAATGGAGATGGCTTGGATTAAAAACAAAACCTGTACCAGATTAATTTTGATTTTTAAAAAATCACGTAATTGAGACTAGCCTCGGCAATATGGCAAAACTCTGTCTCTACTAAACATACAAAAAAATAGCTGAGAGTGGTGGCATGTGCCTATAGTCCCAGCTACTCGAGAGGCTGAGGAGGGAGGATCACTTGAACCTAGGAAGTTGAGGCTGCAGTGAACCATGATCATGCCACTGCACTCCAGCTTAAGTGACAGAGCAAGACCTTGTCTCAAAAAAAAAATATTGCATAACTGCTTTACATTTATTTTCTCTGAGATTGAAAAGACACATGTTGAGAACAAGGGGGTTCTTTCTCTTCCTATGTCTATACTTACTACAAAGGTGTTTCTTGTGGGTTGATCATTTAAAAAATATTATTATCATAATTGTGGTATAAATGACAAAACCACACTTGCATGAGCTAGTGAAAAAAAAAAAAAGCACAAAGGATTTGGGTTTGAACCCCAGCCCTGGCATTTACTTGTCACCTTGAGCAAATGACCAAACCTCCCCATGCTTTAGTTTTATTGTGTGTAAAGTGGAAATAATATCACCTAATTCACATGATTACTATGAGGATCAACTGAGATACTCTAAGTAGAGGTGTTAGTACAATGGCTGGCACATAGTAAGCACTCAATAATGATGGCCATTATTATTTTAATAAGGACATATTCACTATTATTATTTTCCCTTGGACTACTCCAGGGATCAGTGAGATATTTTTTAGGTATACTAATAACTTGCTTTGAATTTCTCGAAAGCAGAGTCTGAGACAAGGATTTGTGTGCAGAGTGTTTGTTTGGAAGGTGATCCCGGGAAATGCAGTGAGGAAGTGAACCAGGGAAGAGAGAAAAAAGGCAATAAAAATATATCTCTGTGGGCAAACTGGACACAATCCTAAGACCTTCTGAGGGACTGTATAGAGTATATTTCTATTTCAAAGATCATAGGGGAGGCATGACACTTACATAGTGTCTGGTACAACTACGTAAGTGCAATCTCCAATTAGGTTTTTTTTTTTTTGTTTTTTTTTTGAGACAGTCTCACTCTGTTACCCAGGCTGGAGTGCAGTGGTGTGATCCTGGCTCACTGCAACCTCTGCCTCCCCAGTTCAAGCAATTCTCATGCTTCAGCCTCTCAAGTACCTGGGACTACAGGCATGTGCCACCACGCCTGGTTAGTTTTTGTATTTTTAGTAGAGACAGGGTCTTTCTGTGTTGCCCAGCCTAGTCTCAAACCCCTGGGTTCACGTGATCCACCCACCTTAGCCTCCCAAAGTGCTGGGTACAGGTGTGAGCCACCACACCCGGTCTCCAATTAGGTTTTAAGTATAGGTTATGTTTTTGCTTATAATTTTTTTGTTGTTAAGTAACAAATGTTGTCTGCATTGGCTGGTGTTCCCCATGTTTACTCTGCCAGCTGTTTCTCCATTAACTGATATGAGGGCATAATTTATGTGGCAAAATGTTTTGGCATGGTAAACACTTCTATAACAAGAAGCTTAAAAGTCAAGTTTGAATGATATATTTATCATTCCATTTCAAGTCAAGGTAGGTTGTCTCTTAGACTGGTTCTCAGAGTAAGCAAAGGGTCTTCTGGAAACAATGATACTCTTTTCAGAGAACACTACAATCATCCCAGAACACCAGAGTTCCAATATATTCAATTCCAAGGCATAAACAGAAAAAGTTATTGCAAGAAATATGACCATATTATGAAATTATTAATATGGACATGCACACACACATCAACCAAATACGACTGACTTTTTATGAATTTCTATTAGTATTTGTTTACTGGGTCATTGCTCACTTGTTATCTGTGGGAATTTACTAGCAGGTTAGCAGCAGTAGGCACCATGGGTATATGAAAATAGGGGAGAGAAACATTACACATGTGACATTTTACCCATTTTTACACTAACCTGAGAGTAAAGAATCCCTAATTATCTTTCAGGGACAAAACACTTCTACGTAATTTTTAAAACACTGGCCTTTGAGAACCAACGTAAAAGTTCAACCTAACAGCTACAATGCCAATTTGTGGCAATATTCACTAATCAAAATGAGGGACATCTCACGATTCCAGGCTACTAGGAAGTTTGCAGGTGACTTGGCAGATCTCGTAGATTGCACCTCCTAGGTGCTGTAAGAGCAAAGTGTGAGTTGCCTACTAAGCTAGTGGGCAGACACTCGACTCTTCTGTGGGGTCACTTGAAACTGGAGCTATGTATATAAAGTAGCTCCCCTTAGCCACAGCTTGGCTTTCTGCTGTTTCAGTTACCAGTGGTCAACCGCAGTCTGAAAATAGGTGAGTACAACACAATAAGATATTTTGAGAAAGAGAGTGAGAGCGACCACATTCACATATTTGTTATTACAGTATATTGTTACAATTGTTCTAATCTCTTACTATGCCTATACATACATACCTATAATAAAGTTTATAAATTAAACTTCGTTATAAATAAAGTTTATAAGTTAAACTTTGTTATAAATAAAGTTTATAAATTAAACTTTGCTATAAATAAAGTTTATAAATTAAACTTTGTTATAAATAAAGTTTATAAATTAAACTGTTATAAATAAAAAGTTTATAAATTAAACTTTATTTAAAGTTTAAATAAAGTTTATAAATTAAACTTCATTATAGGTATGTATGTATAGGAAGAAATGTAAAGGAAAAAATACATACATACTATATGTATGTATGGGAAAAAAGTTTATAAATTAAACTTTATTATAGGTATGTATGTATAGGCAAAAACATAGTGTATATAGGGTTTGGTATTATCTGCAGTTTCAGGCATCCACTGAGGGTCTTGGAATGTATCCCCCATGGATAAGGGGGGACTACTATGTATATATGTCTGTGTATGCATATATAAACATATATATGTATACACACATATAGTTTATATATATACATATACATACATATGTATACATGTATGTATATATACTTATACATACATATGTATACATATGTATGTATATATACTTATACATACATACAGTTTATATGAGGAAAACTTTATGTATTTTACACTAAATCAGGCAATACACTACTGAATATAACTAACACAACTGCCTTCTTTGCTTACACTATTACTTACTTCCATGCATTCATTTCCTGAGTCTGGAAATGGATCCACCTTCTACCATCCTTACTGAAGGCCTAGCTCAAATCTTATGTCCCCACAAAACTATACCTAACCATCTCAGCCATCTGCTAGCGGGCCCTCTCTCAAATTCTTAAAATACTTTTTATACTGTTCATTTCACACTTACTGCCACCCTATATTGTTAGTCTCTCTCTCTCTCTTTCTCTTTCACACTCTGTCTCTCACACACACACACATTCCTATCTTCCCTAACTAGACAAGATTTGCATTTTATTACTGTTTGTGCCCAACAAGTGCCTCATACACAGTGGCTCTTGCAAATATGTTAGAATCTTGTAATTAGGCACAGCCCCCAACATTATTCACAGCCCCACTCTATCAAACACCAATGTTTCCCCAAACTGAGTAATGTAGAGATCCTTAAAGAAAATGAAATCTGCACATACCCAGTGTCAACTTAAATATGCTTAAGTATAAAACAAAGCATAAACTCCTTCCATTTATAGCTTCCATACAACTATAAAATGAAAACAGTTTACAATTAAATGCAAATAAACCCACATATTTGAATTAATATTAATTTAATCTGACAGATGCTATTTTGCTGCAACTAAATCACTGTTCAGAACGGGAATAGGGTCATGACTGCTGTGAGGCAGGCTGTTTACAATTTATCATGCCCATATTGTGGTTTTCTATATGACCATTCCAATTTTCCATCCATTTGCTCTATTTGAACCTTATGAAACCATCATTCATTCAAAAAAATATCATGTCATTGGACTTCATCTGGCACAAGTACATCACTGCTGTGTTAGTTCCAACCTCTCTTCTTTCTCATTTACCTATGACAATAATATACCACTTGGCATCAATGTGACCTTAAACGTAGATGCTATGAAATCTGTGGCAATACTTTGTTATAGATGGTCATCCAAATGAAAATACTCATAATAATATTAACAGCTATTATTTACAAACTTTTTTATGTGCCAAGTGCTTTCCTATATGTAGACTATCTCATTTAATTCTTTCAATAACTCTCTGAGAAAGGAGCCATCATCATCATTTTATAGACAAGGAAACAGTGCCTCAGAGTTCAATAGCATTCTCAAATCCATGCTGCTCATAAAGAATTTTAACCCATGAAATCTGACCCGAAACATGAATGCTATACTATACTTATTAATTTGTTCAGCTGGGTGGGTGTGGTGGCTCACGCCTGTAATCCCAGCACTTTGGGAGGCCGAGGCAGGCAGATCATGAGGTCAGGAGTTCAAGACCAGCTTGGCCAACATAGTGAAACCACATCTCTACTAAAAATACAAAAAAAAAAATTAGCCGGGCATGGTGGCGGGCACCTGTAGTCCCAGCTACGTGGGAGGCTGAGGCAGGAGAATTGCTTGAGCCTGGGAGGCAGAGGTTGCATTGAGCCAAGATCGCACCATTGCACCCCAGCCTGGGTTGACAGAGTGAGATTCCATCTCAGAAAAAAAAATTTGTTCAGCTTACCATTCAAATGAACACAAAATTAAAATAAAAGTGTTACAGAGAGTCAACCTACCTCAATATTTGAGAAACATTTCTATATACCCAGAATTCATCATATGCTCAGTAATCATGCCTGTAGATTATTTTCCAATCAAGAAGTACTGGTGCAGTTATTGCTAGCCAAAATATGAAACAACTCAGCTTTCTCATCTGGTTGACTGGTCCAATCAAGAAAATGTTTGGACAAGAAAAAGTTGTACATTTCTGTCTTAGTCCATTTGGACTGCTATAGAAAAATACTATAAATTGGGTGGCTTATAAACAACACACATTTATTTCTCACAGTTCTGGAGGCTGGGAAGGCATTGGCAGATTCAATGTCTAATGAGGGCTTGCTTCCTGGTTCATAGATGGTGTTCTTATGTGGTGGAAGACATGAGGGAGCTCTCTGGGGCTTCTTTTATAAGGGCACTAACTCCATGTTGGCCCCTCGTGACCTGATCACCTCCCAAGAGTCCCACCTCCCAGTGCATCACATAGCGGGTTGGGATTTCAACATATGAATTTTAGGGCATGCAAACACTCAATCTACAGAACTTTAGTTCCATCCTCCCACACCCCCACCCCCGGTATAGTTACACTGGGTGTGTTTAATCAAATCCCTTGCTATTCTTCCCAAAAATTAATGGTGTGATCTACTTACTGGCTTCTGTTTCCCACATAAGCAACTTAGGAATGAGAAAAAAGCTTGTACATTTCAGATCTGTAAAGAACAGTTACCAATTTTCTTATGATACTGCAAAAGACATAGTTTTATCTGATTTCCAGGTCATCTACTGCATTGCTTTGGCCACGGTTTAATCCTATGAAGGTCTCTATCCTAAAAACTATTGGACAAGGTCTCTATTCTTAAGACTTGAGTGTTGTTGTCATTAATAATTTATATGGGCTGGGCACGGTGGTCCCAGCACTTTGGGAGGCCTAGGTGGGTGGATCACCTGAGGTCAGGAGTTTGAGACCAGCCTGGCCAACATGGTGAAACCCTGTATCTACTGAAAATACAGAAGTGAAGTGGGTGTGGTGGTGGACACCTGTAAATCCCAGCTATTCAGGAGGCTGAGGCAGGAGGAGAATCACTTGAACCAGGGAGGCAGAGGTTGCAGTGAGCTGAGATTGTGCCACTGCACTCCAGCCTAGGCAACAAGAGTGAAACTTCATCTCAAAAAATATTAAGAAAATTAAAAATTAAAAATAAAAAAATTAATAGTATATATTGGAGTCATGCACTTCTACAAAAATAGCTGCATGCTGAGTTTGGCTGATTCTTCCATCTTAGAAACAATTTGGTAGGTAAAATTTAAATGTTATTACCCTTACATAGACGAGGCTATTAGTGCACAGGAGGTTAAATTTAAGGTCACACAATTAGTGCTGAGCCAAATGTAGAAATCAGGTTTCCTTGTCTACAATTCCTCCCACTGGACCAAATTCCCCCTTAGAGCAATGCAGAAACAGCATTCTAGAAGGAATTTAGATTTATTTCTAAACTCGATCTGGTTCCATTGTGAGTATAAAAACCTGATTTGCAATCGGAGCCTGGAGTGTCACCCACCGCCTGTGTGGATGATTTTGTTACCAGCTGCTGAAACACTTCAATGGGAAGACATGGAATTCCTGCAGGAAATGACTCCAGGCAGCTCTGAATAAGTGAGGAAATTAAATGACTAACTTCAATGTTTCCTGGTTTTTGTCTATCTTAATTAACAATTTATTTTGGTAAAGGAAAAACTGAATAACTTTTTAATAGTCAACACGTAAAACTTAATATTTGTTTATAATAAAAACATGATTTCCATGTCTACTTTTATTTGCAAAACACCCAGCTTTTTAAATAATTTTCTCCTTCGGTAATTGTGTTTATTGAAGAGTTTCTCTTTAAAAAAACAATGACAGCATATATATGTGGGAAATATCAATTTCCTTCTCATAGTTCCCAAAGGCACACTTATGAAAAATGTGTTGATTATTAACAGAGCTAATATTTTTGTGGTAGTGTTATTACTGAACATCTATAAGAATTGGAGTTTGGGGTTGACAGAGGTGCTGCAGTCCAAATACATTATTGATTTCTATGTCATGTTAAATGTAGCATGGACCTAATTGAACATAATTACTACTTTTGATACATATTTTATGTGGTTCCTACTTTGCCTTCATTCATTTATTCCACAATACTTACTGAATGTCTGCCATGTACCAGGCATTCTTCTAGGTGCTGAGATACAAGGTAAATTAAACAAAGCTCCTGCTCCCATGGAGCTAACGTTCTAGTTGAAGGGAAAACAGACAATTAACAAAAAGACAGGAAAATATGTCAGGGAGTTGTAATTGCTATGAAGAAAAACAGAGTGAGACAAGAATGAGGGAGGGGTACTACCTTAAATGGCGGGGGGTCAGGAAATCAGGGAAATCCTGGGTTTGTCTGTGGAAAGTTAATAATTTCAGACTAATAATCCATCACGGACAACTATCATCGTGGCTGTATAATTGTGACATTCCATTCTTTCCTGGGTTCTACAAGTGTTTAGGAAAAACTTTTAAATTCAAGGTTAATGGTTAGCAATTTCGAGAAAGCTGATTTTATATCCGTGTAACTTCTGTCTTTATTTTTAGCCTTCTTTACAGGACAGTATCTCTTAGGACTAAAGAAGTTGGGGCAAAACCAAAGTTCTCCTCACAGGGCTACTTAACTTTCATGCCAAGCAAACATAAACAAATTTGAATTAGTAATTAAGTTTAGAGACACCAATTACATTTTTACTGAAATTAAATAAAGGCAAATTCTCCTTAATATTTCCAGAATGACTATTAACAACCACAAGTGTTACCTTTTGTTGAACAACATAATGTGCCAAGTACAGAACTTCATGTACATCTTCTTTCTTGTTTTTCAGCAGCCCTAGATATGGGCACAATTGCTCCCATCTTTTAGGTAAGGAAATTGGGACTCTGATAAGTTAAATACTCTCCCTGAGGTCCCAGAAGTAATCATGTCATATTTGGAGTCTGACATCACTTCTGCCTGATCTTATGCGTCTGCAAGGAACAATGAAGATGATCTAATTTAACCTCATTTTACATATGGGTAAACAGAGACAGCTGTGGTGACCTGCCCAGGGTCACAGAACCAGTGAGCTGGTAGCAGAGTTGGGACTAGAGCCCAGTAGGAACTCCTCCGATGACACCGTGCTGCCTCCCAGTGAGAGCTATGCAAGCCAAACTCTGCAACCCACTGCCTTTTCAATGAACATCCAGGTCAGTTGGGTACCCACTTGGGACCAGGATGAATCCTGACTCCTACTCATATCATACATAAAAAATCAATTCCAAGTGCATCATTTATCTAAATGTGAAAAGCAAAATAACAAAGCTTTTAAGAACAGCTACATGATCTTGGGGTAGGCAAAGAAGTGTTGACAACTGTAAAGGTTAAAATGGGTAAATTGAATTATACTAAAAGTAATAACTTTTCTTTATTAAGATGTACCATTAAGGAAGTGGAAAGGAAAAGTCCCAGAGTGGGAGAAGACGTCTGTACACATGTGTGGTGACATAGAGCTTGTATCCAGCATGGCTCTGTGTGTGTGTGTGTGTGTGTGTGTTCATTCCTACAAATTAGTGGCAAAAAAGGCAGTTAATCCCATAAAAAAATAGAAAAAAACCTTGAACAGGTACTTCAAAAAAGAGGATATACTAATAAACAAATGAAAGGGTGCTCAACATCCTTCGTCATTAAGAAAATGCAAATTAAATCCTCAATTGATTTTATTACACACTTAGAAGAAAAATTAAAATGAAATAAATTTATTGGACCATATGAAACTGCAATCTTTGCAGGTCAGAAATAGTGAAATATCATATAATGTAATCGATATCAAGTACTGATGAGGATGTGGAACTTCAGATCTTCAGACATTTGTGGAGTGTCAGTTGGTGTCACCCTTTGGGAATCTGTTTGGCAAAACTACACTAAAGCTTGGTGACTTAAAAAAGCAAATATTTGGCAGGGCGCTGTGGCTCACGCCTGTAATCCCAGCACTCTGGGAGGCCAAGGTGGGTGGATCACCTGAGGTCAGGAGTTCGAGACCAGCCTGGCCAACATAGTGAAACCCCGTATCTACTAAAAATACAAAATTTAGCCAGGCGTGGTGGCATGTGCCTGTAATTCTAGCTACTCAGGAGGCTGAGGCAGGAGAATTACTTGAACCTAGGAGGTGAAGGTTACAGTGAACTGAGATTGTGACACTGCACTCTAGCCTCGGTGGCAGAGCAAGACTTCATCAAAAAAAAAAAGAAAGAAAAAAGCAACCATTTATTATTTTATACACGTTTATAGATCAGGTGGGCAGCTCTGCGGCTCTGGGTTAAGCTCAGTCAATTCTACCTGGGCTTGCGCGTGCAGCTGGCAGAATGGCTGGGGCTGGCTAGTGCGATGGCCTGTCCAGGATGGCTCAGCTCTCCTCATGTCCTTCAAATCCTTCGGCAGGCTCACCTGGAGGGGTAGTCACAGACGAGAGAGAGAGAGCAAAAAAAGCAAGTGCTTGCTTGTAGGAGCACTACTGGTACCAACTTTTCCACTGTCCATTGGCCAAAGCAAGTCAAATGACCAAGCCCCGAGCCAGTGTGGGAAGGCATTATGATGACATGAATACAAAGAAGTGTGAAGATTGGGCCAGTATTTACTCAGGCTGGACAGACATTTGTATACCCTGTGATGCAGCAATTTCACTCTTAGATATATACCCAACAAAAAAATATACATGTGTTCATGAAGAGAAATATCCAAGAATATTAATAGCAGCACTTTTCATAATAACCTCAAGCTGAGAACAACTCAGATATTCATGTATAGTAGTGTGGATAAGCAAACTGTGCTATATTCACATGATGGAGTATTATACAGCAGTGAGAATGGATGAACTATGACAATATGGAGAGAGAGAGAGAGAGAGAAATACATATGAGCAAACAAACAGTAAAACAAATCCATGTTGTTAGAAGTTTGGCTAGCAGCTACCCTGAAAGGAGGCTAGTGACAGGAAAGGGACAGGAAGGGGCTTCTGGAATATGAGTCATGTTCTATTTCTTGACTGGGTACTGGTTACGTGGTTGTGTTCATTTTGAAGATATTCATTATAATGTATACTTATATTTTGCACGGCTTTCTCTATGTGTGCTCATGTCAATGAAATTTACATTAAAATCATTAACTGACATGCATAATTTTCATGGGTTTTTTGTTTGTTTTTAAATGTGTTTTCTGTTTTCCTGTTGAGAAACTCAGGTAACTATAATTCCATCTATTGTCTCCTCTGCGAAGGTGATGCGTTTCAAAATTAACAAGTAAATTAGTTGCATCACCACTGTGGCAATCACTTCATTCAATTCAATTCCATTTAACATAACAAGCGTTTACTGAGAACTCAAAACACAATGAAAGGAAGATGCATAAGGTCTCCACATGCTTTTCAGACCTCAGTGTACACCTGAATCATCTGGGGAACTGGTAAAATGTGTTGATTCCTGGGGTCCAACTCCAGAGATTCTGATTTAGTAGATCTGGAGTGGAGCCTAGTACACAACATTTTAAATTAAGTGCTATAGGTAAAATTGATGTAGAAAATCTTTGGATTATGTTCTGACAAAGACTAGCAAGAGCTCATGATCTAATCGCAAAGAAATCTATGTATTAAAGACAAAAACTAAAACAAGGTACAAACTACAATAAAGCTATAAAGAACATTGGATGGAGAAATTACAACTTGTTGAAGAAATGGGATTAAGTTTCACCTTGAAATAAGTAGGGAAAAGCTCTAAATTAATTCACTAAAAATATATTTAGCTCCTCCTACTAAGGTTTAGCACTGTTCTCAGTGCTGGGGATACACTAGGGAACAATGCATACCAAATCTCTGCCCTATGTTGCTTATGTACTACTGAAAGCAGCCTTTCCCTAGGCAAAGAGTAGTGTCTGTAATGGGAGCACCAGGAAATACACAAGGAAATGCAGATAGGAACCAAAGTGTAGACGCTTTTCTGCATCTAGCAGTATTTTTGTATTCCAAACTAACATAGTTTCTTCCAATCCTTGGGTTTTATAGTCCTCAGATATCCAAAGTGTTTTCTCACCCTTTTGTGAACAGAGAGCATTTTTAGCATTCCCATTTACCTTTGTTGTTTGTGTTGACCTCTGGCTTCCCTCCAACTTCACCACATCTTTCTTGTTATTAGTTGTCTACAAAAAAACTCCAGTATACCAGGTAAGCTTACAAGAATTACAAAATGACTGCCAATGACCTCTGTCTAATTCTATGACCTAGAACCTCTTCTGAAGCACCTGACACTAGCTTTGAATTGACTCCTCAAGAACCATGGCAAACTCTTTTCTAATTGACTATCTGCCACCACTCTAGGCATTTGTGGTGTGTGTACAGAAGGCTGTATACCACCTTCTAATCTCTACTCAGCCTCTAACTATCTGTATTTCAGTTGATAATCCCTGTGCTAATTCTGGTTGGTAACTTCTCCAGACAATCTTTAGCTTGTTATGTGGAAGTCTGGGGGAGGGGTTTGTTGATGTAATACCAGTTAATCAGATATCATCTGAAAAAGCCATCAGCTTACAGTTGATAGTAGTGGTAACTCCTCCTGATTCATTAGTACAGATGTTCCATTAATATCAGTAACAATGCATTTGACACTTTTCCAAAGCTTGATGAAAAAAAATAGTTCTTTACATTTATTCTTCCACTGAGGTTTTCCTTTACGTAACAGTATTTATTCTTCTTTTAAAAATTTTGTTGTGGTAAAATTACTTAACATGAGATCAAACCTCTTAATGGATTTTTAAGTGTACTTTATGGTGGTGTTATCTACAGGCACAACGTTGTACAGTAAATCTCTAGAACTTACTCATCTTGCATAACTGAAATTTCACACCCATTGATTAACAACATCCAATTCCCTTACCCCCACAACCCCTGACAACCAACATTCTATTTTTTGCTTCAATGAGTTTGACTACTTTAGATACTTCATGTACATGGAATCATGCCATACCTGCCCATCTGCGACTGGCGTATTTCACTTAGCATAATGTCCTCAAGATTCACTTATGTTATTCCATATTGTAGAATCTCCTTTTTTAGGGCTGAATAATATTCCATTGTATATATATGCCATATTTTCTTTATCCATTCATTCACTGATGGGCATTTAGATCATTTCCACATATTGGCTATTATAAATAATGCTGCAGTGAACACAGGAGTGCTCCTATCTTTTCGAGATCCTGATTTCAACTCTTTTGGATAAATATCTATAAGAGGAATTGCTAAGTCATATAGTAATTCTATTTTGATTTTAAATTTTTTTCCATACTATTTTCCATAGAGACTGCACCATTTTGCATTCCCATCAACAGTGTATACTGTTGGTCTATCCTCACCAACACTTATTGCCTTTTGTTTTTTGTTAATAGCCATTCTAACAGGTATGATGTGATATCACATTGGGAAGAGGTATTTCTAAGTCAATAGGATAACTTTTCTTAAGGAAGAAAGTAATTCCTGCTCATGATTCTGTATTATATTAACATATTAATATATTTATACACATGAAGTAGAAGGTTGAGAAAGTTATCTAAAGAGACTCTGGAGTCAGTTCGACTAAAACTTGAATTTTTGTTCTGTCCTCCAATAGCCTTGTGATATTGAAAAATTCATGTAATCTTTCACTGTCTCAGTTTCCCTGTCTGTAAAATAAAGTGGGGCTATAAATAACATTTCTCTCAGAGGGTTCTTGAGAGGGATATATTTATTCTGAAAACTGGTAAATAATGGGAAAGAATTCTAACATTAATATTGTTTTTGGGGGGAGTATTTCAGAGTAATCAAATAACTAACAAGAGAAAGTTTATCTATCTATCTATCTATCTATCTATCTATCTATCTATCTATCTAATAGCTAGTAAAAGAAATAACAATTAGCAAATCATCATTTGTCACCCCTGTGAGATCATGGTCCCAGGAAACAATCTTTCTTCAGCAGCTACTAACACCATTGGGTGAAATGTTGATGGGAACTTTATAATTGATGGATCAGACTGACACCTCCTGAACCCCTCCTAAACACTGGCCAACCTTAACTCCACTCCCACAAAGTGGGATAAGCACCCATTATGTGCATCCTGGTGGCATGCAACAGAAAGTACAAGGTACCACCTGCCAAGACCCCTATCTACCAGGTTAAGAAAATATGAAGGATGGAGGAACATGTTAAATGACACCATGAGGATGCAATTAGCTAAATACATAACAAAAGAAGTTATGTAGGAAAGATTACTCAGTTTCTTCCACAAATAAATCACATTAAAAATAAAGAGGAAAAGGGGGGGAACTCCCTTAAAGGATATATCAACCACATGCAAATATGTGGATATTTTTAGGATCCTCATTCAAGCAATCCAGCCATCAAAAGATATTTTCAAGACAACTAGGGAAAATTGAAAACTAATTGGGAAAAAGATGATATTAAAGATTTATTGGTAATTTTGCTAGGTGTGATAACAATACTGAGTTATGGTTGAAAAAAGAGCATTTGCCTATCAGCAAATATTGAGGTAAAGTGGCATGTTGTCTAGGAGTTGCTTTAAAATACTCTAGTAAAAATAAGTGTGCATATGTTTCATCTCTATGTGTCTGGTGTATTAGAAGGAGCAGAAAGATGAAAGCAAATGACAGAATGTTGATAATTTTTAGAGCCAGGTGATGACTGAAAGAGGATTCACTCTGCTATTTTCTCTGTGCTTATGTGTTTGAAGTTTTGCACAAAACCCATGTTCTTACACCAAAGCAAGCAGATATCATAAATAAGAATTGTTTGCATAATTTGTATGATATTTCAAAACAAAAAAACACCTGAAATAAATTTTCAAACTTTCAGCAGTTGCTCCTTATGCCTCAGGCACCTGGGGGCACACAGTTACTGTCTCTTGCCATTAGGGGTGATTTGAGAGGTCAGAGAAGCACTAAAAGGGTTGAAGGAAGCTTTATAATCCATAGCTCAAGCTCTGAAAAGTAAATGAACTAATGTCATTTAAATGTAGTGGGTCAGGACCAGCATTTTAAAAACATGAAACAGAGAAAACAAAGCTGCCAGGAAGTTTAAACTGGGCGGAGCCCACCACAGCTCAGCAAGGCCTCTGCGGCCAGACTCCCTCTCTAGATTCCTCCTCTCTGGGCAGGGCATCTCTGAAAAACAGGCAGCAACCCCAGTTAGGGACTTATAGATAAAACCCCCATCTCCCTGGGACAGAGTACCTGAGGGAAGGGGCAGTTGTGGGCGCAGCTTCAGCTGACTTAAACGTCCCTGTCTGACAGCTCTGAAGAGAGCAGCAGATCTCCCAGCTCAGCATTCGAGCTCTGATAAGGGACACACTGCCTCCTCAAGTGAGTCCCTGATCCCCGTGGATCCTGACTGGAAGATACCTCCCAGTAGGGGCCGACAGACACCTCACACAGGAGAGCTCCGGCTGGCATCTGGTGGGTGCCCCTCTTCGACGAAGCTTCCAGAGGAAGGAACAGACAGCAATCTTTGCTGTTCTGCAGCCTCTACTGGTGATATTCAGGCAAACAGGGTCTGGAGTGGACCTCCAGCAAACCTTTGCAAGGACATGGATGAAGCTGGAAACCATCATTCTTGGCAAACTAACACAACAACAGAAAACCAAACTGAACACTCATAAGTGGGAGTTGAACAATGAGAACACATGGACACAGGGAGGGGTACGTCACACTCCGGGGCACGTCGGGGGGTGGGGGCTAGGGGAGGGATAGCATTAGGAGAAATACCTAATGTAGATGACGGGTTGATGGGTGCAGCAAACCACCGTGGCACATGTATACCTATGTAACAAACCTGCACATTCTGCACGTGTACCCCAGAACTTAAGGTATAATAATAATAATAATAAAACATGAAATAGAATAAAATAGAAAAATGCCAGACTGCATCTTCCATAATAGTACATTACCTATATGAGTTATTTACCACTGATATCAGGGCTTTTCAATTCTGAATGTGCACCTGAATCAGCTGAGGATCTTGTTACAATGCAGATTCTGACTCTAGGTCTGGGGAGGGGTCTGAGATTCTGCATTTTTAACATGCTCTTCCGGGGAGCTTACAGTCTAGGGGTGGAACACACAGGTTCAATCTTGCAAAATGGCAGGTTGTACAAATACAAATGGGAGTGCAGCAGAAAAGGAAGACTAGCTCTGCCTGAGATTTCATGGTTGAGTAGGAGTATGTTAGGCAGAGAAGCACCTGAGAGGCAGTCCAAGGAGTGACTGGCAAGTGCCAAGGACCAGTGAGCTTTTCTTGGCATGGTTACATCACTCTCTATTGCAGCTCAACATGGTTTCCAAGGCCACAACCTGATGGCAGTTGCCCCTCGTGAGTTTAAGCTAGCTCAGCCAGCAGGTGTGCTGGAGGCCTTGATGTCTTCCCTTGAAGGCCTGGCACCTGCAGTTCTGGTGGCTGTCACCTGGCGATGAGCAACGTGCTCCTGCAAATAGCAGCCTTCAGGACTTCGTGGCGCCCCTTTCCTTCCTACTTTTCCAAACTGCGCTCACAGCTCTCCACCCTGGCCCTGCCTTCCACAGATCTCACTTTCTATTTTGCATAAAGGGCCACTGCCATCTGATTTTCACTGCTTCTCCTTTCTCTTCCTCAAAAATCACTGATATTCTTTGTGTGTGTGTCTCCTTCTGCTGCAAAAGAGGAATCTGCAAGGGTGACAACTCACCTAAGCCTTGGACCTCACTTCTCCCAGCACCTCCCCCAGCCTCTCCATGTCTTGTATGCTCCCCTTCACTCACTTACAGAACCCTCTGCCCTGTTTACAAACATGCCACTTCTCCAGGCACCCAAGGGTGTCTCTAAACCCTGTTACTTTCTTAGGTTCCTTGCAAGTAGCAGCAGTGCCTTACTCCATGATAAACCCACAGCCCTAATTACTCCCCACGCTCTTCCTCATCTGCAGTGTGCATAAGCGTTGATTCAGGGAGGAAGGAATAAAATTGTTGCTGCCTCTCACCTTCTCTTCATCTCTAAACCCTGTGCCTCTGATTGTTGGTTTCTCCTGTTTCTAGCCTCCCCTGGGCTCTGGTTTCCTGTCCTAGAGGGTGTCATCCCCACATGGGCCTCAAGAGGAGCTGTGCCCTCTTTAACACCTCAGTCTATTTGAGGCCAGACACTTTTTGTTAATTACCTTCCGGCACAACTAAGACCAGTCAGAACCCTTTAAATGAGACTGAAGATTTGGGGTAAACAAATTGAAGAAACAACCTGAAACCAAATTATCCACTTGATATGGTTTGGCTGTGTCCTCACCCAAATCTCATCTTGAATTGTAGCTCCCATAATCCTCACGTGTCATGGGAGTGACCTGGTGGGAGATAATTGAACCATGGGGGTGGGTTTTTCTCATGATGTTCTCATGATAGTGAAAAAGTTTCATGAGATCTAATGGCTTTATAAAGGGCAGTTCCCCTTGCATATGCTCTCTCTTGCCTGCTGCCATGTAAGATGTGACTTTGCTCCTCCTTTGCCTTCTGCCATGATTGTGAGGCCTCCCCAGCCATGTGGAACTGTGAGTTCATTAACCCTCTTTCCTTTATAAATTACCCAGTCTTGGGTATGTCCTTATTAGCTGTGTGAGAATGGACGAATATACCACCCAACAAAGTAGGGCTTTCTCCTACAGCATTCAGTATGAGGATGCTTCCCTGCCCTGTTCCCTGTGGCAGAGAACATCTTTCCTCCTATATTGGAGCTTCTTCAAGTTCTTTTTAAACTCTGGAAGTCCAGATTCAAGAAAGTGAGACCCAGAGAGATTTGCCTCCTGCTTACCTTTTGAGTAGGAATGTCTTCACAGAAAATCCAGCTTTCCTGACATCCTGATGTCCACCCTGTTCCTGAGAGACATGAGTAAGGCCTTGATCCATGGACTGAATTGGCCGTGGCCTTCAGAATACAACATAATGAACCCAACCTCTTTAAGAGACACACGTCTAGTACCATGGTGAACGTCATTATAGGGTTACTGTCACAGACCACCATACCACCATTGACCCCATAACTGCTGAACTCATTGACCTCCTCTTGGTTTTCCTTCCCATCCATCTCGCTGAAGCTTTGGACACCACTGCTCCGTTTTGGCACTCTTTCGTCGCTTGGCTCCTGTGACACTGTCACTTCTGGTTTTCCTCCAAATTCTCAGACCACTTTCTCTCCATCTTTGCTGCCTATACTTCCCCCTTTAAATGTCAGCATTGCCCAAACTTTTGTTCTTGGCTCTCTTCTCTTTATCTTCCCAACTAATTTCCTCCACTGTGCAGGTGCTTGTCCCCAGAACTTCTAATGGTGTAGGAGAATTGGAAGCTTTACTGATTCTTTCCCTTCTCTAGACAGACAAAGCTCCTAGCTCCCCAGCATAGCCTCAAGCCACAGAAAACTTACCCCTAAGAGCTCTCATGTACCACCTTCAAAAAAGAATGGATCCTTTCCTGTTTAGCTTTCCCCAGGCTAATGCGACTTCCTCTTTTGAATACACAGGGTACTTAAAACATTTTTTTAGACTAGCTCTTATGTGACAGACACAGTTCCAGGTTCCCCACAATACACCTGTTGACTGGATAGTATTCTCTCCAAACCAGGCTTCACAGAGGTCCCAGGACCTGCTCAGAGTCACAAGAGCAGCAAGTGGTGGACCTGGGACTCTGGATACATGATGGCCACACAGTGCTGGTTGTGCCTTCTTGAGTCACCTGCCTTACTTTGCCATCCACTATTTTTAATAGCAAAAACCTCAATTACTTTTGCAGCAACTGAATATTGTGTGTGTGTGCATTTAATTCCTCTGCACATAAACTTTTGAGTAACTTTCTTATTTTTCCTTTCAGCTCTTGGCACCAAGCTTTTAGTTTGAATTTTGGAGACAGTCTCAATTTTAAATATTTCATCCTACTATGCAAATAAGTACTGTTGACCCACTTTGGGGCTCGTAAAGTGTGGTCATTGTTACAAATGCTTTGGACATTGCAGGCAATTAATAAATATCTGTAAAGCTGAATGAACAATATGGGAAAACAAGCCAGGTTTATTTCAGATTTCAGAGACCGAGAGCGTCATTCCAATGCAACTATAATGCTTTATTAAAACAAGCATAAATTTTAAGTGGTCACCAACTGCTAGCACTTGTGTGTGTTTTGAAAGAATGATGCAATACAGAATAAGAAAGAGTAGCTTTTTACATCATTTCACCTCCAATATCAGAATAGAAGGAAAAAGTCTGACCATGGTCTTTTTCTGTAACTGGTTTGTGACTATTTTTATTGAACGTAAAATCATTATTCCTATTGAACTTCCCCTCTGTTTAATTCTCACTCTTAATTTTAGGCTTATTACATCTACTACTTTGTAAGAAATGCTAGCATTTTCTATTAACTACTCTACTATGCCCCTTTAAAGTGGCTTCTTATGGGAAACATGCCGTTTTAATAGACATTTGTAGAAATTGGAAATTGGAAATTAGAGGTACGAACTTATTTCTTCACTTAATTATTAGCACTGATTCCTTTTTTTTTTTTTTTTTTTCTGAGGCAGAGTCTCCGTCTGTCACCCAGGCTGGAGTGCAGTGGCATGATTTCAGCTCACTGCAACCTCCACCTCCTGGATTCAAGCACTTCTTGTGCCTTAACCTCCTGAGTAGCTGAGACTACAGGTGCACCACCATGACCAGCTAATTTTTTTGTATTTTTTTCAGCAGGGACGGGGTTTCACCATGTTGCCCCAGCTAGTCTCCAACTCCTGACCTCAAGTGATCCACCTGCCTTGGCCTCCCAAAGTGCTGAGATTACAAGTATGAGCCACCACGCCTGCCTCCGATTACCTTTTATACTCATTTTTTCCCCTGCTAGCCTATAAAGAATACCCGTGTTCTCGCCCATAGTAGCATTTCCCAAACCAATTACATGAATGACGAAGGATTAATCTCATTGGTGGGATGTGAATTCTTACTAATCAGAAACAGACCAAGGTGTGCTGTCTTATCATGACCTTTTCTCCTAGTCTTTGGGCCTATTTCATTTCAGAGTTCAGAGTTCAACTTCTGCTCTTAAATCTCAACACGGAGTTACTTTCTTCAAGTTCCAGGCTACAAGACACTGTTTGGAGGATACCTGTCATTTATTTGTAGGTTGAAATTCTTCTTACCCTTTCGTTCCACTTGCCTCCTACCATTCTAGATTTTCCCCCTTTGAAGTGAGATTAGTGTTTGTTCTAATAGAGGGACTGGGGGAAAGTTCTCAGAAGATCTAACAACAGCAGCAATAGATAAATTAAATTGTACTACGTGCTGTCATTCAGAAAAGCTGTTTACAGACAGAGCTATTTTGAAGCCATTAAAAAATGCTATTCATCTCAAACTTGCCATCTGTCTTCAGCTTCTGGAATCGTCTACGGCGTTAGCGAAGAGATTAGTCTCTGTGGCCAGCTTCCTTCTAGCTCTCCTGTGACACTCAGGGAGGCTCTTATGGGAAGAAGGCAATTTATTTCAGCTGCACAACCACATGGCTAACTATACACAGCAATTATACAAAGCAAATGTATCAACTTCTGCCATGGGAGGCAGGAGTTCCCTTTCTGGTCATTAATAATGAACAGTCTTCAGTAAGTAGGGAAACATTTACCAAATAAAATGGCCTATTACAGATGATCCCCTGGGCAGCTGAGAAATCGTGTGGCTGCTAAGGAAAGAGCGAAGCCAAAGAGGCTGATGTTGTCGCTCGACCTTGCTTGGTTGTCCTGGAAGCATCTCCGAACCAGCAGAAGATGTGACCCACTGGCTCTTTGTGCATAAGTGTCTAGTCCGAAAAGAAGTGGCCTGGTCTTTTCTATATTGAAATTCCATTGCTTCCTTTCCTGGCAGCTGCATAATTGGGAATGCCGTGAAATAAAAATGAGGAGGAAGAAAATTAGAGCCGGGAAGTGTCAAGTTGATCGACTGCCAAGTTGGGGGATGGAAGTGTCCGGCAAATTCAGATTCTCCCAGGACCCCCTCCCACCATGTCACCCCACCATTTAAAACACTTGTTCCTCACACTTCAGGAACTCTCTGGAGGCTCCTAGCTGATCTAATGCTTAGACTATAACTTGGTCTACAGTGATGTATTCAGAGGACTCTTTTGCAGTCGTTTTCATGAGCAAAATTCCTGAAAAGGTGCTGACATTTTAATGCCTCCTATTGATACTTTACATTTAGAGACAACAAGCTTTGCACTGCACGCAAAATCCTTGCAAATCCTAATGCTCTGTGGTCTTAGCCACCTCGCTCAAACATGGGGTGTAATTATTAATAGAACAGATGAGGGACATGTTCATTTGAATGCAATCTTCATATTGAAGACAGCTGAGCATTAATTGATGTTCAACACCCTTCAGAGGTAGGAGTGTATTACCTGGCTTCTCAGATGGATGACTTCAGGCAGTGGAATGATAAAATCCAAAGCCTCAGGGCAGAGATTGTGCCTTTGATTAATTCTGCAAAGGGCATAATGGTGCAACAGTGATGGGAAAATAAAGCCATTAATAATAGTGTGATGAAACCTGTGGCTGCTCAGCTGCTTAAGAATGTAAGCTAGCTCTGGTGTTTTGCCAAATTCTGTTAAAAATTTGGTCCACACAATCATACGTTTGTGAATTGAGAGCATGTATGCACTCCTTTCAATAAACCACAAAAGATGAGGTGATGAGAACCAACTTGACCACTATTTTGAGCTTCAAAATGCCTTAAAAACTTTGGAAATATTATTAAGTTTTAAAAAATTTAGTCATGAAACACATATTCATTGAAGGGCAATGATGTGCAAAGGACTGAACTGGGTGCTTAGTCCGTGCCCTTCTGGCTTACTATCCAACAGGAAATAAAAAGATATAGTTCATCACCATACAGGCTGATCACTGCAGATAAGGGTAGAGACAGTATGTTATGGGAGAGGGTTCACATGGGAGGCACCTCATCCAGTCTTGGAGAGTAAGACAGGCTTCCCAGAGAAATCATCAAATGATATTTTAACTGGTAGCTTCAGGACTAGTAGAAGTCAACCGGGGGAAGGAATGGGACTTGGTAAGGATACAGTGGACACAGGCTGCTATTCTAAAACTGCAGAGGAGAGAATGGATACAGAATGTTAGTAAGATCGGGCAGCTCAGTTGGTTTAAGTCAACTTGTATCTTAGTGAAAGCCACCCTGTTATCCCTCCACACCTTTAGAAATGAGATCTCCATGCAGAGATACTTCCCCTGAAAGAAGAAAGAGAGAGACAGAGAAGGAAAGAAGGAAAGAAAGAAAGAGGGAGGGAAGAAAGGAAAACAAAATTAACGATTGGCGAGGACTGCCAACCCGGTTCATAGGTAATGTGTTACCTCAAATTTGGTAAGAGAGTTTGAGGAAAAAGTTTCTGAAGGAAGATTGACTCAACATGGATTTTTATACTTATTCACTCTTTATTATTTCAACTTTCTTTTTAGTTTATTAGGTTCATGGAAAAAAATTAGTAGTCATTCAACAAAAGCAAATATTATTTTTCTTAGTTACAAACAAGCAATGTCAGACACAAGGAACTGAAGTAACGTTTTCAATCTCATTCAGGCCTATTCTGGGGAAAGGTGGCAAAGTAGACACAAAGAGATGACAATACCTGTTTCATACTGAACCTAATGAAATGAAGTGAACAATAAATTAATAAATAAAGCCAAAAATGATTTAGGAACAGTGCTATAACTTTGGAAGTATCTAGAAATGCAAGACTGTGGAAATGGATGCCTGGCTCAATATAAAATTCCTCTAGAAAGAGTTCTGTGGATATGATACATAGACAGAAATCCAGAAAAATCTCCTTAATCTTGCAATTCCCACCTAACTTCCATTCTGGGAGTGAGATATGCTACCCAGTTGTGAAAATAATACATGTCTTTTCTGATTAGAAGTTCTTCCTTGATACCTTGGATAAATAGTATTCAACAGTGAAGGAAGAAACCACTAGGCTTACCATTCTATTTTTCTCTCACTGGAAGGAAGGCAAGAGGCCTAGTATTAAAAAAATCACCAGGAGTTAAATTTTTCCACTAGCAAATAGGGCTTTAACAGAACAGAAGCATAAAGTAGCTGAGGATAGTGGTGGTTCAAGGGAAGACGGAAAATGTATAGGAAGCCCCAGTGTACAATAAGGGCACCTCATGTCTCAAATAGTTACTTTTCTTTTATTTTATTACATTCAAGCAGAGACTGGAGTGGCATTAACTGCTAGGGGAGGCATGTGAGCTAGGATGCTTTTTAAAAGTGAGGGCAGGTTGTCCCCAAAAGAAGCAATGGCTTGGTGGCCCAGCTTGCATGAAGGACTAATCCAAAATTTGAGGGCGTCTCTCAGGGAACACGATACATTTCATCTTTTAACAGAATTCCAGAGAAGAGAGCTCAATCAGAGATCAAATTCACCAACTGCAATTAAGCACTATCTTAGATTTACTCCTTCCCCTTGCCACAGCAAGAGAAAAGCAGAACATAAAACTAAAACTATTAGAACACCAACAGAGGTAAAGGTTGGGAAAGAAGTCAGGAGAAACTGATCTATATAATTCTGGGGCAAGTAAAAGTTCTGGATAAAGTTGTTCCCACCAAATAAAAATAAAACAAAAGAAATAACAACACAATTATGTAATGATATGATGACAAACATAGGAAGAAATTAGCTTAGGGAAGACGAAGGGAAGGAAAGGGAGGGCGAAGAAACCATTCTTGAGGAAAACAGAGGAAACACGAATACTTTCTGCTATAAATGTTTTACACTCTCAAAGTACTGAAAGAGGATATAAAATCTATAAGACAGGAGATCCAAGATCATCTTGGTTTAAAGTGAAATATTCTAACAGTTACATAGTATTCTACCTTCCCACCTGTGCATATTTATATATTTCTTTTTTTAAATTTTTTAAATTTTTTTAATCAACTAAAACTTATTTAAGCATAAAGTTACTTTCACATTTGTCTACAACCACAGTAAATACAGTTCTTGACATAAAGACAATTTAAAGCCTCCCCACCTGCAAGATTACATATATAAAGCTCCCACCATTCTTTATATAATAGTGGATTAATCAAATTAAAAGTTATACTATCTAGAATAAAATAAAATGAAATAATTTACTCATAAGATTCATATTTAAATCATCCTCATTTACAAAATACTATCCTGGGAATTATAGTTCCATTAAGTTTCAATCTGAACAAAAGTGTAATCACTTAAGTAACAGCAGTTACTTAAACTGAAAATGAGATCAGTCAAAATTACTTTTGAAGAGGGCAAACATGTTGTTAGGTTTCTTGCTGTCGTTCTGGATGTTCAGCAGCAGGCTCATTTGAAGTCGGACTCAACCCTGATGGAAACTCATTCTACCTTCAGAATGTGGGGGCTGGGGGGAAAAATGCAGGTCTTGGGGGACGGTAAGGAAGAAAACCTCTCGGTAAATAGACATTTCTCATTGCAAATGGAGCACGTGGTGGACCTGGGACATCCCTTGGAGAAAAATAATCTGGAGAAGCTCCAAACACGGTTCCTGGAGGAGGTGGGGGGAAAGGAGGTCCTCTTCTTATGAACGGGCCCCTTGTATCTACTGGAAACAATAAACCTCTGATTGGAGCAAGAGGTGGAGGAACAAAGCCAGGGCCAGTTGCTTCATTTTCAGCGGGGAGAGATGAATCAGGCACCTTTAAATTACCAAGATTATCTTTGGTATCATTTCTACTGGATTCCATTTCTGAAGGCATTGACCCATCCATTTTATCCAAAGAAGGCATATTAAAACTTCTGAGTTCTGCTGGTCCAGAGAGTCTAGCACAATTAGAATAAAATCTGTCTTGCCTTTGTGGAGGGAGAGCTGAATCAGGATATGATTGTCCTGGTGGAGGAAACATCATCCTATAGTCCTGTTCCCACGGAGGTGCCAGGGGCCCAGCGTCAGAAGGAGCCCTGTGAGGATCAGTTAACCTATCACAGCTTGATTCTCCTCTTTCTTTGGTAATCTGATGGTCCGGAGGATTCCCTGGGCCTCTGGAGCCTCTTCCTCCTCCCCGTGGAAGCAAAGGTGAGAGTCTGAGAGGACCTTCCAACAAAGTTGGAGGATAGAGAGAAGCTCTCGTTTCAGATGAAGGCCAACCCAATGGTGAGGGACCATATGGGGAATGCTGTCTGCCAAATGCTGTATTTGGAACATCAAGTCCATAAGGATCTTTTTCTAAAAGTTTTATTTTAAACTCTATTTCAGTTAATTTTTGTCTGTTGTGAGCATTTTCTTTCCTTAAATCATTGAGGTTTCTTTCAGCAGTCCAAGCTGCCGACCAATTATCATGTGCTTTTTTCTCATGGAGAATAATCTTCTTTTGATAAAAATGAATAGTTTTCTCAAATTCTTTAAGATCTTTGGCTCGCTTTCGGTAGGTCTCCAGCTCTTCAGTGGCATGGCTGATCATTTCGTCTACTTTAGAAAGTTTCTCTTCTTTCTCTAACCGGCATTTTTCCTCTACTATTAATTTCCTGTAGAGTTTCATTTCATTTTCTTGATATAATTCAGTCATTACTTTAAGTTTCTGCTGAAGCTTCTGATTCTCACTTTCAAAATGTGTGTTTTCTGACTGCAAAGATGCTTGTTCAGTCTGAAGATTTTTAATATGCTCTGTAAGCTCTTCCTTTGTTTTATCAACTTCAGATAATTGAATATAAATTTGGTTTCTTTCTCCTTCTAAGGTTTTTAAGGAAGCATTTAACTTAGCAGCATGAATCAGTTTCTTCAAAGCTCCTTTTGGAGGATTATCTAAGTAAGCACCATCTTCCGATTCACTGTTCATTTCTAATTCCAAGTTATCATCATCCGTTACATCTTCTTCAAGCATAGCAACCCCATCTTTCATCTTTAGCAAGCGTTCAGTCAGAGTCTTGATGTGATTTTCTTTATCATTTAGAACTTGTTCTGCATGTACTTTGGAGTCTTCAAATGTTCTTTTCTGTTTAATAAGTTCACTCACTTGTTCTTTCCATACTTCAGCTTCTTGCAAAAGCTGTTTCTGGCTTTCCTGAAGTTCAGAATTTTCTTTCCAAGCATCTTGTATTTCTATCTCCAACCGTTCTTCATTCGCTTGAAATCTCTTGAAGGTCATTTTGGCTTCAGCTACTTGTGATTTGAGGGATTTTGACTCATCTTCTAGCGACTGTATCCTTTTGGAAATATCCGCCATCAATTCATTTTGTTCAGAATGTTTAGATTTCTCTTCTTTTAACTCTTTTTCTAGACAGAGTATTTCATGCACAAGTTCAGAATTGAACCTGTTCAGCTTTTCGCAGGTTGCCTCCAAACTTTGTGCTTCTGTTGCCTCCTTCTCAAAGCTGGCATTCTTTAAAGATGACTCTACTTCATAGCCTTCATACTCTTTTTGAACAAGGCTAAATTTTTCAAGTAGTTTACATTTTTCTTCAATTAGTCCAGAAAGTGCCACAGCAAACTTTTTCTCTCTTCTCACATAAAGCCGACTCGTAACTGATCTAAAACTTCTCCACAAGAAGAGAACAGCAAAAAATCCAGCAACAGCTGCACGTATCACCAATTCCCATGGAAAACCATAAGGATGAGAATCGGGTCTCATACCTTCAGTCAGTGCTGCCACAACCCTGCGTAGCAACTCCAGGACCAGCCCCAGGTATGGCTGAGGGTTAGCCCTAGGCTCCTCCGTAGCGCCAAGGCTGCTCTGGCGGTTGCTGCAGTAACCTCGGCCACAACAAACGCTGGAGAAGACGCAGCATTCCGTTTGGAACCTGAATCCCTAACGGGCAACCGGAGCGTACCACTGCGGAGCCGGCTGCGGGGGGAGTTAGGGGACGCGGGCACCCGTAGGCCTCACAGACCCACACTGCCCACCCCGGTACCTTTGTTACACTTTACATCCTGAGGAAGCGCTAAAACCTATATTTTAAAACAGTACCACATGGTGAGAAAGACTCAGGTGACCCAGCATCCCAGCTATGCCCATCCCAAGCTGACACCCTAGCTAAATGTAGCCTTGTGCATGACCCCAGGTGGGGCGGGCAGAAGAACCTCCCAGCTGACAGAATGATAAGGAATAACAAATCATTGTTTTAAGTCACTAAGCTTTGGGGTCATTTGTTATGCAGCAGTAGCTAACTGAAATACCTGCCCCCTTATCCCTTTGGTGTTTCAGTATCTGTGGCTGAAATAATGAATTTGGGTGCTTGACTAAGATTATGCCCTATGGTAAATTCTGATAGGTAATTTTATAGCTAAAATACAAATTTTCTGATTGACCTTTGCTTCATTGAAGAGATATTTATTTAGCTCCTCCCAAATGAGACAGATTATGCTTTTTAGATTAACTTCTTCCAGGAAAGGGCTCACCACTCCCTAGCATGAGCCTCAGCTGTCCCATGTACAACTGAAAAACGCTAATCTCATCCCCAGAAGATCCAGGACTCTTAGAACAGTGCTGGCACATAGAGAGTGATTCTCTTACCTGTCCATCAAACTTACCTGCTCTGTGTCCATTTCTGAAACACTGGCACTCCTTCAACACGGATGACGCCTTGCCCTGCAATAAGTCATCATCTCCCGCCCATGCACATATCTTCAACTCATCTGGAAAGCTTGCTCCTGCAGCAATGGGTATGCCCACTAGGTTATAAATCAGCGCCAGGACCAGTTTGATGCATATCCTCTGGACAGTCATCTTGGAAATATGAATGCTAGCCACCACATCCAGCAAATCATTTTTGATGAGGATGACGTTGGCTGCCTCGATGACCACATCCGTGCCAGTGCCAGTGGCAATGCCCAAGTCTGCCTGGGCCAAGGCCAGGGAATCATTGACCCCGTCCCCCACCATGGCGACTTTCTTCCCTTCATTCAGGAGCTCCTGAACCTTGGTCACCTTGTGTGAAGGCAACACCTCTGCAAAGACTTTGTTGATGCCAACCTGGGTGGCAAAGGCTCTGACTGTCTTCCAGTTGTCCCCCGTGATCAGAATCACGTTCACATGCATGCTTTGCAGCATGTGCACAGCCAGGGCAACCTCCTGCTTGACAGTGTCTGTGACAGCCATCATTCCACAGAGCACACCTCAACAACTTGCACAAGCACCAGCTCCCTTTGCCATCTTCCGCCCGCATATTTGTATAGTTCTTATATTTTCATTATTAAAAGACAACAAGCTGACTGCATTAGAATTTAAAGGCCTCTGGGTGACAAAACCGTTATAAGCAAAATAAGTAACAGATTTGGAAAATATATGCAACATATAAATTGACAAAGGAATAATATTCAGAATATATAAAGAACTAGGCTGGGTGCGGTGGCTCATGTCTATAATCCCAGCACCTTGGGAGGCCAAGGCAAGAGGATCACTTGAAGTCAGGAGTTCAAGGCCAGCCTGACCAACATGGTGAATCCCCGACTCTACTAAAATTACAAAAATGAGCCAGGTGTGGTGGTGGACGCTTGTAATCCCAGCTACCCAAGAGGTTGAGGTAGGAGAATCTCTTGAACCTGGGAGGTGGAGGTTGCAGTCAGCTGAGATTGCACCACTGCACTCCAGCCTGGGCAACAGAGCAAGACTTTGTCTCAAAAGAAAAAACAAAAGAACTACAAATCATTAATAAAAATATAGTTAATTGAGTAGAAACAGTAGACAAAAGTATGTACGAAGAGACAGGCAATTCTAGAGGAGGGAAATAAAATGTCCAGTGAACAGATAAAATGATACTCAACTTCACTAATTAAAAAAAAGCAAATTAGAACAATAGGGTATGCATTCTACTTCTGGAAAGATGAAGTAGAAGTATTTCCCCCCATTTCTCCTGCTAAGTACAGCTAAAAACCCTGGACAGTAGATATAAAACAACATGAGAAGACTGAACAGTGGAGAGAAGAAGGTAGACCAGCTAGAGATCTCAAAACCCAAGAAACAATATGGTGGTGAGTTCCGTGGGTTTTATTTTTGTCCCAAAGACGAGATGCTAAAGAAGTGGGCAACCAGTAAATGCCATAGACACAGAGCAGGGAAAGCCTGTCTCTCTGGTCAAAAGCCCATAAGAGGGGCAGGCTAGCAAGACAGAAAACTCTTAGGCATGAACTGATCTTTCCCAGCAGACACCACAGAAAAAAACTGTGGCCCACTCCATCTCTACCAGCAAAGTGCAAGAGGGTAACTTAAACTTCCACTCTGGACAAGCTCTACTGAGCACCCCTTGCTTCCCCACAACCCTTCCCCCGTGATATGATTGTTTGTGTCCCCATTCAAATATCATCTTGCACTGTAGTCCCCAATGGAGGGATCCAGTGGGAGGTGACTGGATCATGGGGGCAGTTACTCCCATGCTGTTTTTGTGAAAGTGAGTTCTCATGAGATCTGATGGTTTTATAAGGGGCTTTTGCCCTTTGCTCAGCACTTCTCCTTCCTGCTGCCATGTGAAGAGGGATGTGTTTGCTTTCTCTTCCACCATGATTGTAAGTTTCCTGAGGCCTCTCCATCAATGCTGAACTGTGAGTCAATTAATCCTCTTTCCTTTATAAATTACCCAGTCTCAGGTATGTTTATTAGCAGTGTCAGAACAGACTAATACACCTTGTTGAGGTGATGTCAGAGAAGGCCAAGGGAGGAGTCTGGTCTGGACTTTGTCCCCTCCTGGTGGTAATGAACCACTTTCATGTCCTTCATCAGGACCACTTGGGGAGCCTGAACTCTCACCCGCTATGTAAGGACTCATATCTAGAATACACAGATTTATAAAGGACATTCAAATATCAACTGTAAAAGAAACACGAACAATCCAATTATAAAATGAGCAAAAGATATGAAAAGACACTTTACAAAGTAGACATACAGATGGCAAATAAGCTCATGAAAAGTTGTTCAGCATCACTGGCATTTAGGGAAATGTGAATTAAGACCAGCAAACAATACCACCACACACTAATTAGAACAGCTAAAATAAGACTTAGTGGCAACACCAAATGGTGGCAAAAATGTGGAGAAATTGATCTCTCACACATCACTGGAGGGAATATAAAATGATACAACCACTCTGGAAAATGGTGTGCCCGTTTCTTAAAAAACTAAACATATGCTTATGATGTGACCTAGCCCTCACTGCACCCCTGGCATTTCCCAGAGAAACAAAAACTTGTGTTCCCACAAAAACCTGCACATGGTGCTCATAGCAGCTTTATTTGTGATATCTCCAAACTGGAAACAACCAAAATGCCCTATGATAGGTGAAGGATTGGACAAACTGCAGTAATGCCTACCATGATTTATTGCTGATTTAACTCAGCAATAAAGGGGAAAAAAATATCGGTAAATGCAACACCTTAGCTGGATCTCAAGGGTATTATTCTGAGTGAAAAAAAACAGTCTCCAAAGGTCACACACTGTCTGATTGTGTTTATATAATCATATGAAAATGACACAATTATAGGGATGGAGAACAGATAAGTAGTTAGAGTTGGTGGGGACGGGCAGGTCTGCCTATCAAGGGGTAGCAAGAGGGAGATCTTTGGGGGGATGAGATAGTTCCATATCTTAATTATGGTTATGTTTCCATGGATCTGCGTGTATAGTAAAATGACATAGAACTATACATACTGTATACCAATGTCGATTTTCTGGTGTGATATTGTACTATAATTATATTAGATGTAGCCATTGAAAGAAACTGAGTAAAAGGGGCAAGGGACCTCTCTGTACTATCTTTGAACTTCCTATTAATCAATAATTATTTCAAAATAAAAAACTTCAAGCAGTATGATTCTTTATCCATCAGATTGGAGAACACTTTAAAGCTTGATTCAATTAAGTGTGAGCAAAGTTCTAGAGAACAAGGATAGTCGTTTTGAAGGGCAATTGATAGTGTTTATTACAGCTTAACACATGCACAATCTTCCAAGAGATTCTAAGAGTTCTTTCTGAAAAAAAACACCGATGTGCACTGGAGAGAGACATGCAAGACTATTCATTGTGGCATTGCTTGTAAGAGTGAAAAAATTAAAATAGCCTAAATGCCCATCAAAAGTGGAATAAACAAATTATGGTATATTCATATAATACAATATAACAATTAGAAGGAATTAATTAGATACACTTGTAGCAGCATGATGAGATTTCAAAAACATCGTGTTACATGAAAAAAGCAAGATACAGAATGACACATAAGAGATAATACTTTTAGAGGAAACACATAAAGCAATACAGTCTTCTTTAGGCACATATATATGAATTATAAAAATGTCAAGATCAAAGGTGTAAATACTTCAAACAAAAGCCTAACCATGCTCACATCTGGTCAGGAGAAGAGGGGAACATGAGATGAATACATTTATTAGTTATTACCTGGATGCTAAAAATTATTATGACCCTGCAGTTATTTTTTAAAGTTTATTTTATTTTTTGTTTGTACAGTGGTTCATCTGAAACTAGTCATTATTAATATGTTGATATTTTCCTTTTGCTTTTCTTCCTGTTCATATTTTAACGTGTGTGTGTGTGTGTGTGTGTGTATGAATGTCTGAATGCAACATTTTTAGAAACTTAAAGGTATAAAAGCTGAAAAGAGATTATAACATCTCCATTATTGAGCGCCCACTATTTGCCAGGCTAGTGTACTATGTGTATTACAGACATTACTCCTAAATCTCACTACAATCCTATAAATTGCTGTTCCCTCCATTTTACATGGGTAAACTGAAGATAAAACTAAGGATAGAAGAGGTGAAGCAACTTGCTCAAGGTCACGAATTTGGCCAGAGCAAAGAGCCTGGACCTGTGTCCAGGTGAGGGCCCTTCAGAGCTCATGCTACTGCTCCAGCTGAGTCTGGCAGCCTTCGCCCTGTGCTGATAGTTTGACAAACATTAAAGCTGGAAAACTTCCACAAAGCAAACTGCGGAAATTCCCATGATTCCTTGCCAATTAGACAGGATGACCAAGGAGGAAAACAGCCAGACTGCCTTTGCTCAGAAGGGAAAAGGGGAATGTGACAGCTAATGTTTTACTCGGGTGGCCAAAGCTGGATAAATATGTTTTCTATTTTATTTTATTTTTTCTTTTTACAAGAACAGTCCTATTGCAATAAGGCTGGATAAACATCATTCTTCTAAAATACCCATGGGTGCACAGCTTACCTCAGGAGAGAGCTGAAGGAAATGGCGGATGCTTCCTGAGAGGACCCGATAGCCAAGAGAGAATCTGGAATAGCTTCCATTGACAGGCGCCATTCAGAGATGCTTGACAAATAGTCTTGTGTTACTGTCCAAGTTCTTGGCCTAATGACAGCGGTGGTAACAGCAACGATACAGTGGATACTCACATACTGCCCATATGTGCCAAGCAGCGTTCAAAACAGTTACATCAACTCATTTAATTCTCCATAATCTGACTTAGAGATAGCATTTAAAGTGACAAAATGAAGCAATAATTCATATGTAGTGCAGCACTGTTGTCAGAAACAAGAACTCAATCTCCAGATACTGGCATAATTTTTTTTTTTTTTTTTTTGGGACAGAGTCTCACTCTGTTGCCCAGGCTGGAGTGCAGTGGTGTGATCTCGGGTTCACTGCAGCCTCCACCTCCTGGGTTCAGGCTATTCTCCTGCCTCAGCCACCGAGTAGCTGGGACTACAGGTGCCTGCCACCACACTCAGCTAATTTTTTGTATTTTTAGTAGAGATAGGGTTTCACCATGTTGGCCAGTCTGGTCTTGAACTCCTGGCCTCAAGTGATCCACCCGCCTTGGCCTCCCAAAGTGCTGAGATTACAGGCATGAGCTACCACGCCTGGCCGCCCTTATTCTTTTATTAGCACAATGACTCTGCCCAGAGCCCTACACAGCCGACAGTGATCCACAGTTCTGTGGAGGTTGGGGGAGCTGGTGGGAGAAATGATGACACTGGGTTTCGAATATGTGACTGCAATGGTGTCATCTCTGCCTGACAGGGGCTTGTGCTGAGTCCCAGTCTGTGGAGGCTGACGAGCAGCCATGATATTAATATTTACTGCCCCCCTTGACATTTGCAGGCTGGATGGCAATTCTGAATGATCTTTAACTGGGACACAGAAAAATTGCTGATCTCGAGGCAGGGGTCAGTCCTGTGGGTACATGTGGTTCTTCTACACTGAGTGGGGGAAACTCACCAATCTAATACTGCATGTCTTATCTGTCGTATTTATGATTCAACTCCACACAAGTGCTGACTATTAGCAATGTGCTCCTTGCCCTGAAGAAATAATTATGCAAAAAGAGAGGGAAGGAACAAACAAAAGTACTCTTTCCATCTCACCTGTCGTCTTGCAGAAAATAAAAATGTATTTTCTATCCTTTGGGGGTGATTTTCTGAGAAATAAAACTCTATTTCCAAATGGTAGTTGACCCATAATTAATCCCATTTATTTGGGGGGAATGTTACATGTTATGTGTTTTTCCCACTTAACAAATGAGAATCTTACTGGCGTGACCTCCCTTACACAACGGAAAGTCAGCTCCAGCAGTTCATTGACCCCAAAACCAGACCTATTCAGCTAAAGTTTCGTGCAAGGTTGAGCAACGATCTAGCTTGCATTGGTACTATACAGACAGCCAGTACAGGTCACTGGGGCCAGAACGCCATCAGGACCAGAATTCCACTGGAACCTCAAACCTTTGGCATCCCTCCAAATGCTCCAGAAGAGTGATTTGCACTCCAGAAGATCACTTACTTTGGGGTCTAGGCATATCAGAATATCTGGGAAAGGGGGAAAGTTTGAAAATGCAAGTCAATTTCATGATGCGATTTTACATATGAAAAAGGAAAGAAAATGCCTATTGATTTCACACATAAAGATAAGTAATCAAAATCTCTTTGAGGATAGCAGGACATTTTTGTTTTTTCAAAAGGGGGAGTTGCTGATTTGAGAAATATTGCTATAAAGTTTAAATTTTCAAGTCTAGATTGAACACAGTGTGTAGGAAGCATAGAGATTAGGCTTGCACGCTTTGGAGCCAGACTGTCTGGGTTCAAGTCCTGGCTCTACTGTCTGTGACATTGGCAATTTGCCTTAAACTTTCTAAACCTCCATTTCCTCACTTGTAAAGTAAAGATGTCTTAATAAGACCTCATTATAAGGTATCGTGGGAATTAAATGATATAATTTATGTTAAGTAGAAAAGTGTCAGACACATAAGAAATGTGCAATGATGGTAGCTATTATTAAACACCATCCTTTGACGTCCCACTTTTTCCTTGTTCTATTAAATCTTTCTAGGAACTTCAGGTTCTTGGCACTTCAAGTTCTTGTAAAATGTTCAGTGGTATTCAAAATGTGTTTTCTCTAGTTTTTCTTTCTTTTTTTTTTTTTTTTTTTTAAGAGGGAGGGTCTCACTATGTTGCTCAGGATGATCTTGAACTCTTGGGCTCAAGCAATCCTCTCATCTTGGCCTCCCAAGTAGCCAAAGCTGGCTCATGTCACCAAGCTGGCTTTAGTTCTAATGAAGATTTAAGATAGTAAAGTCCATCAGACAAAATTCTGGTGATATAATAATATATCTTATATTCTCTCAACTCCTCCCTATTTATAATGAACAAATGTTTGGACAAAAAAAATGTTTAGTTCACCACCATGGAGTACATACTGTTAGTTGCCTATCCAACATGCATACAATCCCTATGCCCTTCTTAAGGGAACTGCTGATCATCCTCTCATTGTTGTGTACTTCAGGGAAAACTGAACCTCAGCCTCAGGTATAGGGAATGAATCCTGGGTAGTTTAAGCCAACCATGGTAAACCCATTTCCCATGCTGACTATTAATTTAGAAACAGACACGTAACATGCTGAGAAGTCATCTGGATCTTCCACTTTCTTCACTTCTAAGAAGGATACGTTAGATGGGATGCCATTTCTTCCTTTCATCATAGTTTTGTTTGTATGTGACACCTAGAACTGCTGTTGCCATCTGGAAACCATGAGCATAGACCATGTTGTCAGGGCAAAACTGAGGGTGGCATAGTGGGAGGATGTCACAAACCTGGGCCCTTGATGACATGCGAAGCTCCCGATTGCTCCAGCATAAAGCCCATGCCCACTGCTGGACTGATTCTTGTGTGAGATCCAACTTAAATTTCCAACTATTTAAGCCAGCTTGAGTTGGGGCTTTGTATTATTTATAGCCCAAAGTGTACTAATACCCAGCATATTAAATCCACATTAAAATGTCTTAAAATAAACTGGAAAAAGTCAGGCATGTTTTTATATGGTCCCAACATCACCCTTAATTTCCCTCAATAACCTCCTCTCTTTACCTCATCTCTAAAGTCATCCTATCAGCTCTACTTCCAAAATATCTCTGAATCCAAATACTTCTTCCCATCCCTACTGCTGTCACCCAAATCCAAGCCACCATCATTCTCTCCTGTATCACAGCAATAGCCTCACAGCTAAACTACCACCCTTCATGCTTGCCTGAACTTCTACAGCCAGTTCTTTTTCTAAATTAAGACAACATTTACATAATATAAAATTTACCATTTTAATCATTTTAAGGTGTATAATTCAGTGGTTATTAGTATATTGCCAACGTTCCACAACCATCACCACTATCCACTTCCAGGACATTATCATCACCCCCGCAAAACCCCGTATCCAGTAAATGATCATTTCTCATTTTCTCCTCTCCCCAGCCTCAGACAACCACTAATACAATCTATTCTGAGCACAGCAGTTGGAGTAATATTTTTCAAAGATAAATCAGATCATGCCACTTCTCTGCTTAAAACTCTCCAATGACTTTGAATAACATTTAAATTCCTTAGCCTGACCTAGAAAACCATTCACGATTTAGTCCCTGTCTTCAGTGCTGTCTGGTACCATTCTCCCACTTGCTTGCGAGGTTCTGTCCACACAAGACCTCTGTGTGTTTCTTGGACACAACAGCTCATTCCTCCTTCAGGGCCTTTTCCATGTGTTCCCATTCCTCAGATGCAGTTTCCTGCTTGGCAGATTGGTGCCTTCCCAACATTCAAGTTGCACCACAGCTGTCCGCTCCTCAGTGAGTTTCCCTGGCCGAGACAGCCCCCCATGACACTGTTGCTCCTTAACCTCCTCCTTCTCACTTTCCTTACCTCATTGATCACTATCTGACACATTCATTTTTAAAAATTTAATGAAAGCCCATAGTTTACTCAGATTTCCTTTGCTTTTACCCAATGTCCTTTTCTCTTCCAGAATCCCACCCAGGATACTATATTACATGTACTTGTCTTGGCTCCTTAGGCCCCTCTTGGCTGTGACAGTTTCTCAGACTTTCTTTGTTTTGATGACCTTGACGTTTTTGAGGAGTGGGATGCTCCTCTATTGGAATTCGTCTGATTTTTTTTTTTCACGATTAGACTGGAGCTGTGGGTGTTTTGGAGACAGAGCACAGAGGTAAAGTGCCATTTCATTGCATCTTATCAAGGGTTCACATTCATTTTTTATTTGTTGCTTACCTGTCCCTCCCACTGTTAGAATATTAAGCTCCATGAAGGTAGGAACATTGCCTGCTCTGTTCATAGTTTTATTCACAGAACCTAGAATAGCATCCAGTACAGAGCCTCATTAATTATTAGTTGATTGAAATCATGAATAAACTAGAAAACAAATGACCAATATACTGCCTACTGTTTTTGCATGTGAAATAAAATATGGGTCAAGAGGATTCATTGAGCATAGGTCAAAGACACTAAAACCCTTTCAAATAATCTGGCATATCCGTGAGATAAATCTAAACCCTCATGCAAATAAATAATTAACCCAAGGCCAATAGCACATTCAAAATCATTAATGAAAATTGATTTTCCTTTTCTGTGGGGCTGCGTCTCCCTGCTGCAACACAATCCCATTTGCAGACTCAGCCAGGATTCATTGTGTTTCACTTCATTTCTACTCAGGGTCTTCTATTTCCTGAACCGTGCTAGCCTCTGTGAATTTTTTTTCTTTTTAAATATTTGGCTTGGTCAGCCTATGCATGAAAAGGGTATGAGTGACTTTATGTAGGTAAGCTTTGAAAGGTAGCAACCCCTCTCAGAACAAGGAGTTAACACATGAGGAGAAGCCAGGCTTGTCCAGCAGAGAATGCAGGGAGGGTGACCGAGCCCTGGGGCTGAATGAAGGGCTCTGCCAACTGACTTCATGGTGCAGGGGAGCAGGAGGAGGAGTCTGCTGGCAGCCGGTTAAATGCCTTTCCAGGAACATGGTGAAAACTGATTAAATATAGATGCAATCATATGAAATGATAGAGGGAACCTAAGGGACGTCTCCAGCCATTAAAACACCAAACACCAATGGGAGCTCCCTAGTGGTCACGGAGGAAGTTCGTTTTCTGACATGAGCTCCCAGAGAATGAAGTCCCTGAAAGGAAGAACTATTTGTATTCCACTCAGATTTCATGTAACCTTTTCTTTTGGAAGCTTCAGTAAGCAAAGGCACATTTGTCAAGGCTTCGGGATGAATGTGGAAAGCTTTTGAGCACTGAACTTGGAGATACTCAGAAGGGCTTACTGGAAAGGCTGCCCTGGGCTGGGAGCAGTCAGACATCCACTCCAGCTGGCCAGGCAGTGTGGGCCTCAGCTATGATTACCTCCAATGAGCCAATTTCCTGACTGTGTGTAACCTCCCAATCAATTTATTTGAACGTGAGTTTCCCTAGGTAATGAGCTGCATCGTGTATCATTGGTCAGAGTATTTACTTTTCCTAGCATGCATCAGAGTAAGTGACTTACAGGTCAAATACCATAAGGTTACGTAAGAAGTTTAACTAGCATTTCTTATTTCATTCACCAATACTATCATGAGACATTTTGTGTTTCCTTGGGTCTATGGTGCCATTAATGGTAGCACTATGGACTGAATGCATAGCATTTTGGGGACAAAGAAAACAACCACAACAAGACATGTTCCAATTTCAGAAAAGGAATGTGTGGAAAATTTTACAAGATGGAGCTGAGGAAATTCGGGATGTCAAACACCAAGTGAGTGCTTGTAGACACTGAGAATTCCCTGGTAACTTTGTGGTGCAGAGCCCATTCATCTCACCAGTCCCCACAATGCTTCATGGACGCTGGCATCAGTGTTTCGAGTTCCAGCTTTCCCAGGACTCCTCCACATGAGCTGGTTTGAGGAAGCCTGAAAGACCCCTGGGCTTCACCCTGCCTCTGGGCCCTCTGCTTGCTCAGGCTGGGCAGTAGCGGTGGTCCACTACCCCCTCCACCCTTCCTGGACAGGGTCTCCAGAGGGCACATGAATTCCATCCTTCTGCCCTGCTGGCCAAACCTTTCTGTTTCCCATCTGTTAGGGTTCCCATGTGGGCTGACATCAGTTCCCACCCCCAGTGAATTCTCAAAGGTCCCCTCTGTCTGTTCAGTCCTCAATTCCCACCGTTCTTTATATTCAATCTTGTACTGTCTTCTTACTACACTTAAGTTTTGACTTGAGATATGCATTCTTCCTCTGTTACCACCAAAGAAGAACTGGGTTTTCCTGTGTTTGGTTCTGCATTCTAAAACACCACTAATACCACCTCATCAACAGCTAGCACCTAGTGAGCACTTCCTGTATGCCAGGCTGTGCAACATGCACACACAATGCCATGTTTGTGTAATCTCATAATCCGCCACGACTACCTCTGAGGCAGGTACAATTATTATCCTCTCTTACAAGTGAAGCAGATGAAGCCCAGTGCTTGGGTCAACAGCCCTCATTGACCAAGCTACAAAAGGAAGAGTCAAGACTCCACAAGGCCTGCATGGCCTCACCACACAAGCTCACAGCCAGTGTTTGTGAGGCCTCTCCTTTGGCAAGAGGTGCAGAGCTGCTGTACAAGTAGCCACTGTGAGTGAGGGGCCTCCTTGGTGGGATGGAGGGGTGAAGGGGAGGGAGAAAATGAGGATGAATACCAGGTTCCTGGCTTGGATCACTGGGTAGACAGTGGTACCCCTCACCCATGTTAGCAACTCAGGAGAAGAAGCTGTGGAGGCTTTGGCAGCAGCCTTCTGCACTTTGTGTCCTGTCATCTTGCAGAACATCAAAGGCCAATGTACACATGGGTCCAACACTCCAGACAATATTTTCCTGACCCCCTTGACTCCAGTGACCTTTACTTGGATTCCATTTCAACCAGCCACCCTCTTGGCTATGCTTGTTCCATGCATTCCCCAAAACTCCCCCATATGAGAATTCCCATGTTCAAATGACCACTTTCTGTCTGCACTGGGTCTGTTGGACTCTTGCTCCAGTTATTTGCACCACGTGTTTTCCTGCCTCCGTAAGACTCCCAAGCCTTCAGCCTGTCTTCCCAGCTACCAACGTATAAACTCTATCCTGTCCTTGCTCTTTTCCAAGCCTGGCTGCCCCCATGAATTATGTCCCATGCTTACCTCTGCAGCCCCCTCTCCTGCCACAGCCTGGTCTCTCTTTGCTCCTTGTTCCAGGCAAAACCATGACCAGATATTTCCCTGATTCTAAGATCCCATTTGTTGAAGAGACAATAATGTTTAATAACAGATTTCTAGAAGAAAGACAACACTACCACATGAAATGTATGCAGTCATTGGGAGAAATCTTTGTATTTAAGAAATGATCAAAGTGCAAACAGATCTGTTTTAGGATGGTGAGATTTCAGTTCTTCAGTCTCTCTCATCCCCAGGTCATGGGCACACAGTTTCTGGCTGGAATGGAAATACTATCTCATTTAACTTTTAAACAATGCTGCAAACTAGGTATTCGCATCACCATTTTATAAAATGGAAACAGTTTTAGAAACATAAAGTTATTTTCTCTAAGAAGGTTACACAGGTAATAAGGGAGAAAAATTATATTAGTCTGTTTAGGCAACCATAACAAAATACCATGGCCTGGGTGGCTTATGCAACACACATTTGTTTTCTCATGGTTCTGGGGGCTGGAAGTTTGAGATCTGGATGTCGGCAGGGTTGGGTGCTGGGGAGGGCTCTCTCCCAGGCTTGCAGAGGGCCACCTTCTTGCTGCGTCCTCACATGACCCTTCCTCAGTGGGTGCTTCCTCTCCTTATAAAGTCACAAATCCCATCATGCAGGACCCAACCTCAAGACCTAATGTAACTCTCATTACCTCCCAAAGGTCCATCTCCAAGGTCTCATTACCTCCCAAGGTCTCATCCCATTGGGGGTTAGAGCTTCAACATATGAGTGATGAGGGAGGGACACAAACGTTCAGTACATAACAATAATCATGTCTTAAACATAGGCCTTCTCATTTCAATTTCTAATTTCCTTTTATCCTGCTACACTGTAGCTGGATTCATTAATTCCTACTTGCCTTCTAAAACCCAGTCAGGGTGCCCACCGTGAAAAGCCCTTCCAGACCCTGTTTTCCAAGGCGGGGCTGGGCTCAGGGCTCTCCTCTGGGCTTCCCTCGGATCCTGTGCATTCTTTTAGTCCTTCCCACTGTGTTTGAGAATCACAGATAGGTCAAGGCCTTAGTAACTTTGTGTCTGTAGAACCAACAAGACTTGTTCCATCGTGGCCCTTCCAACAATATTTGTTCCGTTTCCCTGGAGCAATTTGACAGCCCATCGGGCATTGGGAACGGTTTTATCTGTTTTAGGACCATTAGAACTTCAAGAATCGCACAAATGCTACTGGTTTTTTTTCAGACCTTCAGAAACTCCCAAGCCAATGCTTTCAGGAAGTCTTAAATATTCATCTTAGAAAACTCTAATTAGTATTGCAAATTAAATGTATCCTTTTCTGGTCTGGCTATTATACAAATGGAGGTGTTTTTTCAGTTGTTGTTTTAAGACAAGGTCTCACTTTGTCATCCAGGCTGGATTACAGTGGCGTGATCATGCCTCATTGCAGCCTCGACTGCCTGGGCTCAAGTGATCCTCCCACCTCAGCCTCTGGAGTAGCTGGGACCACAGGCATGCACCACCACACCCCAAATGGAGGACTTTTTTTTTTTTTTTTTTGATGGAGCCTTGCTCTGTCTCCCAGGCTGGAGTGCAGTGGTACGATCTCAGGTCACTGCAACCTCTGCTTCCTGGGTTCAAACAATTCTGCTTCCTCAACCCCCTGAGTAGCTGGGATTACAGTCATGCACCACCACACCCAGCTAATTTTTGCATTTTTAGTAGAGACGGGGGTTTTGCCATGTTGGGCAGGCTGGTCTCAAACTCCTGAACTCAGGTGTTCTGCTTGCCACAGCCTCCCAAAGTGCTAGGATTACAGGCATGGGCCACCATGCCTGGCCCCAAATGGAGGTTTTTCACACCAGACCTGAAAATCCATTCGTTGGGGAGGATAGGAACGTCTAAGTTGTTTGATGTTTGGCCCAGACTTTTAGAAAATCCCACAAGTAAATTTTACTGGTAGGAACAGTGGGAATCAAACTCATCTCTTTGAAAGGCTTGATGATAGCAAAGTCTCCCGAGACACAAGTAGTGATACGGGAGATGGAGCAAAATAACTTGCTCCATATCTTCCTTCCTTAAAAGAATTGGCCAAGGAACGGCTTGGATGACTCATTGATCTCTGCCTGTGACCCGTGCCAGAGCCTTGCCTGCCGGGTTCTCTGAGTTTCTGGTGAAGCATTCAGACTCCATGCAGGAAGTGAGGTCATGATTGTTTTGGCAGTTTGGGTGGCGTTTATCCTTTGGTAGCGGCTGAAGTTTATCAGTAGGTTTAGCCTTTGCACTTTGAGAAACCAACTATTATCTCACTCACAATTTAGAATAATAAAAAGTCCATGGCAGAAAAACGTGCAGTAAGTACAGATAAAGAACAAACGAGGGAGAACCTGGTGTTCCTGTCCACATCAGCCCCCCAGGGCACACAATCTATCCATGCTCTGATAGAGTCCGTGAGAAGGCGCCACCGGCGTTCTCGCTTTTTCTTTCTGGTAGCAGCTGCAAGTCAAGACATTTCTTGGAGAGCGGTTGGGAGTAGAGAAAACACGTTACATCTTTAGTTAATAATTTGGATTCAGTTATATCCTGAAGTGACCTGCAAGGGGGACACTTAGGTTTAGGAAGACCTCTTAAAGGTTTGTCTCCTCCCTGGGAGCTGTAATCAGAGCAGTTAAAAGATGGGCTAAGCCTCCGCAGTTTGTTGTCAGAAGTGGCTAAGAAGAATCTGGTAACTGCTGTCAGGGACCCCTCCTGGAGGCTTCCTGTACCCCGTGGGACGCCGACCAGATTTCCAATGTGGTTCTAAGTCTGAGATGCTACAAGCTTATGCATTTACAATTACATAGAGAAACAGGGTTCTCCTTTAACACTTTGCTCATGAGGGGCATCCCAAAGACTAAAAAGTACGGAACTGCAAAAACAAACGAACAAACAACTTTGCAAATCTTGCTTTAAATATCCAAAGCAAGAGAAAAGTAACACATCACCATTAAAATGATCTTAGATTGGTAAACTATCTGAGCTGCTATACTATTATTAATGGGAAAAAAAAAAACACCTGGATGAAGATGTTAAATAATTCCATAAGTCACTATCATTCATCAAGCAAGTAAGAGACTTTTTATGCAACTACAAACTCTGGCTTGACTTCTTCAAATTTTGTTTTATGTTTTATTTTTTATATCTGGAATATATTGTGAGACTTAGAACAGATGGCTATAATCCCAAAGCATATATATGCATTATAGTTTTTAGGAGCTAAAAACTATAATTAAAAATGATTGTATGCACACACAGTGCTGAAAGATTTTTAAAACAGAAAAGCTTCATATAAAATGTGGACTTTCTCAGCCATCCTGTTACTTGATGCTCTGTAGACATGCTCTGGGTGAGAGGATCATACCTCACAGTGGGATCGGGACACCCCAAAGGGAGATTGTCTTGTAGTTGGATCAGTTCGGCCTAGTCCACACTTGGAACTCTCCCCTGCTGGTTTCAGTTACGGTAGACTGGAATTGGCACATTACCCAGAGGCGGAAGGGAAGTTACAGTGTCTGTGGATATGTATAGTGGTGCCTCACACACTAGATTTCATGTCAGACAAAGCAAGTTGAAATCTGCAATCTGCTTTTTATTAGCTTTGTGACCTTGGGCAAGTTAATCTCTTTAATCCCCGGTAACACTGTGGGGTTATTTTGAGGTTTAAATGAACCCACGACGGCCACTTCACTAACTCCCTAATTTTCTTATTACTCATCAGGTCCCCATGTTCTCTCATCCTTCCTTTCATGGCTTAATTAATTCATGGCTTAATTAATGGTTGGCTCCATCTTCACAAGCACCCTCAAAGCTCTCTTGTTTCTCTCCCTCCATTGTACTTGCCTGGAAACCCCCAGCCTAAGATGGATCCACCAAGCTACTCTTCTGGGAGAGAAATCATTCATACCAACAGGATCACAAAACACACTTTTCCACCTGCATCTGCCTTGTGCTCACAGTGCCGTTTGACCCAGTCGGCCACCATCTTCTTGGCTTCTTAACACCACCACCACTTCTTAACACTTCTTGGCTTCTTAACACCACTCTGAGATATACTTTCAAGTTCTTTGCTTTATTGTTTAAATTAAAAATAGAGGGGTTTTTTTTCTTGTTCAAAGGGTTGCAATAATAATTTTTCTAGAAGCCGGACACGATGATTTTACTGAAGAGACTCCAACCCTGCCTCTAATCAGAGGACCTAAATAATCACTGCAAATCCTGAAGCCCTAGAGCTGTGTTCCCTGAACACCTAAAGACAGAGGAGGTGAGGCCAGCAGTCTCCTTAACTCTCTGGGTCAGCCTCAGAGATGGCCATCAGCTGATTCCTCTTTTTTATTCCTTAAGGGTTGAGAGTTGAAGAGAGAAGTCAATTGATGCCACCACTGAGTTTTAGGACTTCAAAAAGAAATGTATAAATAGCTGTTTGGTTTTCTTGCCATTTCCACCAAGGTCTAAGTGGGTGGGGGTGAGGCGGGGTGTTGATGGACAGGGAGCAGCCATGATTCATTGGCCTCTCCGTTTTGGGAGGGAAGCTCACTGGGCTATTGCTGGTGACTGCACTTTCACAAATGCTCCTCCGGTGCACTTTCCCTCTGTAAATGGCTGCCTTCACTTGGAGAGTTACCTTTTTTCAGTGTCTTTCACAGCTTTCGTAACTTCTAGCTCTAGGAAAGGGTATGAGAGAGTTCATGTCTTTGTCAGTTATCCTGGAGGAAAGCAAACCAGTCCTCAAAAATGAGTTACTCATCATGTGAATTCATTGGTTAAATAAAGGCTGAATAGTGGGAAGAGTTACTCATATACCGTAACAGACACTCACAGCCATCTGGCTGTCTGGCCTCCTCTTCATGCCCACATTACTCCTTACTCTAAATGAGGTTAATGGGAATTAATATATATGTATTAGGAAAAGGAGACATCCTTGGGGACCTGAGCTCCAGCTCATCAGTACAGTGCTCCTCTCTAGGTAGACAACAGGGTACTTGGGGAAACACTGAGTAATGGTTGAAAGATAAATTACATATAGGCTAGTCAATATCTTGCCAATTAAGCTTACTGTATTCCTGAATAGAACATTTCTGAGAAAAAGACTGGCATCTAAGCAGTTCAAATAGTTGCATTTTATTGTCCTATTTCATGGGGCAATTTCTTTCCACATTGACTTTCATACACATAGACAGTGGAAACAGCTTTTTAAATTTACAAATAAAATACTTCAAAATTGTATCTGTAGGACTGGCAGTCATTGAGAAGAAAAATCAGCCATCCCACAAGACAATGCTTGATAACAAGAGTCCCTAAAATGTGTGATGTGCTTGGTGAAATATTTCTATCCTACTCATTAGCGTATTTGAGCAGACTTTCTTGCATGCTGTCTCTCTCCTTCCTATCAATGCTATCTCTAGTCCATGCTATTAATTATTTACATAATGCCCATATTGTGAAATACATAGCATGCATTATGAACATCAGACAGTGCTTTTCTGTGGCTTGTATCACGGTATTCTATCAACCCACTACATAAACAACCTCTCTCATATGTAGACTGCATGATGGTCCTGATGAATTGATCTTGTTCAGATCCTGTGTACATATTACAGCAGTGTTTTATCACTACATAGATATACACACACACTCAATAGTCACTGGTGTTAAAATAAATATTGTGACTTTGCCTAGAGAATGGCCTCACTGAGTAACTGGCGGCATCAGATGGTCTTTATCAGTCATGCAGATAGGAGCGTGCCTGCTCGTAGCTTGGTTGTCTTGTTGTTTGGGGTGATTCTCCTTTTCATCTATCCCAGGGAAGGGTTCTGTTCTTCATCATAGCAAGCCCATGGGATGGTCTAATTCTCTGTGCACAGGAGAAATCTAAAAGCACCCTGTTGAATCAGTCAGTCCAGTTTCACTAAACGTTTTACTCAATTCAGTAGCATTTATTAACCACTTAGCAGTGTATTCTGAGCACTGTGGGAAATATAAAAGAATAATAATCCTTTAAAGAATGTAAGCTTGAATGGCTTAAGATCAAAATTGTTCTTTTTTAGCAGCTTTAAAGGGTTATAATCCACATATCATACAATTCACACATTTAAAGTGTACAATTCAATGGTGTTTAGTGTATTCAGAGTTGTACAACCATTATCAAAATCAAGCTTAGAATATTTCATTACCCATAAGAGAAATCTTGCAATTAGCAATCATTCTCCATCTTCCCCTCCTCAAACTTCCCAAACCCAGGCAACCATGAATCTACTTTCTGTCCTACGGATTTGCATAATCTGGACATTGCCTGTAAATGAGATTATACAATATGTGGTCAGTTGTGACTGGCTTCTTTCACTGGACATAAGGTTTTGTTCATTGATGATGTAGCATGTATCAGTATTTCATTCTGTGTTATTGCTGAACAACATTTCATTGCATAGATATACAACAAATTATCCATTCATCAGTTGATTGCCATTTTGGTTGTGTGCTGTTATGAACAATGTACATAAAACTTATGTTTTTATGTACATGTGTGTTTTCATTTTTCTTACATGTGTATTTAGGAGTAGAATTGCTGGGTTACATGGTAATTATATGTTTAACACTTTGAGGAACTGCCAGACTGTTTTCCAAAGTGGCTGCACTATTTTCATTATCATTAGCCATATACAAGGGCTCTAATTTCTCTACATCCTTGTCAACATTTGCTATTATTTATATTTTTATTTAATTATAGCCATTTCTGTGGATATGAAGTGTTATTTCATTGTGGTTTTGATTTGCATTTCTCTTATGACTAAGAATGTTGAGTGTCTTTTCACGTATTTAATGGCCATTTGTATATCACCTTTGAAGGGATGTCTGCTCAGATTCATTGCCCATTTTTCAACTGGGTTATTTTTTCTTTTTATTATTGAGTTGTAGGTGTTCTTTATATATTCTAAATACAAGCCCTTTTTCAGATATACGATTTGCAAATATTTTCTCTCATTGTGCGGGTTATCTTTTCACTTTCTTGATGATCTTCTTTGAAACAATAAAGTTTTAAATTTTTATGAAACTTAATTTGCCTTTTTTTGTCACTTGTGGTTTTAGTGTCTTAATTAAGAAGGTTTTGCCTAACCTCAAGTCATGAAGGTTCACTCCTATATCAAAGTCATCTATTCTTTGTTGATCTTCTTTCTAGTTTTTCTATCTATTTCTGAAAGTGGGGTGTATAAGTCTCCAATTATTACTTGTGAATTATCTATTTTTCCTTCTATCCATTCTGTCTATATTTGCTTTGTATATCTGGGGGCTCTGTTGTTAGGTGCACGTATGTTTAAAATTGTCACATCTTCCTGATGAATTGACCCTTTAAGTGTTGTAAAATGTTCTTATTTGTCCCTAGTGAAAATTTTTGTTTTAAAGTCTGTCTTCTCCAATATCAGCATAGCCACTCTAGCTTCTTATGGTTACTGATTGTATGATATATTATGATATATCTTTTTCATCCTTTTACTTTGCATCCTAAATATACACAAGACTTCCACAAAACAATCAGAAAATGACCAACAACCAATATGCATTAGTTAAGAGCAATTCTACTCCTAAGTATATACCCAACAGAGATATGTGCATATATTTAAAGAAACAACATGTACTAGAATGTTCATAAAAACAGCATTTGGTTTTTTTTTGTTGTTGTTGTTGTTTTGTTTTTTTTTTTTTGAGACGGAGTCTCGCTCTGTCGCCCAGGCTGGAGTGCAGTGGCGCGATCTCGGCTCACTGCAAGCTCCGCCTCCAGGGTTCACGCCATTCTGCTGCCTCAGCCTCCCGAGTAGCTGGGACTACAGGCGCCCGCCACCACGCCCGGCTAATTTTTTGTATTTTTAGTAGAGGCGGGGTTTCACTGTGTTAGCCAGGATGGTCTCGATCTCCTGACCTCATGATCCGCCCGCCTCTGCCTCCCAAAGTGCTGGGATTACAGGCGTGAGCCACCGCGCCCGGCCAAAAACAGCATTTGTAATAGCCTCAAACTGAAAACAACCCAAATGCCATCAGTAGCAGAATTAAGAAGTAATTTTTGGTATATTCACACAACAGAATATTATATTTTGAACAGAATGAGTTATATACAGTCACACACAATAATAAGACTGAATCTCACAAACATAATATTGAGTTAAAGAAAACCACAGAAAAATACATATGTATGAGTCCCTTCAGATAAAATATAAAAACAGATAAAATTAGCCTATGCTGTTAAAAATAAGAGTAGTGGTTACCCTTCTGGGGGATAGGTAGTAAAAGAGGGAGTGTTGGAGATACTTGTTACTCAGCTGTGTTTACTTTGTGAAAATTAGTTGATATATATACTTTTCTATACATATATGACTTCAACTAAAAAATTGTAAAGAGAGCTATAATTTAAATAAAATATGGAATTCCTTACATTTTCTTTAAAAAGCTAGCATATAGTGAAACCTGACAAAGATGGCACAAAACATTTTTGGCCAAGCCTGCTTATGACTACAGATACAAAACATTTTTAAAAAACACTAGCAAATCTAATCTAGCATCACGTTAAAGGATTAATGCTCTAGAAAACCATGAATGACTTAATACTAGAAAATCTAGAAATGTCATTGATTCCATCAATAGGCCAAAAGAGAGAAACTTTATGTTCACCTTAATAAATGTTAAAAGACATTTAACAAAATTCATCATCCATTTCTGATAGAAGTTAAACAAATTACATATAGAATAGTCTCTCAAAATGATTAAAAAATTATCTCAACCCAGTAGCTTACATCATATTTAAAAGCAAAACAATAGAGTGTTTTCCAAATTTATTTTGCCAAGGTACATAACTTAAATTATAATGTACTGAAGAGCTACCAGTAGGAGCTCATGACATATGTATAATACTATGTTAAGATGGGACTTTCCTGTTGACTCAGAGTTTCAGCTATGTCCCCCAAATCTGAGAACAAATACAAGAGTTGTTTAATATCTCCCCATCCTGCACCTCTTGGGTGGCACTAGACTGTCCATGCAGGACAGGCTAAGAAATTGTGAAACCCTCTGCCAGAATTGGCCCATCACTCCCCTCTAGGATATAAAAGAGAAGACAAAGAATTCATTGTAATTAAAGAGGTCTGTGTTGAGGTTTTTTTTTTCTTTTCTTTTCTTTTTAAAGAATGGCTAATGGGCCATGTATTTCACCCATGGAAGAAAAAGAGAGAGTCTTTGAAGTAGGGTTTTAAGAGTACTATTTGAAAAGCTTGACATGGGTCCCCTGGTTAGAGAGAGACAGGCCTGGTATCTGATTGATCCCTGAAAAGAGTAAAGGTAAGAGGCTATGACTGGCCAGGAGCTCCAAGATAACAAAGCCAAGGGAAGAAGTTGATTAGAAAAGCTTGACTTCCTCAGTTGGGAAGGGGAAAGAACGTGTAAATTTCCTATGGGCCAAATATTGGGTCCAAAGAATGAAGCTGGATTATATCATTTTGAGAGGAACTATGTTGGTCATATGTGACTCCTAACAGAGAGACAAACTCCTGGAATTCATGGTGCTAGTCATTAGCAGCCAGTAAGAGGAGCACTGCCTATGTGAAGGTAGCTGTATGTGAGAGATCCTAGCAATAGTCAAGGAGAATTACAGAGGAGAGGACCCTAAGGACCTCATAGGAACACCCCAAAAAAGAGTGCATCTTCATAAGGAGTCTGCTATATGCAGAGGGCATCTATTCTAGGTTACAACTGCACCAGCCAGGTAAGACTTTTCTGTCCTTTAGCTGTCCTCTCTATTCCTACTTTCCCCTAACTCCTAGCCTGTGCCCAACCTTGGAGATGGTTAAAACAATAGCTTGCAAATAGGTGAGTTGGTGGAGCCAGACATGGGAAAAGAAGTTGGCCAAAGTGCCTATTTCCACTGCAGGTTTCCAAACCACTGGGGAAGGAGACATGTGTATTAGGCCATTCTTGCATTGCCATAAAGAAATACCCGAGGCTGCGGTAATTTATACAGAAAAGAGGTTTAATAGGCTCATGGTTCTGTCAGCTGTACAGGGAGCTTTGTGACAGAACTTGCTCAGCTTCTGGGGAGGCCTCAGGGAGCTTTTACTCATGGAAGCCAAAGGGAAAGTCAGTGCCTCAGAAAGCAGAGCACGAGCAAGAGAGTGAGTGGGGGTGGGGCACACACTTCAATGACCAGATCTCATGCGAACTCAGAACAAGAGCTCAATCATCATCCAGGGGATGGCCCAAGCTATTCATGAGGAATCCACCCCCATGATCCAAACACTTCTCACCAGGCCCTACCTCCAACACTGGGGATTACATTTCAACATCAGATTTGGGCAGGGACAAATAAACACCCAAATTATATCAACATGTTTTTGATTAGACCACAAATTTAAGCTATGCATTTATTTTATAGGGCTGAACTTCTATTATGTAAAAAATGACCAGATAACTATAGACATGCTTGTGATTAAGCTAGCAATGGAAAAAAACAAGTCAAAAGAACAGATTTGAAGGGCCTGTTGTGGGAAAGAATAAGGTGGCATTCTAATTGATTTGAGAAATTCAACACATATACATGTACATATTTATGCACATACAAGGCCACAGCCTCATTTGTGTCTTGCCACATCTACTCATGCCACCTCTGATGAGTTTTCATCCACCAGCAATGTGAAATTTTTTGAAAAGCAAATCTTATCAAGTGATCTCTGCCTAAAATCCCCCAGTGGCTCCGTATCACTCCTAGATTAAAGACCCACACCCAGACCCTAGAAGGTTAAGCTATCCTTACCAAGTTCAACCAGTAGCACACTCCTTCTCATTCTATGTGCTCTCATTTTTTCCCCCAGAAACTTGTACTGCTTTCCCACCTCACCTTTGCACGTAACTCTTCCCTCTGCCTGGAATATAGTTTTCTTTCTTCTTTGAAGCCTGATCCTTCAAAGGTCAATTGTCCTTTCCTCAGAGAAATCTGTGTTGACCTTCCCAGGTCAAATTTCCTTATTATATAATCTTATATTACTATTTACTTCTCCTTTACAGCTTATATCACAGTTATGTTTTACATTATGTGATATTTGTTAGTATGTGCATCCTCTACTTGACTGTAAATGTTATAAGGGCAGTTACCAAATCTATTTTTGTTTCCCATAGAATCACCAATACCTGCTACCAATAGGGGGCCTGCTACCAAGTAAGTTATTGGATATTTGAAAAGTGAATGTGTGGCAGCCAAAATATATAATGCACCTATGAATAAGCTTAAAGAAATGTGTCCATATGAGAAAAACTACAAAAATTTACAGAGGAAAATATAAGAAATGCTTAGGTACAAATTTAGCAAACATATTTATTACCTATATGAGAAAAAACTTTGATGAAAGAAATCAAAGAACTAAGTGGAGAGATATCCCATATTCATGGATAGGAAGACTCACTATTATCAAGATGTTGATTCTTCCCAACTAGATCTACAGATTTAATACAATCCCAGTCAAACTCCCAGCAAGTATTTTTTGTGGCTATCAAAAAACTAATTCTAAAGTTTATATGGAGAGGAAAAAGACCCAGAATAGACAACACAATACTGAAGGAGAACAAAATTGGAGAACTAACACTACCAAACATGAAAACTTACTGTAAAGTTACAGTAATCAGCACAGTGTGGTGCTGGTGAAAGAAGAGACAAATAAATCAATGGAACAGAATAAAGAGCCCAGAAATAGACCCACACAAACATATTCAACTGATCTTTGACAAAGAAGCAAAGGCAATACAATGCAGAAAAGATAGTTTTTCTAACAAATGGTGCTGGAACAACTGGAAATCCTCTTTAGAGAAAAAAGAATAGAGGAGAGGAGGGGAAAATTTTTAAAAATTTAAAAATTTTAAAAAAGAATCCAGACACAGACCTTATAAACTTCACGAAAATTAACTAAAAAAAAAATCACAGATCTAACTGTAAAATACAAAACTATAAAGCTCTGAGAAGATAACAGGAGAAAATCTAAATGATACTGAGTTTGAAGATGACTTTTAAGATACATCACTAAAGCCATGATTCATGAAAAAAATAACAGATAAGCTAGATTTTATTCAAATTAAAAACTTCTGCTCTGCAAAAGACACTGTCAAGAGAATGAGAAGGCAAGCCACAGACTGGGGGAAAATATTTGCAAAAGACATATCTGATAAAGAACTATTATCCAAAATATACAAAGAACCCTTAAAACTCAACAATAAGAAAACACACAAACTGATTTTAAAATGGGCAAAAGATCTGAACAAACATTACAGCAAAGAAAATATATAGATGGTAAATAAACATATGAAAAGATGCTCCACATCATATGCTGTTAGGGAATTGTGAATTAAGACAAAAATTATATACTTCTACACACCTATCAGAATGGCAGGAATCCAAAGTACTGACATGAAATGATGGTGAGGAAGTGAAGCAACAGGAACACTCATTTATTGCTAGTGGGAATGCAAAATAGTATGGCCACTTTGGAAAACAGTTTGGCAGTTCCTTACAAAACTAAATATACTCTTAATGTAAAATTCAGCAATTATGCTCTTTGGTATTTATTCAATGAGTTGAAAACTTATGTCCACTCAAAAATCTGCACACAGATGTTTACAGCAGCTTTATTCATAATTGCCAGAAATCAGAAGCAACCAAAACATTCTTAAATAGGTGAACAGATGAACAAACTGTCGTACATCCATACAATGGAATATTATTCAGTGCTAAAAGGAAATGAGCTATCAAGCCATGATAACACATGAAGGAAACTTACATGCATATTTCTCAGTGAAAGAAGCTAGTCTGAAAAGGTTACATACTGTACGATTGTACATACTGGAAAAGATAAAACCATAGAGCCAGCAAAAAGATTAGTGGTTACAAGGTGATTGGGTGGGGTAGGAAAGGGAAAAAGGAGAGGAATGAGTAAGTGGAGCACTGAGGATTTTTAGGGCAGTGAAATTACTCTGTGTGAAACTACAATGGTGGATGCATGCCATTATGTATTTGTCAAAATCTAAAAATCTGTGCAATACAACCAGTGAACCCTCAGGTAAATGATGGGCTTTCGGTAGTGATGTGTCAATGAATATTCCTCCACTGTAACACATGTACCACTCTAGTGAGAGATACTGATAGTGCGCGGGGGAAGGCAGGGGCAGGGGGAAAGGTGCGCATGTGTGTATATGGGAACTGTGTACTTTCTGCTAAATTTTGCAGAACTTAAAACTGCTTTAAAAAATACTGTCTGTTTTTTTAAAAAATCTATGTTTGAAGACAATTTTAAAGTAAGAAGATCAGTGTACAAGTCTTGATATCAGTTTCCTCTTACTGGTACCATTACCTTTCAGGAGTAACTAATCTTCTCTTGAGTCTTTTTACTATCTATCTGTAAAACAGAATCAAATGAAACAATGTGAACAAAAGTATTCTGTAAATATGAACATTAATGTAATCACAATAATAACAGAATCACTTCTACTCTACTGTCCTTTTGGTATATTCTTACCTAGATGAATACATACTAAGCTGAAATCAGATGGCCTTACCTGGTCATTTGTTTTGTTTTGACTTTTTGTTAAAAACTAGTTTTGGTGAATATTTCAATACTTTTTTTTTTTTTTTTTTTTTTTTTTTTTGAGACGGAGTCTCACTCTTGTCACCCAGGCTGGAGAGCAATGGTATGATCTTGGCTCACTGCAACCTCCGCCTCCCAGGTTCAAGTGATTCTCCTGCCCCATCCTCCTGAGTAGCTGGTATTACAGGTGCCCACCACCACTTCTGGCTAATTTTTTGTATTTTTAGTAGAGACAGGCTTTCACCATGTTGGTCAGGCTGGTCTCCAACTCCTGACCTCATGTGATCCACCCGCCTCGGCCTCCCCAAATGCTGGGATTACAGGCATGAGCCACTGCACCCAGCCAGTACTTTCTTATTTCACCAAAATCATAATCAGAATATATTAATGTGCATTTTTATGTGACACATTTCAAGATGATTCTCTATTTTACTAATTAAAAGATTATTTAAGTGCCTTACTGGTATGATTATAGTAATTGTCAATGACAAATCTGTTCCTTATGACTCAATCATACATAGAACTCTGTAATTATCTAAAATAATAAAATGGTTTCAGATTTTTATATTAAAAATAATTTATATGCTCATTTTAATTGGCATCAGACAGACCTGTGTTTAAATTTTGGCTCTGAAAATGCTGGCTGTGTGATCTTTAGCAAGAAGTAATTTTAACTCTCTGAGGCTCAGTTAATTCATCTAAAAAATAGATATCTATATATTAGATGAATAAATGTGTATCTTTACATTATGTATTTAACTTAATATCCATAAAAGTAGATTGATATCCCATGACATTGGAGGAGGAACTTGCAGAAGTAATTTTAAAGTTAATCTGGAAGAAAAGGTATGCACTAATGCTAAACATTAAAAATAATGTGAAGTACAATATTAAAATATTATTTCAGAGAACCACTTTATATTTTCAGTAATCAATAAGAAAATCAGCAACTTCTAAAACTTTTTTGAAGGTGAGAAGAATGAGGAGAAGAAAGATAATGAGAATGAAGAAAATAAATGAGAATAGGTACGGAAAATCTCTCTTTCAGACTGGCATCATAGGACTGTGTTGGACATTTCTGGGTGGATGTGCCATTATGCTAGATAGCCTAGGTTTGGAGATGCAGTCAGTTCTCAAGCCAGCTTACTGTGAGTGGCCATTGACAGCCCTGTGTGGCTATGGCCCAGTTAATTTCCTTTCCAGTAGCAATTTTTTGCTGCTTTTCTCCAAGATGCTTTATAGTAAGTTAATGAACCCACTAGGTATTCATGTTACTACAAGGCGAATCTCATTCAGCTCTTCTATAAGGATTATTACAAAATTCCTCAAAATTGGGATGTGCATCATTCCTTAATAGCAGTTGTTTATATTCACAGATTCTGTCTTACCTTGAAAATTAAATTCAGCCTTGAAAGGAGGTATTATTTCTTTTCAATAAGGGTCCATGTTGTATGGGAATCAACTTGTTTATAGTGATGGCTTAAAGATAAATTGATCTTACACTTAGAAATTATTCTGACTTTAAAAGTTTAGTAAGAATAGTAAGAATGTGTTAGTGACATTACTCACCTTGCCCTCTATTTCTAAGATTTATAAGGAAACTCCAACAGGGCCCTGACTCTCCAGACCCAGCATGGCAACATTGAAAGATTGCTGAAAGAGCAATTTCAAAAGCACAGTCTTGCAGAAATATTCTTACTTTCATAACATTTACATAATCACCTTGAAGATTAAAAACAAATCTTGCTCCTCTGTGGCTTTTTGTTACTTGACAAGAATGTTGGGGTGCCCATTGATTTCCCAAAGTATGGGGGTGCTTCTTTCCCAGGGCAGTTCTCAAGCCCTCAGATGCAGTTTGATGAATTGGTGGAACATTTTTGCAACTTTTGTAATCTGGTATTGATTTACTCTCTTCATCTCAAACCCTTCCAAATTGTTATTTTATTGGGGAGGGAAATAGGGATACCACAAAGTGACACATATCCTTAAGAAGTGTTGGCAGCCAGCCCTTTCCAACCAGAAAGTGCAGTGGCCCCCACCTGTCTCTCTCGGTGGGACAACATGTACCAGGGTTTCCTTGCAGGGATACATTACATTCAAAGGCAAGATTGTTCTTTTTTTAAAAAAAAATTTTTTTTAATCTGATGCTCAAAGCTTTCCCAGTGACGTATGTCTGAGAGCCTGTGGAGTTTTCCTGCCATCCATTCTGTGATAGTGAATGACAAGGGACTATCCTAACGCAGTGTATGGTGACTGTGTGGTTGGGTCACCCATGGCAACAGGGTGAGGAGGAACATTGAGACTGGGCTCTGATGAGCAGCAGAGCCCCAGAGGATGATGAAGTGGTGAGTGATTTTCAAAGCAAATGAATTTATGACAATTCCCATCGTGGCTACTACAAACGAAATGAATGGCGGCCTCCAAATAGTAGCCGGGAGGAGAACCAAGGATGGTGATTTTGCAAGAAATTCTTTTGAGGCTCCCACTGGAGACGCAACCACCCCTGCAGGTGCTGGGGTGTTGCTACCAATTGTGGAGGACAGCATCTCGGGCAGCAAAGGAACTGCACCAATGGCAGACTCTCATGGTGCTGGGAGCACTGAGAAAAGGAGGGAAAAGGTGTTCTTCTGGTCAGCAAATCCAAATGGGCTCTGGGAGTGGAAGACTCCAGAAGAAAAATTTGTCTTAAGATGAGGGCAATAGAGGAGCTGTGGAAAGGCCTTTGAACTTCAGATCAAGGGACCTCACTCACAATTTCCACTGCCTCTGACTGGCTGTGTGCGTTTTGGTAAGCCTTGTCCCTGTTGAGCCTCAGTTACAGCTTGAGGAAGTTGATAATGTCAAGGTCTTCAGGAATGGTAACACCATGACGTCACTGGGACTGACTGGAAGCTCTTACTGCAAGGGTGTGGCATTGGTGGAACTACCAAAGAGGCTCTGATTGCTTGTAGAGTTCACAAAGTCGTTGTTATCTCCAGCTGTAGAATTAAAATGTTATTCCCGCTACTATCAAGTCAGTGGCCCAATGGCCTTCTTTCAGTATCTTAATATATGCCAACCCCTTTCTCTACCTCAGGGCCTTTATCCATGCTAGTCTCTGTACATGGAATGCCATTTTCCAAAGTCTGAACCTGGTTAACTGATCCTTGAGATTTATATTTAAATGTCATTTTCTCAGATTAGATTTGGTACACTGCTAGACAGTCCCAGGGCACCCAGCACTCTGCTTTAAAGCACTTATCACCATTATAATGCCATCCCTATTTGTGTAATTATATAATTTTCTCTTTTCCACTAGACTGGAGCTCCATGAGGATAGTAGCCATTCTCTGTCTGTTTCAATATAATTTACTTCAATGGCCAATACCTGGGACAAGCCTCTATTAAGCATGCAATAAACATTCATTACAGATTGAAACAAGGGGAACAATAATCACTTTTCTTGAGTATCTGCATATTTCAGTCTAAGTGAAGTCTTAGATTTATCCACTTCCTTCCAAAAAAAAAAAAAAAAAAAAAACGAGCACTGTAGTAAGATGTTAGGATTAATGCATCGTTTGATGTTTTAGTTTGCATAGCACTTCCACTCCATCGGTGCGCTCTACCACAAAAGCTCCTCATAATGTTTTCCAGAGGGCCAAACATTTTCAAACATAGAGGATTAAGTCTGATGGATTGTAAGCTACTCCCAAAAGTTAGTTAGAACTTTGTGGAATTTCTTTATTAACAGTGTTGAAATCACTCTCAGTCAACTTCAAAGTGCATTTCCTTCTTCTGAACAGCCAGCAACAGATTACTCATTAGATTTGGAATAAACTAATGAGATATGACATGTAAGTAAAGTATTAAAAATAAAGCAGCTTGGCTAATTGAAAATGTTTATTTTATGAATTTTTAGATGGCAGTGGCTTAAAATAATTGCCGATATGCAAGCTTGGCATTGGTAGTTTCTTCCCCACTGTAAAAAGCTGTGTAAAAAGCACAGCAAATATACTCTTTTGATTAATAAAGTGACAAAGCTCACAAATACCAGAGGCTTAAGGTGACTAACTGTCCTGATTTGCTGGGGACTAAGGGGTTTTCTGAGAGAGGGACTTTCAGTGTTAACACTGTGAGAGACCCCAGCAAACCCAGATGACTGGCTACCACAGAACACAGCACTGTTTGGAAAACCCCACCCTTGGAGTCTAATCCCAGCCCTGCCTGTAGGTTAGGCCTGCCCTGGGCAACTTTATGGGATCCTCTTCCCTGATCTGTACAATGAGGCCAATCAAGGAATGGTCAGGTCTGAAATAAATGACATTCAATATTCTATAAAATGAAGAATATGGCCATGCAACAGCAGGGATGGTGGGGAAACTAGCAGAGATGACAATCTTAACACTAGCATTTATGCAAATCAAAACCACCATGAGATTCCACCTCACACCCGTCAGAATGGCTATTACTAAAAAGTCAAAAAACAACAGATGCTGATGAGGTTGAGGAGAAAAGGGAACACTTATATACTGCTGGTGGGAATGTACATTAGTTCAGCCCCTGTGGAAAGCAGTTGGAGATTTTTCAAAGAACTGAAAACAGAAATACCATTTGACCCAGCAATCTCATTACTGGGTATATATCCAAAAGAAAATAAAGTGTTCTACCATTCACTCATATGTTCATCATGGCATTATTCACAATAGCAAAGATATGAAATAAGCCTAAGTGCCCATCAATGGTGGATTGGATAAAGAAAATGTGGTGCAATCAAAAAGCTTATCCATCACAATTAAGTCAGCTTCATCTCTGGAATGCAAGGTTGGTTCAACATAGGCAAATCAATAAATGTGAATCATCGCATAAACAGAACTAAAGGCAAAAACCACATAATTATCTCAATAGGTGCAGAAAAGGCTTTTAATAAAATTCAACATCCCTTCATGTTAAAAACTTTCAGTAAACAAAATGTTTAAAGAACATACCTCAAAATAATAACAGCCATCTATGACAAACTCACAGCCAACATCATATTGAATGGGCAAAAGCTGGAAGCATTCCCCCTTGAAAACAGGCACAAGACAAGGATGCCCTCTTTCACCACTCCTGTTCAACATAGTACTGGAAGAGGAAGTCAAGTTATCCCTGTTTGCAGATGACATGATCCTATATCTAGAAAAACTCATTGTCTCAGCCCCAAAGCTTCTGAAGCTGATTAAACTTCAACAAAGCCTCAGGATACAAAATCAATGTGCAAAAATCACTAGCATTTTTATACGTCAGCAACAACCAAGCCAAGAGCCAAATCAGGAGTGAACTCTCATTCACAATTGCCACAAAAAGATTAAAATACCCAGGAATACAGCTAACTAGGGAGGTGAAAGATCTCTGCATAAAGAGCTATAAACCTCTGCTTAAAGAAATCAGAGATGACACAAACAAATGGAAAAGCACTCCATGCTCATAAATAGGAAGAATCAATATCAGTAAAATGGCCATACTGCCTGAAGCAATTTATACATGCAATACTATTTCCATTAAACTACCACTGACATTCTTCACAGAACTAGTAAAGACTATTTTAAGAGTCATGTGAAACCAAAAAAGAGTCTGAATAGCCAAGGCAATCCTAAGCAAAAAGAACAAAGCTGGAGGCATCACACTACCTGACTTCAAACTATGTTACAGTACTATAGTAACCAAAACAGCATGGTACTTGTACAAGGACAGACACATAGACCAATAGAACAGAATAGAGAACCCAGAAATAAGACTGCACACCTAAAACTATCTGATCTTAAACAAACCTGACAAAAACAAGCAATGGGGAAAGGATTCCCTATTCAATAAATGAGGCTGGGATATCTGGCTAGCCTTATGTAGAAGACTGAAATTAGACTCCTTCCTTACATGATATGCAAAAATTAACTCAAGATGGATTAGACATAAATGTAAAATCCAAAACTATAAAAATCCTGTAAGACAACTTAGGCAATACCATTTAGGACATAGGCATGGGCCAAGATTTCATGACAAAGATGCCAAAAGCAATTGCAACAAAAGCTAAAATTGACAAATGGGATGTAATTAAACTAAAGAGCTTCTGCACAGCAAAAGAAATATCAACACAGTAAACACACAACCAACAGAATGGAAGAAAATGTTTGCAAACTAAGCATTCAACAAAGGTCTAATATCCAGCATCTTTAAGGTACTTAAATTTATAAGAAAAAAACAGCCCCATTAAAAAGTGAGCAAAAGACATGAACAGGTACTTCTCAAAAGAAGATATACATGTGGCCAACAAACGTATGGGAAAAAGCTCAACATCATTAATCATTAGAGAAATGCAAATCAAAACCACAATGAGATATCATCTCACACCAGTCAGAATAGCTACTATTAAAAAGTCAAAAAATAACAGATGCTGGCAAGGTTGTGGAGAAAAAGGAACACTATACACTGTTGGTGAGAGTGTAAATTAGTTCAGCCACTGTGGAAGACAGTGTGGCGATTCCTCAAAGACCTAAAGACAGAAATACCATTTGATCCAGCAATCCCATTACGGGGTATATACCCAAAGGAATACAAATCATTCTATTATAAAGACACATGCATGTGCATGTTCACTGTAGCACCATTCACAATAGCAAAGACATGGAATCAACCTAAGTGTCCATCAGAGATAGACTGGATAAAGAAAATGTGGTACATATACACCATGGAATACTATGCAACCATAAAAAAGAACAAGATCATGTCTTTTGCAGGGACATGGATGGAGCTGGAGGCCGTTGTCCCTAGTAAACTAACACAAGAACGGAAAACCAAATGCTGTATGTTCTCACTTATAAGTGGGAGCTAAATGATGAGAACACATGGACAGATAGAGGGAACAATACACACTGGGGCCTTTCAGAGGGGGGAGGGTGGGAGGAGGGAGAGGAGTAGCAAAAATAACTAATGGGTACTAGGCTTAATACCTGGGTGATGAAATAGTCTGTGCAACAGACTCCTACGACACAAGATTATCTATGTAATAAACCTGCACTTGTACCCCTGAACTTAAAATAAAAGTGAAAAAAATGTGGTGCATATACACCATGGAATACTACAAAGCCGTAAAAAAAAAAAGAACAAAGTCATGTCCTTTGCAGCAACACGGATGCAGCAGGAGGCCATTATCCTAAGCAAATTAACACAGGAACAGAGAACCAAACACCACATGTTCTCACTTATAAGTGGGAGCTAGACATTGGGTACTCATGGACCTAAAGATGGGAATAATAGACACTGGGGACTATTGGGGGGCTGAAGAGAGGGGGACAAGGGTTGAAAAACTCTTGGGTACCATGCTCACTTTCTGGGTGCCAGGATCATTTGTACCTCAAACCTCAGCATCACACAGTATTCCCGTAACAAACCTGCACATGTACCCCCTGTATCTAAAATAAAAGTTGAAATTATAACAAGCAAAACAAAACAAAACAAAAAAAACCACTAGCATTTGTAAGCCTTATTGGAGTTAGGACTTCACACTGCAGCACCAAGGGGTGGGGGCCTTTGTGTTTCGAGTGGAGACCATGAGCAGTCAGGGGTTCGCTCAGCTAATTCACTTCCTCTGCAGAACGACTCCATGGGAGTATTCCCATGGCTCCCATTTTATAGGCGAGGACAGGAAGAAAAAAGAGGGTAAGTGAAAGTTTGCTTGAAGGTCACCCAAAGGGGGAGCCGATAGTCAGACCAGGTCAGCTCTCCTTTTGGCCAAAGTCTCCTGACCGCTGAGATGAAAACAGCGGTGGGCTCCTCCAGGGAGGGTTTGGAGAGCAGAAGCTAAATCAGCCACAGGTTCCTTTTGTGTTGATTGAGTCACAAAGCCTCCAGGAGCTGCCAAGTGGCACAAGATGCTGCACTAGGTTTGGAATAAGAAGGCCCCCAGACCCAGTCTCACCCCCAGCTTGGCTGGGGCACTAAACGATTTTAAAAATAAAACTAGAGAGGCCCTGCGTAAACGGCAGGGGATCCATGTCCACCTGACAGCCCTTGGAGCTAACGCTAAGGGAGGACAGCTTGCAACAAGGGGCACGGGGCCTGAGATAAAGGAAGCGGTCACCTAGAGGGACGGGCCATCTGTCAAGCCAGTTCTTTCCCTCCCCTCCCTTCCCTTCCCCTCCCCTCCCCTCCTTTTCCTTTCTTTTCTTCTTTCCTTTTCTCTTTTCTTTCTTTTCTTTTCTCTTTCTACAGTCTCATTCTGTTTCCCAGGCTGGAGTGCAGTGGTGCGATCATAGCTCACTGCAGCCTCGAACTCCTGGGTTTAAGCAATCCTCCCACCTCAGTCTCCCCAGTAGCTGATACTACAGGCATGTGCCACCAGAGTCAGCATTTTTTTATTTTTTATTTTTTGTAGAAACTGGGCCTCTTTGTTGCCCACGCTGGTTGCAAACTCCTGGGCTCAAGGGATCCTCTCACCTCGGCCTCCCAAAGCACTGGAATTAACAGGAGTGAGCTACTGTGCCCAGCCAAGCTTGTTATTTTCTTAGGGAGAGGACATCTTAGTGGCAAGAGCACATGTCTTGCATTGGTCTCCAGCAGATTTGAACTCATCCTACCTCTGTGCCCTCAGGGAATCTTCCCAACCTCTCTACATGGAAGCATCCTCATCTGTGACATGAAGCAAAGAACAGTGCCTTCCCGTGCAGGCTCTTTTTGGGATTACACCAGAACATAGGCATGCTCAATAAATGGCAGCTATTTGCATTTACAGGCTCACAATCTCTTCTCTATAAAATCCCAGATCCAAAAAAATTGAAAACCGAAAGGGTTTTGGTAACTCATTTGACAACAAAGACTGGTCGGATCTAAACTCATTTGACAGTTAAAGCTGAACTGAATTGCTACTAGACTATTTATGTTGTATAGTTATAGTTAAATATTTAGCTGCAGAAATATAAATATGTTTGATTAGGGGATGCTACTCCAGACCCCAATAGGGGATGTTACATAATATGCAGTATGTACACATTTCTTCTCTGAAATCTGGACAATTCTAAATCATGTTGGTTTAAAAGGTTTCAGAAAAAAGATTATAGACCTATACTGTGGTGAATCTCAGGCCCACGTCCCTCATCAGGAGCAGCATGGCTCTTACATGGAATCCTGGCCTTAGAACCCAAGTAAAGCGTCAGCCTCAGAATAAGGCTCCCCCTGTTCTGTAGAGCCTTGGCTCCATCAGCCCTGCTCAGAAAAATGGCAAGGAGGAGCCCGATTTATTAGCTGTTAATGCTGTTGTGCAATAATCTTGATCTCCAAGTTGCAAAAACCCAGTTGGAAGAGAGAAATCTAAAGCGATCAGAATGACTACTATACCAACTACAGAAAATATACGAGTTTCATGAGAAGTTTCAGGAGTCAGACTGACACTAAAGTTGATGGAATTTTAAGAAAAAGAATGCTACTTCTATTTAGCATTAAGTTATTTTTCTTCTATTGTAGTTTAATTGTGGTCCTATCTGAAGAAAAGCTGGACTTGAAGCCAGGATTTGGGGCATAAGGGTATGACAGTGGCAAGCCCCTGTGTCAGCAGCTTTCACAGAACAAGGAGAAAGTAAGATCAAGTTGCAACTGGAAATCTGGGTGCACAGGTACCAGAAAGGAAGATGCTCTAGCTGGGGAGTCAGGATTTAGGGGGTCAGGTGGGAGGGGAGGGCAAGTGGGGAGGTAAGAATGTTTAGCCATGAAATTTGGAAGAGGTGAACTTGGTAAAGAGGAAAGAGGTGTGTGTAGGGATAGGCAGGGCCATCCCTGTTGCTGTAAGTGGATGTCTGTGCTGCACACATACCTTACTGGTCCACATTGTCCCCCTCACCGGGAACCTACTGGAATATCCACACCTGCACCTGCCATGGTGAAGCCGGAAATGCACTCTCCCCAGCCTTGGTATATCTTGAGCCCAGGACAGGGCACAGGTAACTATCATCCAAGCTCACTTTCAACACATTGCTGTGCCCTCTTTCTGGGTTGCTGAGGTCCACCTGCAGGAGGCTAGGAGGGTGACCCCAGAGTCCCCGTGCTGGAGTGTGAATCCCAACGCTGTATGACCCTGGTCAGGTTACTTCATATCCCTGAGTTCAGTTTCCCTTTTCATAAAATGGGATGATAGCCACTGCACCTGACTCCTGGAGTTCCGTGAGGGTCATATGAGACAGTTCCTGTAAAGCTGATGTGGGACCCAGCACATGGTGATTTCCCCATCCGTGTACCCAGTGCCCACTGCTTGGTGGCAGCTCCAGGGCTTCCAGCCATGCCAAGCAGCCCATCTTGTGCAGATATCTGCAATCCCAGGTAAGATGATTGAACCTTAAATAAATAACAGCATTTTATTTTAGGGTCTCCTGGCCAGTAGCTGTTCATTTGGAGACTCATTATTTTCTTGATCATATTAATTTAAGCTCTCAGTCCCCAAATCTCTCAGCTAAGTACCTTTGCTACTTCCTACTTTTTTACTCACAGCAAACTCATGCCTGGCTCCTCTTTCCAGCCTTCAGTTGTAGTAGTATCCATGAGAGTCCCAGTTGTGCAGTTTTGCTTTGAAAGGATTAACAGAGTGGAACCGGGACTGCAGTTACAGGCAACAAGGTGGCACCGCGTCTAAGATGCCTGCTCTTTTGGGATTCTTTCAACACTTCCAAGTTTTATTGGCATAAATGATTTTAAGAACCTTTTTTCCACTTCAGATAAGAAGTTCTAAAACAGAGGCCGTTCGAACGATACCCTTTAGGATTAGAAAAATGTTCACTTTGCCTTTTCTCTCCTTCTTTGTTACGTCTTGTTTCTTATTTACACTGAGAGAGGTTTCTTTGACTCTCAGAGCACCCGCCTTTATTTCATGCTTCCAGTGCAGCTGCTTCATCCAAAATGAGGAAGGGTTGCAATGGAAGAGAACTCAGAGGAGGGCTGGAGACAGGACCACTGTACCACCTGGGTCTTGGAAGCTGCCTTCCAAAGACTGGCCCAGACACAGCAGAAGGATTACTTAACATGGCCTTTATCACTTCCGGGGCATGTGGAATGCTGAATCCTAATTCTAAAATGAGTCCTGAAATTGTTTCAGTAAAATTCATCATTAAGGACTTAAAAAATAGGAGATGAGAAGTAGGAGATGTGAAAGAATAAATCCATGGAACACACATGACAGATTTAGCAAAAATTAAAAATTTCTTCACTTTGACACTTACCTGAATGCCACCCAGAGAAAATTCAGCACATGTGCCAGGCATAGTGACAAGCACAGTATGACATCATTCTATTGTGAATCTCACAAGGTGCCTGTTATGGCTCTGGTGACTTGCCTCAGACAGAAGAGAAAGCTGAGGCTCAGAGCAGTTAGGGAGGCAGGTCTGTGTTGGAGCCAGGATGCAAATACAGGGCTGTCTGTCCCCACAGCCTGTACCTTGCTGTGTGCCTTCCTCAGTCAGCACAATTTTATGGGACTAAGCGTTTTAGTCATGATACAACAGCAACAGTGAATTCAGAAATGTAACTAGATGTTCTTTCTTCTTTTTAAATTAAACTATCTCATATTTGCTCCTGTTTGATCCCTTTTGCAATTTTTATTCATTTATTTTCTTATTCACTCATTCACTCATTTGGCGCTCTCTCTCTTTCACACACACACACACCCACACACACACACACACACACACACACACATGAATAACTACTAAAGTCATTGTCCTTGAAGAATTTAAAGTGGAATCTGTTTAAAGTTTGCTCCAAGGTGTAGATTCATGCATTTTACCGGAAGATAAGAGGAAAAAGAAAAAGGAGAGATAAAAGCAGTTTGGAGACAAAGGGAAGAGATGACATCTTACAAGTATAAAGCCTGTTCAATAAAATGTGATTTCATGATTGTCATTTGACAACATCCCTGGCTTTTGTTTGTTTGTTTCTGGTAAGTAAGGAAACAAATGACCAATGACCACATCCCTGTTGTTTGTAAGCTGCACTGTGAATTCTTGTGAAGAACAGTGTAAAAACTTCTCTGTTTACAGGGTAGAGACAAATTTACTTTCCATTTCTGATAACAACGGAGTCAGTCTTCCCTGCTGCCGAGGATTTTTTGAAACAGCGTGAATACTGCTCCTTCGCATTTCTGAGAGAGGGCAGAACCGGGTCATCGTGTTGCTTGACAGAGGGCCATGATAACTGTCTACAGATATTTAAAGGGTGTAAATGAAGACTTGATTGCTTTAAGATATCTTGGTACTAACTTCGTTTATTAAAGATGCAAAAGATTTGGGTGAGGTATGTCAGAGCCCCAATCCTTCAGAAACATTTTACAGGGCTGGGGGTATGACCCACCCAGTGAGTGGAACTTGAGCCCTGAGTGGAGAGGGCCTTTGGGGACTGTATCAGGGAGGAGGACACAAAGCCGTGGATGAGACCGGTCTCATCGTGGCCTCTGCAAAGACCTCGCAAGGGAGGACAATCACAACATAATGGCATTCCAGAGCAGTGGAAGGTATTCATTAGCACTCCAGTGAGGAGAGAGAAAAAACAGAAGGAGGAACAGAGAGGAACAGACTCAAGCTCAGGGAAATGGACATTATCCAGCTTGTTGACAGAGACCTCATTCCGTTTCATTCTTGACTCTGCCTGTCCACCTTTCTCGTGTGTCTCTGTTCTTTGCATCTTCCATGGAAACACGGGATGAGAACAGGGTGAAGGCTCTCAGAGCAGTTAAATTGTATTCCTTTTTGGCAACTCTAGTGAAATCCTGTCTGATGAATTTGGAACTATTGATTGCGATAAAGTTATTAATATTAAAGTTTCTTGGAACACTTGTGGATATCACTTATCCAGATAGCAGGTCCCCAGTTAATATAGATGATTGAATTTGGGAGATAAATGCACTATTCTGGGGGGCAGGAGGTGCTGTCGCAGAAGAAAATGAAAACACGTGGAAAGGAATCATGTCAAGCTTAACATCCAAGTTGAAGGCCAACTATACGGAACTTAGATTTTTTAATAACCTGTAAATGGTCTCAGAGGAATGGTGAATTGCTGAAGTCTTTTGAGTGGAGTAAGTCACATAATTAAGAGATTATTTGTAACAGACTCAGTCAACTACAGGGTATTATTCAAAGCAAAAACCAAACCAAACCAAACCCTCTGGATCAGAAGGCACGAAGATGTAGACAGCGTCTCTTATGCCTTATGTAGGAAGTGCCTAATGATTTCTTTGCAAATTCTGACTAGTATAAGTCCTAAACAAGAGGCAAATGTCTTAGTGTCGTCCAAGTGCTATAAATGAAGTTAAATGGGAACATACGGTTAACATTTCTATAGGACTGTATGTTTGCCAAAAGGTTAATAATCACTTGTTCCTTAATATTCATAACATCCCTCTAAAGCAGAATTTCCCACACTGGGACTGGGAGGCCTCAGGGATGGTGGAGGAATTTCAAGAGGGTCATGGGGATTGGAGCTGTAGTATTTCAAACAGCTCTCCAATGGTGATGGAAAATTGCGGGCTGCAGGAGGGAGGTACGGAGTTCCCGGCACCCTGTGTTCACTGGGCAAGTCCCCCTGTGAGGCCTGGGGCCCCTTGTCGGGACCAGACCTGCTTCGTTGCAGGAATCCTAGGATTCTTTTTCCACTCTCCCGTCCTCATGTCAGTGCCAGCTCCCACTCTAGGCTCTGGAGGCTTCGGGGCCTGTTTTGAATCCCAGATTTGATCCTTGCTTGCTGGATGACTCTGGCAAGTTTCTTACCCTCTCTGAGCCTTGAGTACAACACTGAAGAATGTTGGATGATCACTTACATGGTGCAGTTGTGAATAAGATATCACCTTTAGCACATTATCAGCGTCCAATGATTAATAGTAGTAGTTATTTGTTCCCTTTGTCTTTCCAGGTACTTCTTGGATGTTTCAGAAAACAACTACAAGAATCTTTTCATTTTGAGGACTGTCCTCTGAATCTCTGATGAAAGCAAATAGGAGATACATACCCATGGAACAATACAAATAAATAGATAACATCACAAATATTTCAATATTTCAATACTCAATAGAGTACATTGATATCATCAAGCTTAATCAACCCTGCACAGTTTATTGCTTCTGACTGCCTTGCAGACATAGGTCACCGAAAACTATGTTTGACCTGTGCCCCTGATTTTACCCCTAAAGACTCCAGCTTTAGCAGAGGCTGGTGACTTTTGTTTTCCAGGACAGTCTATTTTCCTGGGTGATATAATTAAAATATGATAAGATTTTTTTTTTTGAAGGACAATAGGGAGTCTTTGTCCCAAAAAGAAAATCTACACCTTCAGGTGTGCCTGTGGCCACTGCATCAGGACCCCGCCCTTCACACGCGTTATTCCATTCTGAAAATGTCCGAACACTTTCTTATTTTCCATGTCCCAGTCTTTAAACTGGATTGAAGGAGGAAGTTGAAGCTACAGCATTTGATGAGAGTGGTAATGAGGGTGGCATGTGCAGTTCAACTGTAGCTTCTTACTATGTAGAGTATCCGTGTTCTAAAGCGAAGCCTTGTGTGATCACAGTTCCAGAAAACTGAGGAATTCAATGACTCAGATACTCAGTAACAATTAAAAAGTTCTTCATTTAGTGTTTCAGCAGAGCGGGGAGGAGACAGATTTCCTCCTGTGCAGCCCTGCTTAAGGCGGCCAGTCCCTGCAGGAGGAGAAGCAGATCTCAAAGTTGTCCCTCATCCATACAACATTATATTTAAGGAGAATTCCTGCTAGCTTAGAATATAACTCTGGCCACCACCCACTTCCCCATCCAAATGTCTTGCAGATAGCTAATTCAGAAAGCCCGGACCTGACTTAGAGATGGGTAGTATTCAAAAAGGAACACACACAGTATCTATAGATGAAAAGAGAATGAATGAAACAAGAAAAGCAAATAAATTAGGTTTAAAAAAGCTTTACAGCCGGGGGCGGTAGCTCACGCCTGTAATCCCAGCACTTTGGGAGGCCAAGGCGGGCGGATCACGAAGTCAGGAGATCGAGACCATCCCGGCTAACACCGTGAAACCCCATCTCTACTAAAAATACAAAAAATTAGCCAGGCATGGTGGCAGGCGCCTGTAGTCCCAGCTTCTCGGGAGAATGGTGTGAACCCAGGAGACGGATCTTATGGTGAGCCGAGATTGAGCACTGCACTGCAGCCTGGCTGACAGAGCAAGACTCTGTCTCAAAAAAAAAAAAAAAAAAAAAAAGCTTCACTAGAAAAATATTGCCACAAAACAGATGACATTTATGACCCAACATACTTTCATGAATTTAAAAAGAAAAGAAAAAACTTAGTGAAACAATCGCCTTTAAAAAACAGGAGCTCAAAAAAACATATACAGTAGTTTAGGAAATATTTAGCAAGACAATGGGAAGTGAAACATAAGTTGGCAGAACTTAGCAAAAATGACAACCTAGAAACCAAGACCACAGTGGAAGCAGCAGAACGGAGACTCAGATTCTGCTGGAAACTGACCATATCCAAGTCCACAAAGAACATGTTACTAAACTTCAGAAATTAGACTGAGTCCAGAAAAGCTTCTCTGATCACAAAGCAATTCATTTAAAAACTAATAATAAAATAAGGAAGGAGAAAAATTCTACCACCTGGAAATGCTAAAATATTCTTTCATGTGCAACTCTTCCATTAGGGATATATTTTTAAAAATAAAAATAATTAAGGGTTATATTTTTATAAATGAAAATAATTAAGCTAGTACATATCAGAACCTATGGGACAGAGCTAAAGCAGAATTCTGGAAAAAACTTAAAGGTTTAATATTTATATTAATTTAACTGAAAGAAAGAAAACACCTAGGTATATATTTTTTAAAGCTAACATTTTGGTAAAAAGGAATGTGAGATGTGGGCAAAAAAAAAGAGATAAAAATAATTTTGAAAAGTGTAAGAGTAAAAATTTAACACAAAGTGTAAGTCATATAAAATGTAACTTTAAAACGTTATTGAGGAGAAAAAAATGAAAGAAATGGAAAGGCATGACATATTCTTAAGTAGGAAGACTTAAAGCAAAAAATTTAACTCTCCCAATGATATCTATAAATGGAATTTGAAGCCAATAAAAATATAGGATTTTAAAAAGCTAGATAAGCTGTTACTAAAACTTATAAGAAAAATCAACAGACATTCCATGTCTGGTAATAATGGACTTAGTTATTTAGATTAATTCTTGCAGTTAAAACAATGAATATTTGGATAACATATTAAACAAACTTGATTTTAAAAGCACTGAAAAGCTGACAAGATAATCAGGACTTCCCAAGTGATTAGGTTTTGCCCTGATTGGATTTTGCCCGTGGTTGATCAGGTTAAGTTGAGTTGGCTGTGGTTTTCATGGACTCTCAGAATGAAGAATACGGAAGTCAAAGGCCAAGACTCACCCAAGGTAGGAAGGAGGGTCTCATAGGAGACTCTTGCCTCACATTAAGCTGTGAGTCTGAAGGGGTTCACCTTCAGGGTAAGGACAAACCAAAGGTGAACCTGCTCCCCTTCCCACTACCCCAGGGGACCATGGGAGAGTTACCTTGACACTAAGCAAAGCAGAGAAAAGAAAAAGAAAACCCGTCCCTGATAGGACGTCATCACTGAATCATTGGCTGGCAGTATTTGCCCATATGCTGCTCAAATACATGTCTTTGGGATGAGCCAAGAAACTTTGAGCTATGAATTTAAAGTGATACACAACTACAGTACCCCCAAGCACCTGGCAGAAGCAAGCTCTAATCATCTCTGGAGGCAGATACTTTCATCCTAGGCCTCGAGGATTTTGTATAAATGGTTTCTCAAGGGCAGTAAGCAGTACAGTTGAAGATTACTAAACTCAGAAAACAAAGCACCAATAGTTAATGTCAGCAAAATAGACAGCAGAGGCGAGTTAGACAACTGCAGCTGTTTGAATGACCAGACACAGAGTACAAAGAGCTATGTTAATTTTATTTAAATAAATGTAAGGTAAGCTTTAAAATATCTGCAAGAAATAGTCAACAATAAAAATTGACATTGTGGGTTAGAAAAAGATCAACTAGCACTTCTAAAATTAAAAATAGAGTAACAGAAATTGAAAAGTCAGTGAATGGGTATGGTGGCAGATTAGACACTGTGGAAGACAGAATTAGAGAACTGAAGATAATGTGAATAAATTATACAGAATTATAGTGCAAAGAGGCAAAGAAATGAAAAATATAGGAGAGTGGTAAAGAGACGTAGAGGACAGAGAGAGAAGGTCTCTTTTTTCCAAGATGGTCTTTCTTCTCTTTCAAAAGTGTAATTGTTATTTCAGAAGATGAGAAAAAAGTGAGGTGGTAGGTTATTGAAAGAACAATAATAACTATTAAAGATAAGTGAAAAGAAATTTGCATCAAGGCACATCACAAAGAAATTGCAGAATACATAAACAAAGAGAAAATCTAAAAAGCAGCTAGCTAGAGTTGGGGTGCAGTGGAGTGTGATGATTAATGAATAAGACTACCCTACCAGGTGTCAAATGCATTGTAAAGTGGTATCAATTAACACCTCATGGTATTGGTATACGGGTAAGTAGATAGAAATATATATGGTAAACTAGTATATAACAGAAGTTGGTAGCTTAAATCAGTAGAGAAAAGGCAGCTTAAGTCAATAAAGGACACTAAAATATATAGACCTCTGAAAAAATATGTATATACTGAGATTCCAATGAACCCAAAATTTAGAAAGAAAAAAACCTCAGAAGAGTACTAGAAGAAAAAAAAAGAAGATACTTTAAAAATAAATTCAGAATAGTAAAGGCTTTTCTACATATAATAAAAAACTGAGAAACCATAAAATAATATATTGATAACTTTCACTACCCCCAAAATTTTAAGTGTGTCTTGTATTATAATATTATATAATATACAGTTATATAATAGTATTATACATGAATAAAAGCAATGAACTGGAAAAAACATGTGCAACTCATTCACTGATTAAAGATAAATTCTTTTTAGATGTGAAGAACTTATACAAATCACTGTGCAAATATTAATCAAATGTAAGATGGCCAAAAGCTCTAAAGCATTTCACCAAAATAAAATAACATAAAATAAAACTATCTTCCAACCATATAAAAAGATACTCAATTTCATTCATAAAAAGGGAAATGCAAATTTAAACTAAAATGTAGTACTACTGCTCAATTATCAAACTGGCAAAGATAAAAACATTTGACAGTACCTTGTGTTGGCTGTGATGTAAGGAAATGTGTTCTCTCATGCATCACTGGTGAGAATGTAACTTGCACTATCTTCTAGGATCAAGATTTTAAATCACGTGCCCTTTGACCCAGCACCTTTTCTTCTAGGAATTTATCTTACAGTTATATTCACAAATACATGGAATGAGCTCACAATCATTCATTACAACATTGTAAAAAGCGAAAGCTTAGAAACAACCTAAACGTTTGTCTATGGGGGTCTTATTAGCCTCCCGCCACAGTTTGTTTTTTATTTTTCTGTCTTACTACTCACATCCACATTACATGGCACACTTATTCTAGCTCTCGGGGCTCTGAACAGTCCCAGGTTTCCAGGCTTGTAGGATATCAGGAGAGGAGAGAGATGCTGCTAAAGGTAGAACCAGTGACAATGGGCAGCTGTTGGCCTGAAACGAAAAGACAGATAAAGTACAGAAACATCCAAAGAACTTTAAAAAACCACAGTTCTGTAATACCATACACGATTTGAATTTCTGTCCTTTTGTTCCTGTAAAATCTTTGCAAGTGTTTTAAACCTCCTGACATGCACATTCATCTTTATTTAGGCTTCTACTCAAATGGTCCACCCTTCTTTCTTCTCAAACAGCCCATCAGAGGCTCATTCCTGAGCTTTGATCTGTTGCAGTGACCGATCCTGTCAGCTCTTCTCCTGTGGCCATACCGCTACCCCTTCTCTCTCTCAAGGCTCTCTCCTCACGGTGTGACGCTGCTATCCAGGGCCCCTTCCCCTTGGGATGCCCTGTCTCCACTTTGCTGACAGCACTCCTGGTGGCCCCCAGGCTCTGCCCTCCTTTTCTGTCTTCTTCCTGGAGTCCCTCTCTCCTGGTGCTGTAGCCTGCTCCTGTAGCTCCACATGCCATTTGCAATGCACCCGTATCCCCAAATCCAAAGCACCCTCTCTCTGTGAATTTTATCTCTAATTTTAGTTTTCAGTTAAAAACTGTTTTTAACCCAATCTTTAAAGTGCCTTGCAAATGCTCTTCCTCTGCATGAAGCCGTCCTTATTCTCGCAGTTGGGATTGTGGCAGCCCACCTCCCAATCCCTGCCCATGCTTTCTCATGGGTGTAATACTAACCCCCAGGGGGCAAAAATGGGTTCTTGGAAGAAGGAGCAAAAAATTCTGTTCCTTTAATGTACAAGTACAGACTACATATAGTATATCAACAGACATATGGTATATCTGTGATGTCAGAGTCTCCTGGGGGCAGGGCAATTAGGAAAAAAAATTCTTAAAAGGCTCCTTATGAAGGGGTGATCATGAAAGGAAGGTTGAGAAACACTACTCTTGACATTTGCACCAAGATGTCAAGGACACACACCAAGCCCATCTTGTTCAAAACCTAATGAGCTCCCCTCCCTCATCTCACTCCTGATTCCCCAACCCACACCGCCCATACCCTTGTCACAGCTAATGTCATGGTCAGTCAGCCAGTGCCCATGCCAGGGTCCTTAGTGATAGTTGGCGCACTTTCTGTCCTCACATCCCATATCTAATCACGCTGTATCAGTCCGTTTTCATGCTGCTGATAAAGACATACCCGAGACTGAGTAATTTATAAAGAAAAATAGGTTTAATGAACTTACACACAGTTCCACGTGGCTAGGGAGACCTCACAATCATGACGGAAGGTGAAAGGCACATCTTACGTGGTGGCCAACAAAGGGACAATGAGAGCCAAGTGAAAGGTGTTTCCCTTTATAAAACCATCAGGTCTCGTGAGACTTATTCACTACCACAAGAACAGTATGGGGGGAACTGCCCCCATGATTCCATTGTCTCCCACTGGGTTCCTCCCACAACACATGGGAATTACGGGAGCTACAATTCAAGATGAGATTTGGGTGGGGACACAGCCAAACCATAACACATACCAAGCCCTCCAGGTTGTACTGCCACTTTCTCTCTTGCACCTGTCCCTCATGCCATGCCAGCCACCTGCCTGAGTTTAGGGCCAGGTCACCTCTTGCCTGGATCACTGCAATGACCTTCCAAATCGTTTTCACCCCCTCCCCACTCTAATCTATCTGTCATTCTGCCACTAGAGAGAACTTTCTAGAGCACAAACTCATGATTTAATGTTCATGTATTTGAAGTTTGATTTCAGTTTGCTTCAAATAGAAAGTCTCTAGAATAAAAGACAAGTCCACCAGCATTTTTCCAGATCCCTTTCCTGTATTCCTCTACAGTCATGCTGTATTCTACCACAGTTGACTGCTGTGCCTTCCCTGGAATTCATTCTATATGTTCATATCTTTCTGCCTTTTTTTGTATCAAATCTCCTCAGAATTCCTTTTTCCACTCTTTTCACCTGAACTATTCTTACCTCAAGGCCTGCTTAAATGTTCCATCTTCTGTTGAGTCTTGCCTCATGTGATTCCGGGCAGAAACACTTGCTGCTTTCTTTCTGCTTCTGCAGTGCAACACACGTGTTTATATAACAGGGAATGGACCACATTGCTTTTCAGTTGTCCTCCTTCTATGTAAATTTGAAGAAGGATACTTATCAAATTGACACAGGTTTTGAGAAAAATACTCTTACGTGCAAAGTGTTGTGCTGGACATTGGAACAGTAGAAGTGAATAAAGAAGGCTTGCCTTCATGAAGTTTAAAATCTGGTGGGAAAGACATGTATTCAGCAAGTCATTTTAACAAATAATCATTTAAATACTGCTGTGAGAACTGCCACAGTGGAAAGATATAGGATGCTATGAAAGAAAAAACAGAGAAATCCACCTTCCCCCAAAGGGGTCGACACAGCTTTTCTGGAGAAAAGGTCTTTAAACTAAGACCAGAATGAGTTAGCTGGGTGAAGAATATATTCCAGGGTGAATATATTTTGGGCAGAGGTAATAGCCCTTGAGGATACCTTGTGATAAGAAAGAGCCTGAGATCATTGAAGACCAGAAATAACAAAACAAACAAACCAATATACAAACAAAAAGTGGGTGTACAGGTAATAAGAGAGAGGTGTGGCATGACACCACCGAATGGATTTATGACGAAAGGAGTCACTTGCTGAATCTGAAAGGGAAACTTCATCTTCTCTGCCTCCTGGCACCACACAGATAGGCCACTGACCTGGGTCCACATGGCAATGTTTTTGTCCTTTTTGTCATATTGCCTGAAATATAGACTCAGAAATATTTTTTTCTATGACCAAAAAATTGCTAAAAATTCTGATAGAAATGGATGATTCAGGCCCAACACCTTCTAGAAGTACTCCAATTTCGGTATGTGCTGTTTTGAGAGCCCACGTCTTACACAAGTGTCTAACAGCCATGTGAGGTGTGATTTTTCAGGATATCACCTTGATGCATGGTAACATGGCCCCATAATGAATAAGAGCATTTTACTGTACCTGAAACTCTGGGGTCAAGTCATATGGCTACGAATGTGGAGCAAAGCAATATGGAAACAATATGTTCAACTTTATGACTAGTAACTCATTGGCTCATGGACAGCTTTGTCCCAGCTTCTCTGGGGGTAGTTTTCCTGCTGCATGGCACACATTTGAGGAGCACTGGAAGTCCCACAGTTTTTCCCACACTACAGTATTCTGAGTATTGCAAGTAGAGATGGAACGGAGAGTGGGTTTGTCAAAATAAGCCAGCCCCACATTGAAAAAGTCACGTGTGCTTGGTGCTATCCACAAACATGAGTCACCCAGGGAGGTATGTAGATGCTTGTGACAAGAGAGGAGAGGCCTAAAAATAACAGTTCCACTGAAGGGTGGAGCTACAGGCTGCTGGTGTGTCATGTTTGGCTGCTGCTTCTGAAAATTCCTTCAGTTAAAGTAGCAAGTGGGATGACAGCTGCAGATACCTGGCTTTCAGGAGAGAAGTGTAGCAGGTATCCATTGAGGGGGGATTTCAGGGTCATGAACTCCTCCTTATTACTTATTTCCTGAAGCTGATGTGTGAAAATCCATACAAGAATCCCACATCTTTAGTTAAAGACTTTGATCCCCAATAAATCAGAACGACAGCACATTCGGCTGTTCTCAGTGACACATTTGAAGGTTGCTGGAGATACAAGGATGCTCAGAGTGTCTTCTTTTACTTTCTTTTAACTTTCTCCTGCTGTTCCATATACTACATGAGGGCAAGGACCTTGTTTGTCCTGTTTTCAGTTCCATCCTCGGTGTCTTGCACAGAGCAGGAGCTAAATAAATATTTGCTTAAGGAAAAATGGAAGGAATGTGTCTAGCCCAGCCCTCTTAGTTTGCAGGCAAGAATACTGAGCAGGGAGAAGAAACTTGCTCAGGATCATGCAACCTATCAGCAGGGGTAGGAGGGAAGCCAGCCTCTGACTCTCCACCCAGTGCTCTCACCTTTCCAACAAGCTAGCAATGACTCAGTGTGGCTAGAAGTGTCTTGTTGAGGGCAAAGACCAAACACGAGGTCTCTGGCTACTAGGCTGAGGTGGACAGTATGGGGCAGCAGTTCTGAGGGGGGCCAAAAGATAGTGAACTTCACTGGGAGGAGGTGACAAAGACAAGGCTTGCCACTGGAGGCTGCCCAGCAAAGTTTCAAGGGCACAGTGGTGCTCCTTTCTGAGCCTGTTGTGTTTGCCTAAATTTGTTTTTAATAAAACCTAGGAGAAAAGCACAAGTTCCTGGAGCAGCAGGGGCTGATGGCTTGTGGTCTGCTCAGGACCACAGACTTCACCTTATGCAGACAGCTCTATGGTCATTAATACTGAAGGCATGTGTGCTTTTTTTGTGTTTTGTGTTTTTCTTTTAATAATCAGACAATAGTTTACATCTGTGCATTGGCGAGGAGTCATGAAGAAGAGCATCCAAACAAAGATGAGAGAAGCCAGACTGGCAAGTGGGCTGGCTGGAAAAGAGAAGAGAAGCCAGACACAGTACTTTGTCTTTAGTCTCCATGGATAAAAATGCTTAAAGTTCACCGTGGGGAGAAGGGAGGGGAGGGAAAGGTCTTGAAGGATTCCCAGTGGATACAAACAATGGTCATTTTTGAAGCCAGTTTGCATTTAGTCTCACACTCTCTTGTCTTAAAACACTTCTGAAGCACAAGGCTTCTGAGAGAGTAGGGCAGTTGCAGGAGCAGCAGGAGGGGGCTGGGGTGGGACTGGGGTGTAGGGAGAGGCCTGAAGGACCCTCCTGGCCCCACATTCCTCAAGGCACCTAACAAGGAAGCAGAACCCTACCTGGTTAGAGGTCCATGTTCCAGAATCGATGGGTTCTACTGCTGTGCCCAGTCAACAGGATACCTAAGCTTTGACTTTGGGTCACTAAAGATTGTTTCTAGACAAAAGCCCTAGCTCACAAGTCTGGGGGCAGCTTGGGACTTTGTTTAGGCCAGGTTTACCAGCTTGGTGTGAGAATAGCATCAGATATTGGTTACAGTGGTGGGATACATTCCAAGACTCCCAGTGGATGCCTGAAACCTCGAGTAGTACTGACCCTACATATACATGCTTTTTCCATGTGAGAACTGAGATGACTACTACGTGACTAAGGGTGGGGAGTTTCTACAGTGTGGATATGCTAGACAAAGGCATGATTCACGACCTGGGCAGGATGACGAGAGATTTCATCATGCTGCTCAGAATGGCACGCAATTTAAAATTTATGGATTGTTTATTTCTGGAATTTTTCATTTAATATTTTTGGACCATGGATGACTGAAGATAACTGAAACCTTGGAAAGTGAAATTGCAGATAAGGGAGATTACTGTACAGGTTTACGTTGACTCAGTCTTCCTACTATGGCTTGAATGTTCGTGTCCCTTCCAAAATTCACAAAATAACATTGAAACGTTATCCCCAAGGCAACAGCATTAAGAGGTGGGGCTTTTAGGAGGTGATTAGGCCATGAGGGCTCTGCCCTTATACATGGGATTAGTGCCTTATAAAAGGGCTGGGGAAAACCAGCTAGGTCCCTTTTGCCCTTCCATCTCTTTCACAAGTTGAACCAACAAGGTGCCATCTTGGAAGCAGAAAGCAGCCCTCACTAGACACAGAATCTGCCAGCACCTCAATCTTGGACTTCCCAGCCTCCAGAACTGTGAAAAACAAATTTCTGTTGTTTATAAATTAGTCTGTGGTATTTTGTTATAGCAGCATGAACAGACTAAGACACTACCCCGGTCTGTGTATTTGGGCATAGAATTAACAATTATTTGATTCTCTCTCCTTGCCACACAGCTGCTGCCAGGGGATGGGGGCAGGGTGGTGTCGGCGATTCAACACTGTCTTTCCTTCTCTCTTCGGTGCCTCTTTCCTTGCTATGGTGTTAAACACAGGTACTGTGATCACTCACCTGACTTTCGGTTCTTATGGCGGTGCTTTCTTGGTGGATGGTGGTTCAATTTGGTGTTCCTTTGGCAAGGTTTGGGTGGGAACCAGTAGCTTTGATCAAGCTACTGCATGGAAAATCCCACAGGGATCAACTTACTTCATGTTATAGCCAGAGCAGGTTCTAGAATCTAGTGCTCAAGCAGCTTGTAGGATTTCAATTTAGAGATTAGGGAAGCTCCATCAGCTGAAGTAGGGTGAGGCTGGTTAAGGAATAGAAATAAAATGGAAGTAGTTCAGATCATTTCTCATTTAAAAAATTTTTTTATTAAAACAAATAACAATCTTCTGATTGATTGTCAAGGACGTGACGGAGTCTGAGAGGCTATATATTTTGAATTCGGGTTGTAAAGCACAGACATCCAAACCAACAGAACTCCCACACACACTTCAGGAATGCAGAGGGTTTTTGTTTGTTTTGGTTTGTTTTTTTTTTTTTTTAAGTTTTAGTAAGAACATTTTCTAAACATATACTGAATAAGGTTGTACTTGATAGTCCTGGTAATGGTAATAATGATAACTGAGAAAAAAGTGGAGAAGTAAAGGAAGCAGAAAAAATTAAGGCAATCCTGACAGCAATTCAGATAGGTAATCTACATAAATTAGTCAGTTTCCTTATCAGAGATTTACATGTTAAAACCACTTGATATAACCCAGCAGGAAATTGAACAAGTGATTCTATGTCCAGACTTGGAAACAAAAATAACCACTCAGGGTCTGCACACATTAGTTTGCTCAAACTTGCGCTGATAAGTCTTTTTGGCTAGAGCTATAGTATGCAGTTTTTAAGAGGGGAGAGTTTGGTTGGAGGATGATTGACACGGAAACAACTGCAAATCCATAATACAGGAAAGATATAAGCTTCAGCGAGTACCTGGATGTCACTGAGATGATGCAGATGCAGAGGGTGACATGCTGCACGGGACTTAGCATTGTTCGTGGTGAATCAAAAAGAAAACCCACCCCATCAGCTCTGTAAAACACATCCAATATCTTAGGCAGACTGACATCTTACATCTGATGCACTCACACAAAGATATTTCACATTCTCATTTTAAATTTGTACCCATTCCAGGGTTTCTTAGTGTTTCCCAGAGAATAAGAATGATTTTGAAATTTGTGACTTGTCACTTTGGGGACAGACACTGCCTGTCAAGCTCTTCAGGCCAAGACCCCAAGGTTCCCCCAGCAGCCCTCAGACGCCCGTCCAAACAGTCTCTCTCTGGTCTCCAAGAGTTCCCGTGCATACCACATGCATATTCTATTTATATGTTTCTTTGTCCTGAACAAGATTTGGCCCCATTGTGTGGGAGCAACACCAGAAAAGAAAAACAAAATCCATCCACCGAGAGAAAATGGAGATTGTGAGAGCTTGGAGAAATTTACATACTTTGCTCATTCCATTTTCCTGTGATGTCAGAGTCAAAGAATATGCCTTTTTTAAAAAAATCACACACACACACACACACACACACACATTTCAAAATGCTGGGACTCACAGCTCTGTCAAGTGTATTGTCATTAAAAGGAGAAATGTAAACACTCTTTTGCCTTTCCCTCCACCCCCTTCTATTCCCCCCATCAGCCCCTAAAAAAAACTAACAAATTAGCCCAGACTCCACTGGACAGAATTAAGGGCCCGTCTGCAAAAGGCCGTGGGGTATTAATGGAGATGGGGCTGAGGCTGGGGCAGGGACGATGTGGAAGTGGGAGGCCGGAATGTGATACTTGAATCTGGGTGACTGGTTCTTTATGGAGGCACAGAAAAGGGCCGGCTGACACTTTACAGATTGAGTGTAATGTTCAGGGAATTTGGCATTTCTGCCACGGGCTCTGGCTGCCCTGGTAACTGCTTTCCTTCTCCCTGCTGGTAAAAGTGCAGGAGAAAAGGGTTAAATAAATGTTTGTGATATGATAAGGTGCTTGTTTATTCAAGGAATGACAGATTATTGGCTCCAAAGGCAGCCCTGAAAAATAGTACAAAGGAACTGGCTCTCCCTTCGCGGATGATGTGATTTCCTCCTGAGATTCTGCTCTTTCCTAGGAACAATTTGCCCTGGGAATTAAGAAAGATGATTTCCCTGCCATCAGATATGAACATGGAGTTGGCGCTGAGGGCTGGAGCCCCAGAAGCTGGCTGGGAACTGGGATGGGCTTGTTTTGGGGAATGACTTTCCTGCAGGGATTTTTCTCTCACTGCCCTCAGGCTGGCCCAGCACAGAGCTCAGCTTCCAGCATCCACGTGCCCTGCTTACTACCCAGAAAGGCTGCAGGGCATCAGCGTGTTGCTACTTCTGAGAGCCTGGGAAAAGAAGTTACGTACTCAGGAGGGGGACTTCTTCCTCAGGAAATCCTGGTGCCAGGTCTGCCTCTAGCCCCAGACTGCTGTGTTCATCCCCTGACCATTCCCACATGGCATGGACACATGTGCCCAGGATGGCATGCATATCTGTCCATTTCCACACCAACACAAGCTGCACTACATGAGCTTTCTCCTGTTGTCCTCTAGTGATTTCATAGCTAGTCCTGCAGGAGAATTCAGTTCCAGATCCCCAAACAATGAGGCATTCACCTAAAGTTGGTGCACTTTTCCTCGGGGAGCAAACATCAGTGGCTGCCAACCCTGAAAATCACAGAGATCTGTACGAGGGGGCCTGTACAAGTGAGCCTAGAAGGGCTGTGACACCTTGCTGTGCACTGTGAGCTGTTCCGTTCATGCCCAGCTTCTGGATGCTGCTCTGAGGTGGCTTCCGCCTGCAGAGCAAGGGTTCTGAGCCCAGCATGCTTCAGCCACAACTCTTCCTTTCCCCTCTCCTGGCCCTGCTTCTGGCATGCCATAGAGAGGTCATTCACATACTTGCTGACTAGAAGGGTTCATACAAGATGTTTGGCATAGTTCTCATTTGAAAAGAACACATTGCCAAAATCAAACACCAAGGGAAAAATAAGTTGTTGTTTAACGGCTGTTTTTCTGGCATCCTAGGAACTACTGTATGATTTTTATAATGGCCCAGTCACTTTATCAGCTGATGTGCTGCTTATTTGTAAGTCATAAGGCATCAGCCTGGGGAACCCAGTGCCCTTCAGACACAGTGACTCAGGTTTGAGCCGACGGCAGGGACGTTATCGAAGGTCCACGGTTGGGCTATTTTTATGATTGCATTCAGTACTAATAGGGCTTTTGGAGTGTACACAGCCATGTGCTCATTGTTGAACTATACAAGATAAGATCCTTGTCCCAAGGAGCTTACTGCCTGACTTTTGCAAAAACCAGATGGCAGAAAATGGTTTCCCTCTGCCCATCAGCAATGATTGAGGGGGTGGAGATGAGAAGCGGTGCAGTCAATTCATAACTCTCCTGGGGTGGGACCTTTGCTTTGGCATTTATCCCATGTGATGTTTTAATCATGGACTATCCTTCCCCATCATCTGCTATTCCATAAGCTGCATCTCCAGGGAGCTCTGAGAATTCAAGCTTATTTGAATATCAACTTAATTAAAGCATCATTAGATCATAAAGCACCATACATAGACACACACATTATGCACATAAACATTTGCAAAAATATCATGGATTTTGAAACTAGCCATAAATGACTTTTGGACTGCCAGTGGGGACATGAGGAAGGAAATGAAAATTGTACCTACTGTGGTGGGTCATATCCGAATCATATGCTGTGATGCTGGATTATGAAGTGCCAGCCGCGATGCCCCAGCAGATCAATTGGGTCTCTGGGACAGTTTCTGCCTGGGTCTGCCTCAGCTGGGAAATGTCCAGCAGAGCACTGTGAATAGGCCCCCACAACCTGCACATCAGTGCCTCTGGCCCCAGAGGAGCTTCCCGGCACCTGGGCATGTCAGTGACCTTATTTCAGGATAGCCCCCTAAGTCTTCAAGCCATTTGCAACTGCATGGGTTTACTTGAAGGCCAAAAATCTATTTCCTATGACATGTGAACAGTCTTACCAAAGGTGCACACACTGGTTAAACCCTGGATGAGCAAGTGTATTTACTCAGCACTTGCTTTGCCTTCATCTGGGCTCTCCGAAAGCAGATTCTTAGGCTGGGATTTGAGTGGGAGCACCAGCCAGGTGGTGAGGAGGGAAGCTAATGTAGGGTGTGGTACGCTACCATGGTATAGCAGTGTAGGTTACTGCTGTGAGCAGCTGAGGCGCCATCCCACTGGGGACATCTGGGAGATGGTGTAGGATGCATCTAGAGCTCTCCCTCCCTAGTGGCAAGGAAGCCAGGACATTGAAACATGAAGTCTTCTTCACCTTTGGCTCAGGGTTAGTCCAGGGACATCAACCCCCAGGCATTGCCTGCCCTGCCCTATCTGCAGGCTCAGCAGATCCCTTAACCAAAAAAGTCCCCAGTGTGGAGACCTGCAGTTGCTGGTGGTGAGGGTCACCAGTATGGCAACGGTAGGGGCCAAGGGACCCTGATGTAGGCAGGGACCCAACAGGGTCTGCCATAGGTTTCCTTCTTTCCTTCCTTCTTTTAAGTGTAAGGAACTCCTTTGAGAGAAGTTGGAGGTATGTACACATTTTCCCAGTGAATGGAGCCAATATTGAGACATCTAGAAAAAGGGAAATGAAAGAAGAGGGGAGAAAAACACAGGATTCAGCTCAGTTTTCCTTTACTCTGGAAAGTCTCCAAGCCCCTCCTCTCACTCTCTGACCAGCGACCTGATGTAAGTGCACCCCCACTCGACACCCATAGCCCTGAATTGTAATTGTCTGTTCATGTGTCATCCTTGCAAACCAAGGCATTCTTTCACTCGTTTGTCTTTATTTCTGTACTCTCTGTACTTACTTGCTTGGCATTGACAGGTGCTTAATTAATCTCTAGAAAATGAATGAAAGGTGGCTTTATTTACATTATTCCACATTTATCTCTACCAAAATTTTAAAGATTTACTCAGGAACAGAAGTTCCAACCTAGTTCCTTTGGACCTTTGTTGGTTGAATTTTAGAGATCTTTTTGTTGTTGTCCTAAACCAGGTGCCAGATCCCTGCAGAGATTTTCCAACATCAGGATTCTTCCTATAGAGAAAAAAGACACTCCCCATGAGGAGTCTGGAGCCCAGTGAAGTGGAAAGCTGAGATGCTCAGGCTGAAAACCATCCCTGAAGGTTAGAGGTCTAGCAGAAAGCAGTAGCTCATTAAACATTCATTTTTAATTTTTGCAAAGACAAAAGTAGAAGGCCACATTATCATTTATCATTCCCTGAAGAGGAGGTAAAAGTATATGACAGAGCAAAACCTGGTCACCACTTCTGACCAAGCCTTTCCTCTTCCAGTATCTATGATTTGGGCTTAATGATGGTTTTCTTTAGTACAAGATCTCTACTCTGCTCTAGATAATCTGATGACACGGTGATGACCTTTGCCTCCATCTCTCCTTCAAGACATTCCACTTTTCTGGTACCCAGAGCTGACCCCTTCCTCGGATGGTACCTACACTGGATTTTCCTACTGGATGGCCAAGATCAGAGTTGTTCAAGGTAAGACTTTCCTGGGCTGTGACATGCCCAGGGGACCCCGCAGATCCCTGTGGGAGGCTCTGGGAATCTTTCCCATTATGGGCAAATGAGAGAACTCATTCATCCACTCCAGAGTTTTTCAACCTACGTGCTATTGGCATTTTGGATGGGAATATTCTCTGTTGTGTGGGGCTGTCCTGTGCCATGTAGGATGTTTAGCAATTTCCCTGGCCCCTACCCACCAGATAATAGCATCACCCCTTCCAAACAAAATGACTGTCTCCAGATATTGCCACATGCCCTGTGGGGTGAAAGATTACCCTTGGTTGAGACCCATTGCTCTAGCCCAAGCCTGATGACAATTAGTAAGATATTGGCTCAAAGGCTGCATTTCTGGGGTCTCTTGGAATCTCCTTGATCTTGCGGCAGGAGTCTCTAGGGTTAATACATTTACCGTCACTGCTATCTTCCGAACACCTATTATATGGCAAACATTGTTTTGGCCCTTGAGATAGAGCTGTTATGTGTAGTAAATGACCCTCTTTATTCCGATGAGGAAATGGAAGCCCAGAAAGACTCTCAGCCAAGGTATTCCAACAACACATGCCTTGCAAATGGTGGGACTAGGATTTAAATTGGGGTCTTTTGACTTCAAAGCCTGTTCTCCTTCTACTCCCGTTCTCCCCTATCTTAATATACACAGTCCATCCCCTCTGAGGAACTGGCTAGAGAAAGTAATTCAGTAGATAGTATATGTTTCCCAAAACGGCCACCTTTGTGACACCCAAGTTCTGAAATATTAGAAATAATACCTTCTAGAACACACACACTTTGAGTATTGACTCACTTACCAAAATCCCTCAAGAGTATTCTCTCTGTGCTGTGGCCCTGAGGAAAGAGGAGTGAGCAAGAATTCCTGTGCTGGAGGAGCTGTTCCGCCAATGGAACATGTGGGCCTGAGAAGCTTCATTTGCAATACATTATGGAATATGCACTATTTAGAAGAGGCCTACAAAGGCATTGGAGTATGAGGTTGTTTGATCTCACAGTATAGGGGTCCTTTGTGCCAAATATGGCCTGTTGCCTACTTTGTAAGGTACAAACCATGACCCGTGGGCCAAATCTAGCCTGCAGCCCATTTTTGTAAGGCATATGAGTTAAGGACGGTTCTTATACTTGTAAAGTTTTGTTTAAAAAACAACAACAACAAACAAAGGAGAATAGGTGACGGAAGCTATATGTGGATCACAAAGCCTAAAATATTTACGATCTGGCTCTTTGCCAAATCCACACTTAGAATGAAAGTAAGTATCTTTGCAGCAATTAGTAGGTGTGTACTTAGAAGATAGGTTAGGCACAGTGGCTCAGGCCTGCAATCCCAGCACTTTGGGAGGCTGAGGCAGGCAGATCACTCAGGAGTTAAAGACCCCGGGCAACATGGTGAAACTTCATTTCTACAAAAAAATACAAAAATTAGTCAGGCATAGTGGCACACCCCTGTGGTCCCAGCTACTCAGGAGGCTGAGGTGGGAGGGTCACTTGAACCTGGCAGGTAGACATTCCAGTGAATCACAGTCACGCCACTGCACTCCAGCCTGGGGGACAAAGCAAGAACCTATCGAAAAAAATAATAATAATTTTTTATCCTAGGTTCACACAATAAAAGCAATAAAAGGATCAGTGAGGATGGGATGAGTTGTCATTGTTTCTTCTTTGGAGGAATCCTACATTGATGATCACTTCACAAAGAGATCATGTTAAACACTACATTCTATGAGTCTTTCACTGTTCAGAGCATGGAAAATGTGTGGCATGTCATAAAAGTTAAGGCAATTCGAAGTGTTAACAAATCCAAAATTTCTAAGGCTTAAGACAAGAGAAGTTTATTTCTTGTCCAGTCACTAATTGGTTATGAGAGCAGGAGTGCTCTGCTTCACACATAACATTCAGGAACCTGGGCTGAGAAAGGCTCTTCTGTACTCAACGTGTAACTTCCCAAGTCATCCTAGATGTCAGCAACCTGCAGGAAGACATAGGAAGAGAGCGAATGGTGAGTTTTCAATGGGAGCTTTTTATGGGCCAGGCCTGGAAAGGATGTTCCTCACTTCCACTCCTATGTTATCGGCCAGAACTCAGTCTCATGGCCACACCGAACTGAAAGGGAGGCAGTGTAGCTGTGGGCCCAGGAAGAAGGGGAAATGGGTTCTGGTGAACACAAAGCAGTCTTTGCCACCAGAAGAAACCTTGGATAAAACTGGAAACTGGTTGCTTTGTAGTGACAAAGAGATTTGAGTTAGTAAGAGGAGAGCTAGCATTTGAATGTCATATTCAGAGCAGATAAAAACCCGATTGTTGGGAGGGGGGTTAAGACGGCTGACTAAAGGTTCTGGTACTCATCACTTCCACAAAGAAGAACCAAAATTGCAAGTAGATAATCACACTTTGAATAGATCATCTAAGAGATAAAACTGGAATTCAACAGAAAAGTGTCAGGAAACATCTAAGGCAAGGAAAGAGGGGCTAAAAAAAAAAAAAAAAAAAAAGGAAGGAGAAGGAAGCCAGGCAGCTTGCTCAGCTGGGATCAGCTGGGAACCAGAAGAGGCTTCTCAATGCAGGTAAAAGGTAAGTAAGTGATCCCCAACACCCAACACTCCACATTCCCACTCTGAGCTCCTGCATTCCGAGCCATGGAAGAGCCCCTCGACTCTCCCATGCCCTGAGACAAACCTAGAGAGCTGCCTGGAAACTGCACAGTGGCATTGCGCCAGAGATGGAGCTCACATTGGGCCCCCTGCACACCTCAAGTCCTAAGCAGCTTCAGCATGGTGCCATTTTGAGAGCTCAGCCACTGCCAAACTGCATCCTGCCTTGGGGCTCAACAGCCCCTTCATCTTCACATCCCTGGAGCCCCATTGACATCCCATAGGTAGCTGCCATCATTGCTGGCTGCCTCCATTGGGGTCATTGCATGACCACTCACAGTAGCGAGACTGCTACACATAGGCAAGTGCTCTACAGACAGGCTGTTCCACCCAAAGCCACCACCTGGGGCTGAAGTTCATGCATCCCAGCTGCCTGCCTGTGGCTGCTGCCACTGAAAACAACCCTGCCCTCTCCAGCAGTGGGGATGCCACACAGTCACTGCCACCCCCACCTGAACATTCCACTAGGGGCCTGGGGATCACCCCACCCCTTCCTACTACAACCAACACCTGCATGTATCACTGGGAGGCCTGAAGAGATAACTTTACTGTGTATAGTATCCTTATCTGGCAGGTTTGTTTTCAGCACTTTGAATATATCATCCCATGCTCTCCTGGCATTTAAGGTTTCTTCTGAGAAATCCACTGTTAGTCTGATGGGGGTTCACTTGTAAGTGACTAGATGCTTTTCTCTTGCTGTTTTTAGCATTTTCTGTTTGTCTTTGAATTTTCACATTTTGACTACAATATGCCATGGAGAAGATCTTTTAAAATTGCATCTGTTTAGGGATCTCTGAGCTTCCTGTATTTGGACAGCAAAAATGCAAATATTTGATTGCCAGAAAGAAAGAAAAAAACCAAAAGAATATAAAGCTTATTTAATGAAACAACAGCTGAAAACTTCCCAAGTCTACTAAGACATTTAGACATCCAAATACAAAGTTATACTTCATAAGTGAAGGGGAAATGAAGTCTTTCCCAGGTAAACAAAAGCTGAGGGAATTCACCGCCACTAGATTAATCCCACAAGAAATGCCTAAGGGAGTCCTATTCCTGGGAGTGAAAGGACGATATCTACTACCATAAAAACACACAAAAGCGTTAATATAAAACCCACTGGTAGAGCAAACACACAAGTAAGGAATAGAAAGGATGCAAATGTTATAACCACAGAAAACTACCAAGTGACAATGATAAAACGTAAGAGAGAAAGAAAGGATATACAAAACAACCAGAAATCAATTAATAAAATGATAAAAATAAACCCTGACATATCAATAATAACTTTGAATGTAAGTGAATTAAATTTTCCATTTAAAAGATATAGAATGGCTAAGTGAAATTTTTTAAATGACCTAACTATATGCTGCCTACAAAGAAACATGTCTCACCTGTAAAGACATATATAGACTGAAAGTAAAGAGATGGAAAAGTATATTCCGTGCAAATGGAAACCAAAAGAGAGCAGGAGTAGCTACCTTTATATCAGTTAAAACAGACTTTAAGGCAAAAACAGTAAAAAGAGTAAAAGAAGGTTATTATATGATAAAGGGATCAATTCAGCAAGAGGATGTAACAATTCTAAACATACATGCATGCAGCATCAGAGCACTGAGGTATACAAAGCAAATATTATTAGATCTAAAGGGAGAGATGGAATTCAATATAAAAATAGTTGAAGAGTTCAATACCACACTCTCAGTATTAGGCAAATCATTTAGACAGAAACTTTGGATTTAAACTGCACTTTAGACCAAATGGACCTGACATATATTTACAGAACATTTCATCCAATAGCTACAGAATATACATTATTCTTATCAGCACATGAAACATTCTCCAGGATAGACCATATGTTAGCACACAAGAAAAGTCTCAACAAATTTTTAAAAATTGATATCAAATTAAATATCTTCTCAGACTACAATGGAATAAAACTAGAAATTAATAACAAGAGGAACTTTGGAAACTGTACAAATACATGGAAATTAAACAACATGCTCCTGAATGACCAATGGGTCAAAGAAGAAATTGAGAGGAAAATAAAAAAGATTACTGGAACAGATGAAAATAGAAACATGACATACCAAAACCTATCAGATACAACAAACGCATTGTGAAGACAGGATTCACAGCAATAAACTCCTACATTTAAAAAGTAGAAAGATTTCAAATAAACAATTTAATGATGCACCTGAAATAACTAGAAAAGCAAGAACAAACCAAACCCAAAATTAATAGCAGGACAAAAATAATACAGATCAGAGCAGAACTAAACAAAATAGAGACTAAAATACAATATCAAAAATCAGTTAAATGAAGAGTTAGTTTTTTGAAAAGATAAACAAGATCAATAAACTCCTAACTAGATTAATCAGAAAAAAGAGAGAAGACCCAAATAAACCAAACTAGAAACAAAAAAGAAGACATTACAAGTGATACCACAGAAATACAAAAGATCATCAAACGTTGTTATAAACAACTATACACTAACAAACTGGAAAATTTAGAGGAAATGGATCTATTTCTGGACACATACAGCCTACCAAGATTGAATCAGGAAAGAATAAAAAGCCTGAACAGACCAATAATGAGTAGAAAAATTGAATCAGTAATAAAAATTCTTCCAAAAAAACAAAAGCTCAGGACCAGATAAATTCACTGCTGAATTCTACCAAACTTACAAAGAACTGATACCAATTCTCCTCAAACTGTTACAAAAAAATTAAAAAAGAAGGGATTCTCCCTATCTCAATCTATAATGCCAGCACCACCCTGATACAAAACCAGACCAGGATGTGACAAAAAAGAAAACTACAGGCCAATATCCCTGATGAACATAGAGACAAAAATCCTCAACAAATTACTAGCAAACAAAATGCAACAGCATATCAAAAAGACAATACACCATGATCAAGTGGGATTTATCCCAGGTTGCAAGGATGGCTCAACATATGCAAATCAATAAATGTGATACATTACATCAACAGATGAAGGACAAAATCCACATGATCATCTCAACAGACACAGAAAACAACATTTATTAACATCCAATATAACTTCATTAAAATCTTTCAATAAACTAGGCATAGAAGGAGCATATCTCAACATAACAGCTATATATGACAAACCCACAGCTAACATGGGGAAAAACTAAAAGATTTTCTTCTAAGAACTGAAAAGAGACAAGAACGCCTACTTTCACTACTCCTATTCAACACAATATTGGAAGTCCTAGCCAAAGAAATCAGGCAAGAAAGAAAAATACAAGGCATCCAAATTTGAAAAGAGGAAGTAAATTGTCCCTCTTTGCTGATGATACGATTTTATATCTAGAAAACCAAAAAGCTCTTAGAGGTAATAAATAAATTCAGCAAAGTTGCAGAATACAAAATCAACAAACAAAAATCAGTAGTGTTTCTATACCCCCATAATGAATTAGATGAAAAAGATATCAGGAAGGTAATTCTATCTACAATAGCTACAGAAAAAACTAACTAAAAGCCTAGGAATAAATTTAACTAGTTAAGTGAAATATTTCTACAAGGAAAACTGCAAAACACTAATGAAAGAAATTAAAGAGAACACAAACAAATAGAAAGACATCCCATGTTCTTGGGTTGGAATAATTAATATCATTAAAATGACCATACTACCCAAACACATCTACAGATTCAATGCAGTCTCTATCAAAATACCATTGTCATTTTTCACAAAAATAGAAAAAAAATCCTAAAACTTCTATGGAACCAAAAAAGAGACCAAATAGACAAAACAATCTTGAGTAAAAAGAATAAAGCTGAAGGCATCATACCACCTAACTTCAAAATATGTTACAAGACTATAGTAACCAAAACAGCATGATATTGATATCAAAACAGACACATGGACCAGCAGAAAAGAGTAAAGAACCAGAAATAAATTGATGTATTTGCAGCCAATTGACTTTCAACAAAGGCACCAAGGACATACATTGGAGAAAGGACACTCTATTCAATAAATATTGCTGGAAAAACTGGATAGCCACATGCTGAAGAATGAAACTAGATCTCTGTCTCTCACCATAGATACAAAAAAATAAACTCAAGATGAATTAGACTTAAATGTAAGACTTAAAACTATAAAACTGCTAGATGAGTACTTGGGGGAAACACTTTAAGACATCGGTCTAGGCAAAGATTTTATGGCTAAGACTTCAAAAGCACAGACAACAGAACCAAAAATAGACAAAAAGGACTATATTAAACTAAAAAGTTTCTGCACAGCAAAGGAAACAATAAACAGAGTGAAGAGACAACCTATAAAATGGGAGAAAATATTTGCAAATTATAAATCAAACAAGGGACTAATATCCAGAATATACAAGAAATGCAAACAACTCAACAGAAAATAAACAAATAAACTCATAAAAAGTGGCCAAATGACATGAATAGACATTTCTTAAAAGAAAACATTAAATAACCAACAGGTATATTTTTAAATGCTCAACATCACTAATCATTAGGGAAATGCAAATCAAACAATAATGAGATATTATCTTACTCCAGTTAGAATGGCTATTATTAAAAAGACAAAAATGAACAGTTGTTGGTGAGAAAGTAAAGAAAAGGAAATTCTTATACACTATTGGTAAATGTAAATCAGTACAGCCACTATGAAAAGCAGTATGGAAATTTCTCAAAAAACTAAAAATAGAACTACGTGATCCAGCAACCTCACTACTGGATATTTATCCAAAGGAAAGGAAATGAGTATATCAAAGGGATAGCTACACCCCATGTTTTTGGCAGCACTATTCACAACAGCAAAGTTATGGAATCAACCTAAGTGTCCATCAGTGGACAAATGGATAAAGAAAATGTGGTATATATATGCAATGGAATACTATTTGGCAATAAAAAAGAATAAAATCATGTCATTTGCAGCAACATGGATGTAACTAGAGGTCGTTATCTTAAGTGAAATAAGCCAGAAAGACAAATATTGCATATTGTCACTTATATATGGGAGCTTAAAAGGTTAATCTCATGAATGTAGACAGTAGAATGATAGCTACTGAGGTAGGAGGCAGAAATGACTCCCAAGGCAGGGCTAAGGCACCAGACCAAATTGAGGACTAGCTAAAACAGGTCTGTGGCAAAAGCAGCTTTCTGTAAGACATATACACTAGTATGTCATGTCAGTTTACCATTGCCATGGCAACACCTGGTAGTTACTGCCCCTCTCCATGGTGACAACCCAGAAATTACTATCCTCATTCTAGAAATTTCTGCATAAACTGCCCCTTAATTTGCATATATTAAAGTGGGTATAGATATGAGTGCAGAACTGCCTCTGAGCTGCCATTCTGGGCATACTGCCTCTGGGGTAGCCCTGCTTTGCAAGGAGCAGTACCTCTGCTTCTGCTGTACACTGCTGCTTCAATAAAAGTTGCTGTCTGACACCACCAGCTTGCCCTTGAATTCTTTCCTGGGCAAAGCCGAGAACCCTCCCTGGCTAAGCCCCAGTTTTGGGGGTTTGCCTATCTTGCATCAATACCAGTGACTGGGAAACCTTTGTGGGTGTGAAGGGGGGATAAGGAGAGGTTGGCTAAAGCATACCAACATACAGTTAGATAGAAGGAATAAGTTCTAATGTTTGATAACAGAGCAGGGTGACTATAGTTAACAATAATGTATATATCAAAATATCTAAAAGAGAGGACTTGAAATATTCCCAAGACATAAAAATGATAAATACTCAAGTGATGGACACCTTAAATACCTTGAGTTGATCATTACACATTCTATGCATGTAAGAAAATAACACGTGTACTCCATATATATGCACAAATATTATGTATCAGTAAAAAACTTGATTATATTCTCATACAGAATTGCCTACCTATCCGTGATGTGGAAAATGCACTGAAATTGAAGGACAAAATAAAGCCCATCAGCTCTGGAGCCAGGGATAAGTCACAGCCTCTGGACACCAAGGGCCTCATCCATCAGATAAAGAAGTTGGAGCTTCAGGGGTCTGTGAGTTCACATACAGCATCCAAGAACATGGAGGGACAGCAATAGGCCCAGAAAGAGACCCCTCACGTGACTACCACGGTCTCATCACAAGTGATTTTGATCATTGTCAGACATCCTGTGCCTTTCCACAGAATAAAGCACAGGCTGTGTTGAGAAGAACAGAGGGGAATTGGGCCTTTGATCCTCTTGTAATCTGTGTGAGAAAGATCATGGAACACCTCTGTGACATTCAACAATACTCATGCCAGGTAAGCAAAGATGAATGACGTGCATAGTTCACTTGGAGGGGAGACAGAGAGGTAAATGTATTTAATTTCACTGTGATAGGGGTTATGAAGGTGTTACGCATGGAAACTGACTGGAGGTGGCTGTGCAGAGAAGAGAGGCTCAGGAGGGTTTCCCAGAGAAGGGGACAACTGGGCTCAATTGTGACTACATTAGCTAAGTGAGGTGTGCATTGAGAGGAGGGGAAAGAAAGTCAGGGGAGGGTGCTCTAGGAAAGAGTACAGCACGAATAAAGGCTTGCAGCACAGAAGAGCTACAGGGAGTGTGGTGTTGCTGACAGATAAATCGAGAAGTGGGGAGCTGGAGAAGTAGACAAGGTCCTAAAGGGCCTCGCCACTCACATTAAAGGACTCGTGTTTTATTTAATAGGCAATGAGAAGTCAATGAATTGATGATTTTTTGGGAGAAACAGAGTACACTTTGGATAAATTATTCTCCCCTTTTATGTTAAAACAGTTCCAGAATTGTTATCTCAGGAAACACATTTTCTTACATTTTCAAACTGTAAAACTCACACATGTGCATTGTAGAAACGTTGGAAAATATACAAAGGCATAATCGATAAGAAAAAATTATACATCAACTTATCAAATGGAGACCATTACTAGCAACATTTTGGGATATATTCCTCCAGTCCTTTTTATGTTCATATTTAAAAATAGTTGAAGTTACAAGGTCTATGGTACTTTAAAAAAGTTTTTATATAAAAATAAATACTATATACATTTCCCATTTTTCTGAAAATGTAGCCAATAAGAAGCTTCCTGCCTGGTCTCCTTCCTGCTGCTCTCCCCACCCCAGTCTATTCTCAACACAGAAGCCAAAGTAATTCTACTCAAATGTTCAGAAAAGTATGAATAGCAATAAGAAAAAAAGTTAATATACACACCCACCACCCAGAGTCCCACTGTTAACATTGTGGGGTAATTTTTTCCTGGTCTTATTTTTCCTGAGAATTAAAAAAATACCTTAGGTGATATGGAATAAAGGTTTTTGTTTTTCATTGTCTTTTAGCATAAGGCCAACTTTTAACAGGAAGTCAATTATACAAACAAATATTTACAAAATATTTCCTAAAGCACATGCCAATCATACAATCATATAATCTACAGCCCCTGACCTCAGATCAAGAGAGACCACAGGAGAGCAGCAGAATTGGTCTGAATTGCTTAAATCTATTTTGAAATTGTATTTTGAATTGTATTTTACTGTTATGTATTAAGCTTGAGTTAAGAGATAGCATTTTTCATACATTTGCTGTCATATTTGCTTTAGGGATGTTATTGAGGTCTTGTCCATTACATCAGACAATGCCTCCATTAAGGGATCTCAAGAGACACATTTTTCTCATATCTTATTGCTAAAAAATGTTCTGCTTCTACTTTATCAGAGAGTGTGAGTTTTAAAAATCTTATTGGCAATGAAAACTAGGTAACTCAACTCATCTTCTTTTTATTGTCCACTAGGAAATTAGAGCATAAGTGAGAGGTTCCTTTGCCACCATGTCGCACTTTACGTCACACATATTTGTGTCCTACATTTTTATCTGGCCTTTTCTTATTCTATCCTTATTTTCTCTTTCTCCTGACTTCCTGACATATACACTCCCCCTTCATGTATGTGTATGTGTGTATCTACAGCTATATATATGTGTGTGTATAATTATGTGTATATATGCATAAGTGTGTATATATACACATATAGTTTAAGCAATACAGACCATAGCTATACATATATCTACATACACACATATGCATATATATCTATCCACATTTACAAATATAGAGAGAACATTTATATGCATATATTTCTACAGTGCTCTCTTATGGTATAGTAATTTTTATCACATTTTTGGAATGAGAAATCACCTATTGTGTAGGTGATTTGGGCAGGGAGACCAGTTAGAAACAGTGGCAATGGGACAGGCAATGCCACCCTGGGCTAGGACCACGGGTATTCATGTGGGGAGAAGGAAATGGAACCAAGAAATATTTATAAGGCAGATACATCTCAAATTAATGCTGGATTAGTTGTGATGGAAAGAAAAGTGACTTCCAGGTTTCAAGCCTAGGCTGTAGGTTTTCCAACTGGGGCAGGGAGTAGTTTGGGAGGAAATATGAGACCTCCATTTTTGGGCATGCTGATTTGAAGGAAACTGTCTAGGACAGCCAGGTGGAGATACCCAAGCTTTGCCTACCACTCCATTAGTTTCCACTGATGCTCATTCACTTCCATTATTTTTTTCTGCTTGGAGTATAGCCACCTTAGCTTCTAGCACTGACCAAACTTGAGTCATCTTTCTGGGCCCAGTTGAGGTCCTACACTTCCAAGAGGCCTTGTAGCCCACTTTTCTTCTGACCTCCAACAGCACTTGCTATCTGCATTATCTTTAGAGCAAAGACTTGAAGCCCTTTATGTTGCTATCTACTTGTTTTATCTCATAGGTGAAATTCACCTACTTATTCATTCAGTGAATATTTAGTGTAAGCATCCACACGTTCTGTGCTAGGTGATGGGCACACAGATGACTCAGACATGGTCTCGGCTCTTAAAGAGTTGACTATCCACTGGAAGAGGAGATGATGCAACATGAGCAAGTTACTCTGTGCCCTTGAAGGAACACAAGGTTCGTTCTCTTCTTTATTGTTTACTCTCATGGTGGCTTGCTCAGGCTGCATGCAGAGCCAAGCCTCAACGAACAGCATATCAATTCTATCCATTCTAGCTTCCAGACTATCCATTCTAGCTTCCAGAAGAGAAATTCCATAGCAAACCCTGGGGGATGAAATCTGATCTCTCTCTGAGCCATCCAAATTCACTTTATACACAGTGTGAGTCGTGACAGTGTATAATGCCTGTCCCTAAAATGTGGCTTTCGTCTGTGTGGCCATGTTTCTCCTGCTGTGCTCACACCCCAAAAGAGGCAAAATCTTATAAGAAGCTCCAATATAGTGGCAATGTTTTGCTTTTCTAGAGTGGACTTGATTTTTCACAGCAGTTATGAGGCATCTCAGTCATGGCAGGCAAAGACCCTTTTCACTCAGAAACATAAGGCATGAGAAGGAACTTGACAGCATTGTGGAAAGCAGTGAGCTGTCAGTCGGAAAGGATAATCAGTTACCTTCTGGGATCTGCCCTCAACTAACTGCTTTGACTTGGGTAAGCCAGTAAACTGCTCCCTGCTTTGGGGCCCTAATTCATGAAAGAAGATGGCTACAGAAATGGGATTCCAATACTGTTTATGTTCTCCTTTTGTTTTTTTTCATGTGATTTTCTTTGTAAATGTCTATAATTAGTTTTCCAGAATGACAGTTAATCTGAATGAGTTGGCTTCTGCTCCAGTTGTCAATGGGAAGACATAGAAACTATCAGTTTTAGAAGTTAGGCAATATTTGAATATGTTGTCTTAAAGACACTTTTTTCAACACATGAGAATGATTTATTGAGAAGGAGTTAAGATGTGACTGAGTTGGGTGACAACTTTGGGTTGTTGCCCCAGAGCTCAAGGGTGTGCCTGTGAGAGTCCTCAACTGGCATGATGGAGAAAGCTTTGGCTGTCAGATGGAAGACATCAGTCTTGGCCCTAGAACTTGCTACTGATGAGACTCAGGACAAGGTCTGAGACTCTCTAGACTCCAGTCTCTTTCCTTACAAAATAATGCTTGATCTAGATTCTTTTCAATCTTCTCTCCAGCTCTAGCAGTCGACTATCTCTTGTAAACTATGTATGTAAGAGTGGTTATGTGTGTGATTTGTGAGCAACACTTTGTTTAAAGTTGCAAGCTCTCTTAGTTTTCACAATAATAACAATGTCTGACAGTTTCTCATTCTGCAAACAACAGCTTCTTGGTTTGTTTAGTGCAACACAGAATTGTGAAAAGCTCACAGGCTTTGAAAGCAGAGATACCCAGGCCCAAGTCTACCACTGACTGTCACGTCTTAACTGTGTGGTTCTTAGCATGTCACTTTTAATGTCAAAGTCTTATTTACCTCCTCCATAAATTGGACATTCTCATATCATGGGTGTGTGTTCTTTTTTGTTGTGATAAGTGATTGGCACAGGTTTGTCACATGGTGACATGTTTAATAAGTAGTAGGTTTTATAATGTTTTCAGGCTTAATAAAGGCATTTGGTTTATTAATCAAAGATTAATGAACAATGCTGTCACTTTTTGGTTTATTCTACAACAAAAATAAGCTAACAACTTTTCTTTCTTTCTTTCTCTTCTTTCTCTTTCTTTTTTTTTTTTTTTTTTTTTTTGTTAAGCAGGGTCTCACTCTGTCACCCAGGCTAGACTGCAGTGGTGCAATCCTAGCTCATTGCAACCTTGAACTCCTACGGTCAAATGAGCCTCCCACCTCAGCCTTCTGAGTAGCTAGGACTACAAGTGTGTACTACTATGCCAGGCTAATTTAAAAAAAATTGTAGAGATGACATCTTGCTATATTGCCCAGGCTGGTCTAAAACTCATGGCCTGAAGGGATCCTCTCACCTCAGCCTCCCCAAATGTGGGGATTACAGGCATGAGCCACCATCCCCAGTGAGTAACAACTTCTTGGTGTTGGAGAAAAACAAATACACAAACTCTGTGGGCTCACTTTCTTCATTTATAAAATTAAGGATGCCCCAGATGATTCCTAAGGCCTCTCTATAATTTTTTGTCTGGCTCATAAACTGGATCTGGATATAATTCCAAAGTAATTCAAGTAAATACATTCCAGAATGGGGTTTTAAGTAATAACAGCATCATTGCAATAAATTTAAGCATGATTACTTTAGAGGACAATACTCTTTTAGATGTGTGATTCAAGTCAGGTTATTTTAATATTAATAATATGTATTTAATGCCTACCTTGCTACAGTCCAGCAAGTGTTTTTGTTACATTTTGTAGCCACACCTTAGACCTGTGGGAAGAACAGGAAAGAACAGCAGGAAGAGATGGAGACAATATGAGGTAGAAGGTCAGGATAAAAGCAAGGTGACCTGGCAAGGCTGGCTCTGTCTTCCCCCTGGTTGGACAATGACTTGCTTGCATTGTGTGCCTTACTTTACTCAATAAATATATTCCTGAAAGTAGCTTCAAAACATTTGCAGATTGAATCATGTTTTCGGTGTAACACAGGCATGTTCTATTGAAACCACTCCCATGGTAAAACTTTTTGTAAAAAGAGACATTATTCTCTAATTCTAAATCTACATTGGATTTTCTTAAAGGAAAGTTCAACTGTAATTATTTTCCTGGAGAGGAAAAGTGATGTCAAGCCACCCTGATGAGAGCCTGGTGTGGGAACAGCTTGTCTGGCCTCTTGGGATCTCTGGGGAAAGTAGACGGAGATGAGGAATAGACACGTATTCCAGAACTGGACTTCGAATGGGCCTTTGGCCAAACTTGGCCCAATTTCTCAACAGAGAGAAAGCACTGACCCAAGCTGAAGACTGATTCACAGCCAACCTGCTTTGGACACGTTGTCCTCTGCCAGGCAAGCCAGCGCCCTATCCCTGAGGCACTTGCTGGCCAGGGGAAGGAAATGCTGGGAGAGGAAGCCTTGCTCTTTCCCCCTTTGCTGCATAGTTCCAGCTTTTGTGCAGCTCTCATGTTTGGGGATAGGGGAGGAAGGGAGAAGACTGGGAAGTGGGAGGAGGGGGACAAGGCCACCCATGAAGATGCAGGGAAAGCCAGCAAAGGCCAGGAGGGAGTCATTGCAGAAGAAGAGAATAATGTGAATGAACTTGGGGACAAAGGGGAAATAAGGAAGGGGTTCAGGGAAACCTCACAAACTAGATGGAAAAGAAAGAGGAAGGGGAAATTCCCAGGATAGAAAGTAAACCAGGAAGAGACGAAGAGGAGGGCTTCTCCAGGTGTGACCCACACCCCAAATTCAAACATTCTTGATTTAGAAAAATGTCCTGTGATTCATTCTCCAATGGGAAGTCCACTGTGTAGAAATTTTCTTTAACAATTTCTTCTTGACATGCTCCTGGAATTATAAGGAATTTGGGCATGAGAGCTCCTTTTCCAAAAAGATTCATGAGAGGACTTCTTCCTCGGTGCTGACTGCATTTGGAAGAGCAGTTGAATTAGGAATGGCTTGCAAAAATGTTAGTAGGGATGGAAGAGAGTGTTGGAGACGAGGAGTGATTAATATTCAAAATTCAGGTTTGTGTTCAATTTTGAAGTCACTGTTTTAGTTTTGATATCAATGTAAGGAGTGTAAGACCTGTGTAAATGGGATATCAGGTTAAAAAATCCAGCCTGCTCCATCCTGAGGAGAGCACAAATACATGGGACTCACAGATAATTCAAATGTTGACTTCACTACTCCAGCTGTCAAAGCAGTTCTGAGCGAGAACAAGACTGTTTGTAGGAACTCTAGTTCTTTTGCATTACCTGTCTTCCTGGAGGTAGAATCATCAGGAAGAAGAAACCAAGAGGAGCAGAATCAGATGGGTGAAGTAACCCGTGCATTATGTAAACAATCTTTGGCCCATAACCTAGGGTGAGCCAACATATTAATATTTAACTACTAACTCACAGGATCAACCAATCAGATTTGGCCCTGGACATAGCCCCAATCAGCCCTGGAGATAACATTCCCATGGCAACACTAATGCATTCTTCACTGAATGGTTGGCAACACTAATGCACTTACTCATTTAAGATTCTTTGTTTAATGTATGTCTTCCCCTCCAGACTGTAAGCCTATTGAAGGGTTTCCCTAGCATGTTGTGGGTGCTCAATAAATAACTATTGTCTGACGGCAAATACCACACCCCTGAGCCATATGGAAGACATCTCCCCTCATGGTGTTGTGGCTAATTCAGAAGTGGCATAGAGTCATGAAAAAGTGCTTCACATCAGGACAGCAGCTCAGCTCCTGACCTGGTTCTGCTTTTCTCTCACTGTGTGACTTTGGACAAGTCATCTCCTCTCCCTCTACCTCTGACTCCTTTGCTATGAAATGACAGGATTGGATTTGATGATCTCTGAGGCCGATTTCAGCTCTAATACTCAGTGGTTCAGCACACCCATAAAGTGCACAGCAGAGGTTTGTTTGTGACCAAAACAGAATGTTAGGAACTGAAAAAACTGCCAAAGACCACTTTAGAGGAAAAGTGGAAACAAGGTTTTGTGTGAAATATGCTTGGCTTGCACAATGCAAGTGATTCTTTTGTGAGAGCGGAAGGCCATAGGGTGTGATTACTTTATCTGCCACTAAGCTTCCTGGGCAGCCCAGGCCAAGCTAAAGATACCTATCACTCTTGTTCAAGGTCCGTTTCCTACTGAGTTGTCACACTGTTGAATTATTGTTGAGTTGAAGTCCAAAAGGGGAAATATTTTGCAATCTAGAGTTGGACCCTGGAGCTATACAACTATGATTACTGATACAGATTTTCCCAGAAAATCTCAGTGCACCGAGGTCATACCAAGGAGCCCTCATACTTCTGTATGCTACTGTCAGCTTACTCTGCTGGTGGTGCTGAAGTTCCGTGAACATTTTCCCCAATGAGCAAGTAAAAACATTTCATTTTGCCTCTTCCTGAACCATTTTTTTAAAAGTTTTTATATGGAATAAATCTTTACATTAAAAAAGATACACAATAGCATTTACTTTTAAAAATAAAATTTAAAATATGATGTGTATATTTAAGGTATACAACATTATGTTATGGGATACATATAGATAGTAAAAAGGTTACTATAATAAAACAAATATATTCAGCATCTCACAGAGTTATCCCCATTGCCCTGCCCCTTTGTTTGGTAAGAGCAGCTAAAATCTACTCATTTAACAGGACTCCTAAATGCATAAAATTTTATTAATTACAGTCCTCCTGTACATTAGAGCTCTAGGCTTATTCATTCTAATATATGCTACTTGATAACCTCTGACCTACATCTTCCCATTTGTTCCCCTTTTCCCTAACCCCTGGTAACTACTGTTTTATTCTCTGTGTTTGTATATTTGACTTTAATTTTGGTTTAGATTCTACATACAAGTGATATCATAAAATGTTTTTCTTTCTATGCCTGGCTTACTTCATCTAGTGTAATATCCTCCAGTTCCATCCAAGTTGTGGCAAATGGCAGGATTTCCTTTTTTAAGGCTGAATAACATTCTATTGGATGGATAGCTAGATGATGATAGATAGATAGATAGATAGATAGATAGATAGATAGATAGATAAAGAGTGTCCTGTGTACTGAGTCAGAGGACACATATATCTGTTTCTTTATCCATTTGTCCATTGATGGACACTTAGGTTGTTCCCATATCTTGACTATTGTGAATAATGCTGCAACAAACATGGGTGTGCAGATATCTTTATGAGGTGGTGATTTCATCTCCTTGGGTATATAATCAGAAGAGGGATTACTATGTTAAATGGTCATTCTATTTTTAATCAATTTTTTTGAGACAGGGTTTCACTTCATTGCTCAGGCTGGAGTGCAGTGGCATGATCATGGCTACTGTAGCCTCAACCTCCCATGCTCAAGTCATCCTCCCACCTCAGCCTCCCAAGTAGCTAAGACTACAGACATGTGCCACCATGCTGGGCTAATTTTTTAGTTTTTTGTAGAGATGTGAACTCACCATGTGGCTTAGGTTTTTCTTAATTTGTCTAGGAACCTCCATATTGTTTTCCATAATGCTTGCGCCAATCTACATTTCCACCAACAATGTACAATTTTTCCCTTTTCTCCACACCCTTGCTGACATTTTTTATCTCTTGACTTTTATGATTATCATCCTAATGGACATGAGGTGAAATAAGCTTTTAAAAAAACCTTTTTTTATGTAGCTCTGTTTAAAAAGCACTTTAGGAAGAAGGACATATTTGTCTGCACAAAAAGAGTATCCTGTGTACTGAGTCAAAGGATGACAAGCCCATAGCTCCTTGAATCTTAACACAGATGCTACTATGACTATTAGCTTTTAAACTCCTGCCATCCTCAGAGAGCCTATGATAGTGATGAAGAAAGAATTATATAACATGACGGGTTCAAAGATCCCAGGACAGGTATCAAAACCCCAGCTTCCAAACCAGTTGCGTGTATTCCTCTGAGCAAATCCCGGCCTCTCTGAGCCACTGTTGACTCCCATGTGAACCGTTCATCCAGGTGCCCAGAAGCTCTGCGTTCTGTGGAGCCTTAGAAGTCCAGGTGGGAGGCAGGTGGAAAGAGAGAAGGACCAAGAGACAGACGGGGGTTCCGTGTCCCTGGAGCCAGAGCTCTACTTTTGTCTTTTATACGTGTCCGAGGTCTGCTAAAATGTCACTGAAGAAAAGATTATGCTGTCTATAAAGAGTTTGAAAGCACAGGATTAGATGACCCCTAAAGACACTCTTAGTTCTTTAAAAAAAAAAAAAAAAGTCCTCTGGGTTCATGTTCACATAAACTCACAAGCTTAGGTACACACACACAAACACACACTCTCATGCTTACACACACCCTCCACTATAAAAACAAACAAGATTGATTAACATTTCATGAATCGTGCTGAAAAGTTAATTCAGATGTCCTTCTCTCTGAATGCTCTGCTGTCCTCTGCAGGTCCCCAGGTCCTGCTGGGAGTTGGGGAAGCACTGCATGTGACCAAGTCTTCAGCTGAAAATCAAATCAGTTAGAGCTAAGTGAAGCTTAGAGCTCATCTGTCCCCTGCTTAACTGTATATATGATGAATGCAAGGCCTGGAAAGGGGAGTGACTTACCCAAGGTTATATAACTAGCTGGTGGCAGAGCCACCATTAGGGGTCACTTCTCCGAATCCCAGCCCAGTGTCCTTCCCACCATACTATGCTCTTGAAAAATGATGGAACTACATGGAATGACTGAATATTCTGTATTGATAGACTCTAAAATAAAAATATTTCCCACCCATCTCTGTGGTATGGGTAGATCTTTAGAGCTATTAAGACCCTCCCCTACCAAAAAAATACCATACACACACACACATACACACACACACACACACACACACATACACACACACAGGCACTTTGCCAAGGGGATAAGGGGTAATGAAAAACCCTTGGCAAGTGGATACTTCAAAGCTTTAGAGAGTTTATCTGAAGAAGACTTTGAATAGAGTGCAATGTTTTATGAGTTTTCCTAATCCCTCAGTAAATGTGCCTTGCTGAATAAGCAGAAACATTTTTAATGACTGTTAAAGAGTTATAGACACAGGCCTGTGACTGGGTATTAGAGTAGGGTTTCCTAGGACCTTTAGTCTCCTGCACTCCAGGACTGGAAGTAGAATTTATATCTGTGCCACTGGTTCTGAGCTAATAAATTTAGAGCCCAAGGCTCTTTCTTCTGAAGGTTGGTGGCCACTTACTGTTTACTCAGTGCTAGCAACTGCTACTTCTACCACCACTAATTATCTCTACCTCTATTGCCACCACTAAAAATGTCCTTTTAGCTCATTTTAGCCTCACAATATCCCAGAGAGGTGTGTCATATGAGTTTAGAATCCCTTCTTCAGGTAGGAAGAGAATAGTGTGCCAGCAATTGAGATGGGCTCAGTACACTTTGTTGAGCTTGAGCCAGGAAAGGGGACTGAGTTTCAGGAAGTCCAGGGGAGCCAGGTCATAGTGTAAGAGATGAGAGGCCTAGAGAAAGAAAAGGCCAACTGCCCTCATGGTTGAAAGTCCTGAGAAGAAGACTGAGGTCAGGACACACGCTAGACAGCTACGGGGCTGTCAGGGCATCAAAGCCAGGAAGACAGATGCTGCCTTGGAGCTGGAGGCTCTCCCAGCTCTGCTCTGCACTATCCCTGCCTCTCCTGCTTCTGGGGCCTCTGGGTAATTCCATTTCAGGCAGCAGCTTCAGTTGGGTTGGAATTTTAAGAATTTGTCCAGTAATTTGCAGCTTACTATCCGGGGGTGGAATGAGTAAAATGGGGCATTTTCAGGGCAGATTTTAGAGTCGAGGCTATAAACCCAAGAGCTGTGGCTTCCTGGGGTCTCTTTCAGGACTCACACTGCATCCCTTAAACTTACCCTCTCTTTTGCAGTAGCCCCAAGTGGAGGGGTTCATTTCATCTCCTAGGTCTTACACCCCTCTTGATAATTAAAACTCATTTTTAGGAGATGGGAGATTTAATTGTTACTTTAACACTGTGTAGATTTGTGTGACATAAAGGCAAGTCTAGCATGGCTTAACAAAACCCGCCAAAAAACCAGGATAAGAAAAGGCACTGAACACACAGAGTGAAGTGAACCCAAATTGCTATGGTCTCTACCTTCTGCATCAAGGAAGACAAAACAGGAATTGGGAAGAGTCAAGGTCAGGATGGGCATGGACTCTCCCAAGGATAAATATGTCAAGAAGAGTTGAATGACAAAATCAAAATTCAGAAAAGGGAAAAACACATTTTTCAAAATAACAAGTTTCCAAAGCTATTCATGTAGGATATCTGATTTTTTTTTGAGTGGACATTTAAAACAAAAATCAGAAAAATGACAACATATTTCTACCCAGACTAAAAATGTTCTCGTGTCGTTTCAGACTTCTTCCATCCTCAGGACTGGTAAATCTTTGTACCCTAAAATGGGTTGGAAGGAAAAAAGCAATGACTCATATCCCATGCTGAAAGCTTGATGATTTTCAAGACAAGAAAAGGCTGTGGGAAGGCTCAGAGCCCAGGAACAAAAGGCAGACAAATATTTTGGGAGTGAGAGGAGAAGCAGGGACTGCTGGAGGGAAAAGAGAAAAGAGAGTATTAAGAAGAAGAGAAGGGAATCCACATAGAACACTTTTTATTAGTCAAGGAGGATTTTCACAAAGATTCCCTTAAAGACAAGTAAGGCCCTACACTTGCAAATAAGACAAGAATAATGAGCTAATCTGAGAGACTACATTCAACTTTCCACCCCTCAGTACAACTCTGTAAAGTCTAACATTTAAGAAAACTTCTTAAAAGTTCTGAATATGTGTCTCCTAGAACCAATCACCCATATTATGATGACTAAGTTACGCCTAAGATATTTTAAGTATGGATCTTGGAGACACCCTGGAAAGGTATCTGTTTTGTCAAGAGAAGAATCCAGAGGGTTTTCGTAGAAGTGCTTTAGTGAAGTAAACACATTGAGAATATGCTCCAAGGTCACCTACTTGTTCTGCAGAGTTATTTAGCTCTACTGGGGGCTTCAAGGTGGAAACATTGATATTACATCAATTGTATTAGGTAGACATCGTTCTGTGACAAATTTTAAAATGTGACCCAACTCTATGCTGTGTACAAGAAACTCATTTTAAATATAATGACATAGGCAGGTTAAAAGTAAAAGAATGGAATAAGATGTATTATGCAAACACTAATCAAAGGAAAGCAAAAGTGGCTATGTATTTTTTCCTCTCTTCTTTCTTTTTAATTTTACTTTAAGTTCTGGGATACATGTGCAGAACATACAGGTTTGTTACATAGGTATACATGTGCCATAGTGGTTTGCTGCACCCATCAACCCATCATCTATGTTTTCAGCCCCGCATGCATTAGGTATTTGTCCTAATGGTCTCCCTCCCCTTGACCCCCACCCCTTGACAAGCCCTGGTGTGTGATGTTCCCCTCCCTGTGTCCATGTGTTCTCATTGTTCAACTCCCACTTATGAGTGAGATCATGCAGTGTTTGGTTTTCTGTTCCTGTGTTAGTTTGCTGAGAATGATGGCTCCCAGTTTCATCCATCCTGCAAAGGACATGGACTCATTCTTTTTTATGGCTGCATAGTATTCCATGATGTATATGTGAAAAGTGTCTATATTAATATCACATAAAATAAACTTCAGAACAAAGAAAATTATCATAGATATAGAGGGACATTATATAATGAAAAAAGGGCCAATCCACAAAGAAGACATAGCAATCTAGAATGTGTGTGCACTAAACAAAAGAGCCACAAAAATAGATGAAGCAAAACCCAAAAGAACAGAAAGAGGAAATAAGCAAATCCACAATTATAAATGAAGACTTGACTACCTCTCTTAACAATTGATAGAACAACTAGACAGAAAATCAGCAAGGATATAGAAGAAGTCAACACCATAACAAATAGGATCTAATTGATATTTATAGATTACCACCAAACAGCAGAAGAATACACATTCTTTTCAAGTCCCTACCTAACAATATCAAGATAGACCACATTTTAGGCATAAAACAAAACCCAACACATTTAAAAGAGTTGAAATTATTAAGAGTGTGTTCTCTGATTACAATGGAATTGAGCTAGAAATTAAAAACAGAAGCGTAACAGGAAAATCTCCAACACTTGGGAATTAAACAACCCACTTATAAATAATCCATGGGTCAAAGAGAAAGTTGCAAAGAAACTTTAAAAATACATTCAACTGAATAAAAATGAAAATATAATGTGGCAAAATGTGTGGAGCACGGCTAAAACAGTGATGAGAGTAAACTTTATAGCACTAAATACATATATTAGAAAAGAAGAAAGGTCCCAAATTAATCATCTATGCCCCTGTCTCAAAACCTAGAAAAATAAGAGGAAATAAACTCAAAGCAAGCAGAAGGAAGAACATAATAAAGATATAAGCAGAAATCTATGAAATCAGAAAAAAGATAGAGAAAATCAACAAAGCCAAAGCCTGGTTCTTTGAAAAGATTAATATAATTGACAAATCTCTAACATGATTGAGAAAGAAAAAAGATTAAAATACAAATTACCAATATCAAGAGTGAAACAAAGGATATCAATATAGGCCCTGCAGACATCAAAGATTAATAATGGATATTACAAACAATTCTACACACATAAATTTAACAACTTAGACAAAATGGACCACTTTCTCAAAGAACACAAACTACCAATGCACCCAGTATGGAACATACATAATTTGAATAGAACTACAACTACTAAGAAATTGAATTCATAATTTATAAACCTCCAAGAAATAATCTCCATCTCCAGATGGTTTCACTGGAAAATTTTACTAAATGTTTAAAGTAGAATGAACACCAATTATGCACAATCTTTTCTATAAAATAGAAGACAAAAGAATACTTTCAATTCATTCTATATAGATACAATTACCCTGAATTTTTTAAAAGTAAGTTTAAAGAAAGAAAGAAAGAAAAAGAAAATTACAGACCAATATCCCTCAAGAATATAGTTGCAAAAATCTACTTCAATAGAATTCAGCAATATATAAAACATCATACATACACACACATTTATAATTATAAACCATGAGCAAATGGAGTTTACGCTGGGATGCACAAATAATTTAGCATTTGAACATCAAAATCTGTCAGTGTAAATCACTATGTTAACAGGCTAAATTAAAACCAGCATGATAATGTCAATCTTGCAGAAAAAGCATTTGACAAAGTTCAGTGTTCATTTATCATAAAAACACTAAAACCCTACTTATCATAAAAACATAGCCACTTGTTCAATCTCATAAAGAGCTTCTACAAAAAGACCTACAGCTAACATTATACTAATGTTGAAAGACTAAATTTTCCCCTAAAATTGGAAATAAGGCAAGCATATCCACTCTCATCACTCTTATTCAACACGTTGCTGGAAGTTGTAGCCAGTGCAATAAGGCAAGAAGAAGAAATAAAAAGCATGTAGATTGGAAAGGAAGAAATATAAGTATCTCTGTTTGCAGATGACATTATTGTCTAAGTGGAAAATCCCAAGGAACCTACCATCTATTAGGACCTCTTGGACCTAATAAGTGAACTCAGCAAATTCACAGGATACAAGATAAACATACAAAATTCAATTGTATTTTGATATACTATCAATGAGCACATGGACAGTAAAATTAAAATACAATGCCATTTATGATTCCTCCAAATAAAATATTTAGGTATAAATCTAATGAAACATCTACAGGACTTATATACTGAAACTACACAATGCCGATGAAAGAAATCAAATATCTAAATAAATGAAGGGGCAGGATGTCAATTTTCTTTAAATTGATATATAGGTTTAATGCACTTCATATCAAAATCCCAGCAAGACTTTTTATAGAAATAGACAAGAGTACTTGAATATTTACATAGAAAAGCCTATAATCTATTTCAAGAGTTATTATATAGTCATAGCAATCAGGACTGCATGGTATCTTTGAAGAGATAATGACATATATCAATGGAACAAAACAGAGAACCCCAAGATAGACCCCTGCGAATATGCCCAAGTGATTTTTTCAGAAAAGTGCAGAAGCAATTCAATGGAGGAAAGATTTTTATTCAACAAATGGCACTGGAGCCATTGGATATCCACAAGCAAAAAGAAATAAATGAACCTCTGCTGGGCGCAATGGCTATACCTGTAATCCCAGCATTTTGGGAGGCCAAATCAGATGAATTACTTGAGGCCAGGAGTTTGAGACCAGCCTGGTCAACATGGCAAAACCACGTCTCTACTAAAAATACAAAAATTAGCCAGGCTAATTTAAAAATTACAGGTGGTGCACACCTGTAATCCCAGCTACTCTGAAGGCTGAGGCACAAGAATCTCTTGAATCTGGGAGGCGGATGTTACAGTGAGCTAATATCGCACCATTGCACTCCAGCTGGCCCACAGAGCAAGACTCTGTCTCAAAATAAAAATAAATACCTTCATCTCATGTAGTAATTCATACAAAGTAGATCACAGATTTAAATCAAAACATAAATCTATAAAATTCAGGAAGAAAAAACAAAAGAAAAATTCTAAGCAGAGTGCTTACACTTAACACCACACACATGATCCATACAAGGAAAAATTGATAAACTGAATCTCATCAAAATTAAACGGTTGCTCTGCAAGCTATGGACCGGAGAAAATATTTGCAAACCACATAAATGACAAAGGGCTAGTATCTAGAAAATACAAAAGATTCTCAAACACAGCAATTAAAAAAATCAAACAATCCAATTGGAAAACGGGATAAAAGATAGGAAGAGACACTACACCAGAGAGTGTACACAGATGGCAAATAAGAATATGAAAAAGATGTCCAAAATCATTAGCTATTAGGGACGCAAATTAAAACCATAATGAGGTGCCACTACCCACCTATCAGAAAAACAAACATTTAAAAATAGTGAAACATTAAATGCTGGTAAGAATGCAGAGAATGGAGATCTCTCATGCTTTCCTGGCAGGAATATAAAATGGTACAGTCACTCTGGAAAATAGTTTGGTAGTTTCTTTAAAAACTAAACATGTAACCTAGCAGTTGTACTCCTGAGCATTTATCCCAGAGAAACAAAGACTTATGTTTACACAAAAACCTGTTGATAGCAGCTTTATTTGTATTAGCCAAAAACTGGAAACAACCCAGATATTTGTCAATGGATGAATGGTTAAACAAACTGTGGTACATTCATACCATGGAAGTGTCTCAGTAATAAAAGGAACAAGCTATTGATATATGCAACAATCTGGACAAATCTCTAGAGAATGATGCTAAGTGAGAAAAGCCAATCCCTAAAGATTACATACATTATTATTTCACTTATACAACATTCTTTAAATGACAAAATTATAGAAACAGAGAACAGATTAGAGGTTTCCAGGGGTTAAGGAGTGGACGGGTACAGAAGACAAGTTAATATGGGCAATCAGAGGGAGGCTTATGGTGATGTTCTATAACTCGACTACATCAACATCAATGTCTTGGTTGTGATACTATGCTATAGCTTTGCAAGAAGTTACCATTGGAAATGGTACATGAGCTCTCTCTGTATTATTTCTTTCAGCTATATATGAATTAACAATTATCTCATAATAAAAAGTTAAATTTAAAAAAAATATTTCAACTTATGATAGCTCCAAAATGCAAAGAATAAATGTAATGAAAGACAGGAAAGACTTCCACACTGAAAATTACCAAACGTTGCTTAGTGGAATTAAAGAAAGCCTAAATAAATGGAGAAATATACCATGCTCATGGGTAGAAAAATGTAATATCGTTAAAATATCAATTTTTCTGAAATTGATTCATAAATTCAGTGCAATCCCAATCAAAATACAAGCTGATTCTAAAATGCATAGAAAAAGGCAAAGAAACAGAATAGCCAAAGCAATTTTGAAGAAGAACATTTGAGAATTTCAAGTCTCACTGTAAATCTACTATAATCAAGATAATGTGGCATTAGTGTAAGAATAGCTATATAGGCCAGGTGTGGTGGCTCACGCCTGTAATCCCAGCACTTTGGGAGGCCGAGGCAGGTGGATCACAAGGTCAGGAGATCGAGACCATCCTGGCTAGGAGGGTGAAACCCCATCTCCACTAAAAATACAAAAAAAAAAAAAAAAAAAAATTAGCCGGGCATGGTGGCAGGTGCCTGTGGTCCCAGCTGCTCAGGAGGCTGAGGCTGGAGAATGGCATGAACCTGGGAGGCAGAGCTTGCAGTGAGCTGAGATCCTGCCACTGCACTCCAGCCTGGGTGACAGAGTGAGACTCCATCTCAAAAAAAAAAAGAAGAAGAATAGCCATATGGATTAATGGAACATAGCAAATCCAGAAATGGGCACACACATATATGGTCAATTGACTTTTGAAAAATGTGACTACATAATTCAATGAGAAGAAAGAGTATTTTAAACAAATTGTGTTGGAAGAACTGGATATCAAATGGGAGGAAATGTCTCCAATTCCTACCTCACACAATAAGCAAAAATGACCTAAAATGGATTATAAAATCTGAAAATAAAGTTAAAATTATAAAACTTCTATAAGAAAACATAGGAAAAAATCTTGGCAACCATGGATTAAGCAAAATATTTCTTAGGACACAAATAGCACAAACCAACATGGAAAAAATGATAAACTGTATTTCAAAAAGTAAAAAACTTTCTCTTCAAAAGATGCTATTATGAAAATGAAAAAGGCAATACACAGTCTGGGGTAAAATAATTGCAATGCATGTATTTGACAAAGATATGCATCCAGAGTATATAAATAGCTCTTATAAATCATTAGTAAGAGGACACAAAACCAATTTAAAAATGAGCAAAGGGTTTGAACAGATGCTTCTCAAAGGAAATTATACAAAAGACCAATGAGCAAACGATCAGTTGCCCAATATGATAAATCATCAGAGATATGCAAATTAAAATGATGATAACATACCACTATACACCCACTAGAATGACTAAAATTAAGAACAAACAAAAAAAAAACCAGACAACTCCAAGTGTTGACAAGGAGGGCTGCTAAATTGCTGGTCAAAATGTAAAATGTCATTACTATTTTGAAAACAGCTTGACCACTACTTAAAAAGTTAAACATATACTTACCATGGGACTTAACAATCTAATCAAATGTACTTACCCAAGAGAAAGAAAAATATCTGTTTATACAAAGACTTGCACATGAGTATTCATAGCAACTAACTCATAATAGCTATAAATTGGAAACGACCCCCAAAACCAATAAGAGATGAATGGATAAACAAATTGTGCTATATCCATACAATGGAATACTACTTAGCAATGAAAAGAAACAAATTGTTGATAGATGGCACACTATGGATGAATCTAAAAAAATATACCAAGTGAAGAAGCTAGACAAAAACTACATAGCGTATGATTCCATCTAGAAAGGCTAAACTAACTCATAGTGACAGAAAAGGAGGCCTGGTGTGGGTGTCAGGAAGATGGGTTGGCAAAGGCCTCAGATCAACTACTGCCCACAGTCAGAGGTGAAAGAGTTGACTGTAAGGTGAAACAGGAAGACTTTCAGGGGTGATCTAAATGTTATATATCTAGATTGTGGTGGTGACATGGGTACATAAATTTGTCAAAACTTATTGAATTGCATACTTAAAATGAATGCATCTGATTGTATTACATCATTGTATGTAAATGATCCTGGACCCCTATCTCACACCAAACACAAAAATTAATTTGAAATAGATCATAGATCTAGATGTAAATTCAACCTATCAAACTTCTGGGAAAAAAAATAAACCAAGAGAATAATCTTTATGAGTTTTGTCAGCAGATTTTTTGGGGACATAAAAATCACTAAAAAGAGGGGGGGATCAATTAATTTAAGTCTCCCCAAAAAATCTTTCTCTTCTTAAATCAGTAGTTATAATCCTAGCAGCACATTTAAGTCATCTGGAGCATGTACAAATAAAAGCACAATACCCATCCCAGACTAACTGAATCACAATATCTTCTTGAGAAACATTGACTTAAAGTTTGGACTCCATTGATTTTCAAAGCAACAAATGTGCCTCACAGAGAGGTTATGTAGCCTTACATCTCTAACATATGAAATATTTTTTGTTTGCATATGAATACATAAATGGAGAAAGTAAGTTATATACACGTATTAATTTATTCAATTTGATTATTATGTATCAGGGACTATGTTGGATGCTTAGTTACAAAAAGACTGAGACACAATCCTTGGCCACAATTATAGGAAGAGTCAGAGTTCTAGGTGGGATAAAAGTTGTGCAAATATATGACGTGCATACACAAAGAGATAGATTTCATCTTGTGTGGGTGTCAGGAAGAGGAGTTGGCAAAGGCCTTAGAGAAGAAGAAGGGATTTCCATTAAGCCAAGTCTCAAAAGATGATTATGATGTGATCTGGTTGTCCTGGACAACTTGACTAACCACACCTCCGCAACCCCGCAGGCAACACACACACATTTTTGTGCACATACCGGCAACATATATATTTTTCAAAATCCTAAGTATCCATGCCTGCCTTATAGTTAACGTTTCGAAGATTCTTTCTCTACCCATTGTCCTGGATTAATATCAAAAGAGAACGAAGAAAGAAGCTTAAGGGAGAAAATCCACTGCATCTTCAGATTGTTTCCTTCTTTCTGATCTCAGGAGGTCCAGGGAGGTAGGAAGAACCTTTTCACCTGTTTCCTCATATTGTTCCTCTATTGTCCTCTCCAGCTGGTAAGCCCCAACATCGTGTATCTTAAAAAGCTAATGAGGCCAGGACAGAATTGCCATTTAAATTCTTTAGTAACATTTCCTCTTACAGTCTGAGCTCTTATCCTCTGACTTGTTTCCTTAAGTTTCTATCAAGCTCCTCAGTCAGGTTAGTTGGAATATTCCCATGCTTCTTCCTTTTTCTGTTAGAGAATAAGGTCTATTATATAACTCCTTCATCTCCTTAGAAATACAGATAGCCTATCAGCAGTTTTGGAAAAACATCCCAACTGATTTTAGGGCATTGAGGCGTTTGATGGGAGGAAGCTATCTATACAAAGAGTGAATGCTGTACAAACAGCAAACTTTACAGGGAAAAAGTTGATATTTATAGATACTCATTTATACCCCAGGGCAAGACAGACAGATAGATAGATAGATAGATAGATAGATAGATAGATAGATAGATAGCAATATATTGATATCTGTTTATCCATTGAGTCAAACAAATAAACACACATAGATTACAAAGGTCCTTTTCTCTTCCCATGCCTGAAGAGAAAGGAGGCCTGTGGTTTCTTTCCATAGATATGCATCACTCCTGAAAAGCACACTCACATCTTGTTTATATATTACAGCCTTCCGCTACTTCACCAAATGTCTCCTGGCCTTTGCTCAGTGAGCCAGTTGAGCTCCCAGAAAAATCCTTCATTCTTTCCCAACTGTGCCTCCCAAGACAGATGTTTTATATCAAGGACACCAAGTCCTGCCCTGAGGACTTAGCCAGCAAAAACTCACTAGAGGCCCTTGCCTTCAGGAGATGATGTAACCTTGGAGAGATGTGTGCTACAATCTCCCTGCAAAGGCGGAAGACAGCGTGAACTCACAGGGGACCCAGGCCAGGGTATTGGGTGGGCCATCCCTCTCTGTTGTGATGAGTGGCTATAGTGTGTAAGTCAGCCTGGGAAAATGTCTGCTCAGTCCCAGGAGTGGATTCCACAGCTCTTTGGTTGACAGTTCAGTTCCCACCATCTTCTGCTTGCAAGTCTTCTTAGGGCAATGCTGCAGGGTAGGTCCTTGTCCTGTTTTATTCAAGAGCACTCCTGGTATGGCCCCACCATCTGTGCAGAGAGCAAGGCTTCACATGTCTCCAGGGTCTTATGGTAAGTTGGATATGACAAGTGAGAACCCAGCAGTCTGGGGACAGTGCTCAGAGCAGTGTAAAGGGCAGTCACACAGCCAAGTACTTTCCAAGGCAGGGCAGGCCTTGCCAGTCCTCACTCAGAGATGTTCACACCAGCCTTGTGTACAGCATGCTTAGCTCTTTGATTTCTGAGCCCTCAGCTATCACAAGTAGTCAATTCTCAGGAGAGGCTGAGTTGGGAGATGGACCTAATGACATTGCCTAGCACACAGTAGGCACTCAAAGCATATTAGATGAATGACAGAATGATCAAACAGCATCAAAAAGGCACAGCTAACTAGAAGAGGGGGCCCAGGAAAACAAATAAGTAAAATTGATGCTTTCGTGCCTGGGCCCTTTAGGACAAGGAAAAGAACTCAGGATTGCAAACTGCTAGTCTGAACTAGGGACTTGACATTTATTATCTGAGTCACTCATGTAGTCATCCTGGGAGGTATTAGGAACACCCTTTTACAGATGCAGAGGTGGAAGCCTGGAGAAGGGAAGTGGTTCCCCCCAGGTCCTCCATCCAGTAAGGGGCAAGGCCTCAGTCCCAACAAAGCTCTACCTCTGTTGCAGCTCATAGCTCAGTTTCCTCAACTACAGAAAGGATGCAGCGTTGCTTATCAAATGGGGTGGTTTCGAAAGCAGCATATTTAAACTCTGGATTAGGACCCCATTAAACTTGAATCTGGATCAGATCTAGGGAGAAGTTTACTTTTGTGCTATTCATAAAAGAAAAGGTTTAGAAAGCCAAGAACCGTGTAAACCACATTGCTGGGTGGGAGGATGTGAAAAGTATGTAAGCAAATAAACTATCTCTAAGCAACTCAAACATAAGACAAACATTTATTTGCATATAGATGAGTGATGTGATTGCTTCTGCCTGGAACCATTTTTCACTTTTCTGTCTTTTCCCCTTTTTTTCTAACTAACTTTTATTTATCCTTCAAGTCATGCCTTAACTGTCATGCCCTGTGGAAAGCCTCTACTGACCCCTGCACTAAGTGACTCACTTCTATTATACTATCCTGTGTCCTCCATTATTTTAATTGCTTGTTTATTTTCTGTCTTCCTTTCCAGGCAGCAAATTCCACAGTAACAGTAGCAATGATGTCCTTAGCACTTAGCACAGTCCCTGACACACTGCCAAAAGTACATGTAAAATGAATATATGAAAGAATAAATGATATGCTAATTACAAATCACAGGTTCCTCTAAGATACTTTTCCCAAACAAGTCACTAAATGGATTGAATAGTCACTCCTTTAACTGCTTGTTCTCTCTCTGTGCCTTTTTCAACAACTTTTGATTAAATCGCTACTGTTCATCAGATTCCATACTAGATGAAATAGACACATTTATTTGCCCTACGTAACCCACTGTGTCCCGTTCACATGTCTGTAGAGTGCCCATAATGCTTTGTAGCACTCATCTATTTACATGTTTGTCTCTACAACTAAAAGGCTATAAACTCGTAGAACTCAGAGTTAGGGTATTGATCATCTTACATCACCAGAACCTGGCACAGTGAGTGGTAGAGAATAAGTACTTTATAATTGTATTTGGAGTGGTGAATAAAATATTTTAAATTGATACAGCCCTTTGGAAATCAATCTGGCAAAATGAATTGAATACCTTAAAATACTTATATTGACTACTTCTAATATAACATAAGTAAATCATTCATCTTAAACAAAAATCCCTATGTAAAAATATTTATCAATTATAGTAACAAAATGTGGGAACTAGTTAAATGTCTATTTGTAAATAAAAGGTTAAGTAATCTACCACACACGTCTACATGTTGGAGTATTGTGCAGGCTTTATAAATGATGCTAAGGAAGAACACAGGAAAGTGATCATGAAATCACTTTTAATTAAATAAAATTTAAGTATTAAAATTGTATTTTAAATACCATATTCATATATTCATTTTTGAAAAAAATTAAAGCAAGCTAATTATAGGAAACACAATACATGAAAGAAATAGACAAACATATCATGTGTTTGGTGAATGATCAATGGGCATTTTGCTTTTATTTCCTTATGTGTTAAGTAATTTCCAAATTTTCTTAAATAAGTTTGCTCATTTTTTTTCTTTTTTTTCTTTTTTTGAGACAGAGTCTTGCACTGTCGCCCGGGCTGGAGTGCACTGGCGTGATCTTGGCTCACTGCAAGCTCTGCCTCCCGGGTTCACACCATTCTCCTGCCTCAGCCTCCCAAGCAGCTGGGACTACAGGCACCCGCCACCACACCCAGCTAATTTTCTGTATTTTTAATAGAGACAGGGTTTCACTGTGTTAGCCAGGATGGTCTAGATCTCCTGACCTTGTGATCCACCTGCCTTGGCCTCCCAAAGTGCTGGGATGACAGGCATGAGCCACCGCGCCCAGCAAGTTTGCTCATTTTATAATGAAAATAATGTCATTGAAGACTTCCATTTCCAACCATTACAGAGAAATGAGAACCAAAATTTACCTCCCACCCTAAACAACTTATAAAACTGAACAAAATACATGAAATAACAGTTTTAGATATTGAACAAGAGGTGGCAAAGGAGAATGATCCATGAGAAAAAGTAAACAAATGATGTGAGCACTACGAATGCCCCAGCTCACTGTCTAGAGAGTATGTCAAGGTCACAGCACAAGCAGAAGCAGCCCATGCATAACCTGGAGGTCTCCCTGAGTTGAGGAAACAGAGTTCAGAGTTCAAGAGGCAAGAATTCTCAGAATAGAGCACCAGAGAGGAGAGAGCTTCACCGAGAGAGAGAGTCTCAGAGAGCTGAAGAGGATTTCCCTTGAGTCTTCTGTTGAGTGCTAATCTATGCATCTGTGTGAAGAAACTAGTAAGACTAAGGAAAGAATCACCAGAAAGGAGCAGGCTTTCTTAATGAGGAATTGAAATTACTAATTCAATCTCTTATTATAGATCTATTCAGATTTTCTATGTTTTCTTGATCATTTTTGGTAATCTGTTTTTTTAGGACTTTGTCCATGCCACATAGGTTATCTAATTTGTTAGTATACAGTCGTTCATAGTATTCCTTATAGTTATTTTATTTCTGTAAGATCAGCAGTGATGTCTCCTCTTTCATTCTAAATTTTAATGAGTCTTGTCTCTCTTTCTCTGTCACTCTGTCTCTCTCTCACACACACACACACAAACACACACTACTCCTCTCCTACCATCCATTTACCTGAATGTGAGTCAATTTTGTTGATGTTTTCAAAGAGCCAACTTTTCAATTCATTGATTTTCTCTATTGTTTTTCTGCTCTATTCCATTTCTTTCTATTCTAATATTTACTATTTATTTCCTTCTGCTTGCTGTAGGTTTAGTGTATTCTTCTTTTTTTGGTTTCCTAAGGTGGAACATTAGGTTATTTATTTGACAATTCTCTCTCTCTTTTTTAAATATAGATATTTGTAGCTATAAGTTTCACTCTATGCACTGCTTTAGCTGATTCCCTTAAGTTTTGCTATGTTGGAAAAGAAAAACAAATACCACATGTTCTCACTTATAAGTGGAAACTAAACATTCAGTATACATGGACACAAAGAGGGGAACAGTAGACACTGGAACCTACTTGAGGGTGGAAGGTGGGAGGACAGTGAGGGTTTGAAAAACTACCTATCAGTACACTATGCTCACTACCTTGGTGACAAAATCATTTGCACACCAAACCTCAGGGACACACAATTTACTCATGTAACAAACCTGCACATGTATCCCCTGAACCTAAAATAAAAGTTGAAAGAAAGAGATTTGGTATGCAGTGTCATCTCAAAGTACTTTCAAATTTTCTTTGTAATTTATTCTTTGACTCATTGGTTATGAAAGAGTGTGTTCTTTAATTTCCACATATTTGTGAAGTTCCCAATTTTCCTTTACTTATTGATTTTTAATTATATTTCATTATAGTTTAAAAAATACTTTGCATGATTTCAATTCTTTTAAATTTCTTGATGCTTATATTATGGCCTAGCATATGGTCTATCCTGGAGAACGTTTCATGCATTATTGGTAAGAAAGTATCTTCTGATATTATTTAATAGAGTAACTTAGAGATGTCTGTTAGGTTGACTATTTGGTCTATAGTGCTATTCAACTTTCATGTTTCCTCGTTGACATTTTGCCTAGTTATTCTATCAATTATTGAACATGATGGATTGAAATCTCCAACTATTATTGTTAAAATTTCTTATTTCTTCTTTCAATTTTGACAATTTTTCTTCATGTAATTTGGTAATTTGTTGTTAAGTGTTTGTATGTTTATATTTGTTTAATCTTCCTTATAAATTGACCTTTTCTTTATTATAAAAATGTTGTTCTTTGCCTCTAGTAACAATTTGGTCTCAAAATTTATTTTGTCTGATATGAGTATAGCCGGTCAAGTTGTCTACTGGTTTTTGTGTGCATGGTATACCTTTTCTCGTTATTTTATTTTCAATCTATTTGTGTCTTGAATCTAAACTATATTTCTTGTATGTGGTTTATAGTTGGAATATGCTTTGTTTGTTTGTATGCTTGCTTTTAAAATCCATTGTGCCAATATCTGCTTTTCACTAGAGCACCTATTCCATTTACACTTAATATAACAAATAGTTACATTATTGTAATTAATTAGAAGGTAGGATTTATGTCTGCCCCTTTGTTACATGTCTACATGTCTTAGGTCATTTTTGTTCTCTATTTTTTCATTACTGCATTTTTTGTCTCAAACAGATATGTTCTAATATACCACTTAAATTCCATTGTTCTTTCTTTTACCAAGTTTTTGTGAGTTGCTTTCCTAGTGTTATTCAAACCAGATAGGAAAAGTTTTTCCAAAATACATTTATAGTTTTATATGTACCCATGTAGTTATCCTTACTGATGCTCTTTATTACTTCATGTGGATTCACATTACCATCTAGCATTCTCTCATTTCAGCCTGAAGAACTTCCTACTATTTCTTATAGGGAATGTATTTTAGCAACAAATTCTGTTATTTTTTTCTATGTAATATCTCAGTGTTTGCTTTATTTTTGAAGGATATAAAATTTTTGGTTAACTAAGGGGTTCCGCCTCCCCCCCACCCCCAGCACTTTTTAATAGATCATCCTTATGCCTTCTGGCTTCCATGGTTTCTGATAAGAAGTAAACTGTTAATCTTATTGAGGAGCTCTTATAAGTGATGACTCACCTTTCTCTTGGTGCTCTGAAGATCCTTGTCTTTGGTTTTGGCAATTTTATTATGATGTATATAGATGTGAATTTCTTTTAGTTTATCCTACTTGGAGCTTGTTCAGCTTTTTGCATATGCAGATTAATGCAGTTCATTAAATTTGCTAAATTTTCAGCCATCATTTAAAAAATATCTTTTTCTTCTCCTTTTTCTTTCTCCTCTTCTCTGGAATTCCTACTACGAATGTGTTGGCACACTTAATGGTATAAAATATTTGCTTCACAAATCTCTGAGAATCTATTCATTTTTCTCTCTTTTCTTCAAACTAGGTAATCCCAAATGACCTGTCTTCAAGTTTGCTAATTCTTTCTTTTGCCAACTCAAATTTGTTATTGAGCTTCTCTACCAAATGTTTTGTTTTAGTTACTGATTATATTGGTCCATTTTCATGCTGCTGATAAAGATGTACCCAAAACTGGGCAATTTACAAAAGAAAGAGGTTTAATTGGACTTATAGTTCCACATGGCTGAGGAAGCCTCACAATCATGGCAGAAGGCAAGGAGGAGCAAGTCCCATCTTACATGGATGGCAGCAGGCAAAGAAAGAATGAGGAAGATGTAAAAGCAGAAACCCCTGATAAAACCATCAGCTCTCGTGAGACTTACTCACAATCATGAGAACAGTATGAGGGAAACTGCCCCCATAACTCAATTATCTTCCACCAGGTCCCTCCCATAACACATGGGAATTATGGGAGTACAAGTCAAGATGAGATTAGGGTGGGGACACAGAGCCAAACCATATCACTGACTTTTCAACTCCAGGTATTTAAATATAATTTCTATATTTTTATTGACATTCTCTATGTGGTGATACATTGCTCTCATACTTTCCTTTAACTTTTAAAACATGGTTCTTTAGTTCTTTGAACATACTTATAAAAGCTGCTTTCTGTCTAGTAAGTTAACATCTGGGCTAACTCAAGAACAGTCTCTACTGACTACTTCTTTTTCCCCCCAAGTACGGATCATTCTTTTCTGTTTCTTTGTAGTTGTTACTATTTGTTTGTATAGTAGCTTTTCTAAACTTACTCTGTAAAGTCTGAATTTCTTATTATGAGCAGCCACTGAAGACTCTGCTCAGTTCTCTTAATGATCAATTATTGATTTGACAGAGATTTCCTTAAATGCCTTGAACCAATAAGTCTCCTACCATTTATCAAGGGACTCTGTGTGTGTTAGGTCACACCTTCAATGCCACAGCCTTCATTGCCTGCATGTGTTAGACCTCAAGGTCATCCAGAGATAAGAGATTAGGGCCTTCTCAGTGCTTTCCTGGTCATGTACACAGCCTCACATATGTGCTTGGTCTTCTAGACCCCAGGAATATGTTGGTGCTTTGAATATCTCATTCCCCAGATCCCTTACGTTTACTTTATTTTATTTTATTTTGGCCTCAAATGGTATCATTGCTACAGACAGCTGTGACTTTAGATAACTGCACTGATTGTTTTTGATATATGTCCTTGGGATCAGGCTTTTCAGACTGAACAAGCTTTGTGTCAGGTGAAATATTGATAAGCCCTACAAACAGAGTTTCTCTGGGGAACTTTCGTAGAGGTCAAATATTTTCTCTTTTTGAGGCTCCCCAAAGCCATTTGATCCTTTCCATTGGCTATTAGGTTGCTGGTTTTCATGGGTACCACGGTTATGAAACTACTGGTCTTCAAGGCTATTCCAGAGCTGAGGAGAGGGAGTTAGGACTACAGCAGGTTAAAATGCCACAATTCTTGCTGTTTTTACTGAGATTCAGCCTTTTAAAAAAACAAGACTTTGCTTAATTCAGCCTTTTAAAAAAATTAAGACTTTGCTTAATTTCCAGAGTTCTGAAAACATTGATTTCAACAATTTTTTATGTTTCTTTTTTTAGAACTTTTATTTTAAGTTCAGAGGTACAAGTCCAGGTTTATTTCATAGATAATACATAGGTAAACTCATGTCATGGGGGTTTGTTGTACAGATTATTTCATCGCCCAGGTATTAGGCCTAGTACCCACTAGTTGTTTATCTGATCCCCTCCCTCCTTCCACCCTCCAACCTCTGAAAGGCACCAGTGTGTGTTGTTCACCTCTATGTGTCCATGTGTTCTCATCATTTAGCTTCCACTTATAAGTGAAAACGTGCAGTATTTGGTTTTCTGTTCCTGTGTCAGTTTGCTGAGGATAATGGCCACAAGTTTTATCCATGTCCCCACAAAGGACATGATCTCAGTCTTTTTTATAGTTGCATTATATTCCATAGTGTATATGTACCACACTGTCTTTGTTCAGTCTATCATAGATGAGCATTTAGGTTGATTCCATGTCTTTGCTATTGCGAATAGTGCTGCAATGAATATGTGTGTTCATGTGTCTTTATAACAGAATGATTTCTATTCCTTTGGGTATATACCCAGTAATGGGATTACTGGGTCAAATGGTATTCCTGGTTCTAGGTCTTTGAGGAATTGCCACACTGTCTTCCGCAATGGTTGAACTCATTTACATTTCCACCAATAATGTAAAAGTGTTCCTATTTCTCCACAGCCTTGCCAGCATCTGTTGTTTCTTGACTTTGTAATAATTGCCATTCTGACTGGCATGAGATGGTATCTCATTGTGGTTTTGATTTGCATTTCTCTAATGATCAGTGGTGTTAAGCTTTTTTTCTAATTATTTTGGCCACATGTATGTATTCTTTTGAAAAGTGTTTGTTCATGTCCTTTGCCCACTTTTTAATGAGCTTGTTTGTTTGTTGTAAATTTGTTTAAGTTCCTTATAGATACTGGATATTAGACCTTTGTTGAATGCATAGTTTGCAAAAATTTTCTCCCATTCTGTAGGTTGTGTGTTTACTTTGTTGATAGTTTATTTTGATATGCAGAAGTTCTTTAGTTTAATTAGATCTCATTTATCAATTTTAGCTTTTGTTGCAATTGTTTTTGGTGTTTTTGTCATGAAATCTTTCCCCATGCCTATGCCCTGAATGGTATTGCCTAAGTTGTCTTACAGGGTTTTTATAATTTTGGGGTTTTACATTTATGTCTTTAATCCATCTTGAGTTAATTTTTGTATATGGTGTAAGGAAGAGGTCCAGTTTCAGTCTTCTGCATATGGCTAGCCAGATATTCCAGCACCATTTATGCAATAGGGAATCCTTTCCCCATTGCTTGTTTTTGTCAGGTTTGTTGAAGATCAGATCATTTTAGGTGTGCAGTCTTATTTCTGGGGTCTCTATTCTGTTCCACTGGTCTATGTGTCTGTTCTTGTACAAGTGCCTGCTGTTTTTGTTACTATAGCCCTGTAGCATAGTTTGAAGTCAGGTAGTGTAATGCCTCTAGCTTTGTTCTTTTTGGTTAGGATTGCCTTGGCTATTGAGGCTCTTTTTTGGTTCCACATGAGTTTTAAAATAGTCTTTACTTGTTCTGTGAAGAATGTCAATGGTAGTTTAATGAAAATAGTGTTGAATGTATAAATTGCTTTGGGCAGTATGGCCATTTTACTGATATTGATTCTTCCTATCCATGAGCATGGAAAGGTTTTCTTTGTTCGTGTCATCTCTGATTTCTTTGAACAGAGGTTTGGAGTTCTCCATATAGAGATCTTTCGCCTCCCCAATCAGCCATATTCCTAGGTATATTAATCTTTTTGTGGCAATTGTGAATGGGGGTTCATTCCTGATTTGGCTCTTGGCTTGATGGTTGTCGGTGTATAGGAATGCTAGTGATTTTTGCATATTGATTTTGTATCCTGAGACTTTGCTGAAGTTGTTTATCAGCTTCAGAAGTTTTGGGGCTGAGACAATGAGGTTTTCTAGATATAAGATCATGTCATCTGCAAACAGGGATAGCTTGACCTCCTCTTCCAGTACTATGTTGAATAGGAGTGGTGAGAGAGGGCATCCTTGTCTTTTGCCTGTTTTCAAGGGGAATGCTTCCGGCTTTTGCCCATTTAGTATGGTGTCGGCTGTGGGTTTGTCATAGATGGCTCTTATTATTTTGAGGTATATTTTTTCAATATCCAGCTTATTGGGAGTTTTAAACATAAATGAATGTTGAATTTTATAAAAAATCTTTTCTTCATCTATTAAGATAATCATGTGGTTTTTGTTTTTAGTTCCGTTTATGTGATGAATCACATTTATTGATATGCATATGTTGAATCAACCTTGCATCCCAGAGATGAAGCCTACTTCATTGTGGTGGATGAGTTTTTTGATTGCACCATATTTTCTTTATCCAATCCATCACTGATGGGCACCTGGGTTTATTTCATGTCTTCACTATTGTGAATAATGCTGTAATGAACACACGAGTGCATGTGTCTTTGGTAGAACAATTTATTTTCTTTTGACTATATACCCAGTAATGAGATTGCCCACTTTTTAATGAGATTGATTTTTCTTTCTTGTAAATTTGTTTAAGTTCCTTGTAGATTCTGCATATTAGGCCTTTGTCAGATGGATAGGTTGAAAAAATTTTCTCCCACTCTGTAGGTTGCCTGTTCACTCTGATGATAGTTTCTTTTGCTGTGCAGAAGCTCTTTAGTTTAATTAGATCCCATTTGTCAACTTTTGCTGTTGTTGCAATTACTCTTGGCAATTTCATCATATCCATATTCTGAATTCTACTTCTGTCATTTCAGCCATCTCAGCCTCATCCTGCTTCTGAACCCTTGCTGGAGAGGTGATGCTGTCCTCTAGAGAAAAGAGGGCATGCTGACTTTTTGTGTTTTCAGCATTCTTGCACTGCTTCTTTTTCAAATTTGTGCGGGCTTATTTACCTTCAATCTTTGAGGTTGCTGACCCTTGGATGGAGCGTTTTTTTCTTTTAACAGTCTGGCCACCTTTCCATAGGGCTGTTGTGGTTTGCTGGGGGTCCACTCTAGTCCCTAGTCACCTCGGATTTTCCAGTACCTGGAGGCATCACCAGTGAAGGCTGTGAAACAGCAAAGATGGCAGCCTGCCCCTTCCTTTGGGAGCTCCAACCCAGGGAGGTACGGACCTGTTGCTGGTCCGAACACACCTGTACATGGTGGCTGGAGACCCTGGTTGGGAGGTCTTGCCCAATCAGTCAGGAGGAACGGGATCAGGGTCCCACTTAAAGAAGCAGTCTGGCCATGCTTTCGTTGAGCATCTGTGCTGTGCTGGGGGATCCCTTCCTCCTTCCATCAGTTTGGACACTCCAAAGCCTGCAGGGTGGAATGGCTGAGTTGCCCAAACAGCAAAGTTGGCAGCCTGCCCCTCCCGCTGGGAGCTCTGTCCCAGGGAGAATTCAAATTTCTGTTAGCCAGAGAACACCAGCAGGGGTGGCTGGAGGCCCTGGTTGGGAGGTTCCACCCAGTGAGGAGAAAAGGGATCAGGGATCCAATTAAAGAAGCTTCTGTAGAGCAGCTGTGTTGTGCTGGGGTACTGCTTCTGCCCTGGTCGACTTGGGTTTTCCAAAGCCTTTAGGCTGGAACGGCTAAGTCACCCAAACAGCAAAGATGGCAGCCCACCTGTCCCTCTGGGAGTTCTGTCTCAGGGAGAATTCAAATGTCTGTCAGCTGGAGAAGACTAGTGGAGGTGGCTGGAGGCCCCAGTTGGGAGGTCAAGCCCAGTGAGGAGGAACAGATCCAGGACCCGCTTAAAAATGCAGTGGGGTCAAGTTTGGGTAGAGCAGCTGTGCTGTGCTGGGGGATCTCTTCCTCCCTCCATCAGTTTGGACTCTCCAAAGTTCGTAGGGTGGAATGGCTGAGTCGCCCAAACAGTAAAGATGGTGCTCCCCCCCGCCCCACCCCCAGGGACCTCTGTCCCAGGGAGGCGCAGCACTGCTGCTGGTGGCTGAAATTCCAAGCCAGTGGGTCTTATCCTGTGAGGTGCAATGGAAGTGACTGCTCCACTCCCTGGATTCAGCCTCTTTCTTAGGGTTATGTACGGGGGTCTATTCTCCCGCTTTGCTAGAGTTGCAGTTACTTTTGCTGGGAAGCCGGGAGCCGGAGTATCGAAAGCTCCAGGTCTCCACATATGCCTCAGTGGCTGCTCTGTGAGACTCCACATAGCTCTCTGTGCCGGACTGAAGGCCCTGGTGGAGTGGCTTCTGAGGGGATCTCCTGACCTGAGGGTTGCAAAGATCCGTGGGAGGAGCATGGTTTCCCAGGGTGGCACATTCACTCGCCACTTCCCTGGGCAGGGGAGGTTCCCTTGCCTCCGTGTCACTCCCAGGTGGGCCATCATCCTGCCTTGCTTTTCTCCGTTCTCTTTAAGTTGTTTCCTTTATTAGTTCCAATGCAAGTACCTGGATGTTTCAGTTGAAGGTGCTGCATTTACTCGCCCCTTTCATTCCTCTCTGTGAGAACCATGCACCCTAGCTGCTTCTAGTCGGCCATCTTGGCTGTGCCCTGGATAATTTTTCTTGTTTCCTCTTAGGGGAAGAGGGTTTTCAGGGGTCCTTACTCCACCATTGCAGAAGTTCTGCCTCTTATTTCCCTTCATTTATCATGCAAAAGGCACTATAAAATATATACTCTTTTTGGTACTTGCTTTTTCCCCCAATTTACCAATATATCTTAGAAATAATTCCATATAAGTTTACAGAGATCATTTTAAATTTTTAAACTCCATTTAAAAAACTCCTTTGTGTGAACGTACTGTTATTTATTAAACTAATCTTACATCTATGTGCTTTTAAATTACTTCTTCAAGATAATTTATCTTTAATACTTAAAGTTACATGATGCTAGATGCTGTACTAAGTATCTTTATGCATTATCTGATTTAATCCTCAAATAATAATTATAAATAGTAATAATAATTCCTGAATAATAATTTAAAGTAGATATAGCTGTAGGTGGTATCTTGTTTTACCATGAGAAACTGATGCCTATTGAGATGAAGAAAGCTGCCTAAGGTTACACAGCTAGAAGGTGATGAAACCAGGTCCAGATTTCTCATCTCTCTGACACCAAAGCTCTTGCTGTCACTTACTATGTCACATATTGAAGAAAGCCCTTGATAATCAAAAGCCACCAGCCCTGAGTCCCCGGTTTGGCACTGGAGCAATGCAACTGGAGCAGCTTCAAAGGAAAATAATGCATCATGAGGGTACATTCATGGATCCTCCCGGGTATCAGAAGATTCACCAGAAGACATGGTCTCAAGAAGCAAAAGCCAAAGCAGGAGAGAAGAAATTGAAGCTGCTAATAAGTGATGTTTGTGTGCACCCTTGGAAAAAATCCTGATAATGATTCTAGTAAAACCTTAGTAAATTTTCATGAAAGAGGCCAAAGTAGAGTATTATCCTAAGAATTGAGAATTCAAAACTTTGGGGATTATTTGAAATTTTATGCATGAACATCTATCTAGCCACCTAAAAAATAAATATATTGTTTCATTTGATTACCTCAAAAGCCTTATGAAGTGTGTCAGATGTTTAAAACTTCTTTACAGGTTGAGATTTTTCAAAAGAAAAAAATTCTTTATTTTTATTATTATAAACTGTAATTTAAAGTATCAGTAAAGTCAGTGGGAAGATATCTCAGTCTTCCCATGGACAGGAAAGATTCTTAAGAGAGATTAGAGATTCTTTAATAACAGATGAAAACAGAATCAGGGAAATACAGTTGTTAATGTAGAGTTGTCAAATTTAGCAAGTAAAAATAGAGAACATCTAGTTAAATTTGAATTGCAGAGAAACAACAAGTAATTTTGTAATATAAGCATGTCCTACTTACTTTACTATGAGTATACTTATACTAAAAAAGTACTTGTTGTTTCTCTGAAATTCAAATATAACTGGATGTTCTGTATTTTATCTGGCAATCCTATGTAATGTGTCTCCATTTACCTCCCGAGCTACTGAGGCCTGGAGAAAAGAGTTACGCATAACACAGAAATAACTGGAAATGTCACCATCACTGGAATGCCTTCCCAGCAACTTGCATCATGTATTCAGTACTATATGACCTTGAACATGTTTGTCTCTTGCACTTGAGTTTCTCTTATTGCAAAACAGAATTCTCACTAGAGATAAGAAGAGCCAGCAAGCATATGTAAGGCCTCTTTACACAGTATTGTATGTATCATATGCTCACTAATTTTCAAAAGAAATTGTACTATGATTTTGGAGTTTCTTTACACTCCCTTGACAGTTTTAGAATCAGCCTTCTCATTTTTTCCCCATCCATTTTGTCTTTTTTTAAGGGTAGGAAACTGAGAACTGACTAGCAGGCTTGGAGGACTGAGATGTAGTCCTGATTTATTCTGTAATTGATATATACTCTGTTTGGATGTGGGTGGGTTGGGGTACTCTCATTGTTCTTCAAATCTGGTAAAAAATTTCTCAACAAGTTGACCGATATTCTTCCTTCTCCCCTAAGGGAGGCCAGAATATCCATCAGACTCTGAGTGTACCTACATCCATGCCATTCAGCTGTGGTAGGGGTTGGTTATCTAGACATAGCCCATGACCCAGGTGGTAGAAGATGCTAGGTAAACCAAGCAGTCACATTGAAGCAAGCTGTGAAAAGTGCTCTTGGTATATCAGGTTCTATAACCGAATTCAGTGGAGATCTTGACCTCCACAAGTTGAAACCGGAAAGTGTCCTGTGCCTACTTTGTAAAATCCATTGATTTATTAAATAGCATCACTGTATATCCAAGAATGGTATCCCACCTTCTCCATTAAACGCATATGTTCAAAGATTCATAAGTTGCTCATGACTCTCTGTAACAGATCTGTTTGATCCTTTTGGAGGCAAAACTTAAGTGCTATAGGAATGACACATTTATGATTTTCTGATAGAGTTTTTTTAAATATACTTTAAGTTCTGGGATACATGTGCAGAAGTTTTTAAATAACAACAGTCTGAATGTCCGGCTTTTTTCTGACCATTTCTCAAAGATTTCAGACAGATCCTCTTATAAAGAAAAGGTCTGAAGATGTATTCTCTTTTAGCACTTGCTAAAATTTTTTGTTCATAGCTGTTCCCACTGATAACATTTGAAGAAAGGGTAATTCTTCTACAGGTCTTTATTTGATCTACTCAGGTAGCATCTAAGTATAATTGTGAAATATTTTACGGGGTAGCATCTCCTCTTGGAAAAAATCTTGATAATGATTCTAGTAAAACCTTAGTAAATTTTCATGAAAGAGGCCAAAGTAGAGTATTATCCTAAGAATTGAGAATTCAAAACTTTGGGGATTATTTGAAATTTTATGCATGAACATCTATCTAGCCACCTAAAAAATAAGTATATTGTTTCATTTGATTACCTCAAAAGCCTTATGAAGTTTGTCAGATGTTTAAAACTTCTTTACTGGTTGAGATTTTTCAAAAGAAAAAAATTCTTAATTTTTATTATTATAAACTCTAATTTAAAATATCAGTAAAGTGCAAATTTCTCAAATGACTAATTCTAATGAAATTATTTGTGACTTTAATTGGCACAGTGCCTGCTGGCAATGCCTCTGTTTCTTTTAAAATATAAGATACATTGCTCTTCAAAAATTGTTTTGTACAATGAACACACTATCTGTAGCATCATTAAGAAACAAAAGCCTCATGGAATAGGTGTCATTATTCTCATTTTGCAATGAGACTCTGAAAACTGAAGAGTTATTCCCAAGGACACACAGCTGATATTTTAACCAAGGTCTCCTGTTTCAAACACAACCACACATGATATTTAGACGGGACATTATTTATAACCAATATTGGTTTAATGAGAGTACTGAATATGGCTTAAATTAATATTAGCAAAATTAACAACTTTGACATTGATAACTGGTGTGGTTGATATTAATGTCAATAATAAATAAAGAGAAGGAGAAGGTTAATTTTGAAGGAATGCTGAGATGTTGGAAAACGATAAAATCTTAAGCATAAAAAAAGAACCCTTTTCTGAAGGGCACATTTGTAAGAGGCATGCCAGTTGGTTGATATTCTGAATCATTGCCAGGATGATCGCATGCTCATGGGTGCTTAGATAAGGATCCATTTCTCCCAGCAGGGTCGACCATTGCTCAAACACCCGAGATTGAGATTATCTCTGTCCTTGATGTTCTAGCCCCTGGGGTCAGGAGTTCAGCTTGGAAGCAGGTCCTCAATTATCCCTTTACAAGAGATTCTCAGTGTAGCACCCTTAACACTTCCTGATTTCATGTTGTCTGCCTTTTGATCTATAACTGTGTATGAGTTTTGTCAAAACATAGGGAGTCAGGGGGAATCAGGCTGTTATAAAAAACCAGGCCAATTAGGTCATTCAACCCCTCTTAAAAATCACCCATGATGGCAATTTGGTCATCATTTAACTAAATAAAATCAAGAAGAATTACGGTATGGCTACGAAGCTGTATCTAACATCTAAATTAAGTACTTATCTCTTTTCCTCTCTTTATTTCTACTTTTAAAATATGTCTTAGAGGTTCAGAAGCTTCCAGTCAAAGTATACAAAAGAATTATTAACTATTATTTCTCCCCACAGATTGTGCCTCACATAAGCTTGGAGTTGCACAGTAGAACTCGGTGGCAGAGGGACCCTTGCTTGGGCTTTGTCTGGAGAACTCCAGCTCCCAGCTTATCCTTCTGGATCCTGGTCCTTGTTTAGCCTCATCACTTAGCCACCCTGGGCTACATTTTCTTTACTGGCAAAATGAAATAGAATAAGTAAGACCTACTATTTGATAGCACAACAGGGTAATCATAGTCAATAATAACAATTGTGCATTTTAAAATAACTTAAAGAGTATAATTGGATTGTTTGTAAGTCAAAGGATAAACGCATGAGGGGATGGATGCCCCATTGCCTATGATGTGCTTATCCCACATTCCATGCCTGTATCAAAACATCTCTTGTATCGCATAAATGTAAACACCTACTATGTACCCACAAACATGAAAAATTTAAAAAAATTTAAAGAAAATTTAGAAGTGAAGAAGAAACCCAGAGTAAAGAAGATGGATGAAATAATAGAACTCTAAATCATTTTCCACTTCCACATTCTATATTTTCCAAATGATTGCAGGGAAAACAGCTTCTCACTTTCACTGAAGCTCTCCTACTGTCACTTATGCCCACATGGAGGTTGGGTGCATCTAAATGTAAGGGAGGGTGCCAGGAAGGTGAGAAGAAATCTCCAGGTCAATCAAAGCCCAGTCTGTGATTTCCTGTCTGTCTTGAAAATGGGGATTTCCCAAGCTTCAGAACCAGCCTCACTCATTAGGGATAACAATCAGGGTAATTAACAATGGGTGTGCACTGCACAATCAGAAAGACCCAATGGTATTTGGCAATGAAAAGTTTTATACAGGAACTGTTGGCTCCCTTTTGTCTGTGGTTAGGTAAAGATGAAAAATAGAAAAGTCAATTAAAATTATCCTAGAAACTCTTTATTACTTTAAAATAAGAGGAGTGAAAATAACCCCGGACTATGTAATGCATCTGAGGACATTAACTAATAGCTATTAGTGTTTGCAGTATGTTTACTGAACCCTGTAAAATGAGATGGTCATTTATAGAACTTCCTCTTTCCAGAAAATTCTGTGACTACCTAAGCAGCTTGACTGTCCCTTGTGAGGAAAGGGCGTGTTTTTTGAGTGCACAGGCCCTGCAGTGTCTCCCATGAGGTACGGTGTGGGAGAGAAACTCAGTCTTAGCCAAATCACTGTCCCACAGTGAAGTAAGTACCTTATATGACCTAGAAGAGGATAAATCAAGTAACCTTAAATTCATGAGAACTGCTTTTGTTTCTAGCAGCAATCAGAGGGTTGAGAAGATGTGGGCTGGATGAGGAGCCAAGGTACTGTATACTAATGCTAGGACTGTCCTAGGCCCCAGGAAATAAGAAGAGGAACTCGGCCAACAACGGGGCAGCCCTGAATGGAGCTCACGGTTTAGCAAAGGAGGCTGATTTAAGGGAGTAGGCCTACACTGTGACTTCCTGGCAGTGCTGACCTTGGAATTGCCCAAGAATCAGAGATAGCCTTAAAATTGTGACAAGGCAATGAGGGAGAAGTACAAGGCCCAGAGGAAAATGGGTTGGTCGATGTTTGGTGGCATAAGGACTCCCACAACATCCATCTGCAGAACCTCAGAGGAGTCAATAGGAACCCTTAGAATTAATCACAGGAATGAGTGTTGCCATTTTCCAGGTCTCTATGATATGCTTGTGGCCAGGCACTTCCCATACATCATCTCACTTAAAATAAGGGTCAGACACTTGACACTCCACTTTTGAAAGGTTGATGACCCATAATTAGAGTGTGCGGGAGGGGTCCCTACTTAAAGTTTGGATACAGAACATGCTTTCATTCACAAGAAAAGAATGAGAATCAGGATTTCAAGTGTGCTAATGCCTTATTAAATTGTCCTAATAATCCATTGTTTATATGCAGAGATGTGATAACTGACTGACAGACTCTCAGGACCATATAATTGTGGGATTGTTTCACTAGCAATGAGAGTAAGTTTGGTCTCTTATAAAATCTGCCAGCTAGGCAGATGGCTGGTGGTCTTGGGGCAGCATGGTGCCATGGAACACAGACTCATGGCTTGAGTGTCCCAATTCCCTGCCCCACCGCTTGGCCACTGGGTTGGGGGCAGCATGACTATAATTGATTTGCTTCAGTATCAAGCTCAGAAGTGTGGCCTCATTCTCATGACCAGACATTGTATCACTGGGACTTGAGTTTGGGGACTGTGTAATTTTACTGATGTCACGATGGTTTTATAAGCCACTGTGTAAAAAGTTAAATGCAAGTATTTAAATCTCCACTAAATGTGGATTTTTCTGCTCAACTAATAAAAACAGCTTAGTCAACTAATCAAAGGATTAGTTTTAGGAGACCTAAAAATAGAGCGCCATGTGCCACTAGCATCTTTGTCCAGTATCCCTGATGATTAATAATCAATTTAAAAGAGATATTTGTGGAGAATTTATTAGAATCCATGCAATGCTATTCACCAGCACACTTTCTCATTTTTTTCTTCAAGACATTTAAATAATAGAAAAAAATACAAAATTAGAAAAAAATATTAAAATATTTCCAGCATACTTACATTTGATATTAAATTCTAACCAAAATTTGACCAGAGCAAAAGAAAATTGCAAAACCACATGACTATTCCAATCATATGAGTGGGCAGGGTAGAAAAAGTCGGGGGGCAAATAGAATAAATGGTAAGAGACAGCATATAATTCATAATGTCCATAAAAATAGTTGTCCTTTAAACCAAAAGTTGTAATAATGCCTAAAATAAGTCATTGTGTAAGGAATTTTAACAGGGCCAAAATCTGCTATGCCTCTTAAATTACTAACAAACATTTGGACTTGTTTTGGAGTGGTTTTTTTTTGAACAAATGGTTTAAAGATTTCATTGAATTTCCTCCTACATAATACTTAACTTTTGACATATGGTCAGCTAAAAATATTTTGGATTTTATTAAATATTGATTGTGGAGAGGTAGGTCATGGAAAGAAGGCATGGGTGGGGGCAGATTCTTTGCCTTTTTCTCCTTAAATCTATGGGCAGGGGCTGGGTGTGTTGGCTCACGCCTGTAATCCCAGCACTTTGGGAGACCAAGGTGGGTGGATCACCTGAGGTCAGGAGTTTGAGACCAGCTGGCCAACATGGTGAGACCCTGTCTCTACTAAAAATACAAAAAAATTAGCCAGGCATGGTGGTGGGTGCCTGTAATCCCAGCTACTCGGGAGGCTGAGGCAGGAGAATCGCTTGAACCTGGGAGGTGGAGGTTGCAGTGAGCTGAGATCACACCAATGCACTCCAGCCTGGGTGAGAAGAGCAAGACTCCATCTCAAAAAAAAAAAAAAAAGAAAGAAAGAAAAGAAAAATCTATGGGCAGGTTCCACTGAGACCCCTGAGAATGCTGACCCATTAGAGTCCCACCCTCTTGGCTATCCTGGTGCCCCTTTGACTAACGGTGCTTCTCTCTACTTTTCTTTTTAAGGAACTAGAAGAGAGACACCAGTATTTCATGTGCACTAAATTAGGGTAGGGTTTTGAGAGATAAAGGCAAGGGGAGGAGGAGTGTGCATTTCAGGAAGGAAACAAAGTGAACAATTGTGGGCATGGGGTCAGGAGGAAGGAGCAGCTTACAGAAGAGCAGTTTGGCTGGTGAAAAGACATGAGGTGATAGAAGAAAAGGAAGGGGAAGGAAGGTTAGGGCACATTAGTAAGCTCTCCACCACGATTCAATTATATGAACTCAGCTATTAAACTGTCACTCTGATATCCTCCTCTAATATTTTTTTCACCTCTCACATTTTCAGTGGAATCATACGGACTTGGATATTGTTGTCATGGAAAACCATGGGACTTGAGATAAAGATTCAGGAATCATTCATATGAAGGTGATATATAAAGCAGTGGTTGGTAAATTTACCAAAGGATAATGTGAGGGGAGAGAAGGCAAGAAGATCAAGAGCAAAATTTAGGGTCGCATCCATAGTCAGAGGTAGGAAAGAAGAGGAACTGCCAAGGAGATTGAAGCATCACACTGAGAGGAAGGGGGAGAACCAGGATAGGGTCTTCCCAACAGGGTCACCTACCACAAGATACCAAGGAAGATGAAAAATGGGCGGAGGAAATTGGATTTGGCAAGTAAGGTATGACTCCTGATCTTTAAGATAACACAGTAATAAGCATGACTAAGGAAAACCACCCCACAGATCTGGACCACACTGAGAGATGAGGTAAGATGAACTTCTGCCTGTAATCTCAGCTCCTAAGGAGGCTGAGGCAGGAGGATAGCTTGAGGCCAGGAGTTCGAAACCAGCTTAGGCAATATAGCAAGAGTCCTATCCAAAAAAAAAAAAAAATAGACGAACCTCCCAGGGCCTCTAGTTCTCAGGTGTAGTGCTCTAGGTAATATGCAAGCTTGAGAAGCCCAGGTGAAATGCTACCAAACTGAAGCTCCTTAGAGGAGCCAAACCACCTGTTCACTATCTGGACTGATTTTATACCGTTAGAGTTCACCAGACCGAGGAGGAGTTAGACCATGTCTATCTCACAATCCATGTCTTAGCTCTAAGGGAAAAGAAGAGAGCCCACAGTGATGGTGCCTGATTTAGGAAAAGTTTCAGTGTGTCTTCCTTAGGGTCCCTTTGTCCAAGCTTTTCTTCAGAAGCAGGGAAAACAGAAAAATATTTAGGAACAAATGGAGATGCCAGAGAGGAAGAAGTGGGGATTAAGGAAGAATAAGGGTAGAGGCGGGAAGGCCGTGAATGCCTGGATGACCTTCCCCCCACCAGAGGTGAAGGGGTGGTGCCGTTGTAAGGTACAAAGGTCCCCTGGAGGGAACCAGTGCTTTCCTCCCTAAATTGTTCATACCCAATAATAAACACATACCAGATAGCACACACATGGAATGCTGGGGGCTGTTGGAAGCAGACCCAGGCTGTCGGGAATCCCCTGAACCAAGGCATGAAAAACATTCTCTTCCTTCGCACGTGTAACACTCTCCCAGTATAACTGTTTCTCTTAAAGCCATAGGTGTCTGTTTTTGAGTTTGCTCCTTGGAGACAGAAACAGGATTACAATATATGGTGTTTTTTCCTCATTTCCTGCTATAGGCTGTTTTAAGTTTCTGTGACAGCTTTTCTACATATTTCTTCCTTCAAATGGTGAATCTATGTATGGCCATGTTAATGACTGGGACATAGACTTAAAATGGGAATGCTTAGGAAATGGAATGTTCTTTAACCAGTATTGTTTCATCTGCTATTATTGGGGAAAAAGAAATCTCTCTACAGATTTCAAACCCACTTTGCTGGTGCAATGGAATGATCAAATAGACTCTCTCTTTGAAGATCTGGCATCTTGTCCAGCCTCAGAGTCATTATTTAGATTATCATTTGGGTCATCGGTGACCTCAGTGCTGTGGACCCTGGGAGAAGGACTGAGGATTAGAGCCAGAAGACGTGGGTTTCAGGATTGGCTCTACTTAGTAGCTGGGAGATTCTAGGCAAATTGCTTTTTAAAAAAAATTCAAAATTCTCTAAATCTGTTTCCTCCTCTGAAGAGTGAGAATAAGACGCAAACCTACCTACTTCTCAGGATTATGTGAAGATTACAAAAATCCTCTGTGAAAGCATTTCCATCAACCTCAAACTCTCCACAACTCTAAGAGCTGGAGGCACCTGAAACCAGGCTGAATCTGTACAAATGGGACAGGTGGGTTCTAAAAGTTCATTTATAAAAGAAACCTCCCAAGTGAGTCTAACTTGTTCTTTATCTCTTTGTCCTGTAAGGGGCCACTGGAAAAAAATGAGTCAAAGTTTTCCATTCAAGTGAATTTTCAGATAGTTGTCTGCATCCTCACAGAACAGACAAAGAAATCAAGACTTTACAAGTTGTTTATTTGTTTTAAAGTGACTTTTCCCAAATCTTGCAGCTAGCAACTGTCAGTGTCGGGATTCGCATCTGAACTTAAGACCTGCAGGGAGAGGCTGCTGGAATTTCTGCTTTTCATAAAGCCCTGAAGAGCGTGAACAAAAAGACAATGGGGGAACATGAGTCAAGCCCTGTAGCAGGACCTAGACTCTGAGGTGAGGGCCACCCCTGAAGCTCCAGGCTTCAGGGGCAGCACTCAGGAGAGGCACTTCTTCTGATGGGAGAAAACTGAATGGGACATTTGCAGTAAGGGGTGCTGGTGGGTACTACATGTGGGGCCACACTCGAGCTGCCTTCTCAGTCAACCCCTTTGGCAGCTTGGGCCAAGTCTCTCTGAAGAGGAAGACTGTGATATCTGAACTCGTGAGTTCACAGAGTGCTCACCTGGAGACTTTGTGAGAAACAGACTGGGAAGATCTCTGTAAAAGAATCAGGCCAGGCACGGTGGCTCACGCCTGTAATCTCAGCATTTTGGGACGCCGAGGTGGGCGGATCACGTGAGGTCAGGAGTTCGAGACTAGTCTGGCCAATATGGCGAAATCCCATTTCTACTAAAAAATACAAAAATTAGCCAGGCATGGCTGCTCATGCCTGTAATCCCAGCCACTCGGGAGGCTAAGGAAGGAGAACCACTTGAACCCTGGAGACAGAGGTTGCAGTGAGCCGAGATCTTGCCACTGCACTCCAGCCTGGGCGACAGAGCGAGACTCCATCTTAAAAAATAAAAATTAAAAAAAGAATCGATTGCTGGTAGGAGAGGGTTCCTTCTTGCACTCAGCACAGTGGCTGACCAAGACAAGTAATCCAGACCATGTTGGTGACCAGGTGAGCACTGGGGATGCCGGGAGGGGTGACATCACGAGGACAGTCTATGGGAAGACACTGCCTGAGCACGCTGGTCCCCCATTGACATGTGGCCTTCGAGACAATTACTGCACACCACGCCCTTGCAGTTGAAGCAGGAAAGAGTAACACAAGGTATTTTGATTGCACATGGAATATTTTCTCGCTTCTTCATCTCATTCTTTTTCTAAGAGCAATGCCTAGGTTTCATTCAAAGGTTCAGAAACCTAAACTTTAGTTTTCCTCATTATTCACCCCTTAGAAATGTGACCATTGTTTCCCTCTTGCTACGACCCCACTGCCCTGAGAGAAGACCGTGTGATGCGCGGGCACAAGCAGAGGCTTTGCCAGCAGGCAGGAGTGGGTCTGATGTCTGGCCCTGACTTTTACCACCCCTTTAATTTCAGAAAGCCATTCAGGGCCTTGCGCGGTGGCTGACACCCGTAATCCCAGCACTTTGGAAGGCCGAGGCGGGTGGATCATTTGAGGTCAGGAGTTTGAGACCAGCCTGACCAACACGGTGAAACCCCGTCTCTACTAAAATACAAAAAATTAGGCGGGTGTGGTGGCACACACTTGTAATCCCAGTACTCAGGAGGCTGAGGTGGGAGGATCGCTGGAGTCCAGGACACAGAGGTTGCAGTGAGCCAAAATCGGGCCATTGCACTCCAGCCTGGGCAACAGAGGGAGACCATGTCCCCCCGAAAAAAAGCCATTCGGCAATGAGGCCCTCATTGTTAGACAAGAATAATTAATGAGGTGTCATCGAGTTGTTGAAAAGACTACATGCAGTAAGTCTGTCTGGTGCTTCATGAGTACCTACTACATGGTAGCCATTGTTTTAATAAATAGGGAGGTGTTTCTATTAAAAACAGAACTTGGCCAGGGGCAGTGGCTCACACTTGTAATCCCAGAGCTTTGGGAGGCCAAGGTGGGTAGATTGCTTGAGCCCAGGAGTTTGAGACCAGCCTGGACAACATAGTGAGACCCTGTCTCTACAAAAAATTTAAAAAATTAGCTGGGCATGGTGATACATATCTATAGTCCTGGCTACTCAGGAGGTTGAGATGAGAGGAAAACTTGTGGCCAGGAGGTTGAGGCTGCAGTGAGCAGTGATTGCACCACTGCACTCTGGCCTGGGTGACAGAGGAGACTTTGTCTCAAAAACAACAACAACAACAACAAAAAAACAGGACTTAAGATGAGTCTTCAACCAGTCTCAGGGGACTGCAACTTTTCTGTGTAAACAATGCCTAACTGTGTAAGAATTGTCGTATAGAATTAATTGCCCATCCTCTTCCTCTGTCTCCACATCAAAGCATCTGAGATTTCTGCTTCACCCCCAATAAGACCGGTCCGCTGTCAGGTTCTCTCAAAATCTTCTTTCTTCAAATTTGAATTTCACATCATTATTTACTACTCCACCCTTTTCTAACATCTGCTAATTCTTCCTTTCAATTCCCCTACCTTTGCAGGGTAGTTTTTTTTCCCCCCAGGGAAATTCACATTCTCCTGTTAATAATTCATAAATGTTGCCAGACACAGATGAATGAAACCATTTCCCATTCATGTCCTGCTTTCCAGGGATGCTGTGAGAATTAGTTAGATGACATCTGCAATTCACAGCCCGCTCTAAGAGAAACATGATATATTCACATCACATTTAACAGAACATTCTTTCTATGCAAGGCAAATAACTGCTGCCATACGCCTGCTTCAAATGGGCCCAACCCCTGCCCCTGGGGACCTCTTATAAACCCGTCACCTGTAGCAGCTTAACTCTTCTTTAGGTGTGTACAATTCCACTGAACAGTAGTGAATTTCTGATTAGCAATATTGTCAAATGAGTGGTATTCTTTCCCCCAAATTTGAATCTAACAGGGTGCCCAGACACTTAGTCAAATGTCCCTGTCTCACTATTTCTACTCTACCCACCTCCTCCCTGCATTTCATGACAGGTGGAGATTTCCTTTCCTCTGGACAAAGAGACCGGTTCCATGGTGGACCCTGACTCATCCTTGAACTTTTCCAGCCGCTGCAGTATTTTCTTAGGCCTGATCACCACTTTCTGTTTTTATGGAATTTCAACCTTAGTATCAAACTCATGCCACAAAAATAGAATTTAGCTATAATAAGAAACTAGGGGCTCAGTGGGGTGGCTCACGCCTTTAATCCCAGTACTTTGGGAGGCCGAGGTGGGAGGATCACGAGGTCAGGGATTCAAGACCAGCCTGACCAACATGGTGAAACCCCATCTCTACTAAAAATACAAAAATTAGCTGGGTGTGGTGGTGCGCCTGTAATCCCAGCTACTCCGGAGGCTGAGGCAGGAGAATCACTTGACCCCGGGAGGCAGAGGTTGCAGTGAGCCGTGATCGCACCAGACTGGGTGACAGAGTAAGACTCTGTCTCAAAAAAAAAAAAAAAAAGAAAGAAGAAGAAAGAAAAAGAAACTAGGTGTCAGTGGCCATTATTCCTACCTGTGAAGACTTAAAACATAAATTTGATATTTGGATGAGACTGGCCTTTACCATAATATTAATAACATTTGTTCACAGAAAATGGCATAGCATTGACCACAGTTTGTAATTAGATAGTATGTGATTTTCTTTCTTTCTTTTTTTTTTTTTTCTTAACTATCTGCCTCTCTTGCATGCTATTGTACCTATAACTCTGGACTGAGAGGAAACACCTTCTAGAAACAGGCAGTGCCCAGAGAGAGAAGCACAGGTCCACGCAGGCAGCCAAAGCCATCTTCTTGGTTGAAAGATACTCTTTTCGGGGGGAGGAGCCAAGATGGCCGAGTAGGAACAGCTCCGGTCTACAGCTCCCAGCGTGAGCGACAAAGAAGACGGGTGATTTCTGCATTTGCATCTGAGGTACCCGGTTCATCTCACTAGGGAGTGCCAGACAGTGGGCGCAGGTCAGTGGGTGCGCGCACCGTGCGCAAGCCGAAGCAGGGCGAGGCATTGCCTCACCTGGGAAGCGCAAGGGGTCAGGGAGTTCCCTTTCTGAGTCAAAGAAAGGGGTGACGGACGGCACCTGGAAAATCGGGTCACTCCCACCCGAATACCGCGCTTTTCCGACGGGCTTAAAAAACGGCGCACTGTGAGATTATATCCCGCACCTGGCTCGGAGGGTCCTACGCCCACGGAGTCTCGCTGATTGCTAGCAGAGCAGTCTGAGATCAAACTGCAAGGCGGCAGCGAGGCTGGGGGAGGGGCACCCGCCATTGCCCAGGCTTGATTAGGTAAATAAAGCAGCCGGGAAGCTCCAACTGGGTGGAGCCCACCACAGCTCAAGGAGGCCTGCCTGCCTCTGTAGGCTCCACCTCTGGGGGCAGGACACAGACAAACAAAAAGACAGCAGTAACCTCTGCAGACTTAAATGTCCCTGTCTGACAGCTTTGAAGAGAGCAGTGGTTCTCCCAGCACGCAGCTGGAGATCTGAGAAGGGGCAGACTGCCTCCTTAAGTGGGTCCCTGACCCCTGACCCCCGAGCAGCCTAACTGGGAGGCACCCCCCAGCAGGGGCACACTGACACCTCACACAGCAGGGTACTCCAACAGACCTGCAGCTGAGGGTCCTCTCTGTTAGAAGGAAAACTAACAAACAGAAAGGACATCCACACCAAAAACCCATCTGTACATCACCATCATCAAAGACCAAAAGTAAATAAAAACCACAAAGATGGGGAAAAAACAGAACAGAAAAACTTGAAACTCTAAAAAGCAGAGCGCCTCTCCTCCTCCAAAGGAACGCAGTTCCTCACCAGCAACGGAACAAAGCTGGATGGAGAATGACTTTGACGAGCTGAGAGAAGAAGGCTTCAGACGATCAAATTACTCTGAGCTACGGGAGGACATTCAAACCAAAGGCAAAGAAGTTGAAAACTTTGAAAAAAATTTAGAAGAATGTATAACTAGAATAACCAATACAGAGAAGTGCTTAAAGGCGCTGATGGAGCTGAAAACCAAGGCTCGAGAACTACGTGAAGAATGCAGAAGCCTCAGGAGCCGATGCGATCAACTGGAAGAAAGGGTATCAGCGATGGAAGATGAAATGAATGAAATGAAGCGAGAAGGGAAGTCTAGAGAAAAAAGAATAAAAAGAAATGAGCAAAGCCTCCAAGAAATATGGGACTATGTGAAAAGACCAAATCTACGTCTGATTGGTGTACCTGAAAGTGATGCGGAGAATGGAACCAAGTTGGAAAACACTCTGCAGGATATTATCCAGGAGAACTTCCCCAATCTAGCAAGGCAGGCCAACGTTCAGATTCAGGAAATACAGAGAACGCCACAAAGATACTCCTCGAGAAGAGCAACTCCGAGACACATAATTGTCAGATTCACCAAAGTTGAAATGAAGGAAAAAATGTTAAGGGCAGCCAGAGAGAAAGGTCGGGTTACCCTCAAAGGGAAGCCCATGAGACTAACAGCGAATCTCTCGGCAGAAACCCTACAAGCCAGAAGAGAGTGGGGGCCAATATTCAACACTCTTAAAGAAAAGAATTTTCAACCCAGAATTTCATATCCAGCCAAACTAAGCTTCATAAGCGAAGGAGAAATAAAATACTTTACAGACAAGCAAATGCTGAGAGATTTTGTCACCACCAGACCTGCCTTACAAGAGCTCCTGAAGGAAGCACGAAACATGGAAAGGAACAACCGGTACCAGCTGCTGCAAAATTATGCCAAAATGTAAAGACCATCGAGACTAGGAAGAAACTCCATCAACTAACGAGCAAAATAACCAGCTAACATCATAATGACAGGATCAAATTCACACATAACAATATTAACTTTAAATGTAAATGGACTAAATGCTCCAATTAAAAGACACAGACTGGCAAATTGGATAAAGAGTCAAGACCCATCAGTGTGCTATATTCAGGAAACCCATCTCACGTGCAGAGACACACATAGGCTCAAAATAAAAGGATGGAGGAAGATCTACCAAGCCAATGGAAAACAAAAAAAGGCAGGGGTTGCAATCCTAGTCTCTGATGAAACAGACTTTAAACCAACAAAGATCAAAAGAGACAAAGAAGGCCATTACATAATGGTAAAGGGATCAATTCAACAAGAAGAGCTAACTATCCTAAATATATATGCACCCAATACAGGAGCACCAAGATTCATAAAGCAAGTCCTGAGTGACCTACAAAGAGACTTAGACTCCCAAACATTAATAATGGGAGACTTTAACACCCCACTGTCAACATTAGACAGATCAACGAGACAGAAAGTCAACAAGGATACCCAGGAATTGAACTCAGCTCTGCACCAAGCAGACCTAATAGACATCTACAGAACTCTCCACCCCAAATCAACAGAATATACATTTTTTTCAGCACCACACCACACCTATTCCAAAATTGACCACATACTGGGAAGTAAAGCTCTCCTCAGCAAATGTAAAAGAACAGAAATTATAGCAAACTATCTCTCAGACCACAGTGCAATCAAACTAGAACTCAGGATTAAGAATCTCACTCAAAACCGCTCAACTACATGGAAACTGAACAACCTGCTCCTGAATGACTACTGGGTACATAACGAAATGAAGGCAGAAATAAAGATGTTCTTTGAAACCAACGAGAACAAAGACACAACATACCAGAATCTCTGGGACGCATTCAAAGCAGTGTGTAGAGGGAAATTTATAGCACTAAGTGCCCACAAGAGAAAGCAGGAAAGATCCAAAATTGACACCCTAACATCACAATTGAAAGAACTAGAAAAGCAAGAGCAAACACATTCAAAAGCTAGCAGAAGGCAAGAAATAACTAAAATCAGAGCAGAACTGAAGGAAATAGAGACACAAAAAACCCTTCAAAAAATTAATGAATCCAGGAGCTGGTTTTTTGAAAGGATCAACAAAATTGATAGACCACTAGCAAGACTAATAAAGAAAAAAAGAGAGAAGAATCAAATAGATGCAATAAAAAATGATAAAGGGGATATCACCATCGATCCCACAGAAATACAAACTACCATCAGGGAATACTACAAACACCTCTACGCAAATAAACTAGAAAATCTAGAAGAAATGGATAAATTCCTGGACACATACACTCTCCCAAGACTAAACCAGGAAGAAGTTAAATCTCTGAATAGACCAATAACAGGAGCTGAAATTGTGGCAATAATCAATAGCTTAGCAATCAAAAAGAGTCCAGGACCAGATGGATTCACAGCCGAATTCTACCAGCGGTACAAGGAGGAACTGGTACCATTCCTTCTGAAACTATTCCAATCAATAGAAAAAGAGGGAATCCTCCCTAACTCATTTTATGAGGCCAGCATCATTCTGATACCAAAGCCAGGCAGAGACACAACAAAAAAAGAGAATTTTAGACCAATATCCTTGATGAACATTGATGCAAAAATCCTCAATAAAATACTGGCAAACCGAATCCAGCAGCACATCAAAAAGCTTATCCACCATGATCAAGTGGGCTTCATCCCTGGGATGCAAGGCTGGTTCAATATACACAAATCAATAAATGTAATCCAACATATAAACAGAGCCAGAGACAAAAACCACATGATTATCTCAATAGATGCAGAAAAAGCCTTTGACAAAATTCAACAACCCTTCATGCTAAAAACTCTCAATAAATTAGGTATTGATGGGACGTATCTCAAAATAATAAGAGCTATCTATGACAAACCCACAGCCAATATCATACTGAATGGGCAAAAACTGGAAGCATTCCCTTTGAAAACTGGCACAAGACAGGGATGCCCTCTCTCACCACTCCTATTCAACATAGTGTTGGAAGTTCTGGCCAGGGCAATTAGGCAGGAGAAGGAAATAAAGGGTATTCAATTAGGAAAAGAGGAAGTCAAATTGTCCCTGTTTGCAGACGACATGATTGTATATCTAGAAAACCCCATTGTCTCAGCCCAAAATCTCCTTAAGCTGATAAGCAACTTCAGCAAAGTCTCAGGATACAAAATCAATGTACAAAAATCACAAGCATTCTTATACACCAACAACAGACAAACAGAGAGCCAAATCATGAGTGAACTCCCATTCACAATTGCTTCAAAGAGAATAAAATACCTAGGAATCCAACTTACAAGGGATGTGAAGGACCTCTTCAAGGAGAACTACAAACCACTGCTCAAGGAAATAAAAGAGGATACAAACAAATGGAAGAACATGCCATGCTCATGGGTAGGAAGAATCAATATCGTGAAAATGGCCATACTGCCCAAGGTAATTTACAGATTCAATGCCATCCCCATCAAGCTACCAATGGCTTTCTTCACAGAATTGGAAAAAACTACTTTAAAGTTCATATGGAACCAAAAAAGAGCCCGCATCGCCAAGTCAATCCTAAGTCAAAAGAACAAAGCTGGAGGCATCACACTACCTAACTTCGAACTATACTACAAGGCTACAGTAACCAAAACAGCATGGTACTGGTACCAAAACAGATATATAGACCAATGGAACAGAACAGAGCCCTCAGAAATAACACCGCATATCTACAACTATCTGATCTTTGACAAACCTGGGAAAAACAAGCAATGGGGAAAGGATTCCCTATTTAATAAATGGTGCTGGGAAAACTGGCTAGCCATATGTAGAAAGCTGCAACTGGATCCCTTCCTTACACCTTATACAAAAATCAATTCAAGATGGATTAAAGACTTAAACGTTAGACCTAAAACCATAAAAACCCTAGAAGAAGACCTAGGCATTACCATTCAGGACATAGGCATGGGCAAGGACTTCATGTCTAAAACACCAAAAGCAATGGCAACAAAAGACAAAATTGACAAATGGGATCTAATTAAACTCAAGAGCTTCTGCACAGCAAAAGAAACCACCATCAGAGTGAACAGGCAACCTACAAAATGGGAGAAAATTTTCGCAACCTACTCATTTGACAAAGGGCTAATATCCAGAATCTACAATGAACTCCAACAAATTTACAAGAAAAAAACAAACAACCCCATCAAAAAGTGGGCGAAGGACATGAACAGACACTTCTCAAAAGAAGACATTTATGCAGCCAAAAAACACATGAAAAAATACTCATCATCACTGGCCATTAGAGAAATGCAAATCAAAACCACAATGAGATACCATCTCACACCCGTTAGAATGGCAACCATTAAAAACTCAGGAAACAACAGGTGCTGGAGAGGATGTGGAGAAATAGGAACACTTTTACACTGTTGGTGGGACTGTAAACTAGTTCAACCATTGTGGAAGTCAGTGTGGCGATTCCTCAGGGATCTAGAACTGGAAATACCATTTGACCCAGCCATCCCATTACTAGGTATATACCCAAAGGACTATAAATCATGCTGCTATAAAGACACATGCACCCGTATGTTTATTGCGGCATTATTCACAATAGCAAAGACTTGGAACCAACCCAAATGTCCAACAATGATAGACTGGATTAAGAAAATGTGGCACATATACACCATGGAATACTATGCAGCCATAAAAAAGGATGAGTTCATGTCCTTTGTAGGGACATGGATGAAATTGGAAATCATTATTCTCAGTAAACTATCCCAAGAACAAAAAACCAAACACCGCATATTCTCACTCATAGGTGGGAACTGAACAATGAGATCACATGGACACAGGAAGGGGAATATCACACTCTGGGGACTGTTGTGGGGTGGTAGGAGGGGGGAGGGATAGCATCGGGAGATATACCTAATGCTAGATGACGAGTTAGTGGGTGCAGCGCACCAGCATGGCACATGTATACATATGTAACTAACCTGCACAATGTGCACATGTACCCTAAAACTTAAAAGTATAATAAAAAATAATAATAAAAAAAAAACAAAAGAAAACAAAAAAAAAAGAAAGATACCCTTTTCTTCCAACTTAAATAAAAGGCATAACTAGTTTAAGCAAGGCTATTGGCAGGAATGCATCACCAGCTCAAAGGGCAGGTTTTGATGCCAGCCCCAGGACTCAGTAGCTGAAAGTTCCACATCCCACACACACAACCAGGCAGAGAGAGGCTTCCCTTCCAGGAAAATGGCATTTCGGTGTCAGTCCCTGCATATTATGTCCGTTAATCTCTTTCCTTCTTTTTTCTGCTCTTTTACCCTCTTTCCTGACATGGCAAGTGGTGCCAATCTTTCTTTTTTCTGTTTTTCTTCTTTTTTTTTTTTTTTTTTTTTTGAGACACAGTCTGCAGTGACTGGATCTCTGCTCATTATAGCCTCAACCTCCCCAGGTGCAAGTGATCCTCCCACCTCAGCACCCCCTGCCCCCACACCGAGTAGCTGGGACTATAGGCATGCACAACCACGCCTGGCTAATTTTCGTATTTTTTGTAGAGATTGGGTTTCCCCATGTTGCCCAGGCTGGTCTCGAACTCCTGAGCTCAAGCGATCTGCCCTCCTCGGCCTCCCAAAGTGCTGGGGTTACAGGCATGAACCACCGGGCTGGCCATCTTTTTTTCTCTTGTGTCAGTCTTGTTCTTTGATGGAAAAGATGAGAGGGATTGGAGGGGCCTTGAATGACAGCCTCATTTGGTGCATTCTCACAGGTCACAGTTCAGGCAACTCTAGGAAGTGAAACATTCTGAGAACTCTTCCCAAGGAGATATGCTTTATTTTGTTTTCCCCTGTAAGTCTCCTTGACTTATTTGCTGTCAGGAAATTTGAACTCTTGATATTATAAATATGGGGAAAAATTTCTGTTTTGTTTTATTTTGTTTGTTTTTATTCTGGGCCCACTACACAATCTCTTAGCAGGTCATTGTGTTTTTATAAGGAAAACCTAAGCCTTTGTCTGGCGATCCTTCTCTCTGTTCCTGTGCAAGAAGGAGGGGCCAGAAGTTTTCTGGCCCCAGCAGGAGGCGTGGCAGGCCGAGCAACAAGTCACTATGGCGGACACATGGCGACTGCAGAGAGGCTGTCAGTGGAGCTATCTGGGCAAGCCCTGAAGGAATTCCAAAAGGGCCCTTTATCTCCAAAACAGTTTAAGGTGTTGATTTTGTTTCCTTCAAAGCGTGACAGTGTGGGCAAGCTTTCCTCAATAAAGCCATCAGAGCAGGCGGGAGGAATCCAATTCTCTTGATGAGATTAGAAATGTGATTCTCAAGACTGTGGGGCAGGAAGAGGGACTTTTTCAAGCTACAAGTTGGCCAGAATCACCCAGAATCACTGCCCTTGAGGAGAAATGTCACTGATGGGAATACGTTACATACATGATGGTGAGGAGGTAAAAAAGAAGTGTTGGGAACCATTAGAATCTGCAGTGTGTGCATGTGTGTCTGTGTGTGTGTGTGTCTGTGTGTGTATGTGTGTTTGGCCCATGAGAAAGATTATTCCCAGCCCTCAGACTTTCCTAAAGTATGAACAACGTTAAGAGATCCAACTTTTGATTTGGATTTGAGATTTTCGATTTAATGTGACATATTAATGAAAGCAATGTGTGGTATTTCACATCACAGTTTTCTTCAGAGTACTGCAAGATTCAGTCCTAGATAAGTCAGGAGGATACCCAGGAAGCTGAAAGAAAAAGGGACCAAAGATCAAAATGGGGGAGAAACAAAAGGACACTACTCCCAAATAAGTTATTTAAGTTTGTGAGACAAACAATACTATTTGGGGGAAGTATTAAAAGCCCTGCAAAGGCCTACACTCTATGAAGGCAAAATGGCTGCCTTCACTCTGCTGGCCTTCATGGCACTGGAAGAAAGTCCAGCATGAGTGGAAGTTTCTGGAACCCCTCATGGAGCTGGGGGTAGGGGGAGTGTGCTGGGTCCATGGGCACCGGGTCACTGACCACAATTCTGACCTGGTGCCTAACTGTCAAGCTATTTTATGGCATAGCGGCATTGGATACACATTTGGGTGTAGCTAAGTTGTATTTGTCATGAATATTCATTCAAGTGAATAGAGAAGCATTCCATAGATTGAGCTTTACACCTTAGTGAGGATCGATAATATTGGTTTGATTTTAAAAGAACACATTCTCTTATTTAAATTTTTTCTATGTGGTTTCTAAAAGGTCAAGTGTGTTTTTCATAAAGGTGAGAATATATTCCTAAGCAAAATGAAAAAAAGTTGGAGTATAAATATGAAATCCTTAAAATCTAAGTATATGGATTATAAGATTCCACAGAAAATTTAAGGTGAAGGGGGGCCACTTTTTATTGGATGCTTGCTATATGCCAGACCAAGTGCTTTACAAATATTGTTGATGAATGAATGAATGAATGATCCTACATGATATTTACTAATATTTCTATTTTACCAATGAGGAAACTGAGGCTGTTGGAGTTTGTAAGAAGTCACCCCATCTGATAGATGTCAGAAATAGAATTCAAACCCAAATATTTCTGACTCTGATTTATGTAATGTAGGAGAGATTTAGAATAGAGTGCTGGAAAGAATCACATTTAATAAACTCCCCCCACTGTCTTGGGCCAGTTGATGAAGACAGCTTTTATTTTTCTCCTTGGAGTCCCTAACTTCCCCCACTGAGTGCCAATCTCCTCATTTCATTTTCTCACGTTACTCATCTCTTTTATCCACTCGATTCTGGTTGAAATTAGTGGAATCTTCATGCTGAAGAGCTTCTAATGACATAGAGAACAGGGAATACTAACCCAATGTTCTGATCTTTTTTAAAAGCCCAGACAGAAAATAATATTGGCCCCAGCGGTCAAAACCCAGACAACTCTAGTTTTGATGGGATAGCTCCCAAAAAGTTCAGATGCTTCCCTGAACTCATCCAAACCTTGGGCGGTCTCCTGCTTTTCCGGAGGGAACATGCTTGGTGAATGATGCACCAAGTTGAAACACATGGAGAATGCCCTCCGTGGGGACTCTTGGGTCTTGTATGAGGTTAAGTCCCAATTGCACATCAAGCTGCCGTGGTATTTCTCCTCTGCAAGCAGACTTTGTCCTGTTGAAAATGGAATCTCAACCACACAAAAAGCACTGGAAGTTACATTAGTGAAGTCATCAACCATGTATGCACGGTCTTCGTTTTATGCATCTACCTTGCATCAGATGCTAGCCTACACACGTCACCTGTGTTATTTCATTTACTCTTTGCAACAAAACTGCCAGGTGGTTGTTATCTTTACTTAACAAATGAGGAAACCAAGGCCTGGGTTGATCAAGTAATGTACTCAAAGTCACATGACTTGAAGGTGGCAGTAGGGATTTAAGCCAACTCTGTTCATCTTCAAAAAGTGTGTTTCTAATCACGTCACAGCGTCTCCTGACCAGTCCAGAAAGACACCAGCAAATATTAACATCTGGGAGTGAATTTGTACCCTAGCTTTATTTCCAATTGATGACATCTTTTCTTGTTTACTTCTTAAAGCAGGGATAGAAGCAGTGGAGCTGGCAAGCACCCCTGGTTCACATGTAGCAAACATGGGTGACGTGGCCAGGCTGCTGGACAGAGGTTATTGGTTCAGGCCAAGTGATGGGAGTTAATAAGCTCCAAGGAAAAGTAAACCCTCAGCTGACTGGAACCTCTGAGAACCCTATCAGAAAAAAAATTTGACAAGATAGACTAGGATTAAAATTCATGGATGGCTTTAGAACTCAGAAATAAATCAGGAAGAAAAAAAATATATGTGCAAGCCAATTCCATAAATACTAGAACCTCGTAGAATCATTAAAAGTCCCCATAACTTGGGCCTGAGTGCAACTGTGGTCCCTTCACTGTAGTAATTTAAACTCGACTGTTTATTTTGGCTTCTGCCTTCTCAATGACTTGTTCTAATCGAAATGCTTTGATGAGATGCACAAAAGGAATAAAAATATGATTGAAAAGCCAGAGAGTAATATCTTGGTTTAAAACAACTGTGAGCACAAACTTTAATCTTTGGCATTGCCATAAGGGCTATCTTAGACTAACTGGGGCAAACACTTTTAGGATCTTGTTTGGAAAAACATTTTTGGTTTTAGAGTGGGTGTCCATGTATCATAACACAACACTTACAAAACATAATTTTTTAAAAAAGCCTCTTATTCTGCCTACAATCCATGTGCTTTTGACATCATAAGCTCCATTTCTTGAAGGCTTCTATAAAAATCCATGGCTTATGGAAGGTAAAGGCAACATTATGCTGAGTTCAAGCAATATTTGTGGGACTTGGGTTCCACTTTTTCTATAAAGAGCCAATGTGTTTTTCTCCTGTTTTACCTGAAGCACCTATGTGGATCTGCATGTCTTTAGTCATCTTGGTGGGGTGCTTACCTGAATTAGATATTATCTTCTGGAAGTCAATAGGAATAATAAATAATAAATGTTAATATTTTTTAAGTCAGATATTCTCAAGAAGAACTGGATTCAAAGCCTGGCCAAGCTAGTTGACCACCTGTGAGGCCATGGACAAGTTCCTTATATCTCAAATCACTAATTTTCTTACCTACAAATTGGTGGTAGTAATGCATTGGTTTGTACAAAGGATTCAATGAGTTAATATATGTTGTATTAGTTTGCTACTGCTGCCATAACAAAGTACCACAGACTGGGTGGCTTAAAAAACAAAATTCCCTTTTCTCATGGTTCTGGAGGCTGGAATCTGAGATCAAAGTGTTGGCAGGATTGGTTTCTTCTGAGGCCTCTCTCCTTGGCTTGTAGACAGCCGCCTTCTCCCTGTGTTTTCTTATGGTCTCCTCTCTGCGTGTATGTGTGTCCTAATCTTCTCTTCATATAGGGAAACCAAGCATATTTGGATTCAGACCCACCCATACGACTTCATTTTACCTTAATTACCTCTTTAAAGACCCTATCTCCAAATAAAGTCACATTCTGAGGTACTAGGCATTAGGACTTCAACATAGGAATTTTGGGAAGGGACACAACATATGAATCTTGGGAATTCATCCCATAGCCTATAAGAAATACCTAGAACATGCTATACTTTTAGTAAATGCTGAGTCCCTTCTCTTCTCCACTTCCAAGGTTTAGTGTCAATAAGATATGAAGCATGTACACAGGCTCTTTGAATTTTTCAGGTTCCTTGACAAAGGTACTAAATTGCAGGATAATCCCATTAAAATGGGATGTCCATTGTTGCTCACACAAGGGCCAGCAGTTTAAAAATGGAGGCAAACTCGGCTGGGTGTGGTGGCTCACACCTGTAATCCCAGCACTTTGGGAGGCCAAGGTGGGTGGATCATGAGGTCAGGAGATTGAGACCATCCTGGCTATGGTGAAACCCCATCTCTACTAAAAATACAAAAAATTAGCTGGGCATGGTGGCGGGCGCCTGTAGTACCAGCTACTCGGGAGGCTGAGGCAGGAGAATGGTGTGAACCCGGGAGATGGAGCTTGCAGTGAGCCAAGATGGCGCCACTGCACTCCAGCCTGGGCGACAGAGCGAGACTGTGTCTCAAAAAATAAATAAATAATTGAGGCAAACTCATCTTCACTTTACACCTCAAAAAGTGTAAGTCAAAATATAAAGAGGAAATTTTTAACTCCAGACCTCTCAGATCTCATTGATTTTTCTCTTGTTCAAAGGCAAGCAAAAAAAGTATTGAGCAATACACACAACAATGATGACAACTACAATGACGTGACAAGGGTGATCATAGCAGCTAACATTTACTGAGGACAAACACAGTCCTTTTTGCCTTTTAAAGGAAAGTCCTTTAAGTGCATTCTCCCATTTGATCTATCAACAACTCTACAAATGGTAGCTGTGTGTGCTTTAAAACAAGCTGAAAATTTTTTTAGAAAAAAAACACACATTGGGAATTTCTACATGTAAGAAAGGATAAAATCAGTCTTGATTTCATGAGAGGACTCACCAGTTCAGATTATTATTGTCACTCTAAATGTAGTTTTGCTGACATAAATACTATCTGGGTACCCTAGGGGCTGCTGACATCCACATTTGGAATTGTTGCATCTTCCGGAACAGAGATTCCTTGGTAGGTGTCAATTGATCTAGAGAGCTTGGAGGGGGCCTGCTTACAAGTCCTTCTCTACCTAGCACACTGCTCTGCATACCATGAAGATATAATAAGTATTTATAGAGTGAATGCTGCACCTTCCCCTCCAGACTCTGAGTTCCCTTCTCCCTTTAGGGTCATCACAGCCAGCAGCTCCGATGGACTCATAGATTAAACCCCTCCTATGGCCAATCAAAGACCCCCAAGAACACACTGTTGAAGATGAGAGGGCCCACCACTTGGGCCCTTGGTAATTTACTCTCAAATGCTCGGGGATTTTGAGCAAGAATCTTAGTCACGTGAACATATCTGTAAAACAGTTGTTGGGAAGGCAGAAAGACCAAATGTTGAAATTCTAAAGTTTTTACTTAATGACACTTCTACATACCCTTTCCAGGAGGGACCGATGTGGCAGCTTCCACTGATAATAATGGAAACGCACATTTTGAGACGTTGCAAGTCATGGACATGCCCAGGCCATGGTGCTGCCTGTTGGACGGTGCTTTGCTTGTTTCTGTCTGAAGAGGCTGGTTGCCTTTTTCTCATTCAGCTCAATGCAAACACCCATCAAGAAGGGTCAAGTGGGCATTGCTTTCAGAGTCTCCTTCAGGCTTGAACAAAGGCTTTGGAGACAGACAGGCATGCAGGGGTGCACACAGAGAGCTGCCCTCTGGCACTTCACTCTCTGGACATGCTCAGGCCTGTGGGCAGGGCCTTGAGTTTCTGGCCTGCCGTCAACTCCATTGAGCAGCGGCCTTGGCTGGGTCATACACAGCATTTTTTTCTGTCTGAAGGATGACCTGGTTAGCAAAGGACAAATACTAGCACTCCCAAAAAATAATTAAGTCTTTGGACCCTTTTCTGCAAACACAAATCTGTGTGAGGTTTTCTGGAGCAAATGCTGTAGGCTACATTCCAAAGGCCAAGAAGAAAAATACCACGCTGGTCAGTCACCCATGCTGTCTCCATAAATAGCACCATGCATTTCTGAAGCAATGAGCGATGTTAGACAATCCTCTTTATGGTACCAGTGGGACAGTGGCTTTAAGGGCCATGGATATGACAAAGAAAACAAGGGATGGACAGAGGGCGAAATCAGTCAGATCACAGTATGTTGGTTAAGTCACTTAATTACGCTGGAGCTCCATTATTCTCCGTTTTAAAGTTAGGCTGGCTCAGTGTGGTGGCTCACACCTGTAATCCCAGCACTTTGGGAGGCCAAGGCAGGAGGATCTCTTGAGCCCAGGAGTTCGAGACCAGCCTGGACAACAAAGTGAGAACCTGCCTCTACAAAAAATTTATTTTAAATAGCTGAGTGTGGTGGTGTGCACCTGTGGTCCCAGCTATTTGGGAGGCTAATGTGGGAGGATCGCTTGAGCCCAGGAAGTTGAGGGTGCAGTGAGCCATGATTGTGCCACTGCAACCCAGGCTGGGTGATACAGTGAGACCATGTCTCAACAAATAAAATAAAAAGGTTCAGCTGATACTGATAACTCTGTTCCATAAGGTAGTCCACTTAACCAGAGCCCATTTATCGAGAGCCTGCCATGTGCAGAGTCCTGCATAAAGGCTGGTGGTGAGATTGAATAGAATCGTGTAGTGAAGACACAGCCAAGCTGCTGCCTCATCAAAGGCTCTCCCTAAACGTTGGGTGACTGTGGGAAGTGGTTGGGGAAAGAGGACACATTAGGCCTGGGTTCTTTTAAAATGTGGATATTCGTTCAGGTTCTTTAAATAGTTATTGAAACTATTAAAAATTACTTTCTTCCACAGGAATAATGATTGAGCACCAGAAACAGACAAGCGAGGTCCTGGGAATAGAGCATAAACACAGGAAAAGCAAACTCCATTCTGGCTTGGGGGGACCTTGACTAAGCTTTGACAAATGTGCACAGACTCCCAAGAGGATCCAAGCCTTCAAATCCAGGTTCAAACAGGTAAAGAGTGGAGGGGCAAGGTGCCAGTTAAGTTGGGGGAAAGGCGATGAAAGGGGCAGATTAATATATTACAAGGAAAACTATAGGAGAATTCCTGGGAACAAACTAGCAGACATGTTTATCCTGCAAGAAGCCTGGGTGATTTGAGCGTTTGGCTGGAGGGAGGGGAAGAAGGAGCTAGCATTAATCATGCTCCCAAATTCAACTCCAGCATCTAACGAAATAGACAATAACTGGTTTCGCCACTCCTGTTCCTCACATCCCCTGGGGTCAAGGCCTGGCTGGAATTCAAACAGGATTTCAGATCGGGCCTGGAAAGTTGTGTACATTTAAGTTCATTCTGGAAGGCATGCTTGATATAGAAATGGATTTTTCTTGGTCTAATTTTGAGAGGATCTGAACTTAGTGAGAGTAAGTGGGTGCTTTAAATAATCTCCTACTCTTTTTTTCTTAAGAGGAGAATTTATCGCAGAGACTGGCCAATGGCACTGACCACACCTATTTCAAGTCCTAGCTTGGAACATAGATTTTTTGTGTTTTTAATGGAAAAATAGAAGTCCTTGTAAACTACCATTTACCTTTCATTTGCCTCTTCCTCATGTTGTGTGATTTCTTTTGGCATCATAGTGCTCCCCTAAAGGGTCCACCAAGGTGAACTTGGCTAGGCAGTGCTTCAAAACACCCCATCGGTGGAGATTAAGGATGACAGGTCAAAACCAATGCCACTCTTGGGCTGCCTGGCATGCACCTAGGAAATCAGGCACACCCATGCTGAAATAAGGAATCGACTTTGCTCAGGAAGAGTCATCTATGCATTTCTTCTTTCGGTGATATATGTAGTAGGGGTCAAGGGTGGGGACCGAATTTGGAGAGAGCAGGAGAGAAGGGCTGGAGGGGTGGATGAGATGGCAGACAGGGGAAGTAAACTAAGGGTAAACCAGAACATCCCATGACACCAGTTATGAGGAGACTCGCTAGTGCTGAAGTTTCTGCTGTGCCAAAGACGCCTGTTTCAGGATGAGTCCAATTTTAGCCCAGGAGAAATAAATCAACTATAGGGCAAAAGGTTTAATGAGTAAAATGTATCATTCCAAAAATGTGATGCAGTCCACATCCAAAGTTTCTAGGTCAAATAACATGAGGAACTAATGCAGAAAAAGAAAGCAGCTGCCTGGGCGTGGTGGCACGGGTCCCAGCACCAGGTCCTCACACCACATCCTTGTACCACATCCTCCCAACCTCCTACCACTGGGGTCCTGCCCAGCCAGGAGGCAATGGGAGGGAAACCCAGCCTTGCAATTCTTTAATTTTGGGGAAAGTGAGGTGGGGAGTTTCTGACTTGTATATCCTTTAATTAAAGGGAATCTGACCTCTTCTATGATGATAATAATAATAAAATGTCTCAGAAGAGAATGGGAGCGTGCAAGAGAGTTATGCATTATGCACAAGACAGCAGGGCTTGGAACAGTAAAATCTTGTTTGCTCACGCGGCTCTGAGTAACCTAAGGGGGAAAAAACTCAGAACATTATTGATTAGATGCCAATTCACATGGCTCTCTTTGTCTGCTTTTTATTATCAGTATTTCTTTAAAAGGTTAATAGATCCTGGTCCTGACAAGCGTGAAGCCAGGAGGTGGGCTCTTATCCAGTGTTTTCATTCTTCAGCCCTCAAGAGACAATGATTAGATCTTAATATTGAATGCACAAACCACACTCACTGTGTGAACTTTCTGAGAGAGCTCCCCACCTAAAGACAGAAGAAGTGAAGAAGTTTTATTGGAAGGATTGTCAAAGGCGGGGGGCGGGGAACACTTTGAGTCTCTTTGAGCCAGTTGATTAGGGGTGAGTTGATTTTCTTATGAACACTCTAAATCTACTCTCCCTGGGGGCAGGGAAACCTGAGAAGCTTGGATTTCAATGATTTAATTCCCCTTCTAAGAATAGCCAAAACTGGGGTGGAGAGAAGCTAATGAAGTCAACCACAGAAAGAACATTTGCAAATTGAGCAAAGCCCTGTGAATCTTAGGTAATAGCTGGGAGCCGAGTTTCTTTCTTCCACATCTCATAAACTACAAAATAACTCAGCAAAACATGTCAACCAATGGATGCTCTCCACAGGTTACATGATCTAAAGCTGAGATACAAGAAGCCAAACACAATTAAAACGTGCTTCCATTGGTAGGTTCATGGTGATGCTTTGCAGAGGTATCACCTAACCTACCAAGCTTTGGACATGCTTTATTCATTACAACACTGTCAAGATTAAGTTGCCACGACTTCATATCCCAGTTCATGAATTGCATCTACATACACCATATAATGAGCCTCACCAGTGTACGGAATGTGGACAGGTCTTCCCTTAATGCTGGGATTAATTAGTTAGTCTCTGGATGTGCCCTTGAGGTTTAGCGATTCACTTCACTCCCCAGTGCAGTGAATCCAAAAAGTACAAGATCCTTTCTCCAAGGAGGAGATGCAAATTCACAGATAGCCTGAAGCCTAACCTTGGGTTAGCCCCTGAGATCGACCCAGTTCCTTCTTACAGCAGGATCTCCTTGTGATGGCTTGGCAGGATTGACTGAGCTAGTGCTTCCTTCCAATGTTTGATTGGTTAAATAAAGATATCTTTCAATGTTTATATAATAGCATTCAGAACATAGTCTCCAGGGTAACTAGTGAGTAGAAATGGCAACATGTATGAGTCGGAATATTAAAAAGGAAATACACAAATCAGTCTTTCATTTCAAGGGTACATTTGATGTTGCATATCAATATCATTTTACATTTGAGGGTGAGCCCACCCTATGTTCCCTGTGAGCTGTGAGCAAGAGACAATAATCACACCCAATCCCAGTGGAGGCTACAGGTGAGGGGGAGGAGCAAAAACCATATAAACCGGTCTTTTCCATTCTGTTAGGAATAAGATGACATGAACAGCTTTTCCTGCCACAGTATCTCACCAACAGATTAGTTTTTAAAGGGAGGTTAAATCTGTTTGAACCTTGGCAAATTTGTTACTATAACCGTAGCATAGTTGTACGTGAAAACCAAATATTATTGTCCTTTATTATTCTGCTTTGTCTCCCATGTTTTTCCCATGGCTCTTAAAACAAAAGTGCTCAGCCAGGTTCTCACCCTTTGTCACTGAATGGAATGCATATTTTTGAAGGCTGATATACAGCTTAAAAAGGCAGCCGAATTTATATGTGATTTGAATAGTTGGCACCGTCATGCCAACTACTAGCGCTATCTATTCAAAAGGCAGCATCATTTTTCCTAAGGCCTTTCCTATGGTCTGTTTTCTAGGGCAAGTTGTCTCTCCATGGTGTCTGCTGCCTTCTCATACTCTTGGCTGACTTATATTCATTCCCTGGACACTCGGGAACACACTCCCAGAGCAGCCAGATTCAGAGTCAGTTTGTCCTTCATAGATAGGCAGTAAAACATTCCAATGTAGTTCCTCTGAGAGGGCTAGAATCGCTCGAGTTCTCTCCTGCTAGTTTGTCAAAAAAACTCCTGGGTGGACGTTTAACACCAGCAACAGTGCCAAAAATGGAATAGTTTCTCGTAGGAATTATATATGCTTATTCTTAAGGCCATGTAAGTAGACCCAATGAAGGCCTACTATCTTCTTCTTGGACATCACCACGGGATGGTGTGTGTGTGTATGTGTGTGAGTGTGAGTGTGTGTGTGACAGAGAGAGAGACACAAAGAGAGAAAACATAGGAATGCCAGATCCTCTCTTGTCTAATGGACAGTTTTTCAAAAGGAGCAGTGAGAATTCCTGGGGATTCACCGGTCAGTCTCTTCCAGTGTTTATCATCTCACATTACTCTCAGAAGTAACTTGTTAAGAGTAACTCATCTAAGAACAGAAGTTAGTTATACCGAGAAAAATATTCTAGACCTTGATGCCTTTCGTTTTTAATTTCCTTGTGCGTTTTACTTCCCCCAGAGTAGATAAACCGGGGGTGTTCACTAACTGAAGTCAGAAACCTCTCAACTCAAAATGTCTGGGAAGTCCTGTGTTCTGTTAGTTCCAATATACACGCATCAGCCATAAGGGATGTCTAAATAGTGCAAGACAATAAAATCCCTTCATGTTTTCTGTTTTAGGGAAATCCTGCATGGTTGCACTAGGGTCATAAAAAATTACTAATGTGTTTTCTCATGGCGCCGGGCCATCACATGGGCCCTGTGCAGTGGTATTGTATGCGGCCTGTAATCACAAACAAATGTATTCCACAAGCAGATGAGCTGTTATATGAGAAAGTGTGAGAGGTTAGAGCTTGAGCCTTCGTGTCAGCTACGAAGCAGGTCCGCCACAGTGGAAGACCCCTGAGGCCATGCAAATGAAAATGGCAGTTCCTGGGGGGGGGGTGGGGGTGGGAGGAGGACGCCAAGAGGGATGAGGTCACTGCAATAAACATCCAGCTTCCCTCTGAATGGGAAACTAGAAAAGCCTTCAACTATGGCACTACGTGGACTAGGAAAGGAGGTAGAATTTGTGGGTCAGGTGGGGCAAAAAGTGGAAATCCCCGTAGAGAGGAGACAAGTGACATCAGCGGGTGTCCCAGAAGGAGGGGTAGCTGAACAGGGAGCCAGCAGGCCTGGAGGCAGCCTCTATCAGTGAGGGAGATGGGCTGTCTGCTTCTGCCAACACTCCTGTGAGATGTCTAGCGTGAGGGGACACACAAGGGGGCAAGTTGTCAGTATGACACCCAGGCTTGCCATCACTGCAGGCCTCACTTGGAAGGACATTTATAATACTTTCCAGGACCAAGCATCATTCTGTCCAGGCAAAAAGAAATTCCATTAAAAAGTTGATGTATTTTGTCTTTGCCCCCGAAAAGGAATGTTCAAGCTATAAACAGTGACATTTCTTCATGTGAGTTCCTGTAAAAAAAAAAAAAAAAAAAAAAGAAAGAAAGAAAGAAAAAAAAAAGGGAATGCTTTCCAGAATTCTTAGAGGTAGAAAACTACTCCATACAAGCAATACGGCCAAATCCAAAATGCATTTACACAGAAGCAGTGTTGCAGAGTAGAAATGCACAGATTAAAAGCCTTCGCTCTCCTGCTCCCTGACTGATTTTGAGCAAGTTACTTATGGTTCCCAAACCCCAGCTTCCTTCTCAGGAAACAAGGGTAGTAATATCTGCCTTAAGGATTGTTGTAAAAATAAATCTCACAATTTAATCGCCACCCTTATGCCAACAACTTCTAGGTATTTTTCTCTCTGCTCACATTTCTCTCCTGAGCTCTGGATCCATAGACTCTCTCCCATGATTCTCAGGCTCTTCCAATCAAATGTCCAAAACCAGAATCATCTTTGCTTCCTCCAGCCTCACAGATCTGTTTTCTACTCAGCTAAGGTGCCACATGCATCGCCAGAAAACTTAGGCATCTCCCTAATATCTTCTTCTCCAACACCACTCTCACCTCAAATAAATCGCCAAATCCTTTTGATTGCAACTCTTTCAAATTTTCTAGCTGTCTCCATCCCTAGATCAGGTGCCATCATTTCCTCCTAGATCATCGCAGCAGTCTCTTTGCCTCTCACCTTGGCTTCTCCTCCCAGCCTATTCTCCACACTCCCTCCAGAAAGATCTTTGGCAAGAGCGAGTGGGCTTGGTCCTCTCCCCAGCTTAAATGGCTTCCCAGTGCCCTCAGGGTATTTCTTACCCTGGCTTGCCAAGCTCTTGTCAGTTCCTTTCTTACCACTCTACCTCCTATCTTTAGTCTCCACAGCTCCTGGCACTTTAGTTCCCTTTAGCCACGTCGGACTTTCTTGACTTGCTCTTATCTTCGGTTCTTTGCAGAGGTTGTTCTCTCTGCCTGAAATTGGCTTTTTTCCTGCTGTCTCCTCTCCTCTTATCTGACTAATTGCTACTCATGCTTCAGGTCCAAATTTAGATATCACCCCTCCAGAGCCTTTGTGCCCACAAGGCTGAATAGGGGTCCCTCTTATGTCCTGCCACGATACCTTGTACTCTCCCTATCATAAGCACATGGATGTCATCGTACTGGGCTTGCCCATGGACCTGCCAGTCTCTTCCAATTGAGAGCACACTCTTTGAGGACAAGGGTTGGCAGCAATGTATCTTCAGTGACATGTGCCAGACCACTCAATAATCATGTGGGAAGGGAGGGAGAGAGGGTGGGAGAAAGGAATAACATGACATGTTAAGCACCTAACACAGAATCAGTCACATATCAGCAATTATTAGTCTCCACTTTATGTTAATAAGCCATACATGTCTACTTTTCTTAATCAGGCCCCATAATTAGTTTTTTATGCTCAGCAAACTGGTGAAGTCCCTTCAGAGCTAGATCCGTTATATCTCTACAGTGAGCCAAGTGTCCCCACGGCAAAATTGTCTTAGATTTAGTCCCACTGACAATGAATTTAAAGTATTTAGGAAAACTTTGCTAAAATGTCCTGAACACATTGGATTAGGGGACTGGAATTCGGGGTAGGGGGTTAATGCCTTTCCTTTACCCTACTTTTCTCTTCCTCTTCTTCCTCCTCTTTCTTCTTTTTCTCTCTTAATCAGAGTCACAGAGAAATCCTGGAAGAGAGAGTGTTTAAGCCAATTTGGAAAAGTGTTTCTGCTCCTATGTTCTTGGGATCTTAGAACACAGAAGGCTCTATAAGTTTCAGAAGGCTCCAGATTAGAGGTTGAAACCTTAAAACTTAACCCCATTCCTCTATGACATGACTGGGGAAACCTCCCTTCTTTCTCCAAACCTTGCTCATCCCCTCCCTAAGAGAAATAACATAACTAGAAACCAGGACTTGCCTCATCACTGTTGAGACGCCCCCATTATTTGCTGCAAGCACCGTGAGTCAGGGCAGAGTGATCTTGTTCACTGCACAACCTCAGCACAGTGCCTGGGACAGAAGAGCTGCTCAGAAAACACCTGTTGAACAAATGTGTCAAAGGAATGTTCCTTCCTCTCCTATAGGAACTCCTGGGTGTAGGAAAAGTGGGTATCTCATTTCATAGAAGGAGATCAAATCAGAGAAGTTATAGGGGCCAGGTCATGGAAGGCCTTGGAAGTCATTGTAAAGACTTTCGTCTCTTACCCTGAGTGAGATGGGGACTATTGGAGAGTTTTGTGCAGAGAAGTGACATGAGATGACATAAGTTTAAAGGATCCGTGTTATGGGTAGACTTTAGAAGTACAAGGGAAGAAGCAGGGATACAGCTATTGCAATCATCCTGGAAGGAATCATGGTGGTCTGGCCAGGGTAGAAGCAGTGGAGGTAATAAGAGGGGACATATTCCAGATATATTTCAAAGGAAGCACCAACAAAATTTCCTGACAGATGGGATGTGGTGTGTAAGAGAAAAAGAGGAGTCAAAGATGACTCTAAGTGTTTTAGCCAGAACATCTGGAAGCAAGAGTTGCCATTTCTTGAGGTGGATCACAAACAGATTTGAAGAAAGGATGAGGAACTTGGTTTGGCCTTCAATGTTAGGTGATTGAGAAGATAAAGAAGAACCAGTAAAGGAAAACAAGAACAGCCAGTGAGGCAGGAGGAAAGCCAAGTGAGTGTGATGACCCAGAGGTCAAGTAAAGAAAGGGCTTTAGAGGAAACAGATTGATCAAGTAGAGCAACTGTTCAGAGAATTCAACTAAGATGAGGCCTGAGACTGACCTCTGGATTTATCAATGGAGGACACTGGTGACCCTGACAATCCCAGTGCTCTTGATCACTCAGTATAATATTTCAAGCAAGAAAAGAAAAGTAAGTTGCCTAGAATTCCATTTCTAGAAATTAGGAAATACAGTCATTGTCAAAAGGTTGCCATCTGTTAGGTAAGTCCTCTCAACAGTCATGGTGTGACATTGGCCCCATCTCACCTCCTGGCTGAACCACTGCTCATGAATTATAGTTCCAGTTTGTTAGTGAGTTCAGGGAAAGAGTCCATGATGTAACCTTCATCGTGTAACCTTGAACCAGTGCCCAAAATGACTTAGATTTCTCACTATGAAAATAAATATAATGGTCACCACTAAACTAAAATATCAAAACTTGATAAATGCTGGCCCGAGAGAACAATGCTGGCATTGGATTTGCTGAAAAGGAAAGCCACATTCCACAACTACCTTTAAGTCTGTGGAAATGGAAATTTTTTAAATACAGAAAAAGAAAAACTACCGACCCACATGCAAAGGGTGGATTAGGTGGTTTCCACATAGTTAGTGAGGTTCTGTTACCTTAGCGAAGTTCTGGTAAGAATGGGCATTCCTCACCAGCATAATCACTTGCCACTCTTTGGAATTCAGGAAGTGTTTCACAGCAAATGGATAAATGAAATGAGTCAGTGAACAGGATTCATTAGTTGCCTTTCCATAGCCTTCCCTGACTAATCTAACCGCATACTAATCATTGCTTCTTGTTTCTCTGACCCTACCAACTCAACTCTAAGTTCCTTGAGAACTATATAATAAGATGTATTTCTTTGTGTTCCTCACCACACTTAGTTTAGTATTATAGTTATTACTTAATATATACTTCTTGACTGAGCAAAAAATTTAAAAAAGAAATTGAGCTGTTAAGCTAAGGATATAAATTTAATTTAAATCTTCAAGAAAAAGAGATAAGAGAAACAGTGCAAATAAGCCTTACAATGTGCTCAGATTATAATGGTCTGCAGGATTAAACCAACTGGAGCCAACATTCCTCTGATGTTTTGGTATCCAATGGTCTTATCAGTAGGTTTCCAACCATTAATCGTGAGCCATTATTTACTGTTGCCAGTCACTGCCTTCTGGTGTCCCTAGTGATACAACCTTAACCTTCCAAGGGCCCTGTGTCACTTTTGTGTGATGTTTTCATCACACAAAGGGAAGACAGCTGTTTTCTTGGTCGCACTACTTCGTGGTGTCCCAATGAGATGATGGGACTATGTAGCTCTCTACACATGAACTGACTCCATATGCATTCCCACGGGGGATCTTAGCTTGCTTTCTCTCTTTCTTTTTCTTTCAACAAAAAAGGTTAAGTTTTTGTCATTGCTTACATCAGTAACAAAAAACAAATAGACAAACTTTGAAAGGATTGAGGATGGTCAACCCTAGTCAAAGATTGTCTAGCTCATGTTATTTATTCACATTCATGATATGAGTTTATTATATCCATGCTCTTCAGTAATGGCATTGATAATAGGAAGGTTGATTTGGAAAAGCAAAATGTTAAACACTAACCTGAGAAATAATCTGTGATCTTTTCTTCTCTCCAAATTAGTAAAACAAACACTGTGAGCTTTAAAATAATAGAGGTGTGTACTTGGAAATAGTGGATTGCTCTTTTCCGTTTTCCCAGCTGCCATGCTATGGCTAACATGATACTCGAGGTTGTAGCAGAACTTCCAAAGTAAACTTGATCTTTAGAGTTTTACAACAATGATGGGTGAACTTCAGAAAGTTCAGAGATTTTTCTGTCCAAATGGAGAAATAACATTCTTGTGCCAGTTTTCTGTATCTCTGAATTATTTAGTTGAAGTTTTCACAACAATGGCAATTTCTTGACCGTTTCATGCTGGTGACAGGAAATTACACAAGTAGAGTAAGTTTTCTCAACACCCATTCATCAGTTAGCAACAATTCATTGTAGTTTCTACTGTTTAGCCTGAGTCTAGATGCAAATGTTGAAAATGAGGGATATGGTGTTCAGGTTTTCAAAGTGAGATATGGAAGCCCACTCTTTATAGATCTGCCTTGTATCTTGATACAACTTTTTGGTCTCTGTCTTTGAGGGAAGCCATCCTTTAGACACACTCCTAGGTTGTCAGCTATGCCACCAATGAGAAGGGCAGATTATCTCAACCAGGGTTTATCAACAAATGAAGGACAATTTTCTATTCTTATCCTTTACAATTCTAGAAAAAGCAAAAAGCAAGACAAAACAAAAGATGTCACCCAAAGATGTTTTCAGTACAACGGAATCAAACTCTAAAATAAGATGTAAAAGGCCAAGCATAAAGTTGGACAGTGATGGTCTTCCAGATATTCAGTTACACTATCAGGCCCTCAGAGCAATGATCTCAATTTATTTTGTTGGACAATTTATCATTCACAGCACACTGGCCCATTTACACCAAAGGAGGAGAGATCAGGCATTGCACACCCACCACACAACCACCCAAGTTGCAAACTGCAGAGCCAGGGCTTGAATCGTGATTTCGGCTTCTAAATCCATATCGTTACACTGCCTATGGGGTGAAATCTTCAGTTATATAGATAATTTTTTTTTATTTTTCAAAATATTTTTCAAGATATTGTTGAATTGTAAAAGCATCACTTGTGCCTAGGTTCAAATCCTGGCATAGCCACTTATATCAGTGGGCAAGTAGTGTGATCTCTTTAAACATCAGTGTCCTCAACTATAAAAAGACAGTAATAATTCTACCTTCTTAAGGTTGTTGTAAGAATTAAATAGAATAATTCATGCAAAGCATGGAACCTAGTAAGTGCTTGACAGAATGTGGCTTTAATTGTTGATAATAAAAATGATCTATGTTCATTGTAGAAAATGTATCCAAGTATTAAGAAGAAAATATCTCTCATAAATCTACCATCCTGATACAATCCCTTAACCATTACAGCAGATTTTCAATTTTTCTAGGTAATGCTGCATAATGCATTTCTTTGTTATGAAGATTTTCAAACACACAAAAGTTAAAAGGCAAGTGCAATGACTACACATGTATTTTCCTCCTAGAGTCAATAATTATATATACTTTGCCATATTTGCTCTGTGTGTGCGTATGTGTTTAGATTTTGCTGTTTCGTGTCCTTATGCATTACCTGTGTTGGATCTTCCTCAGTACTACTTCCAATTAGAAAATCCAGGGAGTCGGTAAGCAGACATACATATATACATATGTGTTTTTTTGCTGAAATATTTGAAAGTAAACTGCAATTATCGTAGCATTTCACTTATAAATATTTCAATATGCATCTCCTAAAAATAAGAACATCCTCCCACATAATCATAATATCATTATCGCAAGAGGATATTCACGATTATTCGCTAACGTCATTTAATATCCAGTTGATATTTAAATTTTTTAAATTGTCCCCCAATGACTTTTTGCTGTTTATTTTCAAACTATTTCATGCATTGTCTTTTGTTATGCCTCTTTGATCCTAGAACGGTCTTCTCACCAGTTTTACATTACTCTAAGTATACTTTTTAATGATGCATACATTCCAGTGTAGGCACAGTCGTGGCCAGTCCCTCAGCTTAGACATACAAATGGTTTCCTTCTTCCCTATGATGAATCGTGCTAAGATGAATACCTTAGTGCATTGACTTCTTTCACCTTTTCTGGTTACTTCTGAATATTTACATTTTTTAAAAAGATAAGAAAATATTTAAAACCCTTCTTAGATATTAGCAGACTACTTTCCAGAAGGGTTTTATCCACTGCTATCCCCCCAAAGTATTTGAGCATGCCAGGATAGCTGGGGCTTTCAAAGCCTCCTTGTCCTGAGGAGTCCTGGTTTAAATGCCACATTCTCCGGAGGACATTTTCTGGTCTACACTGGGCGAGTTCCCTTGCCATGCATTGTTTCTTGTGATTACTTAATTATCAGCTCCTCCCCTCTAAGAACAAGGAATCTTTACTTGAAGAGGCCAGTTTTTCTCTGAAATTGGGAGCTCAATGAAGCTGGTTGATTGCTTTTAGTATTATGCCAATATTAAAAAAAATTTAACATAAAACTTCTGGCTCTTTTAATTTTCACCAAAACAATACTTTATGATTAAATATTACCCTATGTACATTAAATATTGCCATAACTTTAAAACTGATGGGACTCTATTCCTAAGGGAACCTTTGGAAAATTCTTATTTTAAAATAAAATAACCCAAATAACCAATAATATGTGAGTGGTTAAGTAAGTGTTGCAAATCTACATGATAGTACAGTCTGTACACATTAAAATTTATATTCATAAAGGGTTTATTATAACATGAAGAAGTGCTTGTTAAATGATATGGGTGAAATAACTGTTAGAAATTTAGAATGCTAAATATGCCACAAAAAGGCTAACAAGATACAGCAACTGCTGTACTATGGGTGATCAAAATAGCTTTTCTCATGTATTTTTTTTCTTTCTGACCAAAGCACAGTAAGAAAGATGGAGCTTTGAAAAGCATTATTTAAGCATCCACAGCCCCTGTTTACAAAACTATAAAAGAGAAAAAAAATGTTTACTCATGGTAATTTCTTTCTTTTCTATCTGATTTTGTAGCATGAATTTAATGTTAATGCTACTTTAATATATAAAGAATCTGGCAAAAATCAACCAACTAGCCAGAAAACAAACAAATAAATAAATATTTCATAATCTTCCATTTCCTTCTGAAGATTTTCAGGTATATTCTATCACAAGAGCATTTATGATTATTCCATTTTTAAAATTTACAGTCCCCTTGACAAAATTTATCAACACCTCTATTTGATCTGATGATACACATCAGTTGCCAGGTACATAACAAACAGCAAGCTGTTTCACTGTCTTCATCTTGAGCTGTAATTAAAGAGTATTTACTAAGCATTACTTGAACCCAACATTATACCTGGTATTATAGCAGCTGGCACTGTGGACCCGGGCCCCGAGCTACAGAACCTTACAGCTGATGACCTGTGATCAACATACTCATCTTTCCTCTAACCACATGACAAACCTCCTGGACCCAGAGCCAAAGGAATTTATGGTTTTCCAGGGAAACATGATATTTGCTTTGACAGTTTCACATAGCTTTATCCCAAAGGCAGACAAAGAGCTGAAGTTTCATCTTCACTCGCCTTTCCTGGGATCAAGCCCTTTGATGGAAGGAGATCACTGGGAATCCATCCCTAGGCCTGGAGGTGTCAGAGGCAGAAACCAGACATACATATCCTGCTCTTTGGTCCTCTGGGAAAATACCTAGCCATCACTGCCCTCATCCACCAGTCTCATGTTGCCCGCCTGTCTCCAGTGTTAGCATAAGTGCTGACTCCCCAGCACTGTGTGTGTCTGGGAGGGCAAGAGGAGTGGCAAACAGCCAGCTGGTGACGCCTGCCCAGAGCCCTGGCAGACCTCATTAGGCTCGGACTGGTCTCTGAAATGCTCTACCACTGCTCCTGCCTGGCACCCAAACCCCTACCATTTTAAAGTGAGCTTTTCACATTCCATTCTTCCCCCAAGTCCTGCAACGTAGGGCCTGCTTTTCTCACAGCTCCAACATCAACACTTCTTTTGAGCAAAACTTTTGCATGCAATAGATAGTGCTAGTGCCAATGCATCTTAGCCAGCTTCTACAGTCAAAGTGAAACAAAGAAAGGAAACATTACAAAAATCGGTGTTGTGGAATGGAACCAGACAAAATCAGTAATAGTCAGTGTGCCCCTTTGATGACCTAAATGTTTAGCACCTCAAAGGATTTCTAAAGGTGTCATGCACAGAGTTTTGAGAGGGAGCTGGCATTTTCAGCCAAAAGCTGAGGGATCCTCTGAAACAGATACCGTCAAATATGCAGACAGGTTGCCATGAGGCAAAATGGGAAGACGTATCTGGCTGTGCATACCAAATACCATCTCAGAGTGGGGTTGTGACTTGTAGGATAGACATGAATATGATGCACCCAGCATGGCCATGCGTGGGAGCTCCTCCGTCAGGAAACGTGGTGTGTTAGATAAACTGGAAGAGATTCAGAGAGGCTGGAAATTGGGGGCAGGAGGGGGATGGTTAAGGCGGTAAAGGCGGTTTTTTAAAAGACAGGAAAAAAGGGTTAAGCAAGGAAACTCCATAAGGACCTCATAGGCCCTGTGGAAGAGTCAAAAGTCATTTAAGTGTTAAGCAGGCTTGTTGCATAATTGGATTCACGCTTTAGAAAAGTTACTCTTGCTGAAGCACGAAGAATGAATTGAAGGGGGGCAAAGCAGAGGTAGAAAGACCAGTTACAACATCTAAGTGAAGGATAACAGTCGACAATGAGACACATCAATGGATTTGGGAGGTGTTTAGGAGTAGAATTTGTAAGACTTAGTGATTGCCTAAGGGGATGTGGTGAGGGGAACAATGAAGGAAGAAGAAGAACCTCTAATGACTGCCAGAGTTTGGCTGAGGCTTTCAAGGGAATGGCAACACCACCCAATGCGGGAACAGGAGAGGCACATGAGGGATGATACGCATCAATTCAGGTTTTGGTGGATTGGGTTAAAAATATCTTTGCAAGATCTTTACTAGGTAGCTGGAGAGATACCATTGAAGACCTGTTCTATGTATAAAATCTGGAGTGGCCAGCACAGACAGTAATGAAGCTGAAGGCATGTTGTGGGTGAAAGGGGTGTCTAATAAATAGGGACGGAAGGACACTTGAGTGTTTGAATACTCTGTTCATTTTTGGCAGCTTATTGCGAATTCATGTAACAATCCTTCCTAAGAGCAAGTTCTGGAGGAAGGAAGTATGAATCGCTGAGTTTAAGGATGGGGGGTGGGGGTGCAAAAATAATCAAAGTGGAGAAATAATTCTCAGAGTTACCTTCATTATTGAGTACTTACTATGTGCTAGGCCCTGTACCGAGTACTTAATATACATTGTTCTACTGTATTTCATTTAATTCTTACAACAAGCCTACATAAAGTAGATACTATTATCTCCACTTTATGTTAACAAGAGCTGAAGTTTGGAGATTCTATTACTCTCTATCCCTGTTGTTTAATCTGATAGCCGCTAGCTGCAAGTGGCTGTTAGGAATTTAAAATGGGCAACAAAGAAACTTAATTTTTTATTTAACTCCAAATTCTCATTTAATTCAAATTTTATTTTATTTCACATTAGTGTAAATTCACACTTAAGAACTAACACTGGATTCAGTTATTGAAAAATGCTTAAATATTTTTGGAACAATGTGAGTATGTGAATCAATTTTTTCAACTCTAAGTTTTATGAAATGTAACTACAGATCAAGTATTTCCAATGAAAAATTTGTGTCTGAATTGAGATGTGTTGTGAGTGTAATTTTTCGAAGATTCACTGTGAAAAAATATATGAAATATCTCATTTATAATTTTTATATTGATTACATATTGAAATAATGTTTTGAATATATCAGATTAAAAATATATTGTTAAAATTAATTTCACCTGTTTTACCTTTTCACTTTCTTTTATGTGACTACTGGACATTTTTCAATTCCCTAAGGGAATTGAGTTCCCCGGGGCTGACGGGGAGCACGGCCTGGGCAGCCCTTTCCCGAGGATGTCCCAGTGGAGACGGGCTCACACCGAGGTGCGCGCACATGCGCGTCTGCGCGGTCCGCCGCGGGTGGACCGAATCTCACCCCGTGCCCACGACCGGCGGGCTTTCCTGTTTGCCTTTTTGAACTCTGTTTTCTTTGAGTCTTGGAGAGAGCCAGGGGCTGTGATGTCACTGTATAAACAGAGGGAAGGGTGGGGGCGAAAGTTGCATTGGAGCGAACCCGGCGGTGGAGGAGGGCTGGTGGGAGGATGGGGGTGGGGAGGGAGATTTTTTTTTTAAAAGTGGTTTGGTCTCGGGGGTGTAGGGGCAGCGGGGGACTCTGCAGAGTCCCGATAAAGAAACAGAATGGGACTGCCAGTCCCTAACCTAGGGGCGGGGAGGGGGACGTGGCTGGAAGAGACAGGGGTTGGTGGGGGGAGGTTGGAAAAATATGGGACGCCTAGAGCTAATTCCTCTGATTAAAAATGCATTAGTTTGGAGGTGTCAGGGACACGCAGCTGTTTTCAAGGAAAGCCTGGCTCCAAGAGGTCCTCCCCGGCCGGGCCGCCTGGCGGCTCCATCCCGGGTGGGTGTCAGCGAGCGCGCAGCCCCCGACGCTTGTCCTCTCCCTGACAGGGCCCTGGCCAATGTCCTGCTGCTGCGGGTCGTGGTAATTTACATCCTCTCTGTGTACATTAACTTATCTGCAGCCGCGCTGGCTGCGCTCCTTCAGTCAGCCTGTCTCCTGCGCAGCCTGGGAGCCTTCCCCGACCCAGCGACCCACCGGGCGGCCGGGGGCGACTGGGGAACCCTGGGAATCACAACAACCGCCCGGTTCCGACCCGGCCCGGACGCCCGCGGGGGCGGGGGACTCTGTGGGGCCAGGCGTGGAGGGCCGGCGAGCCCGGCTCGGGCAGGGCAGAGGCGGGCGGCCGGGGGCTGGCGGCGAACACTTAGTGGCTAATTCATGACTCATGACTCATGCGCAGGCTCCTCTTCAGTGACAGCCGGGACAGTTCCTGGTTATTTGTAGCCCCCCGGCTTTCATTTCGCTGTAATTAAGCAGTCATTTGAGGGTCATTTCATCCCCGTTATAGGTTTCTCTGTTTTAATCATGCTTTGAGTTCCAGTGGGGGCAGCAGGGAGTGGAAGGGGAGGTTGGGAAGGAGGCGTGGAGGGCAAGAGGGTAATCGTCTCTGAGAACGCGTGCACTTTTCATAACTCTTCCCGTGACAGGCCCTGGTGCAGGCTCCGCAGACGCCGACGCCCGGCGCTCCGCTCCGGGGCGCGGGCCAGATCCTCTTCCCTGACACCCGCGGTCTTCCCTGAGAAGAGGTCTGGCCCTTTTTGAGTCAGATGTTGGATTTTCTGCTTTCCCCTCTGGCACCACACTAATCATTCTCTTTAATCGCTGTAGCTTTTTAATGAGGCCAAGTAGGTATTTATGGAGCCGTCTACTCTCCAAACGCTGATGCTTGATAAGTCATTTATAACTTATCGGTGGGCTTTGCATAGGCCAAACCCAGAAGAAAGGAAGTGAGAATAAAATAGAGGCTGGATTTTACGAGGAACCTTCAGCGTATCTTCAGGTCCTAGATGGTACCAAGCCCTTGTGGGAAATGTTCAATCCATCAGACATAAGAATAAGAAACGGCCACAGCCTGTCCGAATTTTGTGAAAATTCTCTGGCTGTCATTCTTGATTTTTTTTTTTTTAATTCCCTCCACTTTCTCCTTTGGCTGGTTCATGTATTCTTTAGATATCATTTGAAGCTTCCATTCCAAGGCCAAGTCTAAGATGTTCTTTAAAGAAATCTTAAGCTATTGCATTTGGAGGGCACACAGATTGAAACTGAAAGGACTGGAAAGAAATAAAGGACAGAAACCAGATTTTCTGTCATTGCAAAGAGTAGGTGCCACAGGCTCCAAATCTCAGTAGATATTAAAGTTAAAGCAGGAGTCTGCGGTAACAGTAGGAGGGTGGTTGCTTTCAAAAGAGAAGGGAAGAGAGAAAACCTGTCCAAGAAAGGGCAGGAGAAAGAGTGAGAGAGAAACAACACAGACTAGAAAAACAAAATGAATGAATCAATCAACATATGAGTATTTAATGTGCATTAAGGAAACTTCAAAAATGTTTTCAGCCATAAAATGGAATAAAATACTGATACATGCTATAACCATGGATGAGCCTTGAGAACTTTAAACTAGGTGAGAGAAGCCACTTATAAAAGACCACATATTCTATAATTCCATTTAGATGAAACGTCCAGAACAGGCAACTCTATAGAGACGGGAAGTAGATTAGCTGTTACCTTGAACTGGGGGTGGGGGTAGGAGTAAGGGGACTGGGGGAGCGACTGCTAGAATTAATTGTGATGGTGATTGTACAACTCTGAATATGCTAATAACCACAGACTTACATGCTTTAAATGGGTGAATTGTATAGTATGTGAATTATATCTCAATAAATCTGTTACTGAAAACAGTTTCCGTTAAGTTAAATAGAAGCAGGTCCCAAAACAGCACCACTAAAAAATTCTCTTGCTAAGTGCACTGCTCCTTCCTATATGACAATGTAAACAGCAAATACTGTTCCTAGGACGGGGTCTGGTTTTTCACTTGGTCCCCAGTGCCTAGAACAATGCTGCTTATGGAAGGTACACAACAAATATTTGCTGGAAGAGAACTTGCAAATAACCAGATGGCCAAATTCAGACTTATACCACGCTCACCCTGCCATCTCTTCGCTGCACCCTCTAGCTTTCCAATATTATCATTTTATATATATAAAATATACAAATATATATTATTATATATACAAATGTATATTATTATATATAGTATCATTATTATTATTAATACAGCTAGTACTAATAACTAACAAACAACATTTTGTTTATATATTTTGTGCCAGGCACTGTACATATATTTGCTTCTAATCCTTATAAAACCCAGCAATGTAAACCCACTGAACCCAGGTCTGTCTGGCTCCCAAAGTTTTAGTCTATTATAAACACCGCCTGCTAAAAACACTAAACACAAAGGCAAGGAGAAACATCAACGAACATGCAAAAGAGAACCAGCCAAAGTCACCGACAGAGGAAACCAAAGAAAATCTGGTTTCTATGTTTATTTTAGTTTTAATTTTTATTTTTTTGAGACAGAGTCTCGCTGTTACCCAGGCTGGAGTGCAGTGGTGTGATCATGATTTCTATGTTTAAGCTGAAAGAAGTATCAAGAAGCATCACTCAAACACATCACTCAAAGAACGATGGCTTGTCTTATTTAAAATTATATCACTCATAGAACTATGGCTTGTCTTATTTAAAATTACGATAATTTTATACTAACCATGGATTATATATGCAACAGCTACGGAGGACTTACTATGTACATAGTTCACAGGAGCTTATGTTCGAGCCTGTTATAAAAGCTACTGTCTCTTAAAAAAAAAACAAAAATGAGTGCTCAGTATATTTGTCTAAGTAGTGAACAAAAGGTTTAACCGTACAGTAATGGAAACATTCTGGTTTCCCAAAACCTCTTCCTAAAGCTGAAACATTTTTGTGGAAAGTTAAGGAAAAGACCCAGAACTCTATGAAGGGCTGCCTAAATGACTACCCACAAAAGTAGCTGGGGAGAAATACAAATTAGAATACATCCAAACTATTCGAAAGCTACTGTGGTGTGTGCTTGGGCTTGAGCCTGCTGCCTAGGTGTTCATTAAGTGTTCATAATATTTCTTATGTCCATAATCCAAGATTCCAGACCCACATCCCAACCAAGACTCAGACCCGCCATCTTATCTCATGCATATTAGTTGGTATATATTGATACTACTTGTAATAATTATCCTAGAAAGACACAAAAACCTTCTAATAAAAGGTTCTATATTCCTCTATCTACTTTGCTATCAGAATTTTGCTCTAAGATTTATAATGAATAGCCCCCATTTTCAAGTTGGAAAAACCAAGTACCCCCTGAAAGTACTTACTGAAACTGTCCCAAAGATCCATAATAGTAATAGGAAAAAATCTCAGCATGTCCTTCTCCCAACTGTTAGAGATACTCACCTCCTATTTAATGTGATAGGAGGTGTTCCTTCTACTTACAAAAAATTCGTATATATATTTAATTTTTTCTTAACTAAGTCTGAAAAGGAGAGACAACCTAGGCCATAAGTATGGAAAAGATGTATAGTTTCCCTCTCTCCTTTTTATGGGCGACTCCAAAGTGAAAGTCCAACCACTTAGGCGGATGAGCTTCAAGAAACTCTTCTCAGGACTGTGGAATGTGCACTGTGTCTACAGTCATCCATCCCTAAGCATATGTGGTTGTCACCCTCTAGTGGATGATCTATGATAATAGTTGGCAGCCTCCTGTGGGGCACAAGCACGATATTATCCAAGACTCACCTATCTTTAAGACGTAAATGACAGATAAGACTGCACCACAACTCTTCAGTCTTGGACACATATTTCCTAGGAAAATGGGTGCGCACGTGCTGTTTATTCAGTCTGCCATTCCCTGCTTCTTTTGAGTCTGTGTTTGTGTTTCCTACTGGTGTCTGGCATTTTCAAGAACAATACACATTTCCTTGAGGCAGACTTCTCCTACCATTGAGATAGTCCTAGGCAATTGATTCCCAGATATTGTTTGTATCCAGACTGGTCTTGAAAGCTTTCTCTATCTGCAGGTCTACTGGGTGTACCCAACTATTTAGCTGGTAACCAGGCACTTGCCAGTAGAATGCCAGTTCTGTGTTGAACAATTTGATCTACCTAGGAAAGTTGTGGACGATAAATATTGTTTCCATGTTTGCCGCTGTGTAAGGAGCCTAAACATAGATTCTTAGAGACTCTGATAGAATTTTTAGAGGTGGAAATGATAGGGTTTGCATTACCTTAAATTTTCAAGACTCAACACCAAGCATTAGATTGGAAAATAGAACTTTTTACAAAAGCCCTCTAAAATGAAGTCTGGCTTTGAATTCATTAGTATTACTAGATTCAAAATATAATCACATGATTTTCTTCTCTCCATTTTATTAGGTAACTGAAGATTTACATCTGTAAATCTGGATGGGAACTGAATTCCTACATCATAGACAGTTTCAAGGAGGGAAGGATTATGTGTTCAGGAAATACTCTGCATTCTCAAAACTCTACATTGTTGGTGCTTAGATTTGCTCTGTGAGAACCTACTGAAATAAACCTTTTCTCTGGAAGACAAGTACAGTTTCCCGAAGATCTGTTTATTTGCCAGCAGAGGAGTTGAATATTTGAAGCCAAGCCACCTTGGTTCTAAATCTGTGGTTAAATGGAAATCAGAGCACTGAGATATGCGGTGCCCCTCCCCACTCTTACTCATTTGAAAGATGAAGAAACTGAGGCTTGGCAAGGTTGAGTGGAGTTCACATAGCTAGCTAACCACAGAGCTGGCACCAAACAGGAGCCCAGCTCTCCAACTCCTAGGCCCTTGCCTCTCAGGTGGAATTTTCTTAGTGATTAGGAGAAAATCAGTTCCCTAGCCCTGTTCACAAGAGTTTATATTCTGTTTGGTTAAAAAGCATTTTTCTTGTTGTAAGAAATAAGTAACATAAAATTTACCATTTTAACTTTTTTTTTTTTCCCCATAGAGTCTCGCTCTGTCACCCAGGCTGGAATGATGCAGTGGCGAGCTCTCAACTCACTGCAACTTCCACCTCCTGGGTTCCAGCAATTCTCCTGCCTCAGCCTCCCAAGTAGCTGGGACTACAGGTACGCGCCACAGCGCCCAACTAATTTTTGCATTTTGTAGTAGAGACGGGGTTTCACCATATTGGCCAGGCTGGTCTCAAACTCCTGACCTCATGATCCGCCCACTTTTGCCTCCCAAAGTACTGGGATTACAGGCGTGAGCCACTGTGCCTGGCCCATTTTAAGTGTTTTAAGTGTACAATTTTGTGGCATTAAGTACATTCACATAATTGAGCAACTATCCCCAGCATCTATTTCCAGAACTTTAAAAAATCTTCCCAAACAAACTCTGTCTCCACTATCTAATAATTTCTCATTCTCCCCTACCCTCAGCCCCTGGCAACTACTATTCTACTTTTTGCCTTTACGAATTTGACCACTGTAGGTGCCTCATATAAGTGGAATCAAACACTATTTGCCCCTTTGTTACTGGCATGTTTCACTTAGCATATTTTCAAGGTTAATCCATGTTGCAGCATGTCAGAATTTCCTTCATTTTAAACGCTAAATAATATTCCTGTGTTTGTCTGTGTGTGTGTGTGTGTGTGTGTGTGTGTGTGTGTATTACACTTTGTTTTGTTTGTCCATTCATCCGTCAATAGATACTTGGGAAAAATATTTTTTAAATGCACAATAAAAATAAATATAAATATGTAAGAAGTAAAAGCATCTCTGCAAGAGGCTTGAGGCTATATTTGTTTAAAAAAGACTGCTGGGAATTGCTGGAGTAATTAAAGAGTAATTTAATAATTTTACACAGAACTATTTTAAATTGAAACTGTGAGCTTTGGTTTACTTACCTTTATATTCTCTACCACCTCCCATGGCATCCTAGCATCAGCACAGGGTCACATGTGGTAGGTACTCAATAAATATATGCTAAATTTCCAAGTCATGCATAGGAAAAATCAAAGGCAATCTATATTATCATTGTTTTTCCTTTTTTGTTAATTTTATTTACTACACAGTGAACTGATTACTACAGTCAAGCTAATTAACATATCCATCTCTTCACTTAGTTACTGCGTATATACGTGTGGTCCGGGGGAGGGAGGGAGAGAACATTTGAAGATCTACTCCCTTTGCCAATTGCAAGTATGCAATACAGTATTATCAACCACAGTCACCAGGCTGTACATTAAATCTCTGGCAGTATTCATCCTGCATAACTGAAACTTTGTGTCCTTTGGGCAACGTTTCTTCAGTTCCCCTCCACTTCTGCTCCCAGTAACTACCTTTCTGCTCTGCTTCCATGAATTCGACTTTTCTAGATTCCACATAGCAAGTTCATGTCATGATTTTTCTTAATCATTCCAGAGGAAGATGATCTGCTTCTGTGATTATTCCAGAGGAAGATGCAAAAGTTCCTGGCAAAAATCTTATATATAGAAAGAACGTTCTCCTGGAAGAACAACGTATTAGCCAAGGTTCTTAATTTCAAATAATGGAACTAATTCTAATTCAAAAGACCAAGCCCAAAAAGAGTTGACTGAAAAAATATTGCATCTCTCATGGAATTGCTAAATGTCTGGAGAACCAGGCTTGAGGATTCCAGAAACAATGTCCAAAACCATGTCCAAAACTGATCCGAGGAGGAAAACACCAAAGGTTATGCCAATGCCAAGCAGTGGGGGCTCCTCTTTGCTCAGCTGCCAGGACATAACTGCACCAAACAACCATCCTGCCACTTCTACCCAGGAGCCCAACTTTCCAACCCTGGTGTCCTGGATGCCTAGAATACCACCTCAACAACCAAACTGATTCCATAGAGCCCCTCCCTCAAACAGTAACACAAGTCACATTTAAGTATAGTGATTGGTGGGGTGTGGGTCACATGCCTGTGTCCAGCTACAAGGTGGCTGGGAAGAAAGTTCCCTATTTTCTCACTAAGAGATGTGGGGCACGTAAGGAAGATGATTTCTTGCATATAAAAAGGGTGTTCAAAAAGTACTGGGCAGCCACTACTGAAGGTAAAAGGACTATGTTTTCCCTAAGAATTATCAGGCAGAAGAACAGATAAAATCCTAGCTGGAATAATTCGAATAGTGATTATTTTTAAACACTATTAACACCTAAGTGGCAAAAGCAGAATAATATGGCAAGTGTTCCAGTTCAGCCCACATTGCCACTGTAAACTTACAAAGCATCACTGGAGAGCTTCTCCCTCTAGAAACGGATTTAGACTTGATAAGGAAAACCAGAGCTCAATTAGCAATAATTGATAGCAGCTGAAATGTTCAAGGAAAGCTCTGTACCTTGTACTTAGATGTTTGAATTACTGTTTTTGCACCAATTCTTGTGCTTTTCTTCTACATTTTGATAGTGAAAGTTAAATACTATATATTGCAATTTTAAAGTATATATATATTGGCAAAGCAAAAGATATAGGTCATGTGTTAGAACCTTTATTTTCTGTTTTCACATTTTATTAATGGACATGTATATACTCAGCTTAACATCACCAGGCAAAACAGATCTATTCCTGGAAAGAAATCTCTACAGGGCTAGAGTTGCTGGCTCTGGCTTATTGGAGATGGCCAGCATGAAGGCAGTCACATGCGTCATCTTAGAACAAAGCCTGGAATCAGATATCAGAGTCAGAAGAACCTAGCTTCATCTGAAAATGGTTTTTCTCCCAGAAAGACCTCAGATGGGCCAGTTTCTCAGTTTCACAGGTTGTCATGATTACAAAGAAAAGAAAAGGAAAATAACCAAATTTTATGAAAACCCATTTCAGAGGACTATCAGGAAATTCCGTTTGTGATAGTTAAAAGTCAACAGCTTATCCCAGATCAAGCAAGTCTGCCTGTTGAGAGATGTGTGCAATTAACTAACATTTTTCCCCTTGTAGTAGACTTGATTTCTTCAACTACATATGATCTATGTTTTAAAAAGAGGATTCATTAAAAACACTAAAGTTGATGGAGAAAAAAATTTGGTCTATATAGCAAACATTCCTTGTATAATGTTTCACAAAATTAACAGGTTTGGTTCATTAAAAAACGCTATTTGACACAACTTTTCTTCATTTAAGTGGCTAAAAGCACTATATACATTTTTCTTAAGATCCATAGATCTAATTTATTAGCTCTATAATCTAATAAATGCACTGTGAAGAAAGAAAAGAATGGTAAGTTTTATTGGCTCAATGTAGAAAATAAAAATCATAGGCTGGAATAGAATAATGTTGAGCCTGAAGTTAATCTTCCAGACAATCTAATCTAGGCTTGACAAATACATGGAGTCAGGATAGGCACTTTCTTAGTTACTGTTTAAGGCAGACATAACTAATCAATCTCCAGACATAACTAATCAATCTCAGCAATTTCTAATTGAACACAGACATATACAGTCTCATAATTCTTCTTAAAACAGAGCTCTGGGTAGCCTCTACCATTCACTGAAGTTGGTGCATGTAAAGAAACTATTTGCTATAGCTGGTATTCTCACTCCTTTAATATATATGCATGTGGAGGATGAAAAGCATGCAGTGACCTACTTGATCATTGTCACCCAGCTAGTAAATGAAAGCATTAGCGTTATAACCCTGATTATCTTTGCATGACCCCAGTCAAACTCGTAAAGTTATGGCATGTGTGACATTCAGCTGATTGCAATTGAGTACCTGCAATTCCAAGTTTAGCAATTATGATGCTCCTGGAAAGAGTTTCTATTACCAACTTTATAATTTCCATTGAGAAAGAAGTGAAATAAGGAAAACATTCTTATGGCTTATGGTTATGTATGAGTTCCTTTATTGTTCATAAAGGAGATTATCTTTATTCATAATTTAAAGGAGAATGTTAAAACATTTACTGCATACAAAATTATTATTAGGCTATGGCTGCTATTTAAATGTAATGCCCTTAGAAACAGGGAATAAAATATAAAGAGATTGAGGCAAAAGAGCTCTTTTGCATTAAATCTTGTTTGTTACAACAAAAATTCACAATATACCACAAGTGCAGTTTATAACTATTTACCTTCATATTAAAGTGATGATGACAGTAAGAGTCTTTGGATTTAATAATGTCTTACTCCACCTATTAAGACAGTGTAATTATCTAGTTTTAAGTTTGATATAATATCCATAGATATTATAGCGATGGATATATATCCATCACTCTGTTCAACTCATGAGTAAAAGCAAAACACAGAAATTAGGTGCCTGCTAGTAAAAGTCTCCAAAAGAAAAAAAGTAGAAACCACTCTTGGTTGATAGTCATTTATTCACCTTATGTCAATGAAGACTTCTACTAACACATGATGTTTCTAGACTTTCTTCTTTCAAATATAGCTTTAAAACAATTTTTGTCACTATAATTCACACACATTATTTAAAAATCAGATTGTGCTAAGAAGCTTTTAATAAAAAACAGCAGCTACTCCATTCTCCCTCCCCTTTACACACACTCGCGTGCACACACACACAGAGACACTGTTTCTCTCTCTCTCTCTCTAAAACCCTGAAGGCAACCACTTTCAACTTTTTTAGCTGTTTATTTTGATATTTACTTCTGTATTTCTAATGAACATACTTATATTACTTGATTTATCTATTTGGACATTATCTGTTATGGTGAACAACATTTCAGTTCTTCTACATACCCCTTTTCCTTTCCTTTCTACTACCTCAATTTTTTGTTCACTCCCTAATCAACGTTCATTATTATGACTATGAACATGTTGTTTCCTATATTGCTGGGCTTTCCAGCAAAGTCGTGTTTTATGATTTAATTTTTCTTGCAAAGCTTTTTGTTTTTCTTGGAGTTAATAGTTGTCTCGTATTCTCATTCACTTAGGGGTCTGTTTTTTTTTTCACCCCTGCCAAATCTTTTCACACACCCCAACAGTTTTGTAAAGGGCCTCTCAATACAATTTTCCAGAGTCAAATCTAGAAATTGTTCTGTCAGTTTCATTTTGTTTTTCTGGAGTCATCCCTTATCCACCTGCTTCAGTTTGCCTAGCTGCTCTGTAGGTCTCCTGCACAGCTATTGTCCTGGTATTTCCCCTGGCACCTCCGCGGTATTAGATCCCTTCTTTCCAGGATTCCACATCTTCTCTTTTCTTGGCATACTCTCTTCTCTTTTCTTTGCATACTCCCTTATATTCCCTTGGTGTCGCATCCTTTGAGAGCTTCCTGAGAAAAAAAATGCATGGGACATAACTTTTTCTGAGACTTTCCATATCTGAAAATATCTTTATTCAACCCTCAAAGTTGATTGATAGTTTCACTGGGTATCAAATTTAAGTTAAAATATTATTTTTATTGAGAACATGAAGTCATTGCTCATTGTCTTCCAGCTTTCAGTGGTGCAAATGGAAAGGTCACTGCCCTTATTCCTGATGTTTTGCAGATGATGCTTTACTCTATCTTTGGAAATGTTTAGAATATTATTTTATTCCCTGTATTCCAAGTTTCAAAATGATGTGCCATAGCATGAGTCTTCTCTTAATTCACTGGTTTGACACTTGGAAGGCTCCGGTTGCTTAGTTATTAAAAAAATGTATATAGAGATAATTTGCACCTGTTTTGTTTCTTTCCATAATGCTCATTAGTATGGTATTGAATTGATTCTTTAATTTTCTCATCTTTTCCCTTTTGTTTTTCATCTCTGTGTTTTTATTCTACTTTCTGGAAGAGTTCCTTCACTTTGTCTCTGACCTTTTAACGGAATATTTTATTTCTGCTATCATATTTTTAATTGACTACAACTCTTGTTCTTTTTATATCTCCCTCATCTGTTTCATGGATACCATGTCTCTGAGAGTATTATAGTTTGCTTTTAAGAAGTTTTCTTCTCCTCTTGCAATGTCTGTCTCCTTCAAGCTCCTTTGCTTTCCTGTGTATTTTGGACACTGTCTTTCCTGGTGCAGGCTTCCCTCAATGCCATTTGTTGCTAGCTGTCTAATTCTATTTAAGAATGAGGCACTGAACACCTGACTGAGACCTCTGTGGGAAGCAGTGCCTCGCTGTGGAATGACTGGGCATCACTGCATTGTGGTCAGGTACTCCCATGCAACTGTACCTTCACATCCCTCCTGCAGGTGGTTCAAGGTACCCGAAGAAGGCTATTCCAAGGTCTTAGCTGTGGGTGAAGGCCTGGCCACGTTCTGAGATGGTGGGAAAGAGGACTGGGGTGGTGTACTCTTCGTTCCTAGCTTTCCTTTCCCTCAGCCCATCTCTACCTGCTTTGTGCCAATTGGCCACAAATTCAGAGCTTTCTGATTCAATCTCTTCAGGGCCTAAACTCCTGTCTCCTGTTGAGGGTGGGGTGGGTGCATTCAGCTGACTGCATCAATTGATGGAAACAATTCTGGGGTCTATAGTTCTATATGAACTTTTAAGGGACCTCCCATTTTTAGCATCCATCCCTGAACTTTTGCTAGAACCTGGTGCCCTATTCCCCAGACCTTCCCTAGGTTCTGTGGAGTGAATTGCCTCATCTACTAAGTGTAGCCCTCTGCAGACAGTTTGTGCTCCTGTCTCTCTCTCTTCTTTGTTCTATGGCTCAGGACTACAGAGGTTCTGGGTACCATTAGAAATGGAGTGTATGCATGTTTCTTGCTGTGGTTGCTGTTGGTCGATAACTTTTGCATAAAGAATGAAAAAGTTGTTATTTGGCCATCTTGAAAGAGGAAGTCTTGAACACTTGTTGGTGTTGGCTAGAGGGATATTCAGTGGCAAGTTGCTGAGCATCCTGAATCAGTTTGCTGGGACTGCCTCAACAAAGTACCACACAACTGTGTGTTCCAAACAGAAATGTAATGGCTCATGGTTCTGGAGGACAGAAGTCTGAAACCAAGATATCCTCAGGTTACTTTCTTCTGAGAGCAGTGAGGGAGGATCTGTTCTCTCCTGGCTTCTAGTGGTTTGCTGGCAGTCTTTGGTGTTTCTTGGCTTCTGCTGCATCACTCTGATCTCTGCCTTCATCTTCACACAGCCTTCTCCCTGTGGGCATGTCTAAGTTTCCCTTTTTAATAAGGACACCAGTCATATTGGATTAGGGGTCCAACATACTTCAGTATTACCTCATCTTGACTGATTACATCTGCAACAACCCTATTTCCAAATCAGTTCACGTTCTGAGGTCCTGGCCATTAGGACTTCAACATATGAATTTTTGGATGACAGAATCCAGCGTGTAACATATCCCATATATGACATCTTCTGATTAGGGCGACCCAGAATCCCACTCTGTTCAAAACAGCTTGGGTTTACACATCAATCCTGCTTAATTATTCTTAGCGATTTCCAGTCTCAATAATGTCCAAGTTTAAACAATAAATTATGGAGTCACACTACATATGATCCTTTCCACTTTCATGAAATTATCAAAATAAAGAATTTTACTGATATTCCCAGTAGACTGTAGACATAAATCTGGGAAATAGTATTTTTATGTTTTCCTGTTTTTATTTTATGGAGAAGTATATGTATGTAGATGTACATATACATGATTTTTATAAAATCTTATGAAAAAATACAACTATATTTTTATATGTATGTATGTATGTATGTATGTGTAACAAGCCATACATATGGTTTTAAAACACACCAAACTTATTGTGATAGAATAGTGTGGTATATAAGCAGAACTTTCAGTCTTTAAAAAAATTTTTTTATTAATAAAATGAAAGAAACAAGAAACAAAACAGAGTTTTATATGGTCAACAATAAATAAACTTCCATCAGTTTAAGAAAATTAGAAACTCAGACCCCCCAGGGTTCACAAAGGTTCTGAATTTAGCCAAATCAACAGCTTCAAACCCATATTTGTTATGAGATTGGGGACAGCTCAGTTCTTTCCATGGCAACCAACTGTGCTGTCATAAACACTACAGGATGGTCTCTAAATGATCCAACAGTTGCTAGACTATGAGGGAGATAAGATCTTATTAAAAATACAAAAGTTGGAGCTTACATACAGGAATATGGAGATGTATTGACAAGGGGATTTGCATTACATGTAAACAGTACTTTCTCATTTGGCCTAATAAAGGAAAGGCCCCGTTTGATGAAAACTAATGTGGGTTAATGCTTATCTTCCTTAAATAGCTGTTACACAAATTACCTACCAACAGAAAAGGTCATAAGGAGAGGGAAAAGCGAATATAGGCAGCCTTCACTGAAATGTGTTTTGTGACTTTGTCCAAAATTATCACCCCACTACTAAAGCCATTGCTTGGTAAGAACTATTTTTCTCTCAAAAAGACAAAACTTATATTCTTTTCTAAATATAAAATGCATTCTCATTTTATAAACTTTAGAAATACATAAAACATTGAAAATCAAAATCAACTGTAATTCCACCACCTTAAGAATTTTTAGACTGGAATCATGCTGAACATAGAATTTTATATATTCTTTTTTCATATAGCATTACATCATGAGCTTTATCACATGTCATTTAAAAATCCTTCACAAGCATGACATTTAATAAATGCCTAATAGTCTCTCATATGGACAAACCATAGTTTATTTAACCATTTCCACATTGTGGTGGATGTTTTTAATGAACCTAATTTTTCAACATTATTAGTATTGTAGTAAAGAGCATCTTACAAATAAACCTTTATTTATGTTTCTTATTGTTTTATTAAAATACATTGCTAGAAATGGAATTATTAGGGAAAAGGTTCTGAAACACTTTTAAGATTCTCCCACTTTAAACAGCTTTTTCAGAATTTTTCTCTATTCTTACTTGCTTACAACCTCAGATGCACTTCATTTAAAATTTTATTCTAGAAAACAATTCTTTAGAATTTTCATTGGGATTACATTAAAATCATAAATTTAAATGGAAAGAATTGACATTTTTATGATTTTTAGGAACTTGATATATATATCCATTTGTCCAAGTATTCTTTTATATCTCTCAATAAACTTTTATAGTTTTTTCATATTGTTCCTGCATATTCATTGTATTTTAAAATTTTTGTTGCTATATACAATCATCCTGTCATTGTATTGTTTAATCAGAGATTGCTGGAATATAAGAAAAATGGTTACTAATTTTAGAGATCTTTATCTTCTAATCAGCCAATTTGTTAAACTATCCTATTACTTACAACAAGCTTATAGCTGGTGGGGAGGTTTGAGTGCGTGTGTGTAAGGAGGGTATATCATCATACCAGCTAAAAATATTGTATTTCGCCTTTTTCTTTCCAGTGATAAAACCTCCTTTCTTAGGGTTCTTGTCTCTTCTATTGCCCACAGCTTTCAAAAAGTTAACTAACCGGCCAGGTAAGGTGGTTCACGCCTGTAATCCCAGCACTTTGAGATGCAGAGGCAGGAGGATCGCTTGAGCTCAAGAGTTTGAGACCAGCCTGGGCAACATAGCGAGACCTTGTCTCTACTAAAAATTCAAGAAAAATTAGTCAAATGTGGTGGTGCGCCTGTAGTCTTAGCTATTTGGGGGAGCTAAGGCAGGAGGATTGCTTGAGCTCAGGAGGTGGAGACTGCAGTGAGCCCGGAACGTGCCATTGCACTCAGCCTGAACAAGAGTGTGATCCTGTCTCCAAAAACATGATTCTAACAAAAATAACAAAAAGTTACCTTGTAAAGGTCATAGATGGCATTTTTGACTTGTTCTCAAGAGGAATAAGAATAACCTCTTACATATTACACCAATAAACATAATGTTGGTTACTAAGTTTAATATTGGAATAGACATATATAAATACCTATGTCTCAGGGGGTTGCATAGATAACAGGAATAAATGAAGCAGGCCAGCTATAAGATAATAGAGCTTGGTGGAGACTGACAAACTGGACAGTGCTCCTTCTAATGTGAGCTGCACAGCAGATACTCAGCTTAAGCCTATTATATCATATGAAATGTTAGCTTACTGTTAACATCCTAACCCTCATCTTTTTTTTTTTTTGCATGTAAGAGACAATATCTGATTTTATATGAAATCTCCCAATTATAAAATGTCTATAACAAATCATTTTCCCAATACTGTACAGGCCAAAACAAAAAAATTTAAAACAGTGGTTCTTATTCAGTTCATTTGCAAACACAGGTTTTGAATAAATATTCCTAACCGTGAGGAAGAATCAGTTTAATCCAAGTCTCTGAAGAGTTTTGCTTTTTTAGAAGTACATGTTGGCTGGGTGCGGTGGCTCACGCCTGTAATCCCAGCACTTTGGGAGGCCGAGGCAGGTGGATCACGAGGTCAGGAGATCGAGACCATCCTGGCTAACACGGTGAAACCCCGTCTCTACTAAAAATACAAAAAATTAGCCAGGCGTGGTGGTGGGAGCCTGTAGTCCCTGTTACTCAGGAGGCTGAGGCCGGAGAATGGCGTAAACCCGGGAGGCGGAACTTGCAGTGAGCCGAGATCGCGCCACTGCACTCCAGCCTGGGCGACAGAGCAAGACTCTGTCTCAAAAGAAAAAAAAAGAAGTACATGTTATATGTTATAACATCTTTTAAAATTTTTATTTCACTCATTGAATAAATAGACTTTCTAATATTAAAAATGCATTTCAAGGATATGATGAACAATACTAGAGTTTAATTTTGTTCATTAAAATTTTATTTGAGCTTTTTATTTATAATCAAATGTAATTCTTAAACTTTCAAATTTTTAATATTTGTTCTTGAGATATGTAAGTTTCATAAGATGAATTGAGGATCAGTAATATTCTGAAGTAGAATAGCATAGAAATTATCTGTTTCTTGAAAGTTTGAAGAAAGTTTACCTGGAAAATTATTTGGCATAAGGTCTTTTGAATTATTTTGATTTTTTTCCAAGGTTATTGGTCTATTTATTATTGTGTCAATTTTGGCCCCTTTTACTTTCCTTGAACAATGTATCTTTCCAACTTAACATCAAAGAATATTCCATAATATTCTCATAATTTTATGACCTCCGTATCTGCTGTTACATATTTTTTCTTAATTCTAATGCCTTTTTTATGATGGTTAAATCAATTTGTCAGGTTCCTTTGTTTGTTTTTTCATAGTGCTATTTTCTTCACAGAACCATCTTCTACGTTTATCCTATGAGGTTTTTAAAATTTGTTTTTAAACTTAGTAATTCCTGATTTTGGCATCATTACTACATATTTCTTTCCCAAAGTGTATTTTGTTATTATATATCTAGCTTCTTGACTTCAATGATTAGTTCATTTATTTTCATTAATAATGACAACCCTTAAGGCTATGAGTTTTTTTCTCCAGTAGAGCATTGGCTTAATCCTGAAGATATGATATATAATATTGTTACTTTTTTTCTTTCTTTCTTTTTCTTTTTTTTTTTTTTTGTTTGAGATGGAGTCTTGCTCTGTCACCCAGGCTGGAGGGCAGCGGCGTGATCTCAGCTCATTGCAACCTCTGACTCCCGGGTTTAAGCAATTCTCTGTGTCAGCCTCCCAAGTAGCTGGGGTTAAAGGCATCTGCCACCATGCCCAGCTAATTTTTGTATTTTTAGTAGAGACGGGGTTTCACCATCTTGGCCAGGCTGGTCTTGAACTCCTGACCTTGTGATCCACCCTCCTCAGCCTCCCAAAGTGCTGGGATTACAGGCATGAGCCACTGCACCCGGACTTGTTATTCTTTTTCTTAATAACAGACTTTTTCTTAAGTCTGTTATTGTGGACTTGACGTTTTCATTGACATATATGTTTAGAAATTTTGAAAAATATTTACAAGGATTAGAAGAATTACTATTTAAACTTTGTTAATTTTTCAATTCATTATATTACAGTCATAGAATATGACCAGTTCAATTTTACATTATAGAATTTGTTGAGATTCTCTTTGTGATTGAGTATATAATAATTTTACTAAGTGTTTCATGGTAACTTGAAAAAGTACTTTAACTGAACAATATAAAGTTGAATATAAATCTAATCCAACCTCATACTATGATTCAAACTTCTTGTCCTTATGTTTTTCTATATGAGATTATAAAGACAGGAATCCACCATGACAATCGTGTTTCTGTTTCCCTTCTGCCAAGAACTTTTGTATATGTATAGATAAAACTCACCTGAAAGATAATGATTACTATATTTCTTTGTGGAATTTTTATTTATTAATAATTCTTCTTTCATTTAATCCTCTTTGGTTTTTCCTAAAATTAATATTGCCATCCTGTTGTTTTTCTAGAAAATATTGATGTTTTAAGTAAAAATACTAAAAACATCTCTAAAATATTCTGATTTATGAAAAACTCATAAGCAGTATACAGCTGTAACTTTTCTGATTATTTGTACTTCATTTGTTTAATTTTATATATATATATACATATATATTTTTTACATGAACCTGATTCAACTCTAGGTTGGATGGAGACTATTTTTAAGCAATTCCTTTAAGAAGGGCAGAGGGCTGGTACAGTTCTTGAATTATTAAATATCAATGTTTTTCTACAGTCATCATATGAGAATAAGAACATAGTAATATGCAATTTTTAGGTCATATCATTTCCATCTTAAACCTCAGTAGACACTTTTCCACTGTCTTTGGGCTGTTGGTTATACAATTAAAATCCTAGGGCTAGTGCTATTCTTAGACCTCAGTGGTAGATCCTTGCCCCAAACTGCGCCCCTCAGAGGGTCCCCACACTTTGCAGCGCCTTCCTTCAAATTTTGCAAGTCTTCATCTGGTGTCAGGGGCCAGCAGGGGCCCCCTAAATCCTGGCTGCAACCCATGTGGACCCTGATCCTTTTTCTTCCTTTTGAGACTCCAGATTATTTTGAATAACTCAAGCAGTTTATGTAGAAAGAGGCCCCATGAACAATATTTGTTCAGATTTCCGAAGGGTAGCTCTGCTGAGGCCAAGCTGATTTTTCTGTAACTTATTTCACAGATATAACAAATAGATACCATTTTATATATACGTTAAAGTGCACAGACCTTAAGCTTGACCAATTTTTTTTTATACTTTAAGTTCTGGGATACATGTGCAGAACGTGCATGTTTGTTAAAAAGGTGTATACTAAGTGCCATAGTGGTTTGCTGCACCCATCAACCTGTCATCTACATCAGGTATTTCTCCTAATGCTATCCCTCCCCTAGCCCCTCACCCCCTGACAGGCCCCAGTGTGTGATGTTCCCCTCCCTCTGTGCATGTGTTCTCATCGTTCAACTCCCACTTATGAGTGAGAACATGCGGTGTTTGGTTTTCTGTTCCTGTGTTAGTTTGCTGAGAATGATGGTTTCCAGCTTCATCCATGTCCCTGCAAAGGACATGAACTCATTCTTTTTTATGCCCGCATAATATTCCATGGTGTATATGTGCCACATTTTCTTTATCCAGTCTATCATTGATGGGCACTTGGGTTGGTTCCAAGTCTTTGCTATTGTTAATAGTGCTGCAATAAACATACATGTGGATGTGAAGCTTGACCAATTTTTATAAAATGTTTATACCTATGTGACCACCATCCAGATTAGGATACAGATACATAATATTACCAGCATTCTGGAAGTCTCCTTTGTGCCCTCACCCAGTCACACTCCCAACATGCAAGCATTATTCTGACTTCTCTCACCATAGATTACATTTTTTCCTGTTTTTGAACTTTATATATATGAAATCATACATTGTGTACTCCTTTGTGGCTGGCCATTTCACACAGCGTTATATCTGTGAGTTTATCCATATGATAGCATGTAGTAGTAGTTCATTTTCTTTTCATTGTTTGTAGTCTACCATAGTTATAAATCTTCCACAATGTTTCCATTCCACCACTGATGGACATGTGGGTTGATTCTAGCTTAGGGTTAGTGTTAATACCGTGGCACTGAACATTCTTGGACGTGTATTGCTGTAGCATGTATTCCACTAGGAGTAGAATTGCTGGGTCATTGGGTACACATTAGTAGATGCTGTCAAACAGCTTTCAAAAGAGGCTGTACCAGTGCACATTCCCACTACTAATGCATGAGGGTTTCTGTTGCTTGACATGCTCAGCAAGCTTTTATAGTACCAGTGATTTGTTTTCAGTTAGCCCTTCAGGTAGATATATAGTGGTTTCTCACTGCGGTTCTAATTTGCATTTCACTGATGAATAATATTTCCCTGATGACAATACTGACCACTTTTTACATACTTGATTAGTCTAAATATCTTCTCTTGGAAAATGACAATTGGAAAATCTTACTCTTTTGTTATTGGATTGTTGGGTTATCTACTTTTTTCAAATTAATGTATAAAAATTCTCTGTATATTCTAAAACCAAGGTTTTGTTGCAGAAGTCTATAAATCTACTTGCTTTTCTGCACCTTTAATGATATTTTCTGATTAAAACAATCTAAATTTTAATAAAGTCTATTTAATCGATCTTTTTCTTTCTGGTTGGTACTTTTTAAGAAGCTTTGCCTACTCCCAGGTCCTAAATATATCTTCTTGCTTTACCCTTTTTATTTTGGTCTGTAATCCCCGTGGAATCGATTTTCTGTGAATGAAGTGAAGAGGGAGTCCAGTTTCATTTATTTATAGATGTACACACATTTGCTCTAGCAGCATTTGTTCGAAAGACCAATCTTTTCCCCAATGGCATTACTGCAACACATTTTTCCTTTTCTATTCTTTTTAATTTTTAACTTTTTTCACTGATATATAATAATTATACATATTTATAGGGTACATTTTATATTTTGATATATGCATACAGCGTGTAATGATTATATCAGGGTAATTAGGATATCCTGCAACACAACACATTTTTTTTTTTTTGTAAATTTGATGACTGCAGTACCACGTTTAGACACAGGCAAGAGAACCCCCGCCCCAGGCCACATGCCTCAGGGAACCACCACACCACCCTCCATTTGAAGTGCTTTCCTTCCATTTTCCTTAGGCTCCTGTGGCTGACAGTGTTGTCTGGGTGCCCTGAGCCAGGATGGGGACCTGCATGTGCTTTGTTCCCGTTCTCCCTTTTGAGGTATTCTTCGACCCTCTACCACTATATAAGAATCCAATCACATGCCCTGAGGAGCACCTGGTCCACTGCTGACCTTAAATTGGTCTTAAGCTGCACCTGTGTGGGCCTGTGTCGGCTCACTCATCCATGATCGGACGGTGGTGCTGCTCCTGTGCAGCAGTGGAGGCAGTGGCAGGCATGTTCTACTCTGCTCCAGGCAGTGGTACCAGGGTGGTCATCTCACCCCTTCCCTTCCCTGCCACATGTCAGGTAGTCGCCATGGGGTGGTCTCAACTACCTCCTCCAAGGGCTTCCAGGACTACTGCTCCTCACTGGAAATGGGCACTTCCGATTGATTCATGTTCTTTTTTTTTTTTTTTTGCCTCTGATCAATGTGGTGATGTCATGTTCTCCCAGGTTGGTCTTAAGCCATGCCAGATAATAGACAGACATTCTTTACATGAATGAGGATTTTATTTTTGCTCTACCCATGGAACCCTCCTCCCTGCTGACAGGGTATGGAAGGCAAGGCTGTAATCAACACTGAAAGTGATTCCTAGACTAATCATTTTCAATGTTGATTACTACAGCTTATGGAGTTCAAGAGAAGACATGATTGGAAGATATTTTGTTCCGTATTTAAGCTATAAAATTCTGAATGGTAAATTTAACATGTTTAGACAACAAAATTTCCTCCATATTCTGCATAAGACCTGAATTTGTGGTAATCTTCAATGAAACATAGAAATAACCTTTGAGAGAGACGTTGGAAGTCCACAGTCATGAGCAGCATGATGGATGACTCAGCATCATGAATGATTCAGCATCATGAATGATGATGCAACCAACATTGAATAAACGGTAGTGGAGAACTGAAGAGGCAAGAAGATCTATTGTGTCTCAATGAAGTTTCTGAAGACCCTGGTATTATGAATATTAAGAGTCACTATCAGCCAGACTCAGTGGCTCATGCCTGTAATCCCAGGGATTACAGGGAGGCCGAGGCGGGCGGATCACAAGGTCAAGAGATCGAGACCATCCTGGCTAACACGGTGAAACCCCATCTCTACTAAAAATACAAAAAATTAGCCAGGCGTGGTTGCAGGCGCCTGTAGTCCCAGCTACTCAGGAGGCTGAGGCAGGAGAATGGTGTGAACCCGGGAGGCGGAGCTTACAGTGAGCCGAGATCGCTCCACTGTAGTCCAGCCTGGGCAACAGAGAGACTGTCCAAAAAAAAAAGAGTCACTATCTTTTCTTTGTGGTAGAAAATCTGAAATCAGCCAAGAATAGCACAGTTGAAAATAGTGATCGCAAAGAGATCACAATAATGATCACAGATGGATGGTTTCTGACCCTGAACAGGAAGAGACAGTGTCTGGACCTATGAAGAATCTTCACAGGCACTGATTGGATAATAAACAAACAGGGAAGTAGACCCACTCAACCCATTATTCTAACTCTTCATCAAAAATTCTTAAGTCTCATTTGGGCCCATACATTTTGTAATACATTTTAATCAAATTATTTATATAGTCAGGAGCCCTACAGAACATATTTTCCCAGGGTCCTACATACCCTACCAGTGGCCCTAGCTGACTAAATATGTGTGGATCTGTTTCTGGACTCTAGTCTATTCCACTGGCCAATATGTCTCTCCTCTCATCAACATTACATTGGCTTAATTATTATAGCTTTATAATAAGTCTTGACATCTACTTATGTAAAATCTTCAACTTCATTTCTTCTCTAACACAGTCTTGAATATTCTTGGATGTTTGCACTTCTGTATAAATTTTACACCAATTGTCCTCTCTCCTTCCACATACACAAACATGCACACACAAACATGCTGGGAAATTGATTGGGATTTTATTGAATCTAAAAATCAATTTGGGGGGAATTGCTATTTTTACCATATTGAATCTTCCAACCCATCAACATCATATATCTTTCCATTTATTCCAGTCTTCATTAAATGCCCTCAGCAACGTTTTATAGTTTTTGGTTTTCAGGAAAAAAATTAAATTAATTCCCAACTATAATAATGTCTAACACTTGGGTGTATTTTATTTTAAATTTCTTTTAGATTTTATTGTTAAATGTATAATATATGATTGATAAATATATACATATATACAAGATTTTGGGTTTTTTTAGTCTTCCATATATAATGTAAATATATGTACATATAAGTGTTATAAATAGTATCTTCTTATAAAATTAAGGTTACATTTTATGTAATGTTTCATTATGTACTTCTACTTCACATTAATCAACATTTTCTCACATAGCTAAATGTTTCTTAAAATACTTTTTAAAAAATTTCTGCATAGTATTTCATCATATTAATGTACCATAAATTATTTTAGCCAATGTTCTATTTTGGGTTACTTAGATTAATCCAATTTGAAAATGTAAATATTTCAACAAAAAACATCCATATATATAAATCTTTGTACACATCTCTAATTAGTTCTTTTGGATAAATTTCTAGAAGTGAAATGACTAGATCCAACGATATAAATTTTTCAATATTTGGATATACATTGCCAAGTTGCCCTTCAGGTAGGTGCTGGGTTACATTCCCACCAGCAGACTAAAAGCTGATTGTTCATTCTCTTCCTCATTAATATTGGATATTAAATTATTCTGCCAGTTTGGTGGAGAAAATGTTTTAATTTATATTTCTTTGATTACAAGTAAAGTTGAAATATGTATTTTTATATGTTTCTTGGGATTTTTATATTTTTTCTTTTATAAATTACTTGCTTACGTCTTTTGCCAATTTTCCTATTTAGGTGTACGTCTTTCTGGTTAGCACTTCGTTTATGTTAACGATATGATATCCATTAGTCATATAAGTTTTAAACATTTATTTTCAGTTTATTTGTTTTTTAATTTCGCCACTGTTTATTTAATGTATAAATTTAAACTGTCATAAAGTCAAATATTTTTCAGTGTTCAGTTCTTTTTCATTTGTGCTTAGGAAAGCCTATCTTACTCCAATACCAAATTTAAAAATCAGCTGTGTGTTTTCTGCTTCTTTTAAGATTTCTTAGCTGGGCATGATGGCTCATGCCTGTAATCCCAGCACTCTGGGAGGCTGAGATAGGTGGATCACTTGAGGTCAGGAGTTCGAGACCAGCCTGGCCAACATGGCAAAACTCTGTCTCTACTGAAAATACAAAAATTAGCCAGGCGTGATAGTATGCACCCGTAGTCCCAGCTACTTGGGAGGCTGAGGCAGGAGAATCACTCGAACCTGGGAGGCGGAAGTTGCAGTGAGCCGAGATCCCACCACTGCACTCCAGCCTGGGCGACAGAACAAGACTCCATCTCAAAAAAAAAAAAAAAAATTCTTTTTTTTCTCATTTAATATTGTAATCCAGCTGGATATGTGTGATAGGATGGAAGTAGGGTATAATTTTGTTTTGTTTTTATTTTTCTCCAGACATGTCACCGGTTGTCCCAGATCCTGCTACAAACACAGTAAGAAACATACAGGGCAGGATTAAGATACATGAATAAAAAGAAATGAAATGAAAAAGAAAAGTTTAAGACAATTGAAGGAAAATGATTTATATGGAAACAAGCGAAGGTGAGCCAATAAAGACTACAAAGGAGAGAACTAAAATAGTGAAACAAATTATTTTAAATTCGAATTTTCAAAAAATCACTTCAAGCTAAAAGAAGACTTTGTAGCTTGAAAAGGCATGCCATGTTCTAGGAAAAACAGACCCAGAACAGTCAACATCAAGTAAGTTTCCTGGAGGAAATCACCTATGAGGGAAAGATAGGCTGGCCTCACAGTTCTGCACAGTAACATTCAGTGACAGCAGAAGTCAACAGCTCTATTTTCAGATTCTCAAGGAAAGAAAGGCTGACCAAGAACTTTATACCCAGACAAATTATCATTCATGTATAAAGACAATGGAAAAACAATTTTGAACATGCAAGAGCTCAAGCATCCTTTTTCTTTTTAACCTTTCACAAACTTATTTATTTGAAAATACAAATATAAAATTATACTTTCCACATCTGTAATGTGAGAGACCGCCATCTACATAGTAATTTTGTACAACAGGGCTTTAAGAAAGCCACACACACAGACCTGAAAGATTCTTGAGATAGATAGATAGATAGATAGATAGATAGATAGATAGATAGATAGATAGACAGACAGATAGATACACACATACATACATACATACGTATGTATGTATGTATATAGATAAATAGATGATAGATAGATAGACATGTATGTATACATAGTAAAAAAAACTCACTACCAAAGTTCTCATCAGTTTCATACTAAAGTATAAAAGTAACGGTGAGGTCAGCCACAGTGCTAGGGAAAGTTTTATTTAGATACATTTATGTCCAGAGGAAACGCTTAGACTTGCATCCTATTACCTATGGAATTTGGAGTTTACAATACACCATGAACGGCAGATTGGCTAGCCCATGCTACTTAAAAAGACATTCACAGATTCCACACGGGATGGTACATTACGTACAGAATACAGCAGTAGAGAACCTTCGAGGGAGGCTCTGGAATTTTTGTTTTTCAGCCTCCAGCCCCCTGCCCCATCAGGCCCCTGCCTCCCAGAACTGAAATCCTGTCTGAGATAATACATTCTGATTATTTGATAGCTATGTGTTTGGTTTAAGGTTGCCCCCCAACCCCAAGAGGGGTGGATTTTATTTATATGTTTTTGTGTTTTAGTTTACTTACTTTTTTGGTGGAAAAAAAAGAAAGAAAAAGAAAACAAACATACTACAGTATTAAAATATTGCTTAACTTCCAGCATCTCCTTGTGTAGTGTCTGTGCCCAGGACGGGGCTGAGCTGACATCTGCCAGGTTTCTGCTTTGGGGTGAGGGTGGGGAAACCCGCCAGCATCTCTCTTCAGTGTGCTCTCAGTCCCTCTGCTCTACCCACTGCCTGCCTTCCTTGGAAGATAGCTTAGCTGCTGAAGTACATTTAAGAAAAAAATATATATATCCCCTCCCCCACCAACCCCCCACTCGCCCTCTGTCCCTGCGTGCCACTTGCGATCGATAAAGAGAAGTATGAGTCGGTGTTTCTTTTGTAAACAATTTCATATGCAATATAATACAGAAAGCATGACTGACCTTCAATTAAAAATGCAGTAAGCTATATTGCTTTATTCTTGCATATGCTGCAGTGAGCAAATGACAGAATGAAGCAATGTGGAAGTGGTGGCGGCTAAGTCCCTAGCCCTCATTTGCACTAAAGATCAAAATAGGTTTTGTTTTTCTATTTGGAACCAAAAATAAATTTTTTCCCCCAAAATCCTCAAAGAAAAAAGAGCAACAAGCAAAACCTGCCCCCAAGAAATCAAAAACAAAACAAAACCAAAACCAAAAACTGAACACCTTTCAGGTCATTAGAATCAACAATTACACAATGATTTTTAGACTAGTCTAGCAAGATGTGTGTAACATTCACTGGCTGTGATTGACCAAGCATCCTTTTTAAACTCCTGAACTTTGACCAACCAAGAGATACACACACACACACACACACACACACACACACACACTCACGCAGAGCCAAAAGATTCGCAGTGAAACTTAACCCTATTTGTTTGTACAATCAAGATCAAAACAAATCTAGGAAGTATGGCAACAGAGAAGAGTGTAAATGTTAAAAATCCTAACAACTATACAAAATAGAAATTATGTAAATTTAAAATAATTTGCAGAGGAAAGAGAAGAGAATGTAAAAATATAAGTCTGCTCACTCTCTCATCATTTGCAGTTGGGAGGTTAAAATAACTAAATTAAAGCTAATGAAATAAAAAGGCATAAAATATTTAAAGGTAAGTACTAAGGAAGATAAAACAGTAAACTAGGAGTTGGCAGGGGAAGATCATTTTTCATAGTAGAGAATTACAAGTAAAGTTGAAATATGTATTTTCAGATACTCTGAAGAAACAGAAGTCTAAGGGTATTATGCAACATTTTGATTGCAGATATACGCACTAGAACAAAATACAAACATTCCAATTTATCAGAAAAAAATCTACAAGAGTCAAGAAAATCATAGATGATAGACTAAGAAAAAGGCTAAAAATTAGAAAGCATTACATAAAATAATATGCCATTATATCTGTCATACTAGTAAATATAAATGGGTAAAACTAATATATGATTTTTTATGATGCACAAAGCAAAAATCAAAACAGATACCAAAAAGGCAAATGCATCAAACATAGACAAAAGATATTCTAAGTAATGTTAACAAAGAGAAAGTGGGATGTGGCAGAGACAGTTTGTCCTTTCCAAATATTTATTGACTTCCCTGTCTTTTCCAGCCTTCCCTGTGGAATAAGCAGACTTATGACTAATTCTAGCCAATAGACTATGCAGAGAATTGACTAGCATTTCCTCACTGAGACAGGTAAGAACCAGTGTGCCTCTCCACTTGACTCTTTCCCTGTCATGTTCTCCCAGTGGCATAGCCACCAGGTGGAACAAGGCAACCGAGATCACACTGGGTTTGGCATGAGCAGGAAATAAATATTTTGTCCATTCACTGAAAATCGGACTTTAATTTTTATTTCAATAGTAATAGCTGGGCTGTTTGTAATCTTAATATCAATGTTGAGTTCAGGTGAAGAAAAATAATAACAGCAGAGCACTTTTTTAAATGATAAAAGAGGGGACTGTTCACAATGAATATATCACACTTATGAATGCCTATGCACCAAATAACTTAGAATCAACATTCATAAAGTAAAAGTGTCAGAAAACAGGAGAAAGAGGACCACTTTCTTTGAAATGATATATTGGCCACAATTTCTCTGTGCACTGGAAGATGGTGATCCTCTTTCCCTGCCCAGTGCAGCCACAGCTCTTGGTGCCAAGAAGCATCTGAAGTGGGTAGGAGCCCCAAAGCATTGGATGCCGAATACATTGACCGGTGTGTTTGCTTGCCACCCATACACCAGTCTCCACAGGCTGAGAGTCTCCCCGTCATCATTTTCCTAAGGAACAGACTTAGGTATGCACTGACAGGAGATGAAGCAAAGAAGATCCGCATGCAGCAGTTCATTAAGATCGATGACAAGGTCTTGACTGATATAACCTATGCCACTGGTTCCTTAGATGTCAGCATTAACAAGACCAGAGAGAATTTCCATCTGATCTGTGACACCAGGGGTCACCTATTACACCCGAGGAGGCCAAGTTATTCAAAGTGAGAAGAAACTTTGTAAGCACAAAAGAAATCCCTGATCTGGCAGCTCATGATGCTGGCACCATCTGCTGCCCTGGCCCTCATCAAGGTGAATGACATCGTTCAGACTGACTTGGAGACTGGCAAGATTACTGATTTCATCAGGTTCAACACTGGTAACCTGTGTATGGTGACTGGAGGGGCTAACCTGGGAAGGATTGGTGCAATCACCAACAGAGAAAAACATCCTGGATTTTTCGATGTGGTTCATGTAAAAGATGCCAACAGCAACAGCTTTGCTACCTGACTCTCCAACATTTTTGTTATTGGCACAAGCAACAAATCATGGATTTGTCTTGCCTGAGGACAAGGTATCTGCCTCACCATTGCTGAAGAGAAAGAGAGAAGAGACTCGTGGCGGAAGAGAGCAGTGGGTGAAATGGTCTCTAGGTAAACATGTTAGAAAGGTCTTTATACTTAATTAAAAATCATACATCATGAAAAAAATTAATGAATGACATTTTGATTTTTTTCTCTCAGTCCATGAGAAAGCAGGTGAATAGAACATTTGTAAAAAAGTAGAAAACCTAAATTACAAAATTAATAAATTAAATTGTAACACATTAAACTCCATACCTTGAAAACAGGAAAATACATTTTTTTCTCAAGCCTTCATGGAACCCTCACAAAAACTAACCATATATTAAATCACAAAGGAAATTATGGTAAATTTTAAAAAATAGGAATTATACCGATAATAATTGTTATTGCAAAGCAATAAAACTAGAAAATAATATGAAAACAAAAATTATATTACCTAGAAATCCTTTAACTATCTCATAAACAACTTTTGGGTGAAAAAGAAAATCAAATCTGAATTTACCAGAAGTATGGAAAATGACAATAACAAAAACACTACATGTCTGAATCACTGGGTTACATCTAAGATAGTGCTGATAGGAAAAAACCTGAAATACTTATATTAACAAACATTAAGCATTCCATTCAAGAAGTTAGAAAGCAACAATAACCAAGAAAAAGAAATGGAAAAGCATGTTTTCATTTATAAGTGGGAGCTGAACAATATGAACACATAAACACAGGGAGGGGAACAATACACACTGGGGTCTGTGTGGGCAGGGGGTTAGGGGAGAGAGAGCATCAAGAAGAACAGCTAATGCATGCTGGGCTTAATACCTAAGTGATGGGTTGATAGGTGCAGCAAACCACCATGGCACATGTTTATCTATGTAACAAACTTGCACATCCTGCACATATACCCTAGAATTTAAAAAAGAAAAAAAAGAATTCTAAGTTAAAGAATTAGAAAACATAGAAAAAAATAAAGCTTATCATTAAATGTAACTGCTAATTCTTTGCAACATAAATACAATGAATAACCTGTTAGCTAATCTATTCAAGATACGTGGAAGAAAGGACAAATAACAATTTAAATATCATAAAAGTGAAACAAACCACAAAAACCAAGTAAACTAAAAGAATCCAAAGAAACCACATTGCCCATGACTAAAAAACACATTTGAAAAACAAAAGGAAATGAAATGTTTTCATAAAGAAATGTAGTTTACAAAAACTGACACCAGAAGAGATGAAAGATCTAAGCAGACCAATTACCATAAAGGAAATATAGCAAGTTGCAAAAGAACTTTACCTTCATCCAATTCCCTAATCCCCCAATATCTCACCCAAGAAAGCACCAGGTCTAGACAGTTTCAGAGGAAAATTTTTCCAAGGCTTTCAGAAATAGATTACTTCAATGCTATTTAAATGGTTTCAGAACTTAGAAGGAGCACTTCCAAATTATTTTCATAAATCTAGCATAAAATCAGTATCAAAAACTAACAAAAATAACACACAACCAAAAACTACAGATAAATCTCAGATATGAGTATAAATGGAAATATTCTAAATAAAACATCAGTGAATAAAATCTAGCCACTTAACAGAGAAACACAACATAAACTAAGTAGATGTATTCCAGGAATGTAAAGATGTTTCAACATCAGCAAGTTTATCAGTTTAATTAGCAGCATTCATAGATCAAAAGAGGAAAATTGTATAACCATCTTCATAGGTACTGACAAGGTATTTAAGATTACTGTAAAAACAGCTGGAACTCTTATACACCTGGTGGTAGTAAAAATCTGCACAGCCACTTTGGGAAACGGACAGTATCTACAAAACTGAACATATACATACCCTATTATCTCTTAGGGTTAAGCCACAATAAATACATACATATGTTCAGTAAAAGACTTGTACCAGAATGATCATAACAACTGAAAGCTGAAAACAACCAAACATCCATCAACAGTGGAAGGGAGAAAAAAGTTATGGTATATTTCTACAATACCCTACAAACACTATTAAAGTGAGCAAACTTTGGCTACATACAGCATGGATCCATCTCATTGACATGATGTTGAGCAAAAGAATATATACTGCATAATTCCATCTATACAGAATGCAAAACAAGACAAAACTAATATATAGTTTTAGGAGTCAGGATAATGCTTACTTTTGGGGAGGCTATTACCTGGGAGGGGCTGTGTGGGGCTGTGTAGGAGCTTCTGGGATACTGATGATGCTCTCTTTTCTCACCTGGTTGTTGGGTTACACAGGTTCTCCACCTTATGAATCACAATACCAATGACTTGTGCACTTTTCTACATGCATTTCTACACTTTAAGATAAAGTATACTTTAAAAAAAAAAACAAAGATACTTTTGAACCCCTCGTGCTCCAGATAAGACCACCCTTTCCTTCTTCTCCTTGTTCCTGCTCACCATAGACAGGAATCAAAAGAAGGCCCAAGGCTTTGCCTGTTTGTGGCCATGCTTCCCACTCCATCCCCACCCTCCCTACAACTCTCAGAGCCTCACCGCCAGTATAGGCCGAAAGACCATCAGAAACAATTTCATTACACCTTTATGTGTTCACATCCATCGCCACAAGAAGCCCAGGACCCACAAGCTATCTCTCATCCCCTGTACTCTAACTTTCTTTCTGACCCTGTGTCTCATCCCTCTCCAACTGCTGAAACCTTTACACTGTTCCCTCTATGGCTCTTGGACAGTCTCCAGCAAAATCCTCAAACCCTCAGCTTCTTCTCTGAAAGTCCCCTTCAGTTTTTGCTCTAAAAGGACCTGAGGACCCTGCAGCCCTCTCCTGGTGGGACACTTTCTCCCCACATCCTTCTACCATGAGGCATATGGTGAGCTAGGGGTTCTCCTAGCTCTGTGTTGTCATTTCTTTTTTTTTCTTTTTTTTTTTTTCTTTGAGATGGAGTTTTGCTCTGTCGCCCAGGCTGGAGTGCAGTGGCGCGATCTCGGCTCACTGCAACCTCCGCCTCCCGGGTTCAAGCAATTCTCCTGCCTCAGCCTCCTGAGTAGCTGGGATTACTGGTGCCCGCCACCATGACCAGCTAATTTTTGTATTTTTAGTAGAGACGGGGTTTCACCATGTTGGTCAGGCTGGTCTCGAACCCCTGACCTCGTGATCCACCCGCCTCAGCCTCCCAAAGTGCTGGGATTACAGGCGTGAGCCACCGCGCCTGGCCTGTGTTGTCATTTCTTCTTCTGTCTTCTGTCTTCCCTGAAACTCCCAGCCTAGAATGTCTTGTTTTCAGGCTTTAACACCCTTCTCATTGTTGCATTTGCCTACCACTCCTGGTCACAAATATCCTGATGTTTTTCCTTTTCCCTTGCTGTCACTTCTTTAATATGCCCATCATAATTATTGATGTTTCAAGAGCCACAAAGATGATCCTTTCAACATCTTGGCCATTCTGTTCCTCCACCTCCCCTCATCCAGTGATCTTCTCCCTCTGTCCTCAGACACTCACCCTCATGGTAACACCCTAGACTTTCTAAACACCTTAACAGCACCTCCTCCAGCACCACAGTTTTAAGGATGGCCACTCTCTGACCACTACCTCTAGTCTTTTTGGCTTCACTCTCTCTATTATTTTTACTTTACCACTTTTTTATCTCCTTCACTGAGACCTACAAAACAGGGAGAAAGATGCATGTATTGAACAAAATACCGGTGGGTTTGAATAATGAACAGAATACCTGTAGCTCCATGTCTATAACCAGGACAGACTTAAATATATACAGGCATTAATAAATCTAGGAAGGAAGGACAATTTCAAATGGTGGCTTTTTTCCTAGATTCAAGAATATGTTGTTTTTTAACTGACTGTATATTTAGTGAGAAATTTAGTAGTATGATATCATAGTGGTTCAAATTTTGAATCTCTTTTTGAGAGAAAAGGGGGCAGGAAAGAACCAGAAAACATGGCATTAAGTAACTCAAAGAGGAGAAGTGGTTTCTCTTATTCTTTCCAAGGATCCTGTGGTAAAAGTAAGAAGGAAATGAAGTATATGCCAAGAGGAGAGCCCAAGGTAGTAAGGGTAGATGGGTAGTTATAACTACCTGTTGTTTCTTTCCCTTTTGGATGGCAGGGGCATGATTTACATGTTCATGAATTTCTAATCTAGAAGGCATTCATGCAAAACAAAGACCATAAGCTTATGTTACAACATAGTCTCTGCAAGGAAGGGACATGTCTGGTCAAGCTGTCAGAAATCACCAGAAGTCTCTCAGCGTGTGCCCCTTTGCTGTTCTGGAAGCTGTGTCAGTTCTTTGAAGCAAACCATATTTTTTTGGGCAACACACCAAATGGTGATGTAAACCTCAAAGCCTGATAAGTTGCATCTCAGTTCTAGCTTTTTCTCAGAAAACTTTGCTTTGTCTGCTACAACTTTTAGAAGATACAGAGGGAGAGAATTCATTGACTCATTGACTGGGGCAATAGTCAACAACATTAGGATGTTAGAGAAAGTCCAAGTTGAGGAGAACTGGATGTCTGAAACTCTTTGATTATAATACTTTTCCTTAATATTTTTTATGACTCTGCATCCTCAATATCTAGGATTAGATCCTGCAGCACTGAAGTGCAAACAGTCCTTGACAAAACAGATTTTATGGAAAAATCTGTTGATGTTTTCAACTATGTCTGTACATTTAGATGTAGGTGTTTTTTAAGAGCCTACTCTGCTTTTGGCACTGTTAAGGAGGTTATAAAAAGGAATAACGCAAGACCCCAATCACAAAGAACATATAATCTAGCAAAAGATATATGATCAAGCAGCATGACAAGATGGTATAAAATAAGAAAGCATGAATGGTCTAAACAGAAGTAGATTACCACAGTATGTACACTTGTGCATCATTTGAAGCAAAAAGTAAAGAGAACAGTCACCATTATCTGATTCCATTCAACAGTCTATCTCGTACCAGTGGAAGCTGGGGAGACAGGATTAGTTCTTGTTGCTTGCCTTTGATGTTGGGACCAAGATATATTATAGCAGATATATTTCTATAGCTCTTCCAGAAAAATTCTTTTAATAATGGAAGATAGATATCTCGGAATACTGTAAATTAAGCAAATAAGCCCTTCATTGTGAAGAATACGAACATTAAAACTAACAAATCAGTAATTGTTTCTTTTTATATTATTAAATTTGCATAAAGCGCAAAAATAAAACAAACTAAAACTTTGAAGATTAAAGACAGAATGATGGCCAGAGCACCTCCTTCCTCCGTCCTAAAAGTGTAATAATTCAGATCACATTTAGCACTTTCACTTAGTGGATAAACTAGAAGGCAAAGCAAACACTCCTGGACTGTGCCTGTGAAGAAGTGAGCAAAAATGTGAAGTCTTGCTTGCATTATCTTGTAAATTTGGCAATGAATTTTCCATGAGGAAAAAACTGTAATTTCAATTCCTAAAAGACGCGAATTAAGTTGGACAGTTTTGGAACCTGGATTTATATATCGATTTGGTTTATACAGTCTTAGCAACTATCCCCTATGCTGGGGTATCAAAGCTGTAGAAATTATCAGTTTCTCAGTTGCAATTCAACGTCAGTGTTGGGGGGTTAGGCAAGTGGGTAAATATAACAAGTTGTCTCCTCAGAAAATATTTATTCTGAAGTACTATTTGAAATGTTGCCAGAAAAGAATGTTTTAAATTTTAGAGTTTTACATTTTTGAGTTTTAAGTTTTGGAGTCCATGTTCTTTTGGTTAGTTATTTTTAAAGTAATCCGATGCAATAAAATAAATAGATGAAATAATCTTATAGAAAATATTCAATTATACTATTAATAAAGAAGGGTAATTATAAATGAAATAATATTTGTTGCTGAACAAATTAGCAAAGATTGTTTTTGATGAGGATAGCCCATGCCGTGAAAGTGTATGGTTTAATTGGTACTTCCATACATTCCTGGAGTAAGGGTTCATTGGATCATTGTTTTCTAATGAAATGTAATAATATATATCACGAGCCTTTAAAGTTTCTAAGACATTTCACTCACTATTGCTAATCCTGGGAATCCATCTTATCTAAAACATAAAAAGCTTCTAGAAATTTTATGACCAAAGATCCATTAACAATAAAAATCCTTCCCTTTAATCCAAATGAACCAATTTACGTCATGTACTTATCACTGGGCCAGAGGAAATGCCCAGTGCATAGGTAGACAAGGTAAGCCTGAAATTCTAAGTCAGCCATTGGAAAGAAAATGGGAACACCAAAACTGGCTTAGACTAATCCCTAATGACCTCCAGAGCTAGAGTCAATTTCTGAAACTACATCCCTGCTACACAAGGGGAGAGGAACTGGATGCATAAGAGGAACTGATCTCTATAGCCACCCCACCTGGTTCTCTAATTTTCCTCACCTCAATGTGGGGAATAACCTGCATCTGTCAGGTTACATGATATGATTTGGATGTTTGGCTCCACCAAATATCATGTGCAAATTTAATCTCCAGTGTTGAGAGGTAGGGCCTAGTGGGAGGTGTTTGGTTCATGGGGGTAGATTGCTCAGAAATAGACTACTGCCCTCCCTTCAAGGTGAGTGAGTTCTGACTCTATTAGTTCTGGAGAGAGCTGGTTGTTAAAAAGAGTCTGGCACCTCCCCCCTCTCTCTTGCTTCTCTCTCACCACGTGATCCCCTTCACCTTCCGCCATGAATGGACAGACTGAGGCCCTCACCAGATGCAGATGTCAATACCATACTTTTTTGCATAGCCTGCAAAACTGTGAGCTAAATAAACCTATGTTCTTTATAAATTGTCTAGCCTTAGGCATCCCTTATAGCAACACAAAACAGACTAAGACATTACTTAAGACAAAAAGGTGGAATCATCCCTCAGTCCCCTTTTCCATAGTCCTCATATCCAGTGCAAAACTAAGCCCTATTATTAGGCAGAATCATGTGAAATTGTCAATATGTGACCTCTTTAACCTACAAAAATGACAGTATCATAAAATTCAACCTGCAAAATATTTCTCAAACCCATTCATTTCTCTTCCACCAGCACCCTAGTTGAAGCCACTCCATTCTTCCCCTAGACAACTGCAGTGGCCTCCTGATCACCAGCCTCCTTTCCACTCTTACCTCCATTCTAGCCAGAGCAATGTTTCCTGAACATAAATCGAGTATGACGCTGCATTTTAAAGCCCATCGTGGTTCCCTATTGCTCTTAGAATACATTGCAAACTTCTTTGCCTGGCCACGAAATCCCCACCTCATCAGATTCTTACCTTCAACTCCAGTCTCCTCCCACTTTGTGCTCCAGGCCTCAGGGACCTCCTGTTGCTCTTCCTCTTCCCTCATGCCCTGCTGACTGCCCAGAACACTCCTCTCCTCACCTGTCAACTGGCCAATGCTTCACATCCTGCATCTTTACACTTCAGTTACCTTCCCTGAACCAGCCTCTCCAGACTCCCCAGTCTATTTCATTTTCCCTAGTGAATCCCTCATAGTACCCTACTTGTTTCCTTTTTGGAAGCAATTTGTAAATACATATTTATTTTGTTGTTGTTGTTGTTTATTTTTTAATCTCTCTCTTCCTACTAGTCTGGATACTTAAGGGCAGAAATTGTGTCTTTTCTTGTTTTCATCAATACTGGGTACACAGCAAACCTTCAATAAATCTTTGTGGACTAGATTATTGTATAAATGAACAAATAAATGAATTAATGTGCCAGGTTAAAATGTTGATGGAAAAAAATAGGCTATAAAACTGTGTGGACATTATGATTACAACTATTTTGTAAGACCAAGCACTAAAGAAAGAGAGGCTTAGAAGGAAATAAAACAAAATGTTTCATTTGGGTGATGGGATTATGAGTAATCTGATTTTTTTCTCTTTGCTTTTCTGTATTTTCAAATTTTCTTTAATAAGTATAACTTCAAATATATATTTTAAATTTTTGAGAAAAATATTTACTTCCCCTATAATCTCCTCCTTTCAAAATTAAAATTAAAATTTGATCTCACAATATTTATTATAAAATGTTTTCCTCTATATTTTCCAGCATATGTAGTCAATTTCTCTTTCTGGCATACAGGAGTTGAGGAGTGCATAAGGAGATTCTAAATGGAATTCTTGGATGGAAGAAGACAGTCACTAATTCCTGGTTCCAGAATGTGGAGAAAATTAACTAGATTACATAAATATCTACATGCCATTGTTTATTGTAGATGTGGATAATTATGCATTTTCCATGTAAGGTGGTATTACCTGACATTTTCAAGCAATTTCATCGCCAGATGGGCTTCTAAAACTTTACCACTGTGTCCTCAATGTAATCATCAGTAAAGATAACTCCCTATTTTCTGAATAAATTACCTGTTTATCCTCATCGAATATTCCTCATTGAAACCTTTTTTCCACTCTGACTTTCCTTCATTTTAAAAAAATATCAGACATGGGCCAGGCGTGGTGACTCATGCCTGTAATCCCAGCACTTTGAGAGGCCAACGCAGGCGGATTGCTTGAGCCCAGGAGTTCCAGACCAGCCTGGGCAACATGGCAAGACCCCGTCTCTACAAAAAAAATTAAAAATTAGCCTGGTATGGGCTGGGTGCAGTGGTTCATGCTCAGGCAGGAGAATCGCTTGAGGCCGGGAGGCGGATGTTGAAGCAACTGGAGATCATGCCACTGCACTCCAGCCTGGGTGACAAAGCAAGACTCAGTCTCAAAAAAAAAAAAAAAAAAAAAAAAAAAAAGAGCCTGGTATGATGCCCCTATAGTCCCAGCTACTTGAGAGGCTGAGGTGGGAGAATCACCTGAGCTGGGGAAGTCAAGGCTGCAAGTCAAAGCCCTGATTGCACCACTGCACTACAGCCTGGATGACAGAGTGACTGACACACAGTCTCAAAAAAAAATTAATAATAATAAAATAAAATAAATCAAATGTGTTTATACAGATGAAAAGGAAATAAAGTGCAAAATTCTTTCTGTTTCAAATCCACCCACTTCTTGCTGCTTCTTGCCACATCCCCTCTGCCACCACTCCAATCCAGGCTACTGTCATTTCCAACATGGTCCTTCCATTCATTTAAAAGAACATTAGGAGATAGTTTATATAAAATAAAATGCACCCCCCTAGTTGCACATTTCAGTGAGTTTTGACACATTTATACCTCAGTGCAAGCACCATCAAAGAGATGTAGGACATTTCCAAAATCTCCCCCATGCCCTATCCCAGTAAATCCATTGTATGGAAAGACCACAACTTGTTTTATCTATTCCCTTCCTGATGGACACTAGAGTTGTTTCAAGTTTTTGGCTACTGTGAATAAATATTCTACCTGCATTCATGTATGAGTCTATGCAAACATGTGTTTTCATTTTCCTTGGGTAAATACCTAGGAGTGGGATTGCTGAATTATATGCTACATGTATATTTAACTTCATAAGAAACTGACAAACTGTCTCAACAATGTTTTTCAAAAAATCAGAAGTTCTTAATTTTAAATAAGTTTATCACATTTTTCTTTTATGATTAATGCCTTTTATGTCCTTTTTTTGCCTACCCTAGGTTGTGAAATTTTTATTTTCTATATTTTTTCTAGAAGTTCTACAGGTTTGACTTTTCCATAGAAATTTTTAGAATCAGGTTGGCAATTTTTACCAAAAAAAAAAAATCCTGGTAGAATTTAAATTAGAAATATGCTAAATAGATCACATTCAGAAAATGAACATTGTAAAAATATTGTTTTCCCATTCATGAACATGGTAAATCTCTTAACTTATTTATATCTTCTTTAATTTCTCCCAGAAATGTTGTATGGTTTTCAGTGTAAAGGGTCTGTACTTACTTTGTTAAATTTATCCCTAAGTATTTCATATTTTGGGTGCTATTGTAAATAGTATTTTAAATTTTCAATTTACAATTGTTCATTCTATACAATGCAAATATAAAAGAATTGTCCATATATAAAAATTAATTTCTGTATACCGACCTTGTATTCTGCAACCTTGTTAAACTCATGTATTAATTCCAATAGCTTTTTGTAGATTTCTTAATATTTTCTTCAGACATAATCACTTTATTGCAAATAAAAACATACTATTTTCTTTCTTTCCAATCTGTATTCCTTTTATTTCTTTTTCTGGACTTTTTTCAGTGACTAAAATTTTGAGTATAATGTTGAGTATAAATGGTGCGAGTGGGCATCCTTGCCTTGTTCACAGTCTTAGTTAGAAATCATTCAGTTTTTTCAGAATGAATCATGATGTTAACTGTAGGTTTTTTGTAGATAATGTATCAGGTTTTTATTCTGGTTTGCTGAGAAGTTTTAAATCAAATGGGCATAATATAATTTTATGTAAAGAATTCTATTTGCTAAAGTATTGTAAAGATTTTTACATTCATGTCTATGTGTTATATTGGTCTTTAGATTTCTCTTTTTTGTAATAACCATTGTCTGATTTTGGTAGAAGAGCAAACCTGATCCCAAAGATTGTTTGTAAAATGTTTTCTTCTCCTCTCTTTTTTGAATGAGTTTGTGGAAAATTGGTATTATGTCTTTCTTAAATTTGAATAGACTACCACCAGTAAAGCCACCTGGGTTGAGGTTGTATGTTCATATGTCTGTGTGTGTGTGTGTGTGTGTGTGTGTGTGTGTGTGTGTGCATGTGTTTGAAAGTTTTCACTTATTAACTCAATTTTCTTAATACATACAGGGCTCTTCAGATTTTCTATCTCTTCTTGAGTCAATTTTGATAAACAATGTCTTTCAAAGAATTTTTTCACCTCATCTAGGTTTTAAAATTTATTAACATAATGTTACTCAAAATATTTTATTATTTTAAAAAATATCTATAAGATCTGTAGTGAAGTACCTCCTTCATCATTGTCAATCTAGCTAGCATGTTAATAATGTTATTGATTTTTCCAAATATCAGATTTTGGTTTTATTCTTTTTCTCAATTGTTTTTCTACTTTCAATTTTATTGCTTCCTATTTTTTTCTACTTACTTCAGGTTTCAATTGCTTCTTGTTTTTCTAGTTTCTTAAGATAAAAGCATATGCTTTGATATGATCTTCTTTTTAATAACTTCCATTTATTTCCTCATTATGTCTTATGTTTTCCTTTACACTCTGGAAAATATATAATAATTATTTTAATATCATTATGTGTTAATTCCATTATTTGCTGCTGTATCTTTTTCTGTTTCTTGTTTCTATTTACTCACTTTTTCTTTGTTATGGGTCACATTGTCCTGCGTCTTTTAGGTCTAGTAATTGTTTATTGATTGCTGGTCATTTTGATTTGTATGTTGTTTACTAGATTATGTATAGTTTTTAGGAGTGTTGGACTTTTTATGGCAGAAAGTTATTTATAGATTGGTTTACTCTTTTGGGGCATATTTTTAAGTTCTTTTAGGGTAGGTGTAAAGTAGCCTGTAGTCTAGAGATAATTTAGCCCCATTTCTGAGACACACTCTTCTGGGGTCTCTGTTAATTGCCAGGAGTATTTAGTGAGGTCTCTTCTCTGGCTGAGGGAATTAGGACAATTCCCAGCTCTGTTTGAGCTATGGGAATTACTTGTATCACAACTCTCCACTAATAGTGCTTTCCTTAAGAATTATTTTTGGTTGGCTTCATGAATTTTCACCCTGTGCATGTGTGTATTGGTATTCAGCCAAAGACTCAAGGGAACGTTTATGCAGATTTCTGGAACTTTTTCTGCAAATAACTCCTCCTGGGTACCCTGCCCCAAAATTCTAAATGCCTCAATGTCCCAGAACTTTGATGTCCTTCTCCTCAACTAAGAAAGATTGTTGCATTGTATTTGAGTTCCTGTTTCCTACACCTAAAACTGGAAATTACCTCTGGACATAAAGCTTTAATGATGGTAGGGCTTACATCATCTGTTTCCCTTTTTTCAGAGATTACGCTCTTTTACTACATGTTGTGTAATAGCTGAAAATAGTTGTTTCTTATAATTTTCCAGTTTTTTCATTATTTGCAGTGGAAGGATAATTCCAGATCCTATTTATTTCCTATGGCTAGAAGCGTAAGTCTCTTCCCTTTCTGTTCATTTTTGACATCTGCCATCCATTCTCCCCGCTGTAGCCAGAGTGATTCTTTCAACACAAATCTGATCATCTCAGTACCATGCTGCAATGAGGGCTGCAGACCCCACCTGGTCTTATCCCACCTACTCCCCCAGCATCAGTTTGCACCATTTCCCAATTTCTACTTCATGCGGCAGCACACTAAACTACTTTCAACGTTCTTCAAATATGCCGTGCTCTCTCTCATATCTGAACAATTGCACATATTCTTCTCTCTACTTAGAAGAGATGCCCTGCGCCCCACGTAGCCACTATTTCTGCCTAAAATCTACTTGTTCTTCATAACTAATTTATGTTTCTTCCTCAGAGAGGTCTCCCACAAAACCAAGAGTTGGTTTTACACCTGCCCAACACTCTCATAATGCCTTGTATTTGCCCTGTGTGATAACCCTCATCATTTTATTATACTTATTGTTTAATATCTGTATTCTGTATTGGACTGTTAAATACAAGTGAAAGTTCAGCATCTCTCTCACTAAATCTGCCAAATCCCCAAGTGCCTCACATAGCAGCTTGCAGAATAGCTCTCAATAAATATTTGTGAATAAATTAATAAAACATAAGGTAATTAACTAAAGAACTGATAGTGGGGGTAGGGGGAGTAGGGAGAGAAAAGGCAAAAAACCAAAACCGCCAACAAAACCTAATATGTTAAAAAAAAAGCAAAAACAAAACAGAAGGGATCTTAAGGACAGCAAGTTTCCATTTTGCTGACTCTATGAGTCAAATTTCCCAGATGTCACTTAGCTCCTCACCAGTTTGCCTGTCGACAGAGGCACTAAGGTAAGAATGGTGCATTTGATACCTTTCTCTCTGCAAACCAGGAAGACTCGGAGTAAATGCTTTTCTATAATGGAGTTTTTAGAAGTAATCATGATGAACAAAGTCTCACAATAATTGAATGTAGTCCCCAATGGTTCTATTACTCTGTCTTGGATAATTCCACAGAAGAAGCAGGTCCATTATGCCTTAACCTGTTCTTTGTCACCACTGTTGATTTAGTGTCATGGTAAACAAATGTCCACAGTCCTATTATGACATTCATCATCCTAATCAAGTCATCAGAACAAACAAAGTTAGATTGTAGCAATCAAAGATCTGGGAAACAATATCGAAAGATTGTATGTTTTATACAAGCGAAACATGCAGAGGTTGTAACATTTTAATTCAAAAGTTGTGGCTCTATTGTCTAAAATGTAGAAGTGGCCGGAATGTTTGTAGTCATTCAGTCTTTATCATTTATCACTTTTTCAAAAAATAAAATGAAATCAAACTTTTTCCCTTAAAGGGGTATGCTTTAGTGTCATGTTTAGAAGACCCAACAAAAGGAGGCATTTCCAAACTAAAGCTGATTCCCTTATGAAACTTTTTGGTGGCAAGGAAGTCATTTATTCACTATTCAGTGACATCATAAAATATTAGATAGAACTAAAAGTGTCTGTACAGTATTTGGTCCAATCTCCTGTTTTAGAATCACAAAGTGGTTTTTCAACAGGATCCACTGTTTCCTTGAGTATCATTTCTCCCTCTGATGTTTGACCTCATTTGACCTCTGGTCCATTAATGCTTCTCTTCTTTTCTCTTTCCATCAGCCCCTTTGCGTCTCACTTCCCCCATTTCCAGCCTTGCCTCCACAGCAGGTGGTGGGGGCACTGCTCTAGCTAACCATCAAGAGCTTACCCTGCTGACCTGCCCTGTCTGACATTCCATGAGGCACTGAACCAGCCTCATGTCCTCAAAGTCCTCTTGGACATTTCTCTGGCAAGCGTCTCCTCTTCAGCTAACATCTGCACTCTAATTCCATCAATGGATTCACAAGAGCAAATCACTAACCTGGAGAATTGATCCACTTCAGAGCCAAGCTCTCTAACCTCCCCAGGCTGCTGGTTGGTTCTTTAATTCATCTCATACTGATGTTCACCCTCACAGAATTGAACTCCACCCTCACAGAATCTTTAAATCATTAAATCTTGTAAATACCTGGAATCCTGGAGACCAACAAATCCAAATCTTTTTTCTTATAAATAAAGAAATGGAAGAAAGCCCAAGATATTAGGTCACACAGTTAATGATAAAGGTCTGACTATAACCCAGAAAAGGGAAACTACAACTCCTTATTCCACCCTAGTTCACCTGTGCCCTCACCCTTCAAGTTGTGGGTTATCATTTCAACACCTATTTAACGAACAACAAATAAATCAGCCGGTAGAAACTCCCTTGATTTTCTGTCTCTACCCCAACATGACGGAATGAAAAATATATATAGGCTTTGGTTCCAGAAAGACCAAGTCTCAGCTCCACTATTTACCAAAAATGTGGCCTTGAGGAAGTGACTAAACCCATTTTGGCCTAAATGTCTTTCCCTGTAAAACAGCAACAGTAGACTGGTAATACATTCCAGAAAGGGCCATCAGCGCTCGCCAAGTCCCCACATTCGACCATCTTTTTTCAGTCCTCATCCATCGTCATCTCTCTGCAGCTGTTACCCATTCTTCCTGCTTTAAAACACTAGTTCTCTGCCTTGACCACAAATTGTCATCACTTAGAGAACTTTAAAATCTGCTGATTCTTGGGCCCCTTCCTCAGAGATTCTGATATAATTGGTATGGAGTGTAGCCTGGGAATAGGAATGTCTGGATCCCTCAGATGATTCTAGTGGGAGAAAAGTTTGAGAAGCGCTGTGTTTTGTTTTTTTTTTTTTTTTTTTGAGAGTTATGCTAATCTTGTTTGTTTGTTTGTTTGTTTGTAGGTGCAGGGGTACATGTGCAGTTTTGTTACATAGGTAAATTGTGTGTCACTGGGGTTTGGCATACAGTTTTGCCACCCAGGTGATAAGCATAGTACCCAATAGGTAGTTTTTCTATCCCCTTCTTTCTCCCGCCCTCCACCCTCAAGTCAGCCCCAGTGTCTATTGTTCTCGTCTTTGTGTCTGTGTGTACTCATGTTCCCACTCATCAATGAGAACATGCAGTGTTTGGTTTTCTGTTCCTACATTAGTTCACTTAAGATAATGATGGCCTCCAGCTCCATCCATGTTGCTGCAAAGGACATGATCTCATTCTTTTTCTTTGGCTGCATAGTATTCCAGGGTGTATATGTGCCACATTTCATTTACCCAGTCTACCATTGATAGGCATTTAGAATGATTTCATGTCTTTACAATTATGAATAGTGCTGCAATGAACATATTCATGCCTGTATCTTTATGGTAGAACAATTTATATTCCTTTGGGTATATACTCAATAATGGAATTGCTGGGTCAAGCGGTACTTCTATTTTAAGTTCTTTGAGGAATCACCACACGGCTTTCCACAACAGCTGAACTAATTTACATTCCCATCAACAGTGTATAAGCATTCCCTTTTCTCTGCAACCTCACCAGCATCTGTTATCTTTTGACTTTTTAGCAATAGCCATTCTGACTGCTGTGAGATGGTATCTCATTGTGGTTTTGGTTTGCATTTCTCTAGTGATTAGTGATGTTGAGTTTTTTTTTTTACATACTTGTTGGCCACGTGTATGTCTTCTTTTGAAAAGTGTTTGTTCATGTCCTTTGCCCACTCTTTAATGGGATTGTTTATTTTTGCTTGTTAATTTGTTTCAGTTCCTTATAGACTCTGGATATTAAGCCTTTGCAAATATTTTCTCCCATTCTATAGGTTGTTTACTCTATCAATAGTTTCTTTTGTGATGCAGTAGCTCTTTAGTATAATTAGGTCCAATTTGTCCATTTTTGCTTTCATTGCAATTGCTTTTGGCATCTTTGTCATGAAATCTTTGCCAGGGCCTATGTCCAGAATGGTATTTCCTATCCTAGGTTATCTCCCAGGGCTTTTATAGTTTTAGGTTTTATATTTAAGTCTTTAATCCATCTTGAGTGGAATTTTGTATATAGTGTAAGGAAGGGGGTCAGCTTCAATCTTCTGCATAAGGCTAGCCAGCTCTCCCAGCACTATTTATTGAACAGGGAGTCCTCTCCCCATTGATTGTTTTTTGTCACCTTTATCAAAGATCAGATGGTTGTAGGTGTGTGGAGAAGTGCTGCTTTAAAATCATTGCTTGTTGTATTCCTGAGACAGACTGCTGTTCTGTGTTTTCTCCTACCTCTCGGTCACTTCTTTGTATCTGTCACTGCTATTTTTCTAATACTCTGATGGTTTTATCCATAGCATCTACAAACATAGCTCATTTGCATCTGAACACTTGACATCTAACTCAAGTTCCCCATATCTGCCTCTCTTGACTTACATATTTGGGTTAAAAGTCCATTCATTTTCATAGTTGCCCTGGCTCAAAACTAGACATGTGGAAAAGTCTAGACACTTAAAGCTTGATTCCTCTTTCTGCTGTTGCTGCTCTGTCCAGCCAGGGCCAGGCTGTTCTTTTCTCTCTCCTTCATCGTCTTTCATGGCTACTGCAATATCCTCCAAAATGTCTCTGCCTACCACCCTTCTCCCCTGGTTCCGTTTCCACCCCTCGATTATTGAATGGGTTTCTTCTCCATAGCATCTATCAACATCCTAATGGAGTGGTGTTCTCAGGGGCCCACCATGGGAATGTTGCAATAAATTTTGTTACAAAATAATATCCCTCCCCCGACATGCCAAGTCACCTTCTCCGGTGCATTTCTTTTCTTCCTAGCACTGGTCACCTTCTAATTTCACATTATATGTTTGTTAGTTATGTTTATTGTTAGATATCTGTCTCCCATCATTACAGCATAAGCTACATTAGGGAAGACATTTTTCTTTTTGTGTTTTTTGATTTGTTCCAAGATCCTAGAAGAGTGCCTGGCACTCAATCATCCTTTGTCAAATAAATTAATAAATTTCAGCCATAGTCAGCAATTAGTGAATTATTCACAAAGAGGTGAGTCCTGCTACCAGAGTTCAGAGTGCCCTGGTAGGATTGCCTCAAGCCCTTCTCCCTGAGACATCCTTGGGCTTCAGGAGGTGAAAAGGTGTAGAGTAGGTAAGGAGAAGAAGAGGTCAGCATGGTAGACCCATCAGATAAGACCATGTATTGATTTTTGCAGAACTTCTTTTGGTTGTTTCCTATTCCACTGTATTTATAAAATGTGGAAATCCCTTGTCACATCACTGTTCAGTCCTGACACAGCCCACAGAAAATTACAAGGGACATAGGCTATCTACTGGCTGAGCAGAGCTCAACAGGCACCAGTGATTTCTTCAGGGCTTCCCAGCACCAAAGATACAGCAAGTAATCTTTCTCTGAGATTAACCTGGCCTCCAGCCACCATAAACACTCAATCTCCCTTACAGGGAGGAAAGATTAAATATCTGATTAAAATTTTTGGCTGCTAATTTATTGAACTTGGATGGAGGAACTGTTTGCAAGTCACATGACTTTCCCTGTGTGTCTGCCGTCGTTGTCCCACGCAACAGAGCGAGGTCACCGTGCAGCTGAAAAACAAGGAGCAGCCGAGTCCACGGGGGCGGGTGGCCGAGGGGTACAGTTTTGGGCCATCTTGGACAACTGGGGGGTCAGTTCTTCCCCAGTTGGTTCAGGAAAGTTCACATAGTCTGTGGCTGTTTCTGTTTCAGCCTCTCACTCTCTGTTCTTGATGCTTTGTAGATTTGGTTCATTTCATCCCACCCCTGCCTATTGTTCTGAGCCACCCAGTGCAATGATGTCATGGGCAGCTTAAAAGTATACAGGAAGTCTTCAAAGCTGAATGACTTCAATATACTTTATTCCATGCGCTCTTGCTGCTGGCTGTCTATGGAAACTGTGCCCGGCAGAACTCAGGGAGGCAGCCATAGGGTTGGAGACTCTCCTCTCCTCCTCCCCCATTCCATGCTCCCCACCCCACCCCCGTGCCTACTGCTCCCATCCCTCACCTCCATCCCAGGGTTTGGACAGAGGCCAGACCAAAGGAGGGAGGGAAGCTAAGAGAAAGGAAAGCCAGGGGAATCGAAGGTCAAAGGGAGTTTCATCAGAAAAATAGGGGTGCAGGACTCCCAGGACAACCAAAGGTCACTTTTACTGGCCTTTGAGTGATAAAGTCAGTCTGTCTGGCAGAGCTGCCAGTCATGGTACTGCCCCTGGAGAGGAAAAAGTGACAAAAACCACAAGTGACTTGCCTCAACTTGCAAACTGCAGCAAGAGTGTGGCATGTGATGGCTGCCCAGGGATACATTTGGAGTAAAGTTAAACATGAGGTGGCTTGTAACAGGATAATAATAGCAGATGTGAGGATGGGGCTTTACTGTTCACACAGCACCTTTGTATATACATACTGTCCTCTGTGTCCCTCACAAATCCCAATGATGGAGGTAGGGAAAAGCATGAAGAAGGGAACGTTTTTACTTACCCAAAATCACTCAGCTGTCCAGGGTAGACTTGGGGCTCAAGTCCAGATCCCATGTTTTCCCAGCACTCCACTCTGTGCTCACATCACAGTCCTGGCTTCCTCTCCTTATCCCTACTCTTGTTAGAAATTACCTCTGAGTTCATCCTTGTCCAACTATCATTTTTTCATATTGCCGCACCTTGTGGAACTAGAAGAATTCTTCTTTGCTCCCACAAAAATAACACAGAGTTTGTGCCTGGCCGTGGTGCCTGTACCTGCTCAACCCTCCACAGCCTTGCAGGGAATGAATTTCATAGGTATACAGGCTAGCCTTCGTCACATTGTTGCAATGGCATTGTGCATTGCCTAGTCATTATTACACACCCTGAGGCAACTATAGTTACATGGTACTGGTATTGAGCTAAGAAAACATACTCGGAACCAGGTGTGTGTTTTCCTGAAGTCATTCTGCACAAGCACAGAAGACAGGAGTTCTCAATCTGGGGTCTATAGATAGAATTTAGGGGGGTGCCTTGAAACAGTGTGGGAAAAAATACATCTTTCTTTTCATTACACTTTAATTTAAATTTAGCATTTTCTTATGAATGTAGACAGCACACCACATCAGTATGTCAGTATATCTGTGACTTCGTTACCACTAGAAACTATAGATTTTTCAAATCACATTTCAGTTGTAGCAGGTATCTTGAAATAACAGTTATGCTCATCACTACTTGGAATTATAGTGTCAGAATTGGAGAATTATGGTATTAGACCTGCTGCTTAATCTTGTTATGCATTGCATTGTACAGACGCACAGATATTTTCATATCACAAACCTAGTTTCTGAACATTTCGATAACGCATGCCCCCAGCTGCACGGAAGGAACCCTAACCTTTTTCAAGATCCTTTATTCCACCCTGTCCTAATTATTTCTTGACGTTTCTGGGGATGTTTCAGACCATATTTCCACATAACTGGCTTCCTTTCTAATCCTAAATATATTATCTTATGCATTTAAAGTATTAGTCTGAGAAGGAGAATGCAGGCTTCATCATACTGCCCAAAGGATCCATGGATCATGAACCAAAAAGTTAAGAGCCCCAGATTTTGCTGTAGTTCAGAGTGCTGGGGTGGGGTACAAAGGGCTTGGTAACCCGATCTGAGCCTTCCCACAGCCTGCTAGTACTCCACTCTGGGCAGGGAGAGAGACACAGGCCCAGGCCATGTCCGGTGAGGAGCTGGGGTGACCCTGGCAGCTGTGCTCACCGTCATCTCCTGGTGCTGCTGCCCCAGCCAGTTCACATCCTCACACTCATCCCAGGGACTGCACCTTCTGATGACTGCACTGGAGTGTTCCTTCTCACTAAGCCTCACAGCCAGGGCTTCAGAGCTGCTTCCCGGCAGGCCCAGCCATACCACTAGCACTCTGAAGCATTGCCTCTGGCTCTCTTCAGAGAAAGCGTGGTCAGGACAAGCTGTTCCATGTACAGTTATCAAGCCTGGTTTCCCAGCACATTTCAGTGGCAACTCTGCACAGCATAGCAACCAACTCCATCGCCTCTCTGTGGCCCTCAGTGTGGGGGAGTAGCCAAGCCAGGGACAGGGAGGAATCTAAGTTATTGGAGGTAGGATATGTGCACAGCCATTAGGGCTTTTTGCCCAGCCTATCGGGCTGAGGTGATCTAATCCTACAAAAATTGAATACTATTTCCTACATACTAGCCTTGTTATTCTGGGTCGCGTAACTCCATTGCTCATGGAACTTAACTCTAGGCCTCCCCTGTCTATGCAGACATAGTAACACTGATTGTCAATTTCTATGGCGTAAGGCTCCCTACCTGCATAAAAGGAACTTGCTCCCTGCAGGAGCTTTTTATGTACTCAGCCCTAATTATTTCTTGCAGTCCCCGGTGATGTCTCAGACATTCTTGTGAATCTGTCTAGACCAAGTCGTGGCCACCACCACCCAGCCTTGACACAAGGATCCAGGCCCTTTCTTGCTGCCTTTGTTCGCCACCACTGTGGCCACAGCCATGGCACATTCCTGCTGATCTCTGCCTCCCCTGATATGTTAGCGAAGTCTTGGGTGCCGGTTTCAATCCTCCTGGCACTTGGGTACTCCAGGCAGTTGGTTACAAAGTGAGAAGAGTAGCTCCCTGCTCTCTGAGGTCCCGGCTGCTAGTAGGCACCACAGCAGGGCAGCATGGGCTGGAAGATGCTGAAGCCTGGCTTACTGAGTGGCACCTCCTAATGCACAGACAGCCGTTCCCACTCCAGGCTGCACAGAGCCCTGCAAAGTGGTGGGGTCAGGGCAGATTCAAGAAAATCTAAGGTCTACACCTTCTCTCAGCCCCACAACCTTGTTGGTAAGTTGGACTCACTGCCTGAATCCCCCTTCCTTAGGTCGATCCCTCTCTCAGGCATCCGGAGAATCTCCCCAGCAATTTGACCTCTGTCACCCTGCCCTGCTCTCCCCATTTTGTTCTCCAGATGAGCTGGTGTACATCAGGACCCCCTTTGAAGACCCAGTTCACCGTCTCTTACCGGGAAACTTCTTAGCCCCCAGAAAAATCCAAACACAAACAGCTGGCTGGAGGCTGGATGAGAAAGGAGTATCCTGACTCCACCCCCAAGACCCGTCCTGCCTCAGCCTGGCCCCAGCAGAGATGCTGTCTACAGTTGGTAGAATCCATCTCCTTCTTCAAATGCTTTTAAGGAAGCCACATTGTGGAAGGCAGTGAGAAGATCTCTTGCTCTCGCTTCCTGTACCTACAGTAGAGCCTTGGCATTATGTGAGGTGGAAGGAACTTGGACCCTGGAGTTTGAGTAAACAATACTCCAGCAACAACTTTGCCACCTGCTCACAGTGAGACCTGGGCAAGAGCTCTCTGAAGCTACTTTCTCACAGGGAGATGGGAAAGACTCGTCCTCGCCCTTGGGGTTGTTTTGAGGGTTAAATGGAAAACCTAAGATAAAGAACCTAATACAATGCCTTGCACATAGTTGGCATCTGATAATTCTTAGTTCTTATTTTTAATATATTTTTTGACTTGTGCCAGAGTGTACCATGTGGATGTTAGAGGCATTGAAAGGAGGTTTCTGGAATTGCATAACAAGCTTATCAATTACAAAAATATTTCCTTGCTATTCATTAAGTCCTAAAAAAGAAATATAAGCAATATGAAATTGTTTACATTATGAAATAACAACAGATATAACTGAATAATTTGTAAAGCAAAATTAAAATCATCCTATTCAATGTGCAGAAAAGTGGGGGAAAGGTGGGGAAGAGAACTTACATTATTCAGGTACCTATTATGTGCTATTCATATTGGCACATAATAGGTGCCTGAATATTTGGCAAGCAATATGCCAAGATTTTTGCTGTGTTCCTTAAAGGTCACATTATGGCAAGGACACTGAAGCTCTCTAGATTAGATCTCTAGAAAATAATAAACGTCATTCTTTCTTCTTCTGTCACCTTCCTGTGTGTGTCTAAGACTCAGGCTTAATTGTCTACTTCCTATATAAATTCAGTTCCATGCCATGTCCCATGCCCTGCTGGCTTTATCCCAGACATGAAGTGCCCTGGCTTACTCAGAAAGATGAGTGCAGGCCCCTCTTCCTTGGCTTCTACCTAAGGCCAGCAGAACTCCTGAGCCTGTGCTCTAGGGGAGGAGCAGGGCTGGGGTACACTGAAGGTATTCTGACGCCTGCTTTACTTGTCACTGTTGCTTCCCTTCCAGTAATTTCCAAGGCAGCTTTCTTGGAAAAGAAACCTGCTTTAATTAAGAACCCCTGGAAATTCTGAGCAATGTTCTACTTAAACCTAGCAAAACCCTACTTGCAACAGAGAACAGGGGAGAAAGGGTGGGTAGGAGGACTGATGGAAATGGCTCCACATGATTTGATTCTGTGACCTTCAAAGTCTGAAAAAGAAAATCAGGTTGATTCATAAACAACTAGGGACTAAAATACTTCTGGCTTCCTTTTATTGTACTTCTGGGAACCAACCGATTATGTTTAGAACTCTGGGTGACTGGAAGGGTTTTGTTGCTTTTTTTTAAAGCTGGTCCTGAAACCATAATCAGTTTTCTAGGCTGTTCATTTTGGCATGTGCAGGTTGAACTTTTGTCACTCAATCACAAAGGCATGGAAGATGTTCAGTTTCAAAGAAGGAAGCCAATCCGTGACCAAGGCCACCAAATCCAACACCAAAAACAAACACAAAGGGCTGCATTCCCACACGTCACCACTGGCCCATTTCCAGAGCAGATCCTGACGGATGAGAGGCAGCAGGGAGGAGATGCTGGCTTGCTGCAGGGTTTAGCAGTTAATCTCAGGTGGCTGAAGCATGCCTTGTGCTTCAACCGAAAGGACTGAGACACGGAGATATTAAACAAAGCCTGTGTAACCCTTAAACAAACAGAGAAGGGAGCCAAGAATTGCTGTAGTCATAATCCCTTATTCTACAGCATCCACGGTGTTCAAGGCATCTTCATCAACAGTATGTGTTTTGATTGATTCCTCATTATAATCCAAGCAGTTATTATTAATATTTAGCCCCATTTCTCAAAGCTTTGTGGCTGAAAGACTGCCAGGACCGACGTTCTTTCTAGAAAAAAAAAATAGGTATTCTAAAAACAATTAGAGAAAACTTTAGACATCCCTCCCACAAAAGAGAAACTTTCCCCACCCATGCTGCAGGTCCAGAAATGTGCCCACTGCCATTATCCTTCTAAAACACATGCACACAAGTACTGAAGAGTAATTGTTTTTTATACTTTGTTTCTTAATCTAATGCTTTATACAAGGTCAAAACTTGAAAGATCATCTACAAGGTCTATTAAAAAACACTTTCTTCTCATTTTTGGGTTCTACTAAATTTGGAAATCCAATTTAAAGCCAATAGGTAAGGGAATAATATAGTTTCACACACTTATAATTTTATCTCATCTGCAAAGAAACTTCAAAACTAAATTCCATCCTGGAGTGGAATAACATATGCTTGCCCGTCAGCTATTTGCTAACTCTGTCTAATTTTCAGAAAAAAAGGGTGTTGTTCTGTTTCTAGATGTTTTATTCTGTAGTGTATATAAGGTTGCAATGTATTTAAAAATTTTTTTGGAAATAGATGTGGTATAAATCTTACATAAATAATGACAATTAAGATCTCCAAGAATAATATTATTTTATAGCTAGAGGTTTGGATTAACAGGCAAGAAAACAAAAACAAGAGTTTTCTACCAATGCGCAGGAATTTTGTGTTTTAATTTTCTCATCTACAAGAGGTGGTGCAACAGCGCTGTCCTGGGAGGCAAAGGACCAGGAGTCCAGTCTTCCTATGCTTATACCACATGCAACTTCCAGCAATGCATTCAATCTCTGAATAGTGTCCATCAAATGGGGACTAAAGACACCTTATCTATTTAAAAACAAGGAGTTGGATCAATTTGCTTATAGTTCTTTTATTTCTTAAGATCTATGGATCCTTCCTCAAAACATTTAGCTCTAAAACAATCTTGTAGATTAGGTCAAATGCAAACCACAAAACCATGTCTAGTAGCTTTTTAACAATCAAACCTCCACATGATTTTGCACTGATGCTAGAGAGAGTGAAGAAGGTGGCAGTCTTTCTGTCCAGTTCTCATAAACTATTGCTATTTCTAATAAAGTAACCTAAGCACCTGCTGTGGATAAGGCCCCAGGAAAGAAAAGTTTGCTGCCTCTAGACTAATAAAGAGAACTGACCATTGATCTTAGAGAAATGTTAATTTCCAAGCGAGTATTTTTTAAAACTCCTCCTTTGCTTTTATGTTTCCTAGGTTACCATAAATAGAACCTACACACTTTATTTGTACCATCTTAATGTCTTCGATTGAAGTGCTGTGTCCTTATCCTAGATTCTTAGCTAGTCTCCTAGCTCCTGGAGGAAAGCATCTATTTCTTACTCACCTTTATATCCTACATGACGCTCAACTCAGTGCCCTGCCTGCAGCAGGGACATAGAAAAGGTTGAACTGATTGACCTGACTTCCTAATTACCCAGCTGACTCTTTAGCTTTTGCTAAATGTTTCTTAGTCCTAATTAAGAGCCAAAGCATTAGCTGGGTACGGTGGCTCACGCCTGCAATCCCAGCACTTTGGGAGGCCGAGGCAGGTGGATCATGAGGTCAGGAGATCGAGACGATCCTGGCCAACACGGCGAAACCTCATCTCTACTAAAAAAAATACAAAAAATTAGCCAAGCATGGTGGCGGGTGCCTGTGGTCCCAGCTACTCAGGAGGCTGAGGCAGGAGAATGGCGTGAACCCAGGAGGCAGAGCTTGCAGTGAGCCGAGATTGCGCCACTGCACTCCAGCCTCCAGCCTGGGCGACAGAGAGAGACTCTGTCTCAAAAAAAAAAAAAAAAAGAAAGAAAAAAAGAGCCAAAGCATTGAGAAAATTTGCTAACGACTAAAAACAGCAATACCAAATGTAGCAAGCCCTAGGCTAGCATGTATTATGTCTTTCTCAAGGACAGATGAGAAATATTAAAGTGTTCATCAAAATACTATAAAAAGCTTCATTTCTTCATCTGTTCCTATCACAGATCAGGGATCCCATTTGGAGTTCATCTGCAATTTCAGATTTGCATGAGAAAGGCTTCATTGCAAAGCATCAGCTTCATTTGGCAAATTCAAAGTATCTAGGTAAATTGCTCATTCTTTTTGCATTTGTAAATTCTTTTTCCAAAATTGCTTTTAATAATTTAGTCTAATTCTTACTAAAGGTTTGACTTGGGAATTTTTATTTTTGTTTTTCCTTTTTTTTTGAGAGAGGATCCTTCTCTGTCACCCAGGCTGGAATGCAGTGCTGCAATCATAGCTCACTGCAGCCTTGAACTCCTGGGCTCAAGTGACTTGGGGGTTTTTAGTGTATTCTGAAGTAGAAGGTGTAGGAAAACAGAAAAAGAATATAATTATCCTTACAAATAAGTGATGCACATAGAAGATATACAGTTTGTTTAATATCTCCAGGGTGGCAGCCAGGAGGCTTAATTTCAGAATTTGGGAAACTTTATATTAACCATAGGGTTCTAGTAGCTGTTCCAGTAGTTTTTCCTGTGGTTTGATATGTCTTCAATAAAGGGATGCCTGCCAATCAGCCATAATACCTCTTTAAACTTTTATAGAATCAATATTACCATTTTGATCCATCAGAGGAAAGCTGTGTGGCTTTTTGCAGAATCCACTCAAGTGTCCTCCTGCCACTCGCCCTCTGCTGGGGCCCAGCCTGAAGCCAGCAAACAACAAAAAAACAAAAACAAAATAAAAGGAACCTCTTCTGGCTTCTTTTCATGTTTACACAATACTGTGGGAATGAGAAGGTAGCTACTCCGTTTGCCAAGCAGAGAAGAGCGATGAAGGATCAGTTATTGTGTAAGAGCGCAGTGTATATAAGCGGATTATTGCTTGCATTCTGTATAAAGTTTTCCTGTAATAACAATGACCGATTTAGTTCATTTCAAGCTATTCATATCCTTGGATTTATTTTTAAGGTGGGAAAGGAACAGCAGAAAGGGTGCCATGGGAAGGAGGGAGAAAAATATAAAACAATACAGCACCCAGACAGACTTCCCAGCGCCACGGCAGAAGCACGCCCAACACATGGCTCTGGGCTGCGATGGGCTGGCCAGATGATGAGCTTCAGGGTCATCAAAGGAGGGAGAAATGAGGGGTTGCCTGAATTTGTGTTGATTGGTGCACTGCACAGAGCAAGGACGAAATGTAAAGCTCAAAGGGAAAGGGTGGAGCCGAAGAGGAATGATATTGCTGCAGAAACTGTGCAGCTCTCGAGGTGTGCGGTGTCACTGGCAGGCAGCCCGTCACCTGGAAGAAAATGTGAAGCATGTTCCCTGCAGACAAGGGTGGTACACTGTAAACAGGCCCGTCGCTCGCTCGCTCGCTCGGGAGACAGGGGAGTTGGTATTTACCTTTCAGAGACCTTGGGTCACCCTGCCTCACCCTGAAAGAAGGAAATGTCTCTCACACTTAAAAATCTTAAGTGCATACCACAAAACTCAAATACAGCCCATGACGGGCAGAGCGCTCAATGAAAGGTGACAGATTTAGCAGAAGCATTTATGTGCTAATAAGTTCTGATGACTTCCAGAGGTTAATTTATGTCCTTTTCCCAGGAGTCAGACTTATTTCCCTATTTAAGAGGTAAATCGATTATTAGAATCAGACTCTTTTTAACCTTCAAAGCAAAAATGAAAATAGGTAATAACTTTCTACCCAGGCGGGCCACCTGCTCCCCAACTATACACAGACAACCTCGGGTGCTAAGAGTGTTTAAACATGTTCATCAGATTCTCCTAAAGCAGTAACAGCCAGGCATGGGCTGAGACAGCATTTTGGAATGTGTTTGAAATGGTGTAATCTTCCATAGTGCCCTATCTTTATTGAGGGAGAAAGAGAGAGAAAACTAATTGAGAAGTAAGAAGTGAGTGGGCAGTTTGGTAGAAGCAGCCACCCATTTGATTTTGTAAGATTTTAAGGAAAGAAAGAAGATTTTAGATGAAAATGTATGACTGCCCCCTTCAATCTCCTTGGGTAGATCTATACCTAATCCAGCTAAATATACTTTTGGCTGGGCGCGGTGGCTCATGCCTGTAATCCCAGCACTTTGGGATGCCAAGATGGGCGGATCACCTAAGGTCAGGAGTTCAAGAACAGCCTGGCCAACATGGTGAAACCCCATCTCTACCAAAAATACAAAAAATTAGCCGGGCGTGGTGGTGCTTACCTGTAGTACCAGCTACTTGGGAAGCTGAGGCAGGAGAATTGCTTGAACAAAGCAGGCAGAGGTTGCAGTGAGCCAAGATTACGCCACTGCACTCCAGCCTAGGTGACAGAGCAAGACTCTGTCTCAATAAATAAATAAATAAACAAACACACTTTTTTTCTTCACTAAAATACTTCACATGATTGGCCCATATTGGAGTTATTTATGTGCCTGTCTCTCCCCCTAAACTACAGGATCTTAGAAGACAGCACACCTTTTGTTTTAATTTTCTTTCACAGTGCCAAGCAAGTTACCTTTCACACAGTAGACATTGAATGAATATTTCCTGATTTAAAAACATGATTTTCAGAAAAAGAAAAAGGGTTTAAATGGGACACAAGAAAAGATAAAGCATCCAAAGAGTTAGATACTGTGCAAACAGACTTGATAAATACCGTTCCAGAAAACCAGCTTCCAAATCAAGGCCTGTTTAAGAAAGAGCATTTTTCGAGAAAAGAAAGAGAAGAAATCTGGGTGAAAATGAAACAGCAGAAACAAAATATTATCTGTTGATATATCATAATATATCCCTTCATTTATGCACAAATAATTTTCCTTCCTACCAGTACCCTCCTCGACACACATACAGACTTATTTAGGATGCATCAGAACCATGCCTATGAGCAGAAGGCAGCGGGTAAGCATTGAGAAGAACTTCAAGTCCACAGGGCCTGGTAAAGGAGGCAGCTGTGAGGCATGGGGGTGACAGTGATGGTCTCAGAACACACTAGTGGTGAAGGCCACACCAGCAAACCATGAGAACAGGATATTGTCAGCAGATGCCTGAGTAGAGGGACATATCTTCAACAGATCAGTATGTATCAATGAATAAAATATAGTACTCAGTGCATAGCATTTTACCTTAAAGATAACTCAGCTGAAATACAAGTCTTCTCTGTCATAAGGGATACCTCTAGGACCAAAACCACCAACCAGAATGGTCAAGCCAGAATTTCCACTATTCAGGTGTTGATCTGATCTCTTGGACAAAGCTTGCTTAAGATCACAGGATTCAGGAGTTTCTCCAGGGAAAAGAGCCTCTGCATTTTATCCACCTCACCACCAGGGCCAAGAACGAAGCCTCATATACCGGCATATCTCACTTTATTGCACTTGACTGATACTGTCTTTTTTTACAAATTGAAGGTCCATGGCAACCCTGCTTTGAGCAAGTCTATTAGCACCATCTTTTTTTTTTTTTTCAACAACATGTGCTCATTTCGTGTCTCTGTGTCATATTTTAGTAATTCTCACAATACTTTAAAATTTTTCATTATTATTACATCTTTTAATGGTATTCGGTGATCAGTGATCTTTGATGTTACTATTGTAATTGTTTTGGGGCACCACAAACCGCACCCATGTATGATGGAAAACTTAATCCATAAATGTTGTGTGTGTTCTGATGGCTCCACCAACCAGCAGCTGCTTCATCTCCCCCCATTCCTCTCTTTGGACCTCCCTATTCCCTCAGACAGAACACTATTGACATGAGATCAAATAATAACCTTAAAATGGCCTCTAAATGTTCAAGTGAAAGGAAAGGTTACATGTGTGCCATTTTAAATCAAAAGCTAGAAATGATTAAGCTGAATGAGGAAGGCATGTCAGAAGCTGAGACAGGCCAAAAACTAGGCTTCTTGTACTCAATAGTCAGCGCAGTTGTGACTGCAAAGGAAAAGTTCTTGAAGGAAACTAAAAGTGAATACACAAATGAAAAGGAAGTGAAGCAGCCTCCTTGCTGATATGGAGAAAGTCTGAGTGGTCTGGGTAGGAGGTCAAAACAGCCACAACACCCTGTTAGCCAAAGCCAGGTTTGAGCAAGACCCCAACTCTCTTCAATTGTGAGGAAGCCACAGAAGAAAAGTGTGAAGCTAGCACAGGCTGGTTCATGAGGTTTAAGGAAAGAAGCCATCTCCACACCATAAAAGTGCAAGATGAAGCAGCAAGTGCTGATGGACAAGCTGCAGCAAGAAGTCCAGGAGATCTAGCTAAGATCATGGATGATGGTGACTATTCTAAACCACAGATTTTTAATATAGACAAAGCAGCCTTATATTGCAAGAAGATATCGTTTCATAGAGCAGAAGTCAATGCCTGGCTTCGAAGCTACAAAGGGCAGGCTGATTTTGTGGTTAGGAGCTACTGCAGCTGGTGACATTAAGTTGAAGTCAGTGCTCTTTTACCATTCCAAAAATCCTAAGGTCCTTAAGAATGATGCTAAATCTACTTTGCCTGTGCTCTAGAAATGGAAGAACAAAGCCTGAATGATAGCATTTCTGTTTACCGCATAGTTTTCTGAATATTTTAAGCCCACTGTTGGGCCTACTTCTCAGAAAAAAAATTCTTTTCAAAATATTACTGCTCATTAACAATGCATGTTGCCACCCAAGAGCTTTGATGGCAATGTACAAGGAGATGAATGTTGTTTTCAGGCCTGCTAACACAACATCCATTCTGCAGCCCATGGATCAAGGAGTAATTTTGTCTTTCAATTTTCATTATTTAAGAAGTACATCTTATGTCCATTCCAAGATGGCCGAATAGAAACAGCTCTGGTCTGCAGCTCCTGGCATGATCAACGCAGAAGATGGGTGATTTCTGTATTTCCAACTGAGCCGCCGCTGGTGATACCCAGGCAAATAGGGTCTGGAGTGGACCTCCAGCAAACTCCAAGAGACCTGCAGTGAGGGACCTGACTGTTAGAAGAAAAACTAACAAACAGGAAAGAATAGCATCAACATCAACCAAAAGGACATCTAAACCAAAACCCCATCTGTAGGTCACCAACATCAAAGACCAAAGGTAGATAATACCATAAAGATGGGGAGAAACCAGAGTAGAAAAGCTGAAAATTCTAAAAACCAGAACTCCCCTTCTCCTCCAAAGGATCACAGCCCCTCGCCAGCAATGGAACAAAGCTGGAAGGAGAATGACACTGACGAGTTGACAGAAGTAGGCTTCAGAAGGTTGGTAATAACAAACTTCTCCAAGTTAAAGGAGCATGTTTGAACCCATCACAAGGAAGCTAAAAACCTTGAAAAAAGGTTAGACAAATGGCTAACTAGAATAAACAGTGTAGAGAAGATCTTAAATGACCTGATGGAGCTGAAAACGATGGCACAAGAACTTTGTGATGCATGCACAAGCTTCAGTAGCTGATTCGATCAAGTGGAAGAAAGGGTATCAGTGATTGACGATCAAATGAATGAAATAAAGAGAGAAGGCAAGTTTAGAGAAAAAAGAGTAAAAAGAAATGAACAAAGCCTCCAAGAAACATGGGACTATGTGAAAAGACCAAATCTACGTCTGATTGGTGTACCTGAAAGTGACAGGGAGAATGGAACCAAGTTGGAAAACACTCTGCAGGATATTATCCAGGAGAACTTCCCCAATCTAGCAACGCAGGCCAATATTCAAATTCAGGAAATACAGAGAACGCCACAGAGATACTCCTTGAGAAGAGCAACTCCAAGACACATAATTGTCAGATTCACCAAAGTTGAAATGAAGGAAAAAATGTTAAGTGAAGCCAGAGAGAAAGGTCGGGTTACTCACAAAGGGAAGCCCATCAGACTAATAGCAGATCTCTCAGCAGAAACTCTACAAGCCAGAAGAGAGTGGGGGCCAATATTCAACATTCTTAAAGAAAAGAATTTTCAACCCAGAATTTCATATCCAGCCAAACTAAGCTTCATAAGTGAAGGAGAAATAAAATCCTTTACAGACAAGCAAATGCTGAGAGATTTTGTCACCACCAGGCCTGCCTTACAAGAGCTCCTAAAGGAAGCACTAAACATGGAAAGAAACAACCAGTACCAGCCACTGCAAAAACATGCTAAATTGTAAAGACTATCAATGCTATAAATAAACTGCATCAATTAATGGGCAAAATAACCAGCGAACATCATAATGACAGGATCAAATTCACACATAACAATATTAACCTTAAATGTAAATGGGCTAAATGCCCCAATTAAAAGACACAGACTGGCAAATTGGATAAAGAGTCAAGACCCATCAGTGTGCTATATTCAGGAGACCCATCTCATGTGCAGAGACACACATAGGCTCAAAATAAAAGGATGGAGGAAGATCTACCAAGCAAATGGAAAGCAAAAAAAAAAAAAAAAAAAGAAGGCAGGGGTTGCAATCCTAGTCTCTGATAAAACAGACTTTAAACCAACAAAGATCAAAAGAGACAAAGAAGACCATTATATAATAGTTAAGGGATCAATTCAACAAGAAGAGCCAATTGTCCTAAATATATATGCACCCAATACAGGAGCACCCAGATTCATAAAACAAGTCCTTAGAGACATAAAAAGAGACTTAGACTCCCACACAATAATAATGGGAGACTTTAACACCCCACTGTCAATATTAGAGAGATCAATGAGACAGAAGGTTAATAAGGATATCCAGGACTTGAACTCAGCTCTACACCAAGCAGGCCTAATAGACATCTACAGAACTCTTCCCCTCAAATCAACAGAATAAACATTCTTCTCAGCACTACATTGCACTTATTCTAAAATTGACCACATAATTGGAAGTAAAGCACTCCTCAGCAAATGTAAAAGAACAGAAATCACAACAAACTGTCTCTCAGACCACAGTGCAATCAAATTAGAACTCAGGATTAAGAAACTCACTCAAAACCGCACAACTACATGGAAACTGAACAACCTGCTCCTGAATGACTACTGGGTAAATAACGAAATGAAGGCAGAAATAAAAATGTTCTTTGAAACCAATGAGAACAAAGACACAATGTACCAGAATCTCTGGGAGACATTCAAAGCAGTGTGTAGAGGGAAATTTATAGCACTAAATGTTCACAAGAGAAAGCAGCAAAGATCTAAAATTGACACCCTAACATCACAATTAAAAGAACTAGAGAAGCAAGAGCAAACAAATTCAAAAGCTAGCAGAAGGCAAGAAATAACTAAGATCAGAGCAGAACTGAAGGAGATAGAGACACAAAAAACCCTTCAAAAAATCAATGAATCCAGGAGCTGGTTTTTTGAAAAGATCAACAAAATTGATAGACCACTAGCAAGATTAATAAAGAAGAAAAGAGAGAAGAATCAAATAGATGCAATAAAAAATGATAAAGGGGATATCACCACTGATCCCACAGAAATACAAACTACCATCAGAGAATACTATAAACACCTCTATGCAAATAAACTAGAAAATCCAGAAGAAATCAATAAATTCCTGGACACATACACCCTCCCAAGACTAAACCAGGAAGAAGTTGAATCTCTAAATAGACCAATAACAGGCTCTGAAATTGAGGCAATAATTAATAGCCTAACAACCAAAAAAAAATCCAGGACCAGACGGATTAACAGCCAAATTCCACCAGAGGTACAAAGAGGAGCTGGTACCATTCCTTCAGAAACTATTCCAAACAATAGAAAAAGAGGGAATCCTCCCTAACTCATTTTATGAGGCCAGCATCATGCTGATACCAAAGCCTGGCAGAGACACAACAAAAAAAGAGAATTTTAGACCAATATCCCTGATGAACATCAATGTGAAAATTCTCAATAAAATACTGGCAAACCGAATCCAGCAGCACATCAAAAAGCTTATCCACCATGATCAAGTCGGTTTCATCCCTGGGATGCAAGGCTGGTTCAACATATGCAAATCAATAAACATAATCCATCACATAAACAGAACCAACAACAAAAACCACATGATTATCTCAATAGATGCAGAAAAGGCCTTCAACAAAATTCAACAGCCCTTCATGCTAAAAACTCTCAATAAACTGGGTATTGATGGAACGTATCTCAAAATAATAAAGGCTATTTATGACAAACTCACAGCTAATATCATACTGAATGGGCAAAAACTGGAAGCATTCCCTTTGAAAACCGGCACAAGACAAGGATGCCCTCTCTCACCACTCCTATTCAACATAGTGTTGGAAGTTCTGGCCAGGGCAATCAGGCAAGAGAAAGAAATAAAGGTATTCAATTAGGAAAAGAGAAAGTCAAATTGTCCCTGTTTTCAGATGACATGATTGTATATTTAGAAAACCCCATCGTCTCAGCCCAAAATCTCCTTAAGCTGATAAGCAATTTCTGCAAAGTCTCAGGATACAAAATCAATGTGCAAAAATCACAAGCATTCTTATACACCAGTAACAGAGAGAGAGCCAAATCATGAGTGAATTCCCATTCACAGTTGATACAAAGAGAATAAAATACCTAGGAATCCAACTTACAAGGGATGTGAAGGACCTCTTCAAGGAGAACTACATACAAACCACTGCTCAACGAAATAAAAGAGAACACAAACAAATGGAAGAACATTCTATGCTCATGGATAGGAAGAATCAATATTGTGAAAAATGGCCATATTGCCTAAGGTAATTTATAGATTCAGTGCTATCCCCATCAAGCTACCAATGACTTTCTTCCCAGAATTGGAAAAAACTACTTTAAAGTTCATATGGAACCAAAAAAGAGCCTACATTGCCAAGACAATCCTAAGCAAAAAGAACAAAGCTGGAGGCATCATGCTACTTCACTTCAAACTATATTACAAGGCTGCAGTAACCAAATCAGCATGGTACTGGTACCAAAACAGATATATAGACCAATGGAACAGAACAGAGGCCTCAGAAATAATACCACACATCTACAACTGTCAGATCTTTGACAAACCTGACAAAAACAAGAAATGGGGAAAGGATTCCCTATTTAATAAATGGTGCTGGGAAAACTGGCTAGCCATATGTAGAAAGCTGAAACTGGATCCCTTCCTTATACCTTATACAAAAGAATTAATTCAGGATGGATTAAAGACTTAAATGTTAGACCTAAAACCATAAAATCCCTAGAGGAAAACCTAGGCAATACCATTCAGGACATAGGCACGGGCAAGCACTTCAGGACTAAAACACTAAAAGCAATGGCAACAAAAGCCAAAATTGACAAATGGGGTCTAATTAAACTAAAGAGCTTCTGCACAGCAAAAGAAACTACCATCAGAGTGAACAGGCAACCTACAGAATGGGAGAAAAGTTTTGCAATCTACCCATCTGACAAAGGGCTAATATCCAGAATCTACAAAGGACTCAAACAAATTTACAAGAAAAAAAAACCCCATCAAAAAGTGGGCAAAGGATATGAACAGACGCTTCTCAAAAGAAGACATTTATGCAGCCAACAGACACATGAAAAAATACTCATCATTACTGATCATCAGAGAAAAGTAAATCAAAACCACAATGAGATACCGTCTCATGCCAGTTAGAATGGCAATCATTAAAAAGTCAGGAAACAACAGATGCTGGAGAGGATGTGGAGAAATAGGAATGCTTTTACACTGTAGGTGGGAGTGTAAATTAGTTCAACCATTGTGGAAGTCAGTGTGGCGATTCCTCAAGGATCTAGAACCATTTGACCTAGAAATCCCATTACTGGGTATATACCCAAAGGATTATAAATCATGCTACTATAAAGCACATGTATGTTTACTGCAGCACTATTCCCAATAGCAAAGACTTGGAACCAACTCAAATGTCCATCAATGATAGACTGAATTAAGAAACTGTGGTATATATACACCATGGAATACTATGCAGCCATAAAAAAGGTTGAGCTCATGTCCTTTGCAAGGACACGGATGAAGCTGGAAACCATCATTCTGAGCAAACTATCGCAAGGACAGAAAACCAAACACCACATGTTCTCACTCATAGGTGGGAATTGAACAATGAGAACACTGGGACACAGTGCGGGGAACATCACACACTGGGGCCTGTTGTGGGGTGGGGGGCTGGGGGAGGGATAGCATTAGGAGAAATACCTAATGTAAATGACGAGTTGATGGGTGCAGCAAACCAACATGACACATGTACACCTATGTATCAAACTTGCATGTTGTGCACATGTACCCCAGAACTTAAAGTATAAAAAAAAAAAAAAAAGAAATACATCTTATAAGGTCATAGCTGCCATAGATAATGATTCTTCCGCTGGATCTGAGCAAAGCAAATGGAAAACTTTCTGGAAAGGATTCACCATTCTAGATGCCATTAAAAATATTGGTGATTCATGGAAGGAGATCAAAATATCAACATTAAAAGGAGTTTGGAAAAAGTTGATTCCAACCCTGACATATGACGGTGAGGGGTTCAAGACTTCAGTGGAGGAAGTAGGGACAGATTTGATGGAGATAGCAGGATAACTAGAATTAGAAGTGGATCCTGATGATGTGACTGAATTGCTGCTTTCTCATGATCAAACTAAGGGATGAGGAGTTGCTTTTTATGGGTGGGCAAATAAAGTGGTTTCTTGAGATGGAATCTACTCCCGGTGAAGATGCTATAAACAATGTTGAAATGACAGCAAAGGATTTAGAATATTACATAAATTTAGTTGGTAAAGCAGTGGCAGGATTTGAGAGGACTGACTTCAGTTTTGAAAGGAGCTCTCTTACGAGTAAGTGGCTATCAAAGAGCATTGTATGTTACAGAAAAATCTTTCATGAAAGGTAGAATCAATTGATGTGGCAAACTTCATTGTTTTCCTATTTTAAGAAATTGCCACAGTCACCCCAGCCTTCAGCAACCACCACCCTGACCAGTCAGCAGCCATCAACATCAAGGCTTAACCCTTCATCAGTAAAAAGATTACAACTCGCTGAAGGCGCAGATGATCATTAGCATTTTTTTTTTAGCAATAAGATTTTTTTTTCTTCAACTTTTATTTTAAGCTCTGGGGTACATGTGCAGAATGTGTAGGTTTGTTACACAGGTAAACATGTGCCATGGTGCTTTGCTGCACAGATCAACCCATCACCTAAGTATTAAGCCCAGCATCCATTAGTTATTCTTCCTGATGCTCTCCTTCCCCCGGTGCCCCCAGTAGGCTCCAGTGTGTGTTGTTTCCCCTCCAGTTGTCCATGTGTTCTCATCATTTAGCTTCCGCTTATTAGCGAGAACATGCAGTGCTTGGTTTTCCGTTCCTGCGTTAATTTGCTAAGGATAACGGCTTCCAGCTCCATCCATGTCCCTGCAAAGGACGTGATCTCATTCCTCCTTATTGCTGCATAGTTTTCCATGGTGTATATGTACTACATTTTCTTTATCCGGTCTATCATTGATGGGCATTTGGGTTGATTCTATGTCTTTGACGCAATAAGATATTTTTAAATTAAAGTATGTACATTTTTAGACATAATGCTATTGCACACTTAATAGACTGCCGTACGGGGTAAACATAACTTTTATATACACTGGGAAACCAAAAAATTTGTGTGATTCACTTTATTGCAATGCTCACTTTATTGCAGTGGTCTGGAACCAAAATTGCCATATCTCCAAGGCACGCCCATGTAGAAATAACCAAGTAAACATCTGTCAGAATTGGAAAGGAAGACAACAAAGCAGAAAAATAATTAAAGAGGAAGAAAAATACCATCAACTGAAGGAGTTACAGTTGGTTAATTGGTGTGGGGAGCTGAAGAAATTAATAGATGACAACTATTGTCACATTTTTTAAAAGAATCATTATTTCAAAATGTTGAATAATTATTTTAATTCTGCACACAGCATAGAAACAAAGAAAACGTAATTAAATTGCAAAGCGAGGAACTTCAATTGGACATAAAGAAAGCTTGTCAATAAGGGTAACAGCAAGAGAGCTTATGCACCGTGCATCCCTGCAGATGTCTAAGAAGGTAATTATTCTTCGTCTTAGTCAGATTAGGTATAGACCTACCCAAGACAAGCAGTTGAACCAGGAACCATTTCTGCTCCCTTCCTGATCTCTGATTTGATTCAATCTTCTATTTGCTTATCTTCTAAATGTGCTTGTAATAACCTGCCCTTTTGCTAGCACCTTCTTGTAAATGTGATGCCTATCTGGGTTTAACCCAGCTAAATAAACTGAATTCAATAAAACCCATCCTGGGTTATCCTCCAGGAGAGTTATTACTCCACTAACATGCTACTGTTGCTACTGTTACCTAATGCTTTAACTTCTCCTTTAGGCTTGAATTATGCTACATTATTGTATATCTAAGATAAGAGGCTGTCTGGAGTCTGTTCAATGTTATCGCGTAATACACAGTGACTTTTTTATTGAAGGCACTCCATGATTCCCTCTGCACTAATGCAGGTTTTACTGAAACTAATTCAAAAATTGTGTGTATGTGTGTGTGTATGAGTGTGTGCACGTGTGTACACACATATATACATATATTTGAGAATACATATAAAGATAAATGCTAAATTGAAAACAAAGTCACAATGCTTCTCTCTGCAGCTGAGAATCTACAATCATCTGTCAGACTGCTATGCCCCATGCTATATTAATCTAGCTTTTAAAGTTGAAGAGATAGCACCACACTGGGAGCTTGCTGTCTCTCCATGCTGACCAACAAGCCTCTGCCAAACTTCTGCCACTTCAGATCCTTGAGAATGCGGCAATTCCTAACCATGAGGTCCCCAGACTCCTAAGCCTTCACAGAGTTAAAAATGGGGTATTTGGAAAGAGTATCAGTGTTTCAAAAAGCCTACGGAAATTTTACATTGCTACAAAGACTGTGATAGGCTATCAGGCTGCCTTCTTTGGTTTTGAATGTTATCAACTCTTTGAATAACTGTGATTATCTCATACTTATCAGAAGCTTTGGTTGACATCATACATTATTTTGATGAATAAATTACGAGGGTAAATTAATTATTCCTTAAAACTGTAGTTTGATAGGAGAAAAATATTTCAAAATATGGTGTCCAATAAAGAAAAATATATATAAGTACCCTAGTGAAAAAAGGTTGGGTACCTCAACCATGAAAACAGTACATGAAAGGAAAAACATTGACCTGGGATTTAGGGTACCAGCCCTTGCTCCATTACTTAATAAACGAAAGTATACCATGATTGCCTATGACATAAAGTCCAACGCAAAAGATAAAAATCCATGCTACACTTCAGTTTTCTGCCCCGTTGATTCAGGGCCAAAATTTAGCATTAACTTGAAAAATTCTATAACTATTTGTTTTCAAAATAGACCTAGATTTCTGAGGTAGGCAGAGAAATATTTTATGTCTCTTTCTCCTACTAATCTTCTTCTATCTATTTAGAGAACACAACTTTCAGGGAAAAAATTGTGCAATAGTCGGGTGGAAGATCAGTGTTAGCATTTCTATGCTTCCAACCGAGGACAAAGGTAGGAAGTGTTTCTGTAACTTTTTACTGTGGAAACTATGAGCTTTAGTCCACTTCATCAGTTCTGAGTTTCAAGGAAACAAATCACTGGAGTAGGAAAAGATGTCACCTGAATAAGCAAAATTGCCATAGGGGAATGCCAGCTTGAAACTGGAAATTTGACCAGTAACCCTCTGTAAAGCTGTGCTCTAAGCTGTAGATCAAATCAAGAATTGTGACCATCACATAATACAGAGGTTGAAGGCAGAAAAATCCACAAATTTTATTTGTCAAAAGTGTTGACAGATCTCCCCTGATTAAGAGATGAGTACAAAGCAAAACCATCAGAAGGTGTATGGAAAGCATTATAGCAGTGGTCTGAAAGTAGCACCATGAAGATTCTAAGGCCAAAGATTCCATTCAAAATTATATGCTGCAGAATCAGAAAAACAACTGTTGAAAATTGTTTGGTTTCCTCAATAGAGGACAAGAAGGAATGACCTTACCACCAAAAACCAAGACCAGAAAGTCATAAGAGGAGAGAGAAGCTGAATAGAAAAGGCAGCACAGGTTGAACAGGCAACAACAGAGGAAGAAAGATGAAGGGGGGATAAAAAGAATAATTTCAAGGAAATTTTTTTTTTTGAGATGGAATCTCGTCTGCTGACATGCTGGAGTGCAGTGGCGCCATCTCAGCTCACTGCAACCTCTGCCTCCCAGGTTCAAGCGATTCTCCTGCCTCAGCCTCCAGAGTAGCTGGGACTACAGGCATGCACCACCACGCCCGGCTAATTTTTGTATTTTTATTAGAGACGGGCTTTCACTATGTTGATCAGTATGGTCTCGATTTCTTGACCTCATGATCTGAATCAACAGAATTAAAATCATACTTGGAGCAACAGAAAACTAGAAACCAAATCTGTAACGTGATTTTTCAGATGTTCTCTCAGAATGAAAAGCAAATGACAAAGAGAAGAAAATGACATGAGATAAAATAATAGACAGCAGGGAGTAGAGATCCAAAATATACTCAGTTGGGATTTCCAAAGAAGGAATGAGAACAAATGAAATAGAAGCTCAGTGTGGGTCTTTCCCACTAGATCATGAAGCCCATAAAGATCAAATCTGGATTTCCAGAATGGCTAAGTGAAAAGGTTGGCAAATCCTCTCCCCAAAAGGCAATGATAAAGCTGGGAAAATTTGTCAAAAACAACCACTTTAGGACTCTTGAATTTGTCCAAGAGTATACAACAAATTGAGAAGTTTATTCACGACAAACTACTGGACCAAGGTAGGAAACTTGTGCTCCTCCCATTCTCCTACCCACCTCCATGCCCAGGGCATTGATGAAAACAACAGGAACTCTGTGGCAAACATTCAGGAAAGGTCAACATTGCAGCTAGCCTGAGGTCACGATTCTGGTAGAGGTAAGCAACAGACCAGGAGACCAACCAGAAATTCAACAGAGAGAACTGGAAATAGGAAAGCTATAGTGGGCTTTGATAAGCTTTCGCATATTCCTGGTGATGTAGAATGTCAATTTTGTCAAAATATCAACAAACATGACAAACCTATAACTAAAATGACCAAAAAAAAAAAAAGACCAGTAGACACAAACTATCAAAATCAGTAATGAGAAAGAGGACATTACTACTAACTTTAAAATAAAAGGATATAAGGAAATACTATGAACAAAAACTTTATGCTAACAAATTGGACAACTTACATATAATAGACAAATTCTTGGAAAGACAAAATTTACTAAAACTAACTCAAGAAAAAATAGAAAATCTGATTAGATTTATAGAAAGTTAAAGAAACTGGATTATTAATTAAAGTATTGACACAAAGAAAGGCACAGGCCCAGATGGCATCACTGACTAATTCCATCAAATATCTAAAGAAAAACTATACTAATTCTTCACAAACTCTTGCAGAAAATAGAGAAGGAAATACTTCCTAACCTATTCTAGGAGTCCAGTGTTACCCTGACACCAAAACCAGACAAAAACATAACAAAAGATACTACTTCCCACTTACTAGAATGGCTGCAATAAAAAAGAGACAGACAATAACAAGTGATGGCAAGAATGTGGAGAAACTGGAATCCTCACCCATTGCCAGTGAGAATGTAATATGACACAGCTACCATGGAGAACAGTTTGGCAATTTCTCACAAAGTTACACATAAACTTATCACATGACCCAGAAATTCCACTCCCAGGCATATGCAAATATTTATGGCAACATAATTCTTAATAGTCAAAAAGTGGTAACCACTCAAATACACTTCAACCAACGTATGGGTAAATAAAATGTGGTCTATCCATAGAAAGGAAGATTATTCTGCCATAAAAAGGAATGAAGTACCGATACATGCTACAACATGAATGAAATGGATGAACCTTAGAAACACTATGCTAAGTGAAAGAAACCAGATGCAAAAGACCACAGGATATATGATTCCATTTGTATAAAATGTTCAGAAGACACAAGTTTATGGATATGGAAATTAGGATCATGGCTCCCCAGAGCTAGAAATGAGTGGGGGTAGGGGAATGACTGCAAATGGGTGCAAGAGCTATTTCTGTGGTGACACAAATGTTTTATCACTGGATTGTGGTAATGGTTGTAAAACTCTTTAAATTTACCGAAAATCATTGAGCTGTATATTTTAAATGGGTGAATTTTGTGGTTTGTAAATTATATCCCAATAAAGCTGTTAAAATATTTTTAAGATTAAAAAAATCAGATGACATGTTCACTGCTGCATCTCAGCATCCAGCACAGTTCTGGCCACATAGTAGGTACTTAGCAAATGTTGACTCAATACGTGAATGAATAAGGGAGTGGAGTAATATCGAGGAGTTTGCACTAAAATGATTGCATGGCCTACAGAAAGACCTATGCGTTTAAAAAGATTCATCATATTCCAGGGGGAAAAAAACAACTAATGAAGGCTAAAACTTTTTAAAAAGTACTCTATTAAAGAAGAATTGCTGCAAGAATTTGGAGAAAAGAAAAAAGTTTACAAAGGGTAGCCTCATATTTCTTCTATGAAAAATAAATATCAGAAGAGAGTAGACGAACATATACAAATTTTTAAAGGGGAAAGAATGACCGTCAGACATTTTCTTCCCCAGCTAACTTGTTTTTTCACATGGGAAAGACATTCTGAAATGTGCAAGCCTTTTAAAAATACATCTACTATATACTCTTGAAAACGTTACTTAATATCAGATACGATAGGCTAAGAAAAGCTACAATTACCAACAAACCCCAAACCTCAGTGGCTTAAAACAACACAGGTTATTCTTTGACAACTATTAGCACCTTTAGAGGGAGTTGGAGTCATCTGCTGACTGCTGTCACTCAGCAGTTTAGGCAGCTGAAGTGTCTATCTTGAGCTTTCCCAGAAGGAAGAGAGGCCTGGAGAGTTCCCCTTGCCAAGTCCATTCATAGCTCACTGGCTAGAACTAGCCACATGGCCTTACCCTACCAAAAGGGGGCTGGGAAATGCAATCCTACCAGGTGTCTGAAGAATTAAGAAAAGGTAGAAAGAGGAAGACAGACCGGTCATTGAACCTAAGAATGAAAGAATAGCAGAGCGGCAGAGCATCTTACAACCGGCGCTCCCTCCACCCAACAGAAGGCAGCCCAGGCCCGGCATTTCCTGACTTCCAGCCTAGCAACAGACCACAGGCACGTTCTTTCCCTCAGATCGAACGAATGGGAGGAATGGGAGTCCCACAATAACAAATGACAATGGCTGCATTATTGTGAAAGCTTAAGATTTATGCACTAGCGTAGGGTGGATGTCCTTGATCGGCACAGCTCTCCGCACCATCACTAAAAGACTCAAGAGTCTTTCCCTCTTGTGACTTTGCATTCCCCTAGGACGTCATCATTGCCTGCATCCAGCCAGACAGACAGAAGGGACAGAGTTTGGAGAAATTGTTGAGGGAGATTTTTATTGGATAAGCATGAAAGTCACACACACGCGCGCGCACACACACACACACACACACACGCTTATGATTTCTCGGAAACAGCTTAGCAACATGGCCAAACCTAATTGCAGATGAAACTGGGATAGCTACCTCCGTTCCCAGGAGAAAAGAGAAAATGTATTTCATGCACACTTGGTCATCCCCTTCAAATAAATCAATTTCTATAACATATAAACTATATCTTTGTTCATCCGAAGGTTAGCATCAAATATGGGAAACAAAGAAAGAAGCAATCCTCATTAGATTTAGGAACAAGAAAAGGAGGAGTGCTTTCATCACTTTTTTCCCACATAGTCTTGGAGGAACCAAAGTAAACATATATTAGAAATATAAATTTTCAAGAAGAAGAGACAAAATTACCTTATTTTTCAGGAGTTGTGATTATTCACCTGAAGAAAATAAAGGAATCAACTGAAAACTCATTTCAAACAATAATTCACAAGATGGATGCGTGTACCAAATTAACACAAAAATTATTAACCTTCCTACATACAAACAAAAATCACTGGAAGATATATTTGAAGAGAAGGCAACAATTAAAAAACAAATGAAAAGGAGAAAATATCGACAAATAATATTTAAAAGAAAAGTAGTAATATCTGCATAATAAGATGTTTATAAAACTATTGAGGAAGAAAGGAAAAAGAAAACCCGAACAAAACAAAACAAAAAGGCCTACCAAGTTTTTGGACTAGAGGGTGCAAAATCATAAAGCATTTCCTCAAATTAATACATATATTCTATAAAATTTAAATTCAAACGCCAACAGTTGAAAGGAGGGAGAAGAAGACTAGATAAGCCAATCTAGAATTCAAATGGAAAATAAACAAGAATCATCAGGACAAGTCAGAGGAAAATTTCAAAAGTTATAGGGCAAGAGTGGACTAGCTATACACATTATTCAAATAGCACATATATTAGTTTCCTATGGCTTCTGTAACAAATTACCACAAACTCGAACCATACCAATTTATTAGCTTATAGTTCTGGAGGTCAGGAGTCCGAAATGGGCCTCGTTGGGCTAATGTCAAGGTGCAGGCAGGGGTGTGTTCCTTTGTGGAGGATCTGAAGGAGAATCTGATGCTTCACCTCTTCCATCTCCTAAAGGCCATTGTTTTCCTTGGCTCACGGCCTCATCCCATCGTCTTTGAAGCCAGCAATGTTTCATTTCTCTAAAATTTTTCTGTAGTCATGCTTCCCTCTTACTCTAAACACAGATGGAAATGTGTCTCTGATTTTATGTCCACATGATTAGATTTTGCCCATCCAGATAATCTAAGAAAATCCCTCCATCTCAAGGTTTCAAGTTTAATCACATCTGCAAAATCCCTTTTGCTATGTAAAGAAACACATTTATAGGTACCAGGGATTAGGATGTGGACATCTTGGGGGTGGAGGGATGAGGGGAAGGACTTTATTCTGCCTACTTCATCATGATTCTGATTCATGTATAGACAGAACAATGAAATATAATAGAAAATATCATAGAAATATTAAAGAAAGTCTAGAATAGACTACAGCAAACATACGGTGTTAATCTATTATAAATGCCATTTTATATCAGTGGCAAAATTGCTTATTCAACACTTATTGAAATAACTGTATTAGAATTGGAAATGAAGTAAATTGGATACCACCGTATGGCACTACAACAAAATTAATTCCAGATGGATCAAAGATTTAAATGTAAAGAAATGAAACCATAACAAAATTAGTATAAACTGTGGAGGAATATTTTATAACCTTTGAGTGAGGAAACCATAAAAGAAGATATTGATAAATTCAACTACATAAAAATTTTAAAATATGCATGGTAATAGAATACCATAAACTAAATCAAAACATAAACCAAGAACTGTATATTTTTTAACTTCAACTCATTTCATTGCATAAGGTTAATATCCTTAATATATAAAGAACTCCTATGAATCAATAAAAAAGAACCCAACAGAAAACTGGACAGAAGTTGCATATAAACAGTTCAAAGAACAGAAATTCAAATTGCTCTTAAACACAAGAAAATATGTTCAACCTCACTCATAAGCAAAGAGATGAAAATCCACCCTGAGATACCTTTTTTTGTAACCTAGCAGATGGACAATGATAACTCTGATAACACATTATGTTAATCATGGTATGCATACACAATACTGGAGTAGATGTCAATTGATAAATTCTCTGAGAGGAGCAATTTACTCAAACTAAAAATGCACATACACTTTGATAAAGCAACTCTATTTCTATGAATTTATGTGCTAAATATATAATGGGCAAAATAGAATGTGTACATGGCAAATAGAATGTGTCAGTATTGTTATAGCAAAAGATTGAACATAAACAAAATGCCCAATAGGTTCTTGGTTAATTATAATAATCCACATATTCAGATACTCTGGAATACTCTTCAGCTCTCCAAAGAATAAAGTAGCTTCTTCATACTGATATAAATGGATCACCTAGATAAATTTTAACTTTACCAAAATGCAGAATAGCAGACAGGGCAAGCTAACATTTGTGTCAAATTACAGACCAGATGCCAAGGCCAAGTAGGAATAATTTTTAAATTATATGTTTTCCTCTTTTTGCCTTGAATCATCAAAGGTTGATTACAAGTAAATTTCTGATATTAAATGTCAATGTTATAAATCATCTTTTAGGCATGGTAATAGGATATCAAGCGTAAGCCAGCAGGATTTTGCATGGGGAGTTCCCCCCTTTCCTTCCACCTTTCCCTAGCAAATATTCTGGGAAACGAGGCACATTTTTTCCTGAATTAAGTATGCTTCACTGTGACCTCATTCTCTCTTCATTCATCAGACACCCCAAACTTGACCCGCAACCCAAACTGCATTCTTTTCCCGTTGGACCTTAAAGTTTCAGGAAACTGATATTTTAGCCACACACACAAAAAAGCCTTCAATCTAAAGATTAGTTTTTACATGTTCTCTAAATAGTTTTGCAAAATCACTTGGCAAAGTGTCTGAGAATGGTTATAGGTTGTTATCCTACCTGCCTTAATTTTCAAAGATGCTATACATTATGAATAACTGGAAAGGAAGAGTTTCTGCAGTTTATGGGTACATCTGTTTTCAAAACCTATTTTCCAGAATGATTGTTGACTCCTTAGTATCTGTTCTTTTCCTTTGCTTATTAGATATCCTGCATCAGAATAATGATTCAGCAAAGTAATACAGCTACAGACTGTCTTTCATTCTTGATCTGGCTGATCCTCATATCTTTGTCTACCAGGAAATATAATCATTAAAATGAACGTCCTGGAACATGGATAAAGAATGACACTTTTCCCGGAGATACAGGCTTTATACCAGGGCAACCCACACATTTTGTTACTTGGCTTTCTTTTCCATACAAGGCACAGTGGACACCAATCTTTGTGGCCCTATAACTCATGATGGCTTCCTCCTTCTCTGGGAATAATCCCATACACAGATAATGTGTTTATAAGACTTAATAGATTCTGCTCCTCTATGGCAAGAGGAACAGATTCTATAAGATTCTTTATAAGATTAAAGAATCTATTTATAAGAGTCTGCTCCTCTTGCCATAGAGATACATTGATGGACAACCCAACTGGACTAATCAGCCCTTTCCCCATATTTTTGTCTAGAAGTAAAGGAAGAGAGGCAGCCTCTCTGTGGGAGTTGGAAACACAGGATGCAAGACCCAGGAGCAGCTGCCTGCCTGCTATGGTTTCTGCTACACAGAGAAAGCTTATTTGCAGTAGGCAGTATTTAAGGCAACAACATAGAGACAAGCAGAAAAAAAGACACATGAAAGGGAGGCCTAAGGGCTTTGACATCTTGGTTCCAGTGGACCCTGGGTCTCACTACGTCCTTGTCTTTGCCATAATTATGTGAAATATTCCAATAATTATTCTCTAAATGATCCACTTGGCCTAAGCTAGTAGGTGGAGTTGGGTTTCTCTGAGTTCCAACCAAAACAGTTCTGACTAACACACCTTGCTTACATGACAATATCCACCTGCTCAGACATCCCTCCCTACACATATGTGCCCTGGGTTTGAATCCTTGGCCCCACTATTTAAGAGCTGTGTGACCTTGGGACAGTTAGGTAAACCTCTTTAGCCTCAATTTACTCATCTCTTTGATGGAGGTAATGATAGAATCCATCTCAAAGGATTATTACGGAGTTTCAATGAGTGAATAAATGAAAATTTGCTTATAATAGTGCCTGAAACACAGTAAGTGGTCAAAAAGTTAGCTATTCTTGTTATCATATATCATTATACCTATATATATGTAAAATATATTATAAATATATTGTAAAATATATTGCCAAAATATATTGCCACATAATCTAGTAATATGTTTAGAGCAATAATGAAACTTTTTTGTATGCTTTTTATATGCCAGACAGTGCTGATATAATCATTTCATTTAATGCTCACAAAACCTATGAGGTAGAAAGCATTATTATCCCCACATTACTAAGAATAAAATCACATACATAATTTTTTCAGTCTTACAGCTAGAAATTAGCAGGATCAGTCATTGGAGCTATGCCTTTGACTTCAAAACCTATGTTCTCTTTTTTTTTTTTTTTTTCCTAACCTTTTCTGAGTGTTGCTGGGGTGGGTGTAATATATGAGTAATAAAAAATGTACAAAATCTAAATGTTCCACCAAATGAATTTTCACAAAGTGCCCTCCACATAACCACCACTCAGGCCAGATGCCCCTCAAAGTCTCCTCTCAGTCTCTCTCTCTTGCCCTCTTCCCTGAAAAAATCACTCTTACGATGACTTGAACTGAGTCAAATTAGCTAATAAAGAACTACATTTCCCAGAATTCCATTATGATTCCAGTTAAGGTTGGTTGCAAGAGAAATTGGCTCAGGATTTGGAAGGCAGGAATAAAACAGTAGCCGTTCAGCTATGAAAGTCACTGCAAGACACCAGGTACAGCTCCAGCTCATGCACATTGATACTGCTGGCTCCCCACATTGGCCTGGGACAGCAGCCTGGCCTCATCTCCTTCAGTTCCCACCAAACCTCCTCCTTCAGCTGCTCCCAGCGCTAGCCCAGGTGTCTGTGCAGCTCCATGGCAAAGGGTGTAGCAACTTCTGCAGGTCACCAGCACCATCAAGGTCAGAAACAGTGAGAGAAAAATACAAGTAACAGGTTGCCCTCATGGGCTCCCGGTCTTGAGGCCATGCAATAGTATAAGTCTGTGAGATTCATATTGTTGCAAGTAACTGTAGTTTGTTTTTTTTTTCTCTGCCATTTCATATATTGTATGAATGGAGTACAATTAATTTACCAGTTTTAGTGCTGATTGTTAATTGGGGTGTCTCTAGGGTAGGTTTATTGTGAATACTACTACTCAGAATATTTTTATACCTATTTATTAGTGCATATAGCAAACATTTCTGTTGAGTATGTAACTAAGAATGGCATTGCTGGGCCATAGGGTATCCATATGTTTAACTTTAATAGAAAATAATAAGCCATTTCCTAAAGTCTGTATGCCATTTTCCACTCCCACCAGTAGTACATGCATTGCAAATATTTTATCCTACACTGTAGTTTGCTTTTACACTCTTTTTAGGGGAGTCTGTAAATGAATAGAAGTTCGTCATATTAAAGTGATCCAATTTATCAATCTTTTCCTCTACAGTTAGTGCTTTTTCAATTCTGTTTAATAAATCTTTCTCTACCCCCTAAGACATGAAGAAATTGTCCTATATTATCTTTTGGAAGCTTTATTGTTTTGCCTTTCACACACAGATTTGTAAGTTACCTGGAATTAATTTTCATGTCCAATATGAGGCAGGGGTTCAGTTTCATTTATTCCAAATGGTCATAAAATTGATCTACCACCACTCACTGAAAAGTTGATCTTTGTCAAAAATTAAGTCATAAATGAATAAATCTGTCTCTATGAATAAATCAGTCTGTGCCTTCTACTCTGCTCCATTTATTTCTCTCTCATGGCATCATTACCACACTGTGTAAATTATTCTAGCTTTAGAATGTGTCTTTATAACCAGTAAAACAAGTTCTACTACCTTATTCATCTTCTTCAAGAGCAACTTAGCTATTCTTGGCTAAGTTTTAGATGGTTTTTCCATCTAAATATGAAAATCAGCTTATCAATTTATACCAAAAAAACCTGTAAGGAATTGTAACTGAGATTGACTCTATAGACCAATTGGGAGAAATAACTGACATCTTAAAAATGGTGAGTCTTTTGATGCATTCTTTAAATGTTCTCAATTATGGTTTATAATTTTCTGTGTAGACATCTTAAACATCATTTCACCAATGAACAAAGTTTGAGGAGAATCAAGGTATTTTCATAGTCTCAAAATATCTCCCCTAAGATATCTACCAATGACAAAGGGAAAAATAGGAAATTTTTACAGCAGGGAAACCTGGCAGACACCACTGTAACTAAGTGATCAAGCTTACCATCATCAGTAATAAGTTGTATCAACATCAGGCACCTCCTGATATGATGCAGTATCACATCTGTAATACATTCTCGCCAAAAATGCATAACCCCATGGAATCATGAGAAAACATCAGACAAATCAAATTGAAAGACATCCTACAAAATACCTGACCACTAATCATCAAAAGTGTCAAGTTTATAAATGACAAGCAAAAACTGAAGAACTGCCACAGATTGGATGAGACTAAGGAGATGCAAAAACTAAATGCAATATGGGAATCCTGGATTGGATCCCAGAGATGAAAAGAACATTAGAGATCAAACTGGCAAAATTCTAATAATGGTTGTGGCTTAGTTAACAGTATTGTCCAATGTTAATCTACTTGTTTTAAAAAACTGTATTATGGTTATGCAAGTTGTCAACTTTAGGAAAAGATAAATAAAGAGTATGTGTAAATTTCTACGTCAGTTTTGCGACTTTTCTGTGAGTTTGAAATTATTTCAAGATTTTAAAAGAAAGGGAAAATAAAGTCATACTGGCTCATGAAATAATTGGAATCTTCTTTGCTCTTTTTATATTCTCTAGAGAAGTTTACACAAGATCAACAGGATTTCTGCCTTGATGTTTGGTAGAATTCATCAGCAAAACTATCTGGATTAGAGTTTTTTGTGGGATAATTTTAAATTATGAGTTCTATTTAACTAATAATTATAAAGGATAAGATTTTTCTAATTTTTCTCATGACTATGTTTACTTTGCCTAGGAACCTATTCATCTATCCATTTTATTTAATTTTCAAATTTGCTGGCATAAAGATTTCTGTAATACCTTATTTTTTTGTATTGGCTATAGGATCTGTAGTGATGTCATCTTTTTTCATGTCTGATACCAACTATTTTGCCTTCTTTTTCCCATTCATTCCTGCCATGGCTTTATCAATTTTATTAGTCTTTTCAAATAAAGAAATTTTAACTTTTTAGAAGCTCCTTATTTTGTTTTTTCTTTTACTGATTTATTTTCTTTTATTTATAATTTTATTTTTCCTATTTTTTTGGTTTTAATTTATGATTATTTTATTAACTTCAAGAAATAGAAGGCCACTGGTTTTCAGCCTTTTTTGTTTTCTAATGTATTTATTTTAGGCAGTAAGTTCCCTCTAAGTGAACTTTAGCTGCATCCCTCAATAGTTGATGGCACGTTTTCATTATTATTTAGTTTAAAAATGCTTCCTGGGCCAGGCAAGGTAGCTCAAGCCTGTAATCCCAGCACTTTAGGAGGCCAAGGCGGGAAGATCACTTGAGGTCAGGAGTTCAAGACCAGCCTGGCCAATATGGCGAAACCCCGTCTCTACTAAAAATACAAAAATTACCCGGGCATGGTGGTGTGTGCCTGTAATCCCAGCTACTCAGAAGGCTGAGGCAGGTGAATCGCTGGAACCCAGGAGGCAAAAGTTTCAGTGAGCTGAGATCGCGCCATTGTACTCCAGCCTGGGTGACAGAGTGAGACTCGGTCTCAAAAATACAAAACATGTAAATAAATAAATAAAAGTGCTTACTGCCTCAGGAACCCACATGCTCACCTCTGCAGCACATTCCTTCTCCTCTTTCCACTTCTGAAATGCTTCCTTCATCTTTGGAATTTATAATGTAAAAGAATTTTGCTAGACATAGGAAGGACACGAAAAGGTCTCTGCCCTCAAGAATGTTTTTGAAGAGGTAAGATGTATGAACAAGATCCAAAAAATCAATACACTTGAAATATGGTGAATGACATGAGTAGTACAATTTTTTAAAATCCTGACTACAGTGTTTGGGCAAAATTTCATGCAGAATGTGGATTTTAACTGAACTTGTACTTACGGAAAGGACTTAGGTGGTGGGAGGAAAGGGATAAGGGAAACTAGGATGAGCAGAGACCTAGTGGGTGGAAAGTTCAAAGAGCTGTTTGGGGAAACAATGAGTCAGTGTGGCTCACTGAAGAATTTGTGTGATGAAATGGGAGAACTGCAGTTAAAAAATAGTTCTGTCTTATATATCATAGTAATATTGGGTAAATGAATTTGATTTCATCTTGTAGAGAATAGAGAGCCATTTTAAAATTTAGATTGGCAATTGATACAAACAAATGACTGGGTACATGGCTCACTCACACCTGCAATCCCAGCACTTTGGGAGACCAAGGCAGGAGGATTGCTTGAGCCTGGAAGCTCAAGACCAGCCTGGGCAACATAGTAAGACCTCATTTCTGCAAAATACACAAAAATTAGATGGGTGTGGTGGCAGGTACTAGTGGTCCCAGATACTCAAGAGGCTGAGATGGGAGGATCACTTGAGCCCAGGAGGCAGAGGTTGCAGTGAGCCATGATGGTGCCAGTGCATTCCAGCCTGGGCAACAGAGCCAGACCCTATCTCCAAAAAAAAAAAAAAAGAAAGAAAGAAAGAGAAAGAGAGAGATGAAAGAAAAAGAGAGAGAGGGGAAGGAGGGAAGGAGGGAAGGAAGGAAGGAAGGAAGGAAGGAAGGAAGGAAGGAAGGAAGGAAGGAAGGAAAGTATTGTAGGAATACTGATCAGGAGGCTCAAGTTGGATAAATTGAAAAGAACAGAAGCTAAAAGCAAGAAACCAAGCACATGTTCTAAGGTCTTTACTGGCGTAAGAATAGGAGGAATTAAAAAGACAACAGGATAACCTGTGGAGAGGGTTGGTTGGGGGGCATCTCATTGACCCTTTGGGATCAATCCCAAAGAAGATTGACTTTAGTGAATAAGGACACAAGTACTTCTCTTACCACATCAAAGAAATGATGCATTTGCTATCAGGCTAAAAAGAGCAGTAGCAGTATAGAGAGCCTTTATCCTATGTTTAGATGCTTTCCTTACTTTTTTTTTTTTTTTTTGGAGAAACCACTTTCTTGTATTTTGGGGTGGTGTTTCTGCTTTTCAACATGTATGTGGGGAATTGTTGCAATTTTCACTTTGTCGATTACATTGGCCAAGAGATATTGTACTGCATTTCAACCTGATGCCTTCCACATTTGTATAGATCACAAACCCCATAGTTCAGGAATGAGCCAAAAACATGCCACATCTGCATGATGCTAAAGGTCATTCCCTTGAAATGCATCATACCAAATGGAATCTTATTTCTTGCCAAAAACGTTGTGGGTGTCTGTCACAACATTTATCTTCCTTCCATCAACAGCAGCAGCAGCAACATCATAATATTTCATGTTCAACCTTGGATGACATCAGAGAAACTCTTTAGCTCGTGTCTATGGGTTTTCACCATACAACCAGAACCTCAAGGCTCCTGTTCTCACATTCCCCATCTCCTCATCATCACAGATCAAGGTTCACTTTCTTTGTAAACTTTCCCTTTAACCCCACTCACTAACAAAATCACTGACTTAACTCTCACTACAACAAAATTATATATTTACAAATGTCTATTTCTCTTGCATTGGTTGGCTTTTGTCTTTTCCATTAGATTATAGACTATGAACTGTGAGTACTGCCAAAAATGTCTCAGACTAACCCGCTACCATTCTTTGATGATACGTGATTATATATGAATTTATCTTTTTTCTTCATAACTTTATTCTCTTTCTCCCAAACCCACCCATGCATCATTTTCATGGGCTAATGTAATCAGAACCACTCCTGGCATTTAGGCTAGAAAACACTGACAATGATGAGGAAAGCAAGTATCCTTTAAACATTTATCTTTTCCGTTGTTATGCTATAGTCCCCTGAAGCTGCCTGCAAAAGCCACAATATTCTTACGGCAGATGGTGTCACTCATGAAAATTCTGGTGTCTATGCCAAGAAAACTTATTATAAGAAAGAAACGGCTGGGCGCGGTGGCTCATGCCTGTAATCCCAACACTTTGGAAGGCCGAGGCGGGCGGATCACAGGTCAGGAGATCTAGACCATCCTGGCTAACACGGTGAAACCCTGTCTCTACTAAAAATACAAAAAAAAAAAAAAAAAAAAAAAATCAGCCGGGCATGGTGGTGGGCGCCTGTATTCCCAGCTATTCGGGAGGCTGAGGCAGGAGAATGGCGTGAACCTGGGAGGCGGAGCTTGCAGTGAGCTGAGATTGCGCCACTGCACTCCAGCCTGGGCGACAGAGCAAGACTCCGCCTCAAAAAAAAAAAAAAAAAGAAACAAACAAACAAACAAACAAACGTATTTTCCCACTCCTCTGGTTTCTACGAGGAAGAATTTTCCCCTAAGCACTTCTGGCTTCTCAGCCTACCCCTTACTTTTCACCACAGAAATAGAGTGAATTACCTGATTTGATGAATCTGGGAGAGGAACTGGACACTCACACTTCAGCATCTTCTTATCATCCTCTTCCTCTTGGGAGCCAGCCATCTGCAGGGTGAACGTGCTCCTCCGTGCTAGAAGTTTTCCAGGGCAGGCCCCACAGACAGCAGCCTGCAGAAGTGCAGCACTGCCCAAGGCCAGGTGGGTCAGTCTCAGTCCAAGTATTTTGTATAAGTAAAGATGCCCATTTTCACTGCACACCCAAGCTTCTAACAGCTGGCATCTTGGTTTCTATCTGACCTATTGTTTGTCTTTGTCATAAAATTACTCAGAAAAGGAGAGTGTTTACTGAGTCCCTCTCCAGCGGCAACAGTGCTACCAGACATTTGGCTGGCATTGGCAGGAGTTAGTAAGCTCCTAAGGCAATGCTGCTCTCTGAATGTGGGCAGGAGGACATCCATTTCCTCCCTGAAAGCCGTGCTGCAGTTAATATTCACAATGGTCACTGTGGTCCCCTATGCTCCTGTCTCTAATAAACCTCCAGGTTCCTCTCATCCTATTGCCCTGTGGCCTGAGGCTACAAACCAATCTCAAGGAACACATAGCATCTCAGTGATCAAGTGACACCTTCCTTCTTAGGGGTAGAGGTTTGTGTTGCTGTATCCGCTTTGCTGTAGGTACAGCTGGCCCTCTGTTTCCCCAGGTTCCATATCTGCAGGTCAAAAATATTTGGAAAAAAAATACAAATAGAAAAGCGATATAGTATAACAACTATTTACATAGCATTTACATGGTGTTAGACATTATAAGTAATCGAGAGATGATTTAAAGTATACTGGAAGGGTTGGGCATGGTGGCTCATGCCTGTAATCCCAGCACTTTGGGAGGCTGAGGTGGGCAAATCACTTGAGGCCAGGAGTTCAAGACCAGCCTGGGCAACATGGAGAAATCCTGTCTCTACTAAAAATACAAAAATTAGCTGGGCGTGGTTGTGCATGCCTGTAGTCTCAGCTACTTGGGTGGCTGAGGCATGAGAATCACTTGAGCCGAAGAGGCGGAGGTTGAAGTGAACCAAGATTGAGCCACTGTGCTCCAGCCTGGGCAACAGAGTGAGATTCTGTCTCAAAAAAAAAAAAAAAAAAAACATATGGGAGGATGTGCATAGGTTATATGCAAATACTATGCCATTTTATATAGGGGGCTTGAGCATTCAGGGATTTTTGTATCTATGGGGCCCTGGAACCAATCCTCCATGGATACCAAGGGATGACTGTAGTTTCCAGCAGGGAGATCATCACAATGGCATGTTTTTTATGTTTCAGAGGAAAGCATCTTCTAGTCTATGAATGTACACTCTGGAGCTGCTCTGGATATTGGCAATGTTGCTACCAATCTAGAAATCAGGAACCTAAAGACCCTTTTCTAACACACTGGCCTAGGGTAAGTCAACTGAGTGTGGTCAGAGTCTATCTCAACATGGAGCATTGCAGCCCCAGCGCCTCACTTCTGAGTGACCCAGAGAGCCCAGAACAAGTGGTAAAAGTAGACACAAGTGAAATCTCCTTTAACTAGTTCTTTGCTCTCACCTCCCACCCTCACCCACCTCGTTCTCAGGCCTTTCTTTCTTCTATGCCCAGACCTGTCTAATGTATGCGAAAATAGAATCTCCCAACTTTTTCTCACTGAGACCAACTGAGCTTATTATATAATTTCAGCTCTTGTTCCAAGAAAACCAAGATCAATCTAAAAAAGCAGTCATCTGAACTTGGCAGACATTCGTGTGGGAAAGTCTTTAAGCAAAAACAAATTTGTTGACGTACTGGGACAAGAAACTCAGAGAACAGATAACATGTTCCATGAGCCAACTCTGTCCTCGCTTCAGATTCACTCTTTTCTCAGCCAACAGTCCTTGTTCCACTCTATGGAAGATGCCAACTCATCAGTTTGTCATGATTAGGCCAGATGCCCTCACCAAGGGTCCCAAGGAATACCAAACGGTCATTCCTTAGGCCCTTTGGTTAGGGAGACAATCACTAAGTTCAGAAACCTTAGGCTGTAGTGCATGAAAAAAACACCTGACCAACAAAAGGAGTGAAGAAAGGTATTAAAAACAAAGAGTTGCGCTGAGATGGCTTTTGTGCTTCTAGTCTATGTCAATCAATTAATTTCCTCTGGCCACGCTCCCCTCCTCTTCAAGACTATATGGAGAGGGGTCCTTCTGTCTTTATTACAGTTAGTGACAACATGACAAAACCTACTGAATTCAGCTTCAAAATTGAAATATAAATAAATATTAGGGTTCCCCAAGGAAGGAAGTTGCTTTTCCTTTCCCAAGCAAGAAGTGGAGGAGATGGGGAGAAGATGGTTCTGGGGAACATCAAAACAGCTGCAGCTCCTTAGGCAAGGGGAAATACTAGTTAGGGACAGCCTCGCATCAAGGAAAGAGATACTAAGAAACTGGTCTTATAAAGGACCAAAGCAACTGGAAAGAAAGTACATCACTTTATACCCAGTGGAAAACACTGGAGGTTCATGGTGACCCAGGTGGATTGATTTATTATTCAAAAGGTAATAGCTGTCTAGGATTTGTGCCTGTGTCCACCTCTTCTTCCTCTGTGGTTTCTTCGTGAGCAAGGGCTTTAAAATAGCATGTGAGAGTCAGAAAAGAAGATGCCAGAATGTCAAATAACTCCCAAGTACCATGCTGAACATTTTTGGTGTTCTGGGTTTTCTTGAGTTGTTTCTTTCAGGAGTTACAAGAGTGGAACAAATGGGCAGCCACTGAGAGGCTCAGCCTTGCTCACTCACTACTTTCTGAGCAAGGCAATTCTCTTACTTCTCAGAACCCCCTCTCTGATAAAAATCAATAATAAAGTGTATACCCTGTCCAAGCAGAAACTTTTATTTCCCAGGGGCTCAAAGCATTTCCCAATCACCAATCCTCTAATCCACAATTCCAATCAGCATTTAGCCAATAGGCTAAATTTATCTTCTAAATATCAACATCTATGTTCAAATCAAGAATGGATCCAATCAGCAGGTAGAGGAATTAGAACATGCAAGTCAGTGTCCTACCAATATAATCCAGAGCCATCATGTCAGTGCTGCTAAAAATGGTATTAGCTAATTAGGTGACCACCATTAATGCAAGTCATGATGCAACGTAACTGAAGGTGTTGTTGCCCTAATGACCCAAGTCACAGTTTATGGCCATACCACTCTCAACAAGTCTGATCTCCTCTAATGAACCATGCCATTTATCTGAACGTGAACTCGGAGATATTTAATTATATTTTTATGCCCTGTAAAATAGGCAGGACCCAGAAGGCTGATATTGTTTTCTGTTTCTCACATAATAGTAATAACCTTTGTTTTTTGTGAGTAAACTAGTTGCTCCAAAGAGAAACTCACCCACAACAATTAGTTCCCTGAGATCTTTTCACAAAGTCCAGGACCCAGTAGATCCATCCAGTGGCGTTTACAGCCTGAAACTACCATTTTCCTCACAATGGCATGGTCCAGCTCATTGACAATAACAAATTGCTAACTGTAGAAAAATTTTTCTGGAATTTTATAGAATTCAAAGGAAACAACTGCATTTTTTCAGAAATTTACCACAACTGAAACAAGGCCAAGTTTATAAAAATTCCTCAACTGTAATCTCCTCCACAAAATCCCAATGCTGGAAAGAACCTTGAAGTCATCTAGTTCACACATATCCTTCAGAAAAGAAAAGATCAAAAGGACTTGAAATTAAAAAAAAATTTAAAAAACCACTCTGGATTCCTGTCCTATTTCAGCCACTAATTCATTTGACCCAGAACGCATTACATCATCTCCCTCAAATTCACTGTCTTCATATGTATGATGATAGCTTTAAACCAGATCATGTCTAAAGTTCCATCCAACTTGAAAATCCATGATTATATGAAACCAGACTACAAGTGGCCCTTGAATAACATGGGTTTGAACTGTGTGCATCCACTTATAAGCAGATTTTTTTAAATAAATATACTGGAAAAATTTTTGCAGATTTGTGACAATTTCAAAAAACTCACAGACAAAAAGCAGAGCTTAGAAATATCAAAAAGATTAAGAAAAAAGGTACGTCACAAATGCACAAAATATATGTAGATATTAGTTTATCACTTACTACCATAAAATATATACGAATTTATTATAAAATGTTAAAACTTACCAAAACTTAGGTACACAAACACTCTACATGGCACCATTCACATAAATATAAAGATGTAGTATTAAATCATAACTGCATAAAGCTAACCATGCTACACACTGTACTACTGTAATAATTTCATAGCCACCTCCTGTTGCTGTTGAGATGAGCTCAAGTGTTGCAAGTATCCACTTAAAACCCTGTGTGACACTAATCATCTTTGCGTGAACAGTTCATCTCTCCAGTATACTGCGTTACCACAGTAAAAAGTGATCTCTCAAAGTTCTAGGTATCTTTCATTGTGTTTAGTGCAATATTGTAAACCTTGAATAATACCATGGGATCCATATGTAGTGCCACTAGCCATGCTGGAAATGCTCCCAAGAACAGAGAAAAGTCATAACATTACAAGAAAAGTCATAACATTACAAGAAAACGTTGAACTGCTTGATATATTACTGTAGAATGAGGTCTGCCGCTGCACTTGCCCACCATCTCAGACAGACAATTCGTCTTGTAAACAGATGATGTAAACTTACTACTGTGATTACTACAGTACAGTACCGTAACTGTATTTTATCTTCCTTATGATTTTCTTTCTTTCTTTTTTTTTGAGACGGAGTCTTGCTCTGTTGCCAGGCTGCAGTGCAGTGGCGCGATCTCGGCTCACTGCAACCTCCGCTTCCCGGGTTCAAGCAATACTCCGGCATCAGCCTCCCAAGTAGCTGGGACTACAGGCAAGCACCACCACGCCCAGTTAATTTTTGTGCTTTTAGTAGAGACGGGGTTTCACCATGTTGGCCAGAATGGTCTAGATCTCTTGACCTCGTGATTCGCCCGCCTCGGCCTCCCAAAGTGCTGGGATTACAGGCGTGAGCCACCGTGCCCGGCCCTTATGATTTTCTTAATAACATTTTCTATTCTGTAGCTTACTTTATTGTAAGAATACAGTATATAATACCTATACAAAATATATGTTAATCGACTGTTTATGTTATTAGCAAGGCTTCTGGTCAACAGTAGGCTATCAGTAGTTAATTTCTGAAGGAGTCAAAAGTTATACGTGGATTTTCAACTGCGTGGGGGGTCAGCACCAAAATCTTAAGTTGTTCAGGGGTCAACTAACTGTACTTTGAAAACTGAATAGGAAGAAAGAGCCTACATTTTTCCTTACAGAGAAATGCCAAGACTTTTGTTAACTTTCAAACTGGAGGAATGCTAACTGTCATAGCTGAGATCTGGGAAAATTTTAACTTATGCCAAAGTCAAGCTTCTACATAATTATTTTTAAAGTGAGGATAATTTTTCTACTTGAGACAACCTAGCACAGTGACAGAATAAGAAGATAGAAAATGTGTCACTATTTACTCTTGCTGAATGTAAATCCATAACTTAACTGAAGAGTAGGTGAAATGCATTACCTTCCCAGGGAAGAACTCAAATCTCTTTCCTGAGAATCATTCCCTTTCTGCAAGAATTCTATGAAAGAATTATATACAATAGAATAAAAGCTTATTATTTATTTACTAAATCAAAGTTGCCTGGATCATTATTACACATTTATCAGAAAAAGTCATAAATTTTCTGCTTAGAGATTTTACACTTAGCCGGGCGCGGTGGCTCACGCCTGTAATCCCAGCACTTTCGGAGGCTGAGGTGGGCAGATCACAAGGTCAGGAGTTCCAGACCAGCCTGGCCAATATGGTGAAACCCCATCTCTACTATAAATATAAAAATTAGCCGGGCATGGTGGCGCGTGCCTGTAGTCCCAGCTACTCAGGAGGCTGAGGCAGGAGAATTGCTTGAACCCAGGAGGCGGAGGTTGCAGTAAGCCGAGATCGCGCCACTGTACTCTAGCCGGGGCAACAGAGTGAGACGCTGTCTCAAAAAAAAAAAAAAAAGAGATTTTACACTTTATAATAGAATTAAAATACTCAGAATTGGAATAACTCTAAAAATGAATACAAGTAATTTAAAGGAAAATATGTACTGGATTTAGTCAATAAAGTAGTATAAAAATATACAAGCTACAGGTAGGTGCTGTAGTTTAAAATTAAGCATCTTGGTATTTGTTAATTGTGTCCTTGGAAGGCATCTTTTATATCAGCCTGACTAAAATGATCTACCACCCTTTGCTCTCTCTTTAAACAAATACAGTGAGTTTACTTCCTCACACTTTGATACAAATTTCTCTATTCCGGTGAATATGGATGTCTATTTTTTCTTTCTTGGTAAGCAGAAAGAAGTCTGAATCACAATTCAAAATGCAATTTTAGTTTAAGTCGAAAATGGGGGGACTACTAATTATATGGGCAATAGTATTATGATGTGCTAAGAATGCCATCAAAACTTCTGTCTGCATATATATTATATATGCATATATTTGTGCATTAATTATATAATAGAAATAACATATACTGTGTGTTATCTATTATCTATTTTCTATCATCTCCACTTTAACTTAAGACATAAGTACAGATTAATTAATAACCCTTAGCAAATTAATTAAAATGGGAATTCTTTTCACGAAGTCACATATATCTAAAGTTGTAAGGACCAACATACATGTTGGTTTCAGTGTTAATCTTTTCCTTTAAAGATCAAGTATGATTACCGTTTGGAAATTAATTTTAGGCAGCTATTTGACTAATATCATAGCTGACTCAGCTAAGAAAGAAAAGAGCAAGAATTGAGAAGCCTCATTCAATATTGACTGCAAACTGTGGCAATGCTAGAGTTCCTAACAAAAATCATCTATGTAAAGTTTGGTTACACAAACTGGCTAACAAGCTGGTAGGGACAGCTTAAATTTGCAGTATGTGTACACTAGTTTATCATAACCTCAATTGAATAATGTACACTCTCTAACCCCCCCCAAAAATTACTGAGTATCTTAGCTTTGGGCTTTAACTATTTGGACTAGCAAGTTTTGTTTTGTTTTGATTTGTTTTTAGTAGCTATTCCCAAAATGTAAATCAGTTAGTCAGATAATATATGATGAATATATTTAATAATTGATACACTCAACAAGAATGAAAGTATTCATGGATATGAAAAAATACCTCCCCTTTTCAAAAAGGTAATTTATGTATTAAGAAAAAAACTTCAGTGCTCACTTTGGCAGCAAATATACTAAAATTGGAATGATATAGAGAAGATGTACATGGTCCCTGTGCAAGGATGACATGCAGATTTGCGAAGCGTTCTATATTTTTTTATCTACGCAGCAAACCACCATGGCACACGTTTACCTATGTAACAAACCTGCACATCCTGTACATGTACCTCGGAACTTAAAAGATGAAAAAAAAAAAACTTTAGACAACAGATGGGCTTTAAGAGATAAAATGGAAATGTGGAAAGCTTCCAGTTTGTTAGGCAGCTAGCAGCACCTAATAAGCGTCTCCTAGTTTCTTTTTTTTTTTAATTTTTATTATACTTTAAGTTTTAGGGTACATGTGCACAATGTGCAGGTTAGTTACATATGTATACATGTGCCATGCTGCTGTGCTGCACCCATTAACTCGTCATTTAGCATTAGGTATATCTCCTAAAGCTATCCCTCCCCCCTCCCCCCACCCCACAACAGTCCCCAGAGTGTGATGTTCCCCTTCCTGTGTTCATGTGTTCTCATTGTTCAATTCCCACCTATGAGTGAGAATATGCAGTGTTTGGTTTTTTGTTCTTGTGATAGTTTACTGAGAATGATGATTTCCAATTTCATCTATGTCCCTACAAAGGACATGAACTCATCATTTTTTATGGCTGCATAGTATTCCATGGTGTATATGTGCCACATTTTCTTAATCCAGTCTATCATTGTTGGACATTTGGGTTGGTTCCAAGTCTTTGCTATTGTGAATAGAGCCGCAATAAACATGCGCGTGCATGTGTCTTTATAACAGCATGATTTATAGTCCTTTGGGTATATACCCAGTAATGGGATGGCTGGGTCAAATGGTATTTCTAGTTCTAGGTCCCTGAGGAATCGCCACACTGACTTCCACAAGGGTTGAACTAGTTTACAGTCCCACCAACAGTGTAAAAGCATTCCTATTTCTCCACATCCTCTCCGGCACCTGTTGTTTCCTGAGTTTTTAATGATTGCCATTCTAACTGGTGTGAGATGGTATCTCATTGTGGTTTTGATTTGCATTTGTCTGATGGCCGGTGATGGTGAGCATTTTTTCATGTGTTTTTTGGCTGCATAAATGTCTTCTTTTGAGAAGTGTCTTTTCATGTCCTTCGCCCACTTTTTGATGGGGTTGTTTGTTTTTTTCTTGTAAATTTGTTTGAGTTCACTGTAGATTCTGGATATTAGCCCTTTGTCAGATGAGTAGGTTGTGAAAATTTTCTCCCATTTTGTGGGTTGCCTGTTCACTCTGATGGTAGTTTCTTTTGCTGTGCAGAAGCTCTTGAGTTTAATTAGATCCCATTTGTCAATTTTGGCTTTTGTTGCCATTGTTTTTGGTGTTTTAGACATGAAGTCCTTGCCCATGCCTATGTCCTGAATGGTAATGCCTAGGTTTTCTTCTAGGGTTTTTATGGTTTTAGGTCTTAACGTTTAAGTCTTTAATCCATCTTGAATTAATTTTTGTATAAGGTGTAAGGAAGGGATCCAGTTTCAGCTTTCTACATATGGCTAGCCAGTTTTCCCAGCACCATTTATTAAATAGGAAATCCTTTCCCCATTGCTTGTTTTTCTCAGGTTTGTCAAAGATCAGATAGTTGTAGATATGCGGCATTATTTCTGAGGGCTCTGTTCTGTTCCATTGATCTATATCTCTGTTTTGGTGCCAGTACCATGCTGTTTTGGTTACTGTAGCCTTGTAGTATAGTTTGAAGTCAGGTAGCGTGATGCCTCCAGCTTTGTTCTTTTGGCTTAAGATTGACTTGGCAATGCGGGCTCTTTTTTGGTGCCATATGATCTTTAAAGTAGTTTTTTCCTAGTTTCTTATAAAAATAACTTTGACACCAGGTGCGGTGGCTGACGCCTGTAATCCCAGCACCTTGGGAGGCTGAGGCAGGTGGATCACCTGAGGTCAGGAGTTTGAGACCAGCCTGGCCAACATGGTGAAACCCCATCTCTACTAAAAATACAAAAATTAGCCAGGCGTGGTGGTGTGCGCCTATAGTCCCAGCTACTCAGGAGGCTGAGGCAGGAGAATCGCTTGAACCCAGGAGGCGGAGATTGCAGTGAGCTGAGATCATGCCACTGCACTCCAGCCTGGGCGACAGAGTGAGACTCCATCTCAAAAAAATAAAAAATAAAAAAAAATAACTTTGAAGACAATTCTCCTTGAAGGAAGACATCTTATGGAAATACACGATTGCTCAAAGATAAATGTGTAAAGACATTCACTGGAGCTTTGTTTGAAAAGGAAATCAGAAATTCCCTAAATGTTCATCAAAAAACAAATGTTTAAATAAACTATGAGATACCAATGCAATAGGTTAATTTGCAGCCTTTATAAATACTGAAATATGTATACATTGATATGAAAAGTACTCCCTGCATAAAAATAAGATTTTCAAAATGTTTGGACAGTATCTGTAGAATAAGCCCCTTTAAAAATAACAATCATAAAACATGTATACATTATGATAAAGGCAAAGAAGTTCGAATAAATATTTGCAAAATATTTGATCATCTTTTGGGAGACATGATTATAGCGTATTTCACTTCACTTTTTGCTTATTCATTATTTTGACATCTTTATGAGATATAATTTCCACACCATGAAATTCATCCATTTAAAGTATACAAATTCAATGATTTTCAGTATATATTACAAAGTTGAGCAAGCATGTCTACACTCTAATTTTAGAACATTTTTGCTACCCCTAAAAGAAAAAGAAACCACATAGGCATTAGTAGTCACTCTCCACTCCCTCTCTAGCAACTATCTGGGCAGCCACTAACATACTTTCTGTCTCTATGGATTTGTCTATTCTGGATATTTCATATAAATGGTATTGCACAATATGTGAATTTTTGTGTCTGACTTTTTTGCTTCACATAATGTTTTAAAGTTTCATCCATGTTGTAGCATGTGTCAGCATTTTATTCCTTTTTATAGCTGAGTAATGTTCCATTGTATGGATATATATTTTGTTTATCCATTTGTTAGTTGATGGACATTTGGGTTGTTTCCACTTTTTGGCTATTAAAAATAATATTGCTATAAACACTGGGGTGTGTTTTTGTGTGGATGTATGTTTCATTTCTCTTGCGTAGATGCCTAGGAGTGGAATTGCTGGGTTATACGCTAACTCTATGTTTAACTTTTTGAGAAATTATTAAACTGTTTTCCATAGCAGCTGCACCATTTTGCATTGCCACCAGCAATGTATGAGGGTTCCAAATCTTCCATATTCTTGGCAATGCTTGTTGTTGTTTATCTTTTTTATTATAGCTACCCTTGTGGATATGAATTGGTATCTCATTCCACTATTGATTTTTATTTCTCTGATGGCTAATGATATTTATAATCTTTTCATGTGTTTACTGGCCATTTGTATATCTTTGGAGAAATAGTTATTCAAATTCTTTGCCCATTTTTAATTAGGTTGTCTTTTTATATGAGCTCTTTATATGGTCTGGAGACATATTCCCTATTAGATACATAATTTGCAGATATTTTCTCTTATTCTGTGGGTTCTTTTTACTTTCTTGATGATGTCCTTTGCAGTGCAACACTTTTTTATTTTGATTAAATGCAACTTAGCTTTCATTTTCTTTCACTGCATTTGGTGTCACAGCTAAGAAATCATTGCTTAATCCAAAGTCATGAATATTTATACCAATGTTTTCTTCTAAAAGTTTTATAGTTTTACTCATACATTTAGGTCCTTGATCCATTTTGAGTTGTTTGTGGCATGAAGTGGGTCCAACTTCTTCCTTTTATGTGTGGATATCTAGTTATTCTAACACCATTTATTGGAAAGACTATTCTTTCCCCTTTAAATGGTCTTGAAACCCTTGCTGAAAAATCAGTTAATCACAAATCTAAAAGTTTACTTCTGGATTCTCAATTTTATCCCATTGATCTATATTTCCAGCCTCACACCAATACTACACTGTCTTGATTATTGTAGCTTTATAGTAAGTTTTGAAATCAGAAAGTATGTGTCCTAGATTGTTTTGGCTATTTGGATTCCCTCATTTCCATATGAATTTTGGGATCAGCTTGTCAATTTTGGCAAAAGAAAGTCAGCTAAAATTTCTATAAAATTGTATTGAATCTGTAGATAACTTTGGCAAGTATTGCTATTTTGACAATATTGTCTTCCACTCCATGAACATGGGATACTTTTCCATTTAATAAGGTGTTCCTTAATTTTTTCCAACCATGTTTTATAGTTTTCAGAATAAAAGTTTTTCACTTTTTGTTAAATTTATTCCTAAATATTCAATTAATTTTGAGCAACTGTGTATTTCCATAAGATGTACATATATATTATACTGTTTTTATAATTTCATTTTTTGATTCTTTATTGCTAGGATATAGAAATATAATTGAGCTTTATAGATTAATGTGGTATCTTGCAATTCTGCTGGACTCAGGTATGAGATCAAATGGGTTCGGGGAGGTTCTTTACAATTATTTATGTACTAGATTATGTCATCTGAAATAGAAATAGCTTTTACTTTCTCCTTTCCAATCTAGATACATTTTATTTCTTTTTCTTGCCTAATTGTCCTGACTAGAATCTCCATTACAACATTGAATAGAAGTGGTAAAGGTGGACATTTTTGTGTTGCCATTGATTTTAGGGTTCTTGCTGTTTTATCCAATCTGACAATGTCTGCCTTCTAATTGAGGTATTTAAAAAATTCACATTTAATGAAATTTTTATGTGGTTGGGTTTAGACACATATATAAACATTTTCTATAAACATACATTTATATGTATATACACACACATATATTTTCATATGGTTGTGTTTAAACATGGGACAGCTGTGAGTTTTCTTTTTTATTTCTAATCTTTGCTCCCCTTTTTCTCTTTTTCTGCTTTCTTTGGAAGGAATTTTTTTTTCCATTTTGTATCTTTTTTCCTAATTAGCCAAAATAAGGGTTATGTATTATTTAATTTAATGATTGGTTTCAAAGTTAAAAATACATATTTTTATTATTTCTGTCTGCCTTCAAGTGATATTACACCACTTCACATACAGTGTAAGAATCTCACAAGCCTATACTTTCATTACTTATTTCCCTGTCTTTATGCTCTTGTCATACATTTTAATTCTACAAATATTATGAGTCTATAATACATTGTTATTATTTTTGCTTTAAACAATCCAATTATCTATTAAAGAGATTTAAATATTTAATAATAAGACATATTTTTTTTTCTCTTCTTATGTATTTTCCCTTTCTGGTGCACTTCTTTGTTTTGTTTAGATCAGGATTTCCATCTAATACTACTTTTCTTTTGCTTGAAGGACTTCCTTTAATATTCCTTATTGTGCCGGTCTGATAGTGATAAATTCTTTCAGTTTTTACAGGTATTTTTGAAAGATAGTTTTGCTGGGTAAAGAATTATAAGTTGCCTTTTTTTTTCTTTTAGTACATAAACTAGTGCTCTACTGCCACTAGTTTTCGTTGTTTGTGGCAAGAAATCTGCTCTTACCCTTCTCTTTTTTCTTCATTACATAATGCGTCTTGTTTTTCTGATTACTTTTAAGATTTTTTTCTCTATATCACTAGTTTAAGGCAATTTGATTATAATGTTCATTGGAGTAGTTTTCTTAAGATTTTCCTGCTTGGGGTTTATTTAGCTTCCTAGACGTGCAGTTTACAATTTTCACCAAATTTGGGAAAAAAAATTAACCATTATTTCTTAAATTTTTTTTCTGCCCTTCCCTTCCCTTCAGAGTCTTTAATTAAATGTATGCTAGGCTGCTTGAAGTTGCCCCACTACTCACTGATACTCTGTTCAGTCTTTCATCTTTTTTCTTTGTATGTTTCATTTTGGATAGTTTCTATTATGATATCTTCAATTTCATTAATCTTTTCTTCAGCAATTTCTAATATGCATTAATCCCATACCATGTATTCTTTATCCAAGAAATTGTAGGTTTCATCCCTAGAGATTCAATTTTGGTCTTTTTTTTAATGTCTTTCAAGTATCTATTTAACTTGTTTAATCTTTCATTCAGATTCTTGAACATACAGAATATAGTTGTAATAACTATTTTAATGCCCTAGTCTACTAATTTTATTATCTTTGTCAATCTTGGTTGATTGAGTTTTCTCCTTATTATATATCATATTTTCCTGCTTTTTTACATACCCGCTAATTTTTTATTGCATGCTACACATGGTGAATTTTAGCTTCTAGGATGATATATATTATTACTTTTTTTTTTTTTTTTTTGAGATAAGAGTTTCGCTCTTGTTGCCCAGGCTGGAGTGCAATGGCACGATCTCAGCTTACCGTAACCTCCGCCTCCCAGGTTCAAGCGATTCTCCTGCCGCAGCTTCCCAAGTAGCTAGGATTATAGGCATGTGCCACCACGCCCAGCTAATTTTGTATTTTTAGTAGGGATGGGATTTCTCCATGTTGGTCAGGCTAGTCTCAAACTCCCATCCTCAGGTGATCTGCCTGCCTCAACCTCCCAAAGTGCTGGGATTACAGGTGTGAGCCACAGCGCCCTGCCCTATTGTTGCATTTCTATAAATATTTTGGGCTCCAATCTTCGATGCAGTTAAATTACTTGGAAACAGTTTACTCCTTTCAAGTTGTGCTTTTAAGCTTTCCTAGATGAGACCAGAGAAGCATTTAATCTAGGGCTACTTTTGCACTTCTACCAAAGCAACACCCATCTTTATACTCTATCTTGTGTCCTGTGAATTATGAGACATTTCACTCTGACTGGTGGGACAGTCGCTATTCCAGTGCCTTTTGTGAGCTCTGAGAGTTAGTCACTATAATACTATAATCCTTTTGTGTGATTTTTCCCCTGGCCTTGAGTGATTTCCTCATAGGCATGCATTGATCAGTACTCAGCTGAATACTGAGCTGAGGGAACATACCTTCTCAGATCTCTAGAGCTTGTGTATCTTCTCTCTCTCTCTCTCCTCTGCCCCCAACCCCTCTAGCTCTCTTCTCTCTAGTACTTTGCCCTGTAAACTGTACTCTCTTTGGCCTCCTTAGATTTCCAGCTCTGCTCCCCCAATGTAAGGAGACCACTAGGCTCTGCCTGAATTCCTTCTCTTTACAACACAGCCTGGAAACTTTCTCTAAGTAGTAATCTGGAACAACTGTAGAGCTAACTTCACTTATCTCCCTTTTCTCAGGGATCAAGGTATTTTGTTGCCTGACTTTAAATATCTTAATAACCATTGTTTTATACATTTTGTCCAGATTTCAACTGTTTCAGGCAAGATGATAAATCAGGTACCTGTTACTTCATCTCAGCCAGAAGAAGAATTGACTGTAAATTTTAAAATTTCTTCTCCCTGGAAATTATCTGTGTTCAAGTTTTCTATTACTGCATAACAAACCATTTCAAAAATTATTGGTTTAATATAACAATAGTATTTATTTTGCTCATGAACTGTAGCTTTGGTAAGACCCTGTGAGGACAGCTTGTCTTTGCTCCACCTGGCATTAGCTAGGTGGCTCAAAAACTGGGGATGGAATTCTCATTCATTCACATATCTGGTCATTGGTACTGGCTAATGCTAAAATCTCAGCTGGAACTGTGATTAGAATACCTTATGCCATCTTTTCATGTGGACACTTGACTTCTTAATAGCATAATGGCTGGGTTTCCAAGGGTAAATGGAGAAAAATGAGAGAGAGACAGAGAGAGAGAAAACATCACGTAAGAGCTACATCACTTTTTCTAACCTTGCCTAAAAAGATCACACAGCCCAGCATCATCACAATATATTCTTTAGAAGCAAGTTTCTAAGACTAGCCCATATTCAAAGATAGAGGAATTAGACTCTCCCCTTTGATGTGAGAAATGCCGAATAATTTGTGGACACATTTTTTAAAACCTCACATTTGTTCTCCACGTTGCCTGTTTCTGCTTATTTTGATTTCTATAGATACTTTCCTGTTATCTGATGTTTCTGGGTTGAAGGTTCATATTTATTTAAAATAGGGGCACTAATACCCTCTAAGAGTGGGGGAGGTTTGTCTATTCTGAGCTTTATTGTGATCTGGTTGAGATATTTAAATGGCAAATTTTCAGCATCTCTTTAGATATTTCCTGTTGAACCAGTCATATTCCCTTGGGAAAAATCCCCAACCTCTTCTTTGGAGGATGAAGACCAATATTCTGGGACCTGAATGTAGGAAGAGGGCTGGCTCAGAATCCAGGATGCAAATATTATCCACATCTTCATTTTCTGTTCAGTACCTCCAACCTCAACTGAACCTGAAGTTCCCTTTGTTTCCCTTTTTTAAACAATATTCTTTTCCTAGGGTCAAAAAATGGCTGGTCCCTGGGTGGTTTATCAGACTGTGGGGAGCAATATGGGATCTGGATAGTTCTTAGACTTTCAAACAATCCTCCTTACTTAATCTCTATTTTCAGTCCCACTTCCAGAAGAATCTAGCACTGCCCATTCCTTCACCTTACACAAATTCTTCTGTATAAATCAGATGAACTTCTGCTTTCCTCACTGCTGGCTTAGGATTCGCTTTTCCCATTTGCGTTCCCACTTCCAACATTTTATTTTCTGGTCTTCTTCTCCAATCTTCTCTTTCTTGTGAATCTTTTAAAAAAATTCCTTTATTGCCATTTGATGGTATTTGGGGAAGGAGCAAATAAAAACATATGCTTAATTCACTATATTTTGTCGGAAGCCAAGCTCACTCCTTTAAGCTCTACTTTTAGGTTACTCAATACAAAGATTTTCCAGGTTCAACTATCTTCTTTTCAACACCTTAATTAGTGCTCCAGCATTCATGTAGCAAATCTCCTAAAATCTCCTTGATATCTGTGAAAGTTCCTGAGTGACTGCTATTTTCATGCCTTTCCTGGACTATTTGGTCTAGTTTGTTAAAAAGCTACTTCTAAGTAGATTATGTGCATTAAAATCTGCACCAAATCACTTTTCAATGTCTCTCTAGCTATTAATGGTTTGGGGATTCTCTTTAAAGTTTCATTTCAGGCTGGGCACGGTGGCTCATGCCTGTAATCCCAGCACTTTGGGAGGCCAAGGTGGGCAGATCACGAGGTCAGGAGATCGACACCATCCTGGCTAACATGTTGAAACCCCATCTCTACTGAAAATACAAAAAATTAGCCGGGTGTGGTGGTGCTCGCCTGTAGTAGCAGCTACTCGGGAGGCTGAGGCAGGAGAATGGCGTGAACCTGGGAGGCGGAGCTTGCAGTGACCCGAGATCGTGCCACTGCACTCCAGCCTGGGCAACAGAGTGAGATTCAGTCTCAGAAAAAAAAAAAAAAAAAGTTTCATTTCACATTTTTATTCCTATTCCTGTCTCTCTGTGGATCATGTTTTCCAGTATCACTGCTTTCTAAGAACAAACAGTGATGGCATTTACATACTTAGGACATAATTTATTTTGTCTTCAGATAAAGAAAGGTGAAATAAAATTCAAAATTCAATGGTGATTAAGACATTTCTCTAGAATAATATATTTTTCCCCTGAAGTCCTCAAGACAGTCGGTTGTAACTAACTAATAACCATCTACAAAAAACACAGAGTCCTAGAACAGTTAAGAACTGGTCAAATGTCATGCAATCAGACCATTTTAGAACTAGGTTTGTTTATTTTTGAACTTTCATATTGACTTAGATACGCTTGGGACCATTTTTAAGGGAATAGCACTACTAAGCATGTATCTGGCTGAGCAGGGAAAATAAAATAATGAATTCTCATGTACCCATCACCCAAATTAAGCAATTTTCAATTCTTGGCCTGTCTTGCCTCATCCATGCGCCATTTGTTTCTTCTATTTTGTTACTTTGAAGCAAATCTCTGACATAAAATCACTTCAAAAGTGATAAACTTTCAAGGTGAAAAATCAATCAATAGTTTAGATTAAGTAGTATCAAGTACATATAACACATTTTAACTAGGAAAAATATGTTCCTAATTAGAAGTGAAAATTCAAATATTTTTTCAAATTTTTAACTTTTTCTTTCTCCTCAGGAATGCCTGTAACTCATAGGTTTCGTTGCTTTACACAATGCCATATTTCTTAAAGGCTTTATTCAGTTTTTTAAATTATTTTTTCTTTATTTGTTTTCTGGCTGGGTTAATTTGAAGGACTGGTCTTCAAGCTCTGAAATTCTTTCTTTTGCTTGATCTAGTCTATTATTAAAGCTTTCAACTGTATTTTGAAATTCCTTCAGTGAATTTTTCATTTCCAGAAGTTGTTTTTTTAAAAAAGATCTCTCTCTCTTCTTTCATATCCTGAATTATTTATCTGATTTCTTTGTGTTGTTTTTTTAACTTTCTCTTGGATTGAATTGAGCTTCCTTACAATCCATATTTTGAATTCTTTATCTGTCACTTCAGAATTTTTATTTTGGTTAGGATCCATTGCTAAAGACCTAGTGTGATCCTTTGGTGGTGGTTTCACAGCAGTCAGTTTTTTCATGATCTTGCTTGAGATGTAGACATCCAGATACAAGAAGTGCAGAGAACACCTGGGAGATACTTTACAAGAAGAACATCACCAAGGTACATAGTCATCAGACTATCTAAGGTCAAGTTGAAAGAAAAAATTTTAAAAGCACCTAGAGAGAAGTGTCAAACTACCTATAAAGAAAACCCCATCAGACTAACAGTGGACTTCTCATAAGAAACCTTATAAACAGAAGAAATTGGGAGCCTATTTTCAGCCTTCTTTAAGAAAAAAAAATGCCAGCCAAGAATGTTCTATCCTGCCTAAATAAGCTTCATAAGTGGAAGAAAAATAACGTCTTTCCAGGCAAGCAAACATTAAGGGAATTCATCACAACTAGACTGGTCCTACAAGAAATGCTCAAAGGCATTCTAAACATGGAAAAAAAAGGGCAATATGCACCAACATAAAAGCAAACTTAAGTACAAAGCTCACAGATCCTATTAAGCAATTACACAATTGAGATTACAAAGCAACTAGCTATCAACATTATGACTGGAGGAAAACTTATCAATATTAACTTGAAAGTAAATGGCCTAAATGCTCCACTTAAAAGATATAGACTGGCAAAATGGATTTAAAAAACAAGACCCAACAATTAGTCGCCTACAAGAGTATCATCTAATAGGTAAAGATGCCCACAGACTCAAAGTAAAGGTGGTTTCAGTTTGTGATCACACAAACTGAAAACAAAAACAAGCAGGAGTTTTGACATAAGTATCAGATACTTATATCAGATAAAATAGACTTTAAATCAACAACGGTGGAAAAAAACAAAGAAGGTCATTATATGATGATAAAGGGTTCAATTCAGCAAAACCATTTAACTACCCTAAATGTATATGCACCCAATATCGGAGCAGCCAGATTCATAAAACAAATACTATTAGACCTAAGAAAATAGATAGATAGCAACACAATAATAGTAAGGGACTTCAACACCCCATCAACAGTATGAGACAGATCATAAAGGCAGAAATTCAACAAAGAAACTCTGGGAGTTTCTTCCAGTAGGAGATAGCTTAAAAAGTAAAAATTTAGAAAAAAGAAACAGGGTATAAACTGGACTCTGGAGCAAATAGGCCTCATAGACATTTACTGAACACTCTACCCAACAAATGTAGAATATGCATTTTTCTTATTCACACATGAAACATTCTCCAAATAAACCATGTGCTTGGCCATAAAGCAAGTCTCAATACATTCAAAAAAATTAAAATTATATCAAATATCTTCTCAGACCACAGTGAAATAAAATTAAAAATCAACACCAAGGGGAAATCTCAAAATTATGTAAATACATGGAAACTAAATAACTTGCTCCTGAACAATCTTTGAGTAAATAATAAAATTAAGAGAGAAATCAATAAATTTTTTGAACTGGATAAAAATAGGGACACAACATATCAAAACATTTGGGATACAACAAAAGTAGTGCTCAGAGGAAAGCTTATAGTGTTAAATGCCTACAAAAAGATAGAAAGATCACAAATTAACAACCTAATATCCCACTTCATAGAGCTAGAAAAACAAGAACAAACCAAACTCAAAGCTAGCAGAAAAAAATAAATAACAAAGATCAGAGCAGAACTAAATGAGATTGAGACCAAATAGATATAAAAGATCAATGAAACAAAAATATTTTTCTTCAAAAGGATAAGCTAAATTGATAGATTGCTACCTAGGAGTCACCAAGAAAAAAAGAGAAATGATCCAAAAAACACAATCAGAAATGATAAAGGTGATACTAGAATATAATCACAGAAATAATAAAGATCATCAGAGAGTACTATGAGCACCTCTGTGCACAAACTAGAAAACCTAGAGGAAATGGATAAATTCCTGGAAACATGCAACTCCCAAAATTGATCCAGGAATAAATAGAAATTGTGAACAAACCAATAATAAGTCATAAAATTAAATCAGTAATTTAAAATACACTCCCAAAAAAGTCCAAGACCAGACAAATTCACAGCTGAATTTTACCAGGTGTACAAACTAATATCAATCTTACAGAAACTATTTCAAAAAATGAAGGAGGAGGGATTCTTTCCCATCTCGTTCTATAAAACTGGTATCACCCTGACACCAAAATCAAGCAAGGACACACAAAAAAGAAAATTACAGGCCAATATTCCTGATGAACACACACAAAAGTCCTCAACAAAATACTAGCAAACTACAACCCTTCATGCTAAAAACTCTCAATAAATTAGGTATTAATGGGACGTATCTCAAAATAATAAGAGCTATCTATGACAAACCCACAGCCAACATCATACTGAATGGGAAAAAACTGGAAGCATTCCCTTTGAAAACTGGCAACAAGACAGGGATGCTCTCTCTCACCACTCCTATTCAACATAGCGTTGGAAGTTCTGGCCAGGGCAATTAGGCAGGAGAAGGAAATAAAGGGTATTCAATTAGGAAAAGAGGAAGTCAAATTGTCCCTGTTTGCAGATGACATGATTGTATATTTAGAAAACCGCATTGTCTCAGCCCAAAATCTCCTTAAGCTGATAAACAACTTCAGCAAAGTCTCAGGATACAAAATCAATGTGCAAAAATCACAAGCATTCCTATACACCAATAACAGACAGAGAGCCAAATCATGAGTGAACTCCCATTCACAATTGCTTCAAAGAGAATAAAATACCTAGGAATCCAACTTACAAGGGACGTGAAGGACCTCTTCAAGGAGAACTACAAACCACTGCTCAATGAAATAAAAGAGGATACAAACAAATGGAAGAACATTCCATGCTCATGGGTAGGAAGAATCAATATCGTGAAAACGGCCATACTGCCCAAGGTAATTTATAGATTCAATGCCATCCCCATCAAGCTACCGATGATTTTCTTCACAGAATTGGAGAAAACTACTTTAAAATTCATATGGAACTAAAAAAGAGCCCGCATCGCCAAGTCAATCTTAAGCCAAAAGAACAAAGCTGGAGGCATCATGCTACCTGACTTCAAACTATACTACAAGGCTACAGTAACCAAAACAGCATGGTACTGGTACCAAAACAGAGATATAGATCAATGGAACAGAACAGAGCCCTCAGAAATAACGCCGCATATCTACAACTATCTGATCTTTGACAAACCTGAGGAAAACAAGCAATGGGGAAAGGATTTCCTATTTAATAAATGGTGCTGGGAAAACTGGCTAGCCATGTGTAGAAAGCTGAAACTGGATCCCTTCCTTACACCTTATACAAAAATTAATTCAAGATGGATTAAAGACTTAAACGTTAGACCTAAAACCATAAAAACCCTAGAAGAAAACCTAGGCATTACCATTCAGGACATAGGTATGGGCAAGGACTTCATGTCTAAAACACCAAAAGCAATGGCAACAAAAGCCAAAATTGACAAATGGGATCTAATTAAACTCAAGAGCTTCTGCACAGCAAAAGAAACTACCATCAGAGAGAACAGGCAACCTACAACATGGGAGAAAATTTTCACAACCTACTCATCTGACAAAGGGCTAATATCCAGAATCTACAGTGAACTCAAACAAATTTACAAGAAAAAAACAAACAACCCCACCAAAAAGTGGGCGAAGGACATGAACAGACACTTCTCAAAAGAAGACATTTATGCAGCCAAAAAACACATGAAAAAATGCTCACCATCACCGGCCATCAGACAAATGCAAATCAAAACCACAATGAGATACCATCTCACACCAGTTAGAATGGCAATCATTAAAAAGTTAGGAAACAATAGGTGCTGGAGAGGATGTGGAGAAATAGGAACGCTTTTACACTGTTGGTGGGACTGTAAACTAGTTCAACCCTTGTGGAAGTCAGTGTGGCTACTCCTCAGGGATCTAGAACTAGAAATACCATTTGACCCAGCCATCCCATTACTGGGTATATACCCAAAGGACTATAAATCATGCTGCTATAAAGACACATGCACACGTATGTTTATTGCGGCTCTATTCACAATAGCAAAGACTTGGAACCAACCCAAATGTCCAACAATGATAGACTGGATTAAGAAAATGTGGCACATATACACCATGGAATACTATGCAGCCATAAAAAATGATGAGTTCATGTCCTTTGTAGGGACATAGATGAAATTGGAAATCATCATTCTCAGTAAACTATCACAAGAACAAAAAACCAAACACCGCATATTCTCACTCATAGGTGGGAATTGAACAATGAGAAAACATGGACACAGGAAGGGGAACATCACACTCTGGGGACTGTTGTAGGGTAGAGGGAGGAGGGAGGGATCGCATTAGGAGATATACCTAATGCTAAATGACGAGTTAATGGGTGCAGCACACCAGCATGGCACATGTATACATATGTATCTGACCTGCACATTGTGCATATGTACCCTAAAACTTAAAGTATAATAATAATAAAATAAAAATAAAAATAAATAAATAAATAAATACTAGCAAACTGAATCCAACAGCATATCAAAAAGATAATATGATGTGCTGTGGATTTTATTCCCACATGATCAAGTGGGTTTTATTCCAGGGATGCAAGGATGGTTCAACATAAGGAAATCAATAAATGTGATTCACCACAAAAACAGAATTAAAAACAAAAACCAAATGATTATTTCAATAGATATAGAAAAGCATTTGATAATCCAACATCTTTTCATGACTAACACCTTCATCAAACTGGCATCAAAAGAATATAATTCAAAATAATAAGAGCCATATAAGGCAAACCTACAGCTAAGATCATACTGAATGGGGAAAGTTGAAAGCATTCCTTCTAAGAACCAGAAATAGACAAGGATGCCCACTCTCACCACTCCTAGTTAACATAGTACTGGAAATCCTAGCCAGAGCTATCAGGCAAGAGAAATAAATAAAATGCATCTAAATTGGAAAAGAGGAAGTTAAATTATCTCTGTTCACTCATGACATTATCTTACACCCAGAAAACCCTAAAGACTCTCAAAAAGATTCCTAGGCTTGAGAAATGAGTTTGGTAAGGTTTCAGGGTTCAAAATGAATATGCAAACATCTGTAACATTTCTATACATGAATAATGTTCAAGCTGAAAGACAAATTAAGAACTCAATCCCATTTACAATAGCCACACACACACACACACACAAATACCTAGGAGTACATCTAACCAAGGAGGTGAAAGATCTCTACAAGAACTACAAAACACTGATGAGAGAAATGATGGATAACACAAACAAATAGAAAAATATCCCAAGCTCATGGATTGGAAGAATCAGTATCATTAAAATGACCATACTGCCCAAAGCAATGTACAGATTCAGTGCAATTTCTATCAAATTACCAACATCATTTTTTTGCAGAATTAGAAAAAAATCCTAAAATTTATATGAAACCAAAAAAGAGCCTGAACAACCAAAGTGATCCTAAGCAGAAAGAACAAAGTTGGGGGCATCACATTACCTGGCTTCAAACTATACTACAAAGCAACAGTACCCAAAACAGCATGGTAATGGTAAAATAACAGACACATAGACCAATGGGACAGAATGGAGAATCCAGAAATAAAGCCACATGTGTACATCCAACTGATCTTCAACAAAGTGGACCCTCAAAAAATGGGGAAAGGACACCCTGTTCAATAAATCATGTTGGGAAAATTGGGTAGCCATACGCAGAAGAATGAAACTAGATCCCTGTTTCCCACCATAATTAATTCAAGATTAATTAAAGACTTAAAACTATTTTTTTTTTAAAAACCTGAAACTATAAAAATCCTAAAAGAAAACCTAGAGAAAACTGTTCTGGACATTGGCCTAGGCAAAGAATTAATGACCAAGACCTCGAAAGCAAATACAACAAAAACAAAAGTAGACAAATGAGATTTTTTTTTTAACTCTTGTTTTAAGTTCAGGGGTACATGTGCAGGTTTGTTACCTAGGTAAACTAGTGTCATGTGGGTTTGTTGTACAGATTATTTTATCACCCCGGTATTAAGCCTAGTACTCATTAATTATTTTTTTTGATCCCCTCCTTCCTCCCACCCTCCACCCTCTAACAGGCCCCAGTGCATGTTGTTCCCCTTTATGTGTCCACGTCTTCTCATCATTTAGGTCCCACTTGTTAGTAAGAACATATAGTATTTGGTTTTATGTTCCTGCATTAGTTAGCTTAGGATAATGACCTCTAGCTCCATTCATGTTGCTGCAAAGGACAAGATCTTGTTCTTTTTTATGGCTGTGTAGTATTCCATGGTGTATATGTACCACATTTTCTTTATCCAATCTGTTATTGGTGAACATTTAGGCTGATTCTATGTCTTTGCTATTGTGAATAGTGCTGCAATGAACATACACACCATGTGTCTTTATAATAGTATGACTTAAATTCCTTTGGGTATATACCCAGTAATGGGATTGCCGGGTCAAATGGTATTTCTGTCTTTCGGTCTTTGAAGAATCACCACATTATCTTTCACAATGGTTGAACTAATTTCTACAGCCTCACCAGCATCTGTTTTTTTTTTTTTTTTTTGACTTTTTATTAATGGCCATTCTGACTGGTATGAGATGGTATCTCATTGCGGTTTTGATTTGCATTTTTCTAATGATCAGTGATGTTGAGCTCTTTTTCATATAATTGTTGGTCAAATGTATGTCGTCTTTTGAAAAGTATCTGTTCAAGTCCTTTGCCCACTTTTTAATGGTTTTTTTTTTTGTTTTTTCTTTTAAATTAAGTTCCTTCTTGATATGGTTTTTGGCTCTGTGTCCTCACGCAAATCTCATGTTGAATTGTAATCCCCAGTACTGGGGGAGGGACCTGGTAGGAGGTGATTGGATCATGGGGGCAGATTTCCTCCTTGCTGTTCTCATGATAGTGAGTGAGTTCTCAGGAGATCTGATTGTTTAAACGTATGCAGTACTTCCCCTTTCACCCTTTCTCCTGCCACCATGTGAAGATGTGCTTGCTTACCCTTCACCCTTCCACCATGATTGCAAGTTTCCTGAGGCCTCCCCAGCTGTGCCTCCTGTACAGCTTGTGAAAGTGTGAGTCAATTAAACCCCTTTTCTTCATAAATTACCCAGTCTCAGGTAGGTCTTTATAGCAATGTGAGAATAGGCTAATACACTTGTAGATGCTGAATATTAGACCTTTGTCAGATGTATAGTTGGCAAAAATTTTCTCCCATTCTGTAGGTTGTTTGTTTACTCTATTGATAGTTTCTTCCGCTGTACAGGATCTCTTTAGTTTAATTAGATCCCATTTGTCAATTTTGCTTTTGTTGCAATTGCTTTTGGTGTCTTCGTCATGAAATCTTTGCCAGGGCCTATGTCCTGAATGGTACTGCCTAGGTTTTCTTCCAGGGTTTTTATAGCTTTGGGTTTTATATTTATGTGTTTAATCCATCTTGAGTTGATTTTTGTACATGGTATAAGGAAGAGGTCCAGTTTCAGTCTTCTGCATATGACTAGCCAGTTATCCAAGCACCATTTATTGAATAGGCAATCCTTTCCCCATTGCTTGTTTTTGTCAGGTTTGTCAAAGATCAGATAGTTGTAGATGTGAGGACTTATTTCTGGGTTCTGTATTCTGTTCCATTGGTCTATGTGTTTGTTTTTGTACCAGTACCATGCTGTTTTGATTTCTGTAGCCCTGTAGTATAGTTTAGAGTCATGTAGTGTGATGCCTCCAGCTGACAAATAATATATATAATATAATATATAATATATAATATGATATATAATATATATTACATATAATATATATATGATATATAATATATATTATATATAATATATAACATATATATGATATATAATATATATTATATAATATATAATATGATATATAATATATATTATATAATATATAATATGATATATAATATATATTATATAATATATAATAAATATACAATATATTATATATTATATTATAAATATATTATATCTATAATATCTATAATATATATTATATACATACCATGGAATACTATGCAGCATAAAAAAAGAATGAAATCATGTCTTTTGCAGCAACATGAAAGGAGCTGGAAGTAATTATTCTAAGTGAAACAATTCAGAAGCAGAAAATAAAATAGCACATGTTCTTACTTATAAGTGGGAACTAAACAATGAGTACATATGGACAAAAAGATAGAAATAATAGACAGTGGGGACTCCAAAATAGGAGAGGGTAGAAGGAGGTGAGGGTTGAAAAATTACCTATTGGGTACAATGTTCACTATTTGGGTGATGGGTATACTAGGAGCCCAAACCTTGCCATTATGCAATATATCCATGCAACAAACCAACACATGTACCCCCTGAATCCATAATTTTAAAAAAAATGAAAAACAAAAATGTAAAAAGTTTTAAAAAGATAGAAGTGAGTACTATCAAGCTGACCATAATGAAGATACTAGTTGATGTTTCAATGAAAATGTGTATTTACTGATCTGAGTCAAGACAGGTAAACCTCAGACACCTCAGCTCCAACCCCAACAAGTATCTGAACTCTGCTCTTGGCCTTCCTCCTGCCCTTTGGACTTGGACTTTGTTTTGCTTTCCCTGGTTCAACCTACTCTCGACAGATGTAGGTTGCCTCTGCACTTGCCTCAGCACTCTGGTTCTTCTTGTTCTATTTCAGGAAATGTTTATCTCTGTATCTCCAAGCCTAGCTCAATACCTAACACAAAGTAGGAATTCAGCTGATGCTTATTTAAGGAATGAGTTGCCGTGAGAATGGCAAAGAAATCTCAATGAAGGGAGAGATACTGGACACCTGCTCCAGGGCTCACCTCACCAAAGCGGCAGTTTTCCTTTCAGTGTTCAGTGTCTACTTTTCTCTCCAGGAAAACACTGATCCAATTGCTTCTCATCGGCAAGATTATTCAAGTAATCTTAGATGTGCAAACAAGCCACGGTGGCCCTTGTGTCAGGCAGAACCAGGGCCCCCTGCAGTTGCCCATCATACTTCATGTCTTATGAGATGATCCCTGAGCAGCACTGGAGACCCCAGACAGAAGATGCCTTTTTGATGCTATTAAGATCTTTCTATTAGTGTGGAGGGAATAAAAGGGGCAGGGAAGAACACCCATCCCTGGGGTGTTTCTTTACAGAGCACCCATCGCTCCAAAAGCAGGGGTCACTTTGTGAAGGTAAGATCATATTTTTACAGTGCTATCTTCTGAATGAGAGGAAATCCACACGCCAGACAGCCTCCTGTCACCAGACGGCCTGTATCAGCCTCACTATGTGGACTGGTGCAGTTAAGCCCTGAAAGATGGTGTGCGGGGGTGTCAGACACAGCCCAGGCAGGGGAGGGAGGAACTTCAGAGCAGGCAATCCCACCTCCTGGGAAGGACTGGCCTTGTGACCTTAGCCAGTGTCTTCCAGCCTCCTCAGGACCCTCCTTGGTAAAGCAAAGATTAAACACTGACCCATCCACCCAGATCATGTGAGTGAAACAGCAGCCCCACTGGAAAGGTATTGGAGAATAGAACTCTTTATTTTTTTTTAGAAACATGAACATTTCCATTAATCTTCTCTGCCCCCAAATTGTGGTTTCTGGTTCCTTGATTCTTACAAATAAAAGAGAGAAACAGTTTTGGAGAACAACGTGTCTTGGCCCTAAGAATAATTTTCTTACTTGTGCAGTTGAGGACGGTTTATTATGGGTCTGTTTAGTGTCTCGGTCAAGGGAGGGAAGGAATAAAATGTTGATCCAAGAAGCCATCTTGCTCTGAGGAGTGATGAAGTACATTTTTGTGTGCTGAGGCACTCTTATGGGTTGAATTTCTTTACAGAATGAGCCCAAGTAGGCAGGTACAGTAATAGAATGGCTCACTGGGAGATTATTAGCAACACCAGAGGCTTATCTGTCCTTGTGTCTCTGGGGAGAAGCACAAAGAGGGGGAACTAATCCACTCCAAGAAGAAGAAAGAGATGGCACCTTATCCCTAATTTGATGTATCACTCGTAGGGTAGGTAGGAAAGTTCTTCAGTTCCATTTGGCCTAGGCAGTGAATTACTCCTCATATTTCTATTTTCTAGTGGTCAGTGAGCTATGAGTCATGCAGTGACTCATAGCATCATCATCAATGTATATTTGGGGGTGCTCTCAGGGTTCCTGGGTTCGTGCTGATAAGGAAAGCCAGGCTTTGTTATGACTGAGTCTTTTTCCGTGCTATGTGTTTCGTGTGTTTTTTTAGCCGCCACAACCATCCTGATGGTGTCATACCACTCAGAATGATAGAAATGTCTTACTTTTTTGGAAACTAGATAAACAAGAATATCATGCATTTGGGAAATGTTTAAATGTACACCCACATGTCAGGCCCACTAAGTGTGTATTTGAAAAATCATTTTCATTTTTATCATGCTTTGACAAAAGGAAGTACATCAACGCTCTGTTTAGGAAAAATATACTGTACTCTGCTACTGAACAGCTATGTGGCCTTGGGCACGTCTCTTAACTTCCCAGGGCCTCAGTTTCCTCATTCACTGTCTACTTTCCTGATTCTACCGTAACACTTCATTAGGTTGCAAACTATGTCTAGAAGGTAGCAGCACCCCCATCTCTCATTCAAAGGGCCTTCTCAGGACACACCCTCCTCTACCAAGGCTGTGCTCACTGATGACTTCTCCATGAGCAGCTGACTGAACTTGGTTTGTAGGAAGTTCATACAATCTGCTGGCACCAGCAAGAAATGGAATGCTGGAAGCTTCCAGCTTCACTCAAGTACATTTAACCATTCAACAGACACTTATTGAACATGTCCTATATGCCAAGCACTGAATGCCAAGGATCCAGCAATGTCAAAGCAGACAATGTCCTTCTTCTCATGCAGCTTACCTTGTAGTGTGGGAAGTGGAAAATAAACAACATAAATAGGTAAATTATGCAGAAGGTGTTAACAACTATGGAAAAATAGAGCAGTTTGAGGGATAAGGATGCTGGTGTATTGGCAGAGAAAGAGGGTTAAGGCCTGGCTTCACTGTAAAGGTGGTGTTTGACTAAGACTTGCAGGTGAGAGAGTGAACCATAAGGATATCTTAGGAGGACTGGCCCAGGTAGAAGAAAGAACCGCTGCAGAGACTCTGGGGAGACATATGGCTGGCATGCTGGAGGAGCATCAAAGTGGCCAATGTGGCTGGAGCAGAGTGAATTCAGCGCAGTGTAGGGGATGAGGCAGGGGGTACAAGGGGTCAAAGCGTGTAAAGCCTCATAGAGGCTTTACAAGGCTTGACTTTCACTTTGAAAGAAATGAGAAGCCATTGCAGGATTTTGAACAAAGGAATAGCCAGATCAGGCCGGGCGCGATGGCTCACGCCTGTAATCCCAGCACTTTGGGAGGCCAAGGCGGGTGGATCATGAGGTCAGGAGATCAAGACCATCCTGGCTAACACGGTGAAACCCCATCTCTACTAAAAATACAAAAACTTAGCCAGGCGCGGTGGCGGGCACCTGTAGTCCCAGCTACTCGGGAGGCTGAGGCAGGAGAATGGCATGAACCCGGGAAGCGGATGTTGCAGTGAGCCAAGATAGTGCCACTGCAGTCCGGCCTGGGCGAAAGAGCGAGACTCTGTCTCAAAAAAAAAAAAAAAAAAAAAAAAAAAGGAATAGCCAGATCTGACTTACATTTTATAATAAAGCTCAATCTGTTTATTAATGGAAGAATAAAATGAAGGGAAGTGGCAAATCTGAGTCACTAAAACAATTTAGGAAGCTGTTGGGATAAATTATGCTTGCATGGACCAGAATAGTAGCAGGAAGATGCCAGAGGTGGTTGGATTCTAAATATAATTTGAAGGTAGACCCTTTAAAATTTCCAGGTGGATCGGAGGTGAGATGTGAGAAAAAGAGAATTGTGGACAGCTTCAAGGTCAAGAACCTCTTTGGTAGTGGATGCTCTTTGGGGTTTTAATATGAGACATAAAGATCCATATGCTCTATGATCACTCCCAAGGGTCCATCCCACAACTCCTTTCCCTATTTGCTCCTTATTTTCTATTCTTATTCCTTCCAGGCCTCTGACCAATAAACCAAGCCATTCACACCACTGCTCAGGGGCCTTGTAGATCTGTACTATGGGCCACTGCTCCCTGCTGGGTTACACTCCTGAAGTCACTCTGAACCCACCCACAGTTTGCTGTGGAGGCCGTAGTTAAAAAGCAAATGGCCAACGGCAGCTGAGACAGGTGAAATTGGGAGATATGAAGGACTCAAAAGAGGTGTTTCAGACACAAGGTCATTTATTTCTGTTACTATGTTTTTTATTTCTAGCATTTCCCTTTTATGATTTCTTGAGTTCCCATCTCTGTTTATATTACCCATCTTGCATGTTCTTGCATGTTGTCTACCTTTTTTTCCATCAGAGCTCTCAGCACATTAATTATAGTTATTTTAAATTTTTGGTTGGTCTGATAATCTTAAAATCTCTGCCAAATCTAAGTCAGGTTCTGTTGCCTGCTTTGTCTTTTCAGGCTATGTTTGTTTTTTCTTGCCCATTAGCGCACCTAAATTTTGTTGAAAGTTACACATGATATATTAGGTAATAGAACCTGAGGTAAGTCAGTCTTTGGTGTGAGGGTTTATGATTACCTGGTTAGGAGCTACACTTTACTTTTTGTTGTAGCTATAAGCGTCTGAGGCTTCAATTTCTTCTACTGTCCTTGTTTTTGTCTCTCCAGTTATCTTTGGGTTTCCCTAGAAATGTCTTTTTAAATAGAGTCTGAGCCTTGCAGACTTTTCAACTATTATCATCTGTTATGATTTAGGAGTTTAGTTGACACATCAATGAGATATGTAACTGGCGGGGGACATTCTATAATTCCATAATTAGGTCTCAATTTTTTAATGAGCCTGTGCTCTTGGGCTGTGAACTTCATAAATGCTTCTTAATTTTTTTCCCTCTCAGGTGAGATAGGAAAGTTAGTTAGGGTGAGAGTTGGGTATTTTCCTTCCCCTACATTATTTAGATTCTAGAAATGTAAATTCCTTTGAGAGCAGGCAGAGGACAGAACACTCCAAGCTTATTTCAAAATGGGTACTTTCCCTGTCTTGCTGGAAGCCCAGGGGGATTTTTCTCCAGTCTCCACTATGAGAGAACACCTTGTGGGGCTTAGGGAAGTAAAACTCCAAAAGTGAGAGGAATCGCCCCACCACTAAGTTTTTAACTCTCAAACTAGTCCACACTCAGCTTCCAGCAGTTCATCATTACAGTTTAAGTTTCTGGCTCCAGCAGCTTCTGCTCCCACTAAGCTGTGATTCTCTGTATTCTCCTTTCTCTCCAGTTTTTAAGGCACTAGTTTGCTCTGTGACCTTAATTCTCTGATGAATCTAAGAAGTGTTGTTGATTTTCAGTTTGTTCCACTTTTGTCTTGTTGTAAGGATGGGAGTGATGACTTCTAAGCTGGTTACACATTGGAGTGGAAACTGGAAATTTAAATTTTTAAATGGGAATGAACGCCTTGTTCTTGGGACAGAACAATATAATGGATGTTAATTCCCCCTTGATTTAATCTGTACAATCAATTCCATTCAAATTCTCAATTAGTTCTTTTCAGGAAATTGAAAAAGTTATTTTAAATTCATTTAAAAATTAGAAGATGTGACAAAAAGCCAATAAAATATAAAAATAAAAGTGATAAGGAGCCTGTTCTACCAGGTATCAAAATGTATTACAAAGCTATAATAATTAAAATATCCAGGAACTATGCCAAAGTGTATACTCAAATGATTAGAACAGAATGGCTGGTGCAAAAATAGACCAAAGTTCATCTGAGAATTCATTCTATGATTAAAGCAGAATTTCATATCAGAGAGGAAAATATGGATTATATTGAGACAACTGGTTAGATATTTTGGAGGAAAAATAAAGTTAGATCCACCCTGATACCTTGAATCAAAATAAATTCCAAATAGTTCAAAATTGTAAATATTAAAATTAACAGTAAAAGTGCCACCAGCAATGAAACTGGTGACTTCACTGCATTTCTGCTCCTCTCCTTTTCCAACTCCAATTCAACTGCCAACTGCATCCTCTGTTTTCAGTCTTATTTTGTTAATAATTAGGATACCTAAGGCTGTAATATTTCCTCTGAATTTAGCATTATCTGTATAACATAGATTTTGGTAGGAAGTATTCTCTTTTATATTATGTATTAGTTAATTTAGAATCTCAATTTTGATTACTTATTTGATCCAAGGGTCTATGAAAAGGGTATCTCTTAAATTTTAGGCAGTTAAATTTTTATCATGTTTTTGCTATTAATGTATTGTATATTATATTATTATTATCAGAGGCTGGATTTTGTAAAAATAATATTATTTTCAGAAGTTTTAAAGGAAATTTGAATATAGCATCTTATACCCAGCCAAATTCATATTGAAGTGGGAGTGCAAATTTAAAAAAGATTTATAGGCACACTAATAGTCAAAAAACATATTAAGCACATTCTCTGAAAGAATTACTTAATTATATACTCAGTAAAAAAAATTTCAAAATATGCAAAAATAGAAATTAAAAGGTTGTGAGCAAATGATAATTTTATAATTATCAAAATAACTATTGGTACATAAAATTAGTAATAATCTATTACTAACTATCTTGGAAAATATCTGTATTAGTCAGGATTCTCCAGAGGAACAAAACTAAGAGGATATACAGCTGACCCTTGAACAACACAGATTTGAACTGTGTGGGTTCATCCAGTTATACATGGATTTTCTTCCACCTCTGCCACTCTAGAGACCACAAAACCAGCCCCTACTCTTTCCCCTCCTCCTCAGTCTACTCAATGTAAAGATGAGAAGGATGAAGACCTTTATGATGATACACTTCCACTTAATGAATAGAACATGTATTTTCTTTTCCTTATGATCTTCTTAATAACCTTTTCTTTTCTTTAGCTTACTTTATTGTAAGAATACAGTATATAGTACATATAATATACAAAATATGCATTAATTGACATGTATGTGTTCATATTAACAGTAAGGCTTCTGGTCAATCATAGGCTATTAGTAGTTAAGTTTTTAGGGATTCAAGAGTTATACATGAATTTTTGACTGCCAGGGAGTCAGTATCCCTAGCCCCCCATTGTTCAAGGGTCAGCTGGTTATTCAACTATAATGCATATATAAATATTTCATTATAGGAGTTGTTCTTATACAGTTATGGAGGACAAAAGTTCCATGATCAGCCTTCTACAAGCTAGAGAACCAGGAAAGACAGTGGTATAATTCAGCCCGTCTGAATAACCAAAAACCAGGGGAGCCCATGATGATGTAAGTCCAGTCTGAGTTCAAAGACCTGAGACCCAGGATTGTTGATGTCTGAGGGCAAAAGAAAACAGATGTCCCAAATCAAACAGGAAGCAAATTTTCCCTTCCTCCAGCCTTTTGTCCTATTCAGGTCCTCAATGAATTGGACGATGACAGTCTACTAATCCAAATGCTAATCTCTTCCAGAAATACCCTCACGGAAATGCCCAGAAATAATATATCACCAGTAATCTGGGTATCCCTTAGCCCAGTCAAGCAGACACATAAAATTAATCACAATATCAACATGAAAGGAAATAGACAGATGAGAAGAAAAAGAGGGAACTGAAAGCATGCTAAATTTCTGATTTTGATTCAGAGAAGAAGGCAGGAGAACAGGCTGATATTAATACAAAATAATTCCTGGTAGCTAGATAATAAGATAAATTTAAATTTCTTTAAAATTTAAGTGAAATTGCTAGAAGAATAAGTATAGGATATTCAGCTCCCAAACCACTAAAGGAAAGGAAATATAATTTAAATAAATAAATAAATAATTAAAAAGCAAGAAAGAGAGAAGAAATAGAAAGAGGAAGAAAGAGAAGAGAAAAAGAAAGGGAGAGGAAGATGAAAAATGAGGAAGATGGAATGGAAGATGAAACTATAAAGTGAGGTGTAAGGAACAAGTCCAAATAATCATTCCTCACAAGAAATATGGGTGTGTTAAATTCTTAATTAGACTGCAGGATTTCTGGATTTTCTATTTAAGATTTTCCATATAAGAACCTCATATTTCTGAGGTTCTTATAAAGATGCATCCTAGTGAAGACATGCCATGTTTTTATCTCCAACTAAAGAATATCACAACGGACTTATAGCTCACATAGAAAGGGAAGAATGAGTTTCCCAGGGAAATGTCAAAGAAGCAGAAGTAAGCAGATTTAGAAAACCAGGGATGTAGCAAGCTTACGAATCAACATTGATTTTGCTAGGGCTTAGATTTTGCGCAAAACATCAGTTTTAAGCCTTCAGAGCTCTCTGTGAAATTCTTTCCTCTGAAAAGCTCTGTCAGGGGCAAAGCTGACCCAGTGTGGAAATGCCATGAGTCAGAGACCAGACAGATCTATTGGGGTGAGTCAGAAAATCACGGAAGGTCCCACCATGGGCAAAACAAGGAAGAATGAGGCAGAAAGTAAGGGCAGTGCAGCTGGTAATTCCAGAGCCCAGACTCAAAGCCATTATACCATGCCAGGGAATCTGGAAGAAGGTTACAAGCAGGGGTTTTGGCAGAAGTTTTGTAGTCAAGTGGTCAAAGACAAGGGAATGCAGCCAAGAAGAACAGACAAAGTTACAGCAAATAAACTGAATATGGATGGGGTCAAGTAGAAGGAGGGGAGTGTAGTCCTATGGAAAACCATTGAGGGCCAACTACAAGGAATGGAGTAAAAGACAGGATATAGTCCCAGCAGCCTGACAGTACCCAAGTTCTTTAAAGACAAGAATAGCAAACAGGAAATCAAACCAGGAATTCAGGCATAAAAAGTGAGAAAAGAAATCATCTAGACCGACACAGCTTACTGATTACATTAACATGACCTTCCTAATCCACTGTTTTCATCAAAAATGACCTTACTATTCAAAGAAACTCTTGCCTGGGAAGGTAAACATTCAAATGAGTACAGGATAGTTCTCTGGGTGGCCTTGGACCAACCCAGTTCTCCCTCATTTCTCTCTTGTAGTTCTTAGGAATAGCTATAGAATGTGCTAGGGATGTAATATCCTGAGATAGGAAGGGACTGGCTGGAACTGTTCATGCTCTGTTCCAGTTCCCCCTAGAAACAGGATGCCCTTCAATGCTTTAGCCCAGGGAGTCAGATTCTCCCAGGACATAAAACCCAAAATAGCTGCTTTTCTAGGTCCCACAGCTGCAGTGCAAGTGGAATACATGCAGTCAAGGCTCCATCCATCCCCAGGCAGCTTTTCTGAGCCTTGGGGACCAGCTCAGGATGAATTCTAGGCTTCTGTTGTCCCTTGCTGCCTATCTGTGAATAAAAAGTCCATTTCATGGAATTTGCTGTGTGGGGATGTTCTATCTCATCAGACTCAAACAAGTTAGTAGTTGGTGAACTTGCTTCACAATTACTGTATTAAGTGAACATCAAATTGTTCACCTCTACAGTAGATAGTATCAAATGATAATTACTTCTTAAGACACTTTGAATCCTCTCACATTAAAACCCTCATCTTTTTGTGTCCACCAGTCCTAAACGATCGTCATGATTCTTACCAAATTCTAATCAAATCTTCACATTGTCAGAACCACCTTAAACCAGATTCCATATACTCAGAGAATATTAAAAAAAAAAATCCAACTTTGCCTTCCCACCATCTGAGACACTACTAAAACTTTGTTATGGTAGTACTCTCCCTTACCGGACTAGCGGGACATATTCAGCTTTATCTTATTTTTAAGTTGTCTTGGGGATATTTTTAGGGATCTAGCACTTGACAATATTGGAGACCCATCAAAATCCAATCTAGACATTCTTACCACCACAGCCCAAGATCCATCTTAACCTATTTCTCCAAAAATTTGTACTAAACACACTGCTTGAATGAGAAGCTGAAGAAAAGCTAAAATGTATCCTAGAAAGCCCTCATAGATAAAGGAATCATTATACTTTATCCTGGTCCTTGGAACATTCCTATTCTCCCAATCAAAAATACCAATAGGCAAGGAGATGAATTCATCAGGACCTCAGGGCCACAAATAAAACAGACATTCAAGGCGACCCTGCAGGAGCACATGCAATACCATTTTATGTTAGCCTCCTGAGACTGTAAGTTATACAACTGTAGATCTGTGTTTTCCATTTTTTGGTGTCCTTTTAGATTAAAATAGTCAATGCTTGTTTGCCTTCTCTAAGAAAAATTAACAATATACCTGGACTGTTGTTATGCCCCAGGAATGCACTGAGGCACATACTACCTTTCATAAATCCTCAATCAGGATCACAAGGACCTTACTTTTCCCTGTGGTTTTCTTATACAATATGTAGATGAACTTTTGGTGTGTTCCCAAAGAGGGTGAATGCTAAGACTAACTTCATCTATCTAATAACTGTTTTAGCTCAGTAAAGGCATAAAGTTTCCAAATACAAAATGTTGCCAAAGTAACTTCATTACTTAGGACGGGAGTTGGCAAACTATAGCCACTAAGCAAATCCAACCTGCTGCCTACTTTTGTAAATAAAATTTTGTTGGACACAGCCATACTGATTCATTATTTATTGTTTATGGTTACCATAAAGTGCAACTGAATTGAATAGTTGCGAAAGAGACTTTATGCCCCTGAAAGTCTAAGGTATTTACCATCTGCTCCTTTACATAACAACTAAAAGTTGTTATTGCAAGGAAGAAAATCCCTTACTCTTAACCAACTACAGGCCACTCAAAACTTTACTGGGCCAGAGACAATTAAGAAGATTCTCCAGTCCTTGCCCCAAATGCAATGGGTTCTCAGCTTTTCTATTTGCCACTCCACTATATGACAAAGTTCTCAAATACCAAACCTCTTCCCTGGGACACTGAACATGAATAGATCTTTTGTGAATTATCAGCACTCCAACAACCTCCCACTCTTTCTACTCATTTGTACCTGAGAGATCTGAACAAGCCCTTGGTAGTCTAACAAGAGCCTACCCGCCTTGTCAACAGCCACAGCAGCTACACAAGTGAAGGCATCTTCCAGCTTGGTCTTAGGATCTCCTTTAAATTTAATGGGCCCTCATCCCCTACAGTCTTTGCTGTTCACTGGAAATACACAACACTTCTCAGCAGGAAGACTTGTGTTGTGTGAATCCTTATTTTCTCCTTAATATATTTCCATTTATCATCATAGTACTTTAAAATCCTGTTACTTTTCATTAATTACCCAAAACAGAAGAAACTCATGATTGTTTAATCTCTGTTCACAAACTCTCTATGCCCTGAGTGGATTTATTAGAAAATGCTTTAGGAAATCCAGACTTAATCCTAGTTGCTGATGGATCACATCTTAATAGTGATACTGCAAAATAGAAGGTAAGAATATCACCCCTTACCAAAAGCAAAATCTGTCCAGATTGAAGAACTTACTGCATGTGCCAGAGCCTATCAGTTAACTAGAAATGAAAGGATAATTTCCACTGATAATAGAGATATACATTTTGGAAGGTAGTCATATTTGGTGATGTTTTGTAAACAAGGGTTCTTGACCCCAACAGGAACTCCAGTTCAGATTGGTCAGCAGAATTAAAGAATTTTTGCATGTTCTAATGTTTCTTAAGGAGATATAAAGACAGGAGCTCAAACAAATGGGTATACTACAGCTCTTTGTTCCAGACAGTCAGCACTCACTTAGATCCTAGCCCTAATGATAATCCAATAGATTCTATTGCTAGAGAAATTCAAAGAGGCTTTTATAGAATGTCAGTGATCGGCTCCAGGTTCAGAAAAGTCGTACTAGGAGAAATCCAGATGTAAACTGCACGAGGATAATCTCCGAGGCTTTAAGGATGGCTGTTTAGTCCCGAAGAACTTCAAATGGAATCTTGCAAAAATTTTACATGAAAATACCCACCACTGCAAAGACAAATTAGCAAGGACAAACTGGCCACTAAACTTCTTGGTGAGAAAACTTCACTAAAACTTCTGAGGGTATTTCTGGTGCATATATTACCTGCCACTAGACTGATTCTGACAAAACTGTTCAGGTCAGACATGGACAAGAGCCCAGTGCTTAGAATCCCTTTGAATAGCTCCAAAAGGGTTTCATATATCTGCTCTTGCAGTGGATTTGTAATGTGTCCTACTTATTATTTGCTTATTCTTGGGATGAGTTGAGCCCTTTCCTTGCTGGAGAAACATGGCTCTAATAATTGCAAATTTAAAAACTTACTTGATATTGTATTACCAACTTAGGGAATTCCAAACTATTGCTCTAGTAACAAGACCATTCATCTTCCTTGGTATATTGGACAGACTCCAATTTGGCCACCCAGGATCCACATTTGTTGGTCTTTATGCCTCTGTGTGATCCTTGACTGCAGTCAGGACCTGTGACTTGCTTCTAACTAACACAGTATGCCAAAGGTGATGGGCTATTGCTCCCGTGCTTATGTTAGTTTTATAAATTACTTGTCTTGCTAGAAGACACTCTGAAGACTCTTTCCTGGCTTCATGAAGCACTCATTTCAGGAAAGCCCCTGAGGTAAGGAACTGAGGCTGCATCTAGGATCTGCAGGCAACTAATAGCAGCCAAGGGTGGCCTCCAGCCAACAGCTAGCAAGAAGCTGGAGCCTTCAGTCTTACAACCACAAGGAAATGAATTCTTCCAATAAATGGTGTGAGCTAAGAAACAGGTTCTCCCTTAATAGAGCCCTTACATGAGAATGCAACTGGGACAACACCTTCATTTCAGCCTTAAGAAACCCTGAGCATAGGACAACGCAAGCCATGCTTAGGCTACTGACCCATGGAAACAGCAAGAATAAATGCAGGTGCTTTTAAGTCACTAGGTTTCTGGTGACTTGTGCAGCAAGAAAACTTATACACTGTGACTATTATTTAAAAGCTTTGCAGAGTATTCTCACTTACTCAGAAACTCTACTATCAATATCAGCCCCAATCATCAAGAAAGGAAGAAAGGGCAGATCGAATTTTAAAACACAAATTAGCAAATTTTTCATAGATTCTCAATCTTTCATCACCTAAGATATTGCCATTGGCTTTAATGACAGTGAGATCAATTCCTCCTGGGGGTTATCAACTCTCCCCTTATGAATCAGTAACTGGTCAGCCCATGCATCTAGGATTATCATCTCTGATTCTAGATTCCATGCTATCACAAACCGACAAGCCAAATATCCCAGGGAACTCATGCAGTACCCCCAGTATTATGATTAATAGGTATGAGCAGCCTTTCCTCAACATCATCCTAAATAGCACTTCTATGACCTGAAGCCTGGAGCTTTTGTAAATGAACTTTCAAATAAATAGAACTTGGAAGAGAACTAGGAAAGAGATGCAATATTCTTGGAGGCTGAACCACTTTCACTGATGACGCAGGTAAGACACGCTACTTCACTTTTGCTTTAGAGCTACCAACTCTCTCAGTATTCCAAATTTCATTGCCTGGCACTGTATCATTCTTGATGAGTAGTGCTAAAATGCTACAATGCAATTTTTCAATCCTATGGTGCTGTTTAGGCCAAAGATAGTTCATAAGTGATTCCCAATGACTGGTATAGAATTTTCAGCATAAAAGCCTCAGACTGCTACCTACGAATTGGACAGGGTTTTGGTACCTTGGTAAATAGATGCATGTTTTGAAGATAGTGAGATTACCTAGGATCCATTTTTGCCCATCAATTTACCCTCTAGGAATGGTCGTTAGGTCACAGATTTTAGGAAGAAAACTCAGCCATGATTTCAGAACCAAAGCCCTAACTCTTAAGGGGGAATTTTGAATTTTCTTCTTTCCTCATGCTCCTTCACTTTATATTTTTCTGAAAGGCTCAAAAAACAGGGAGAATCCTGGATGCCATGGTTCAGAGAATGCAAAAGAGTTATACAATGCCACCATGGCCATGGGACTCCTTGCCTAGAAGGATCATAAAATTGGACAGATGGTAAATCAGAATAGAGCCACTTTAGACACAATATTGACTTTCTGAAAGGACACAGTACTATTTAGGGGAAGAATGTTGTGCTTACATCCTTCCAGACCTCTCATAATTTTTAATATTATCTAAAATGACTAGAGAGCAAATAAAGAAGCATAAATTTAGACCATCTGGCTAATTCCCCATTCCTGGTTCTGTGTGCTCTTCGGACTGGGGATAGAATCCATTCTCTTGGTTTAACTTGGCCACACTAGGCTCCTAGCTGAGAAAAGGATGATGAATTCTAATCTGCATTACAGCGTTTAGAGGCGTGATGTCCAGGGTCTTAAATGCTGTTGTATAACCACTATCAGATCACCAGGCCAGGGATCTTACTTGTGATTTCCATCAAATCATCCCTCAAAAAGAACAGAAAACCTGATAATTGTGGTGGTTGAAACATCCACCTCCAGACTAATCAAATGCCCAGCTCAGGCTGAACATTGACTACCAGTGGGACTCTAGAAGCAAAATCATCTAAATCCCCACGGATCACTGGCTATATTAACATAACTTTACTATTCCCCAGTAGAGTAGTCCTCCTTTATCTGTAGGGGATATGTTCCAAGATCCCAGTGGATGCCTGACACCTTGGATACCACCAAACCCTATATATATACTATGTTTTTTCCTATACATACATACATATGATGAAATTTAAATTACAAATTAGGCACAGTAAGAGATTAACAACAGTTAATCTTAGGGCCAATGCTTAGAGCCCCTTTGAATAGCTCCAAATGGATTTCATACATCTGTTCTGGCAGTGGATTTGTTATGTGTCCTACTTATTGCTTGCTTATTCTTGGGAGGGGTGGAGCCCTTTCCTTGCAGGAGAAAGATGGCTCTAATAATTGCAAATTTAAAAACTTACTTGATATTGTGTTACCGACTTAGGGAATCCCAACCTATTGCTCTAGTAACAAGACCATTCATTTTCCTTGGTATACTGAGGAACTCCAATTTGGCCACCCATGATCCACATTTTCTAGGTCTTTACACCTTTGTGTAATCCTTGACTGCAGTCAGATCCTGACTTTGCCCTCTCCACTTTAAGACACTACTAAGACTCTGTCCAAGTCATGCTCTTTTACTGCAACAAGAATAAACTCAGTTTTTTGTTTTTGGTGTTATTTTGAAAAGTCAGCATTTAACAAAAGGCAATAAATGGGTCAGTTAGAGGACCTGGTGAAATGAGGAACAGGGAGAGAACTTGGTTTTAATATCCAGAAGTCAAGCAAACACTAGAGGAACCACCCACAAGGCAATGTGGACCCATGAATCAAGGAGTTATCTTATTTATTTGCTTTTATCAAAATCCTAACTGGTCTAAGCATCTGGAATGGCACTGATCTTACATGAAAAGGTGAAGTATTTCCAGCTATAGGGAATGGAGGAGCAGTGACTTCAGGGTCAGGGAGGTATATAAGTCATTAAGATGTATGTCGTTAGAGAGGGACAAGGACAATGAAAGTTCATTGGAATTTGTAAACTTTATTCCCAAGTACACATTTAAATGGCTGGAACCTTGGATTCTTGTTTAGAAGCTATATTGAGGGTAACTAAGGATGTCAAGTGCCCAAAAGAACACTTACCTGTATTTCATTCACTTGGTAAGTTCTCTCATCTCTCTGAGCCCAGGTTTTTGCCCTGTGTAAAGTATAAATGTAATTCCTTTCTCTAGACTCTTCACTGTAATTCACTTGCTTATATGAATTTGCTTGCTGTCTTTTTATTTCTTCTCTCTTCTCTAATTTGCCACATTTCCTTCACTTTTTGTTACTGAAACATGTCTGCAGGGAAACCAGTCAGTAGGACCCAAGAATTAGAAACTGGGGGGAAATGTTTTCAATATTCAAATAAGAATTTGTTGAAAGAACTAATGTAAACATGTCACTTGCTCTCTCAATATATGTAAAAGCTGGGAAGGAGAGCAGTGTGATCCTTAAGGGCCTCCCTTCTCCAGCCAACTCTCATTTATCAAGAGGCTCCTTATCCAGCCTTCTTGCTTTGGCCCTCCAGGGGAAAACTGGTGTAATGTAGGAGAAAGAACACCGGTCAAGCTTGATGAGTCCTGGCTTTTTCACTTATTAGCTTTATGCCCTTGGCAAGCCACTGAAACACTCTGAAGCTCAATTTCCTTGCTGGTCAGAAGAAGCTGTCCACTCCATGGGGTGCTGTGCAGGGCGTTAAAGCCCCTGATAATGGTAGTGGCTGCTATAATTACAATGAGATAAACATTTATGAATTGGCTTTGGCTTTCCTCATTGAACAAAAATGGAGTCAGAATTATCAAAGGGGACAGGCAGAGCCATTGCTACATTAAGGAAGTGCTTTGTAAACTGTAAAACAAATAACAAATTAAAAAGAGGCTTTGTATTCTTTCTTTTCTAGGTATGATTTTTATTGCTTAATAGCAGCATCAAGAAAACTGAACTTCAAATTCAAATTGAAAAGTGAACCTCAAATCAAGCAGTATTTCTCATCAGTAATGATGGGGAGGGATTTGAAAGTCCTGCTTACCATGTAAATTTGAACTATCTGGGAATGGGACCGCTCTCTGGCATGCATCACGCCAGCATTTTTACCAAAAATGGAGATTTCCTTCCACCTCCACTTCTTCCCAGTCAGGTCACATGAAACAGGGAAACTATGGGATCAGGCAAACCTAAATTTCATTCGTGATTCCACTTTAAAACAGGAAACTTATTATCTACTCTGTAGGAAAACATAAAATAATTTTTGCAAAGTACACAGTAGCAAAGGATTGGCTTCTTTCCATCCTGAAGATCTGCAGCTTAAAACAACTTCAGTGTGACATTGTTCCCTGATACCACACTCATAAAGTTTTATTCACACATAACAGACCTTCCTTCAAATCCCACCTCCTCCACTAAATAGCACATTATTCAACCTCAGTTTCCTCTTCTATAAAATGGGCACAATAATAGAACCTAGCTCACAGAGTAGAGGGGAACAGATGATAAAGTGCATTTAAATGCTTAGCCTGGTGTCTGACACATAATAAAATTTTTGCTAACAGAATTACAATAATACAAATAACAATAACATTTCAGTTCTATTCGAATTTGCACATTAACCAACACTTAGATGGGTCAGCAGCAAAGGTTTGGGGTAGTTTGCCATTTTTTCCTTCTTAAATTTCCTTGGCTGTGCTTCTTTCCCTCCCTTCCCAGGGCAGGTCTGTTTCAATTCAGCCGCTGGCTGGAACATCTGGCAGGTTGCCCACTCTTGACGTTTTCTGTTTGTGGAGCCAACAGGGTGGGGAGGTAGGGGGTTTGATCATCTTCACCACTGAGACATTGGAATCTGTTGAGTTAAACATTGCTCTACTGTTACCATCCCCTCCCTTTCCTCCTCCCTCCCTGTGAATGAATCTGGAAAGAATGAACCTGAAGTCTATCTTGAACAGCTATAAAACCTTTATGGTACGTGGGCTGCTCCTCGAGTAGTGGAGCATTAGCCTCCCTGTTCGTTCCTAGAGTAAACAGAACACGTCAGCATATTCCCTAACACGGGGTCAATGTCTGAGGGAGCGGTGCACTCCGTGCCTGGCACCTGCTAGTGTGAGAGGTCTGCTGGCAGCCACACACCACAATCAACTTTGATGACTGCATGCACTGCAGAGCTCACTACTCCCGAGCCCTTTTATTCACTAATATTTATCTCAAGATAGCAATATCTCCAAATCTTCCCTTTTGCTCAGCCCTCTAACCTTACAGAATCTATTATAAAGTATGTGCATATAGCTGATGGGATATATTACATAGTACCTATGTGTCCAATATTACATTTGCACCGAATTTTCTAAGTTAACTCTATGAGAGAAACCAAAGTTGAACTTGCACCCTTCCTTGGAGGAGCATGCTGGCTCTTGAGTCAGGCCTTAGCATTGCCCTGCTGTCCCGTTTGATGTCATCCATAAAGTGCTGCCTCACTACTGGCTGCAGTCAGTCTCCACACCATTGGCCTATGATTTATTACAGGTGCCATCTTTGAAGGATCCATGGCCCCATGCCATCACTTGACTGCTTACTTAAAATGTTTAAGTGTGTGATACTAGGTCTATAACCTTTTCTGATCCCACAGAAGGGACAAGGGAGAACATAATTCATTTTATTGGAGGTCACCATTATTCTTCCTTCTCTGTCTTTACCCTGTGCCGGCCAAATAGTCATACTTTATCCACTGTAAGTACTTTTTCCCCAGTCAGTTCTCCAAAGGTTTCTCTTTCCATATTGTCCTCCAAACTTTCTCATGTCTATTTCACACTCTTGTACTTTATTTGCGTTCTATTATAGAATCAATTAGATCCTATCCTGGGCAGAACTGTTCATTGTTTACAAGCATTAGGTCACCAAAGACCAATGACACCTAAAAACCAGTGAGCCACAATGACTGATACATCTACTCTTGCTTCATAACATAACCTTGAGAGGTCAGTTCAGAGTGTGAGCCCCATTTTACTAACAAAGATGATGAAATTGAGAGACTCAGTCTCTTATTTGTGGTGGCCTAATTAGTCCAGAAGCAATGTCATAATCAGTGCTAAAGTGAACATAGGAGAGAGAACATCAGAAAAAATCTCATTAGCCGGGGATGGTGGCACATGCCTGTAGTCCCAGCTACTTGAAAGGCTGAGGGAGGAGGATCCTTTGAGCCGTGGAGGCAGAGGTTGCAGGGAGCTGAAGGTTGCAGTGAGCTGAGGTAGTGCCACTGCACTCTAGCCTGGGCGACAGAGCAAGACCGTGTCTCAAAAAATAAAAATAAAATCTGAAATCCATAGTAATAAGAGGAAGTGGAAACATGCCCTTGGCTGGCTAAGGTAACAACTACACCAAACATTTTATATCAACAAACAAACAAAAAATTCAATCCCCAGTTACGATTCAGAGTTTGATTTATGGCAGATTTGGTTGTAATTCCTCTCTGAGATGACAGGTAACTGAGCTCGGTCCTACTTTAGTCATCAAATATTTTCCATGAATAAGCCAAGCCAGAATCTATGGGTAGATTTTCTTCCAGGCATAAAGTCATTGTAAATCCATAAGGTCATATTCTTTAATTTTATACTTCCATTGTGAACAACTCTGCAGTGGAAAAAATAATTCTATTTTTGTATTTTTGCTTTGAAAATAACCTATTTTATATAATTTATTTTTTCTAAATACACACGTATTTTATAAAGTTAATATATTGAAAAACACAAAGAAGAAAAGTTACCAAGAGTCACACTATCCAGATGGAACAGAAAACATTTTGCTATCTTTTCTACATGTAAATACACATATGCATTTTTAAATTTGGAACATACAATAGTATACCATTGGTATACATAACATTGGGAAACATACTTTTTTCATTTAACAACATGCTTAAAAACATTTCCCCTTTAATGGTGGTTCTTCTAAAACCTGTTTTGTTGTGTTTTTTGGGGTTTTTTTTGAGACAGAGTTTCGCTCTTGTCACCCAGGCTGGAGTGCAGTGGCATGATCTCAACTCACTGCAACCTCTGCCTCCTGGGTTCAAGCAATTATCCTGCCTCAGCCTCCTGAATAGCTGGAATTACAGGCATGTGTCATCACACCCAGCTTAATTTTGTACTTTTAGTAGAGACGGGGTTTTGCCATGTTGGCCAGGCTGGTCTCAAACTCCTGGCCTCAAGTGATCCACCTGCCTCGGCCTCCCAAAGTGCTGCAATTACAGGTGTGAGCCACCACACCCGGAGTTAAAACCTGTTTTCAAATAATTCTGTGATGGTAGGTTATATTACTGTAGCACCTTTTCACTTTCTGTTTCTCTAACATGGCTATTTGTATACCTCCAGAGGCTACAAGCATCATATTCTCAAGGCTCTATGTGGCCTACTAATCTAGCATGTTCCAAATCTCCAAGTACAGAAGTCCAAACACATGGAATAAAAAGAACTTCCACACACTCCTATTGCCAAATCCACCAGTTTATCCACATTTGTGCCCACATAGTCTATGTTCTTTGCTGCCAAAGAGGATGAACCAATCTAACACCAACCCCCTCACCGTGCACTGGATCTCACTTGTGCCCTGGATCTCACTTCCTCAGGACTTCTCAGGGAATCTACTCTTGCCATTGTCACCTCTCTCCTGCATCATCGGTTTTTCTTTCTCTGATGGTCACCATTCAAAAATAACATCTCTCATCTTAAAAAGCTATGTTAGGCTATTTGTGGTGCTATGAAGAAATACCTGAGGCTGGGTAATTTATAAAGATAAAGGCTTTAATCAGCTCTCATTTCTGCAGGCTACGTAAGCATGACACCAACCTTTGCTTGGCTTCTGGTGAGGGCTTCGGCAAGCTTATGATCGTGGCAGAAGGCAAAGGGGGAAGATAGTGTATCACATGGCAAAAGAGGGAGCAAGGCAGGAGAGGTGCCACATTCTTTTAAACCAGTGGTTCCCAACCTTATTGGCACCAGAGACCAGTTTCATGGAAGACAATTTTTCCAAAGACCAGGGTCGGGGGATGGTTTTGGAATTACTCAGGTATATTACATGTATTGTGCACCTTATTTCTATTATTACATTGTAATATATAATGACATAATTATACAATTCATCATAATGTAGACTCAGTGGGTGCCCAGAGCTTGTTTTCCTGCAACTAGACAGTCCCATCTGGGGGTGATGGGAGACAGTGACAGATCATCAGGCATTAGATTCTCATAAGGAGCATGCAACCTAGATCCTTCACTGCACAGTTCACGATAGAGAGCATCTAATGCCCCTGCTGATCTGACAGGAGGTGGAGCTCAGGCTATAACACAGGTGATGGGGAGTGGCTGTAAATACAGATGAAGCTTCACTTGCTTGCCCACCGCTCACCTCCTGCTGTGCAACCTGGTTCCTAACAGGCCATGGATTGGTACTAGTCCCTGGCCCACGGGTTGGGGACCCATGTTTTAAACAATCAGATCTTGCATCAACTCAGAGCAAGAACTCACTCATTACCTTGAGGGACCAATCCATTCATGAGGGATCTGCCACCCATGACCCGAACAACTGCAACCAGGCCCCACCTCCAACATTGGGGATTATACTGCAACATGCGATTTGGAGGGGACAAACATCCAAACTTCATCATTCCAACCCTGGTCCCCCAAATCTCATGTTCTTCTCACACTGCAAAATACAGTCATCACTTCCCAATAGTCTCTCAATATCTTAACTCATCCCAGCATCCACTCAAAAGTCCAAAGTCTCCTTTGAGACTAAAGACAACTTCTTTCCACCTATGAACCTGTAAAATCAAGAACAAGTTATTTACTTCCAAGATATAATGGTGATACAGGCATTGGGTAAACATTCCCATTCCAAAAGGGAGACATTGGCCAAAAGAAAGGGGCAACAGGCCCCACGCAAGTCTGAAACCCAGCAGCACAGTCATTAAATCTTAAAGTTCCAAAATAATCTCCTTTGACTCCATGTCTCCCTTCCATATCCCTGGGTGGATATTGAAGTACAAGTGGTGGGCTCCCAAGGCCTTGGGCAGCTCAGCCCCTGTGATTTTGCAGGGTACAGCCCCCATGGTTACTCTCATTGGTTACAGTCTGATGCCTGGAGCTTTTCCAGGCTCAGGGTACAAGTTGCCAGTGGCTTTACCATCCTGGGGCCTGGAGGGCTGCAGCCCCCTTTCCACAGCTCCAGTAGGCAGTGCCCTGGGGGGAACTCTGTGTGGAGGTTCCAACTCCACATTTCCTCTCAGCACTGCCCTAGTAATCTCTTTGTGTAAATTCTGCCCCTGCAGCAAACTTCTGCTTAGGCACCCAAGCTTTCCCATTCATCCTCTGAAATCTAGGTGGAAGCTGCCAAGCCTCCTTCACTCTTGCATTCCATGTGCCTGCAGACTTAATACCACATGGAAGATGCCAAGGGCTTATGGCAGCTTGTGCTCTCCAAAGCAGTGGCTGGAACTGATTTGGGACCCTCTGAGCCACAGTTGGAGCCAGAGCAGTGGGGATGCAGGAAGCAATGCCTCAAAGCTGCACAGGGCAGCTGGGCCCCAGGCCTGGCCCCCAAAAACATTCTTTCCTCCTAGGCCTCTGAGCCTGTGATGTAAGGGGGCTGCCTTGAAGATCTCTGAACAACCTTCAAGGCCTTTTTCCCATTTTCTTGGTTATTTACACCTGGCCCCCTTTCAGTCACGTTAATGTCTCTAGCAAGTGGTTGTTCCATAGCCCCTCGAATTTCTTCTCTACCAAAGGGCCAGGCTGCAAATTTTCCAAACTATGCTGTGCTTCCCTTGTAATTATAAATTCCAACTCTAAGTCATTCCTTTGCTCCAATGTTTGATTGTAGGTTGTTAGCAGCAGCCAAACCACCTCTTGAACACTTTGCTGCTTAGAAATTTTCTCCACCAGATACCCTAGGTCATTGCTCTCAAGTTCAAACTTCCACAAAGCCCTAGCATGGACACTATGCAGCCAGGTTCTTTGCTAGGGCATAATATGAGTAACCTTTGCTCCAGTTCCTATAAATTCCTCCTTTCCATCTGAGACCATGTCAGCCCGGCCTTCACCATCCATATTTCTATCAGCATTTTAGTCACAACCATTTAATCAGTCTCTAAGAAGTTCCAAACCTTCCCTCATCTTCCTGTCTTCTGATGACCCCTTCAAAATCTTCCAGGCTCTGCCTGTTACCCAGTTATGAACCCACTTCCACATTTTCAGGTATTGTTATAGCAACACCCCATACCTCAGTACCAATTTTTCGTGTTAGGCCATTTGCGTTGCTGTAAAGAAATACCTAGCTGGGCACAGTGGATCATTCGTGTACTCCCAGCACTTTGGGAGGCTGAGGCAGGCAGATCACTTCAGGTCAGAAGTTTAAGACCAGCCTGGCCAACATAGCAAAACCCTGTCTCTACTAAAATTACAAAATTTAGCCAGGTGTGGTGGTGCACACTGTAATCCCAGCTACTTGGGGGTATGAGACAGGAGAATCGCTTGAATGTGGGAGGTGGAGGTTGCAGTGAGCCAAGATTGCGCCACTGTACTCCAGCCTGGGTGACAGAACGAGACTCTGTTTCAAAACAAAAGAAACACCTGAGGCTGGGTAATTTATAAAGAAAATAAATTTAATCAGCTCACAGTTCTTCAGGCTGTATAAGCATGGCACCAACATCTGCTCGGCTTCTGGTGAGGGCCTCAGGAAACTTACAGTCATGGCTGGAGGCAGAGAGGGAAGCTGGCATATCACATGGAAAAAGAGAGAGCAAGCAGTGGGTAGGTGCCACACTCTGTTACACAACCAAATCTCACATGAACTCAGAGCAAGAACTCACTCATTAACAGGAGGAGGGCACCAAGCTATTCATGAAGGATCCATCCCTATGACCCAAACACCCCACCAGGCCCTACCTCCAACATTGAAGATTACATTTAGACATGAGATTTGGAGGGGACAAACACCGAAACTATATCACTTTCCCTTGTCTCTTCAGCCTCCCAAACCCACTCCTACCTCATTTGTCTGTACCCCTATTCCCTGTTTCCAATTCCACTCCTCCCATTCTCTCTAAAACAATAGGAGCAGGCTTCACTCCCATGCCATCAAAACTGCTCCTGTCAAGGTCACCAGTGACCTCCACATTACCTAACCTAGTGATCTCTTCCCATGCCATAGCTTAATCTCTGAGCAATATTTTACACTAACAATCACTCACACCTTCTCAAAACAGTTTCTTCATTGGACTTCTGGGACACAACACTGTCCTGCTACCTCACTGCTGCAATGCAGCACTCTCCTGCTACCTCACTGCTGGCTCCTACTCAGTCTCCTTTGCTGGTTCCTCCCAACTTCCTGATCTCTAAACACTGCAGGGAGCAGGAAGCAGGAAGCAGGACTCTTCCTTTCTCCATTCACACTCACTCTGTAGGTCAGTGATTTTCAACCCTGGTTTATCTTAGACTGACTTGGAGAGCTTTTAAAATTTCCAGTGCCTGGAACTGACCCTCCCTCCCCCAGAGTTACAATCTAATTGGTCTAGGATGAGGGCCAGTCATCCATGCATTTTTTAAGCTCTCATGATGATTCCAATACATAGCCAAGGTTAAGAACGACTGGCCTAGGATCTAGGTGTTCTCATCTAGTCCGTGGCTTTAAATTAAATCAATACAATGACAATTCTGAAATTGTATACATCCAGCCTGAAGTGTTCTCCTGAACTCCAGATTTGACAAACTAACATCTTGACATCTCCACCTGGATGCCTAACAGACATCTCAAACTTAACATGCCTGAAAATGAACTCTTGATTTTCCTTCCATCCAAAACCTGCTCCTTCTGCAGTCTTCTGCCTCTCAAAAAAATAGCTAGCCCAATCTTCCAGTTGCCCAACACAAAACACTGGCATCATCCCTGACATTTCTTTCTCTCTCTCTCACTGCATTTCAATCTATCAGTAAATCCTGTTGACTCTACTTTCAAAATATATCCAAGGTTCAGTCACTTCTCATCACCTCCATCAACTGTATCACTCCCACCCTGACCCCAGTTGTCATTGCTGGTAGAGCCTCCCAACTGGTCTCACTGTTTTTGCCTTTCCTTCACTAGTCTGTCCTCAACACAGCTGCTGAGTGATGCTTTTAAAAGCACATCAAGTCATGTCACCCCTCTGCTCCAAGCCCTCCAGTGGCTTCCCTTCTCACTCACAGAAACAGCTGGAAGTCTTTCTATGACTGCCCCAATCTGCCCTGGCCCACCACATTTCTCTAAGCTCATCTTCTGTCACTCTTATTACTCACTCAGATCCTGCCACCGTCATCTTTGCTAATCCTTGAACAAATATAGCATATTCCCATCTTAGGACTTTTGTACCTGCTATTCCTTTCACCTAGATTTTTCTTCTCCCAGGTATCTGCAGGCCCTGACTCCTCACTTCCTTAAAGACCCTGTCCAAATGGTACCTTATGAAAGAGACCTTCCCTGACCACCCTAAATAGGAGAGTTCTGCCTTCCCCATCACTGCCAGCCCCTATTCAAATACAGTGCTTTGTTTTCTCCATAACATCTCTTGCCACTGACATATACATTTGTTTCTATACTGATTATCTATGCACACTAGACTGTAAGCTCCATAGGAGATGACCTTTGTCAGTTTTGTTCACTGCAGAATCTCTACCTACTAGAACAGGCCTGACACATGGTACACATTTAGTGGACATCTGCTGAATGAATCAAAAAACAAAATTATGGTGAACCAAGAGCTGGAAGGCAGAATAATGCCAATTCAATTGAATCTTTCAAGGCTCTTAGAGGTCATTTGCTATAACTTTATCATGTCACTTTGAGAAAACCAATTTGGAGCCATTGAGAGATCTACTGAAAACTCACTGCAAGTTACTAGTAGAAACTAGAATGCTAGCCTCCCAGACTACTTTCTTCCAATATGCCATCATCTCTCTTAGTGTTCCCCCAAATTACTCTCTTCTTTATTAATCATGCCTTTCATCTTAGGATAATTCAACCATTAAAAAAGTATTCTTACATTATCATCACTAAGCTAAGGTATTGAACTCAACTCAAAGAAAGAAACTGAGACCCAATGAAAGAGGAATTTCAAAGACACTCAAACAAATAACGAAGCTTAGAATTAAATAGAAAATGGGAAAGGTCTTTCCTACCACTTAATCCACATCCCTGCTTCCATGCCAAACTAAAGTCATCACATGCCCCCTTCCATTTGCCTTTCATTGTTCCCATTAATAGATTAGAAAATTGAGGCAGAGACTAAGAAGAGAGAATTGTCCAGTAAAACTAACATAGAAATGCAATTTCGTGGTGGCTTATGGTCATGATTACACAGAGACATTTACTGAAGAGGAATAAATGAGGAGGCATTTCATATCTAATAACCCAACTTTCATCTCTAGTCACTTCAAGTATTTAGTATGTGTGAAGGAGAAGGACACTAGAAAACATGTCAAGCTGGCTTACAGGCACCAGATCTGAGAACTGGAGGATTTCTTTAACCATTCAAGTTCTGTTCATTTGCTATAAACAGCAAATCTGGCTCTTAGCCCCACTCTTACAGTGGAAGATTAACATGATAACAGTTGCATGACTTCCTCTCCCTAAAGATTCATCTTTAACTTCCTTTGGCTAAATCACAAAGTGTGTTTTTCATTTATTGTTGAGCGAAAGAGAGAATGTAGTTTCTTATAACCATCCCCCCAATTAAAAAAACACTCAGCTTAAGAAAACAAACTTAAGCAATAGTCATTTTTCAATTTGTCTATAAAAGTAGACATTTTAAATTTTTCATTACAGAGAAAAGTTTTTATTTATTTTAATACTACTTGAAATAGTTTCAAAGTGTTGGGAAATAAGTGCATGAATCAAAGGCATATCCAAAGAATCCTGTAAATTTCAGTGAAATCCTGTTTGCCACAGATTTGGAGCATTTTTCCTCTGTCCTTTTGAACTTGTTTCTGTTCTGCTGCTCTTGCAAAATATCCTTATGTATAGTTTAAGACCTCTGGCGGGGAAGTTCTCTTCATAGCTCACTTGCAAATCATTCAGTGAATGGGTAGAGATGTCTGTGGGTGGGGAAGGGAGCTGAGTAATCTTCATATCAGCCTGGCTCCTTTTTTCCCCAAGATCCTAAAAGAGCATTACAGACCCAGAGACAGCTGGCCTTATTTGTAAGAAAATTCAAATCTAACATAAGCTCCCAGTACCAATATATAGAATATGGATAGGCACAGGCCTTCAAATCCCACTGGCCTTTAAAATGTAAATAGTACTAGCGATCATGAGTGCAATAAAAACATGTGAGTAGGGAGTAGGGGGAGGGAATGGGACTAGGATGAATGGATCCTCTTTTGACTCCAATCTCTGTTTTAATATTGAAGGCATGGAGTTTTTATCACCCAATCCCAGCCTACAGCTGATGGCTAAAATTCTGGCCACCCAAGAAGAATCTTAAAAATATAATGAAAATATATTGTTAACAAATGGTCTTCTAAGATTTGGTAGTGTGTGCGCACACTGTGGGGCTAGACTTCTCAGTGCCTAACATCAGGAATATCCTTAACCCATCTGGAGACTTGTCAACGCTACTTAAGAAGGTCCTTGGGGCCCCATCCCAAATTTGAGAGTCTTTCCTCTCTGAAATCCAAAGGGGGAGCGAGAGTCATTTATCTAGAAAATATATGACCAACGGTTGAAACTTGGCATGATGTCAACTCAAGTATTCTCTTACTAGGCACACAAAAAAAGTCATTTGGAGAAGACAAGGCACCTGGAAACACTTCTATTCTGCCTTGATTCAATTCAATAGGTATTTACTGAATTGAACAATACATATTTCTAGGCTTGTTGACCCTTCTCAACACCATAACCTAATGTGGACAACGGGTCTTATGAATAAAACATATGTAACCATCTCCGCTGAAGAAGTCAAACGTTTATGACCCCCAGAATTCTGAGCTTCTGGTCCTGCAGTCCAGGCATCTTAAAGACTTCCGGCATTCTGCTAGTGTTACATTCATTCATTCCATCATAACTAGCAAGCTTTTAGGGCAAAGAATGAGGATTCTTCCTTTGGTGAAACTAGGTTTGCCATAACTGTCTACTCACTAGCACTCCTTAGGTCACAAGTCACTACATCTAGACAAGGGAAAAATTCAAGTGACTCCTTCATGTAGTTGTCATTGAAAGATGCTAACAAGAGACCATTTTCCCAGGGCCATTGACAATAAGATGTTTTGCTGAGCATGCAGTTGACATGAACTCCACACACAGACACCTTCGGCCAACTGTCAGCACATTTGAAATTCACACCTTCCTGCCTGTCATCCATCATTTCTCTTCATGGCTCCCAGCAAAGATGACTCCAGGCTTTCTTGAATTTGTGCACAGGTTGCTGTTTAAGCTTCCCCCAATCACTGAGTGGGTTTGTATTGCCTCCTCACCTAGATACCTCTCCTACCATTGGAGACTGCGCCATCATTTACTCCCAAAAAAGAAGACTCTGGGGACATGCTAAATATATAGCAGGTATTCAAAAATTCTTTCTGGATAGATGAATGAATGAGTGAGTGAGTGAACAAATGACCATGCCTGCATTCATTCCTTCCTAACCATGTATTCCCTATCTTCCATGGCTTTCATTGACTTAAAATATTATTTTGTATTTTCTTTGCTTTCAAGAAGCAGAGTAAATTCTATAATTTCTTTTCTTCCATATTCTTTCTCTTAACCTCTCATACCGATCTTATCTTGTATTCAGGGCTCATGGCTTCTCATGTCACCACGTTATCGCCCATGTGGATGGGGTTTGTGCCTGCCTTTGAAAGTGATCCCGAACCGAACTCCAGAGGCACCTCCTTTTCATGACTCCTCACCTCCCAGCCGCCCCTGATGCCCATTTTCTGGTGGTACCATGAAGCCTCCCACATCTGAATTACCTTGCCCTGTATATTTGCACATTTGCACATATGTTAACATAAACTTCAAGCTCCTCCAAACCAACAAAGAGAATCCTCTGTCACTGCTATACAAAAACACCTTCCAGAGTATAACGCTGGGTTTAAAACAATGGTAGGATCACACCCACTAAAAGACAAGGAGGGTAGGGTGAAGGAATCTCAAATGTTTTGAGAGGATAATAGAAATTGTGCCAGGAAAATGGAATCACCTGTATTGTCACCAATATTATAGGTCCTATATCATTTTTCAAATTTTTGGTAATATAATAATATAACTTCTATAATGGGAAATAAATATGCTTAAATGGTACTCAAAATATCATCTAAGCAACAGGATTTGTTTTCTCTAATTTCTAATCCTGATACTCATGCCTGCCTCAAATTACCAACTATCAGGGTTTTGGGAAATTTACAGAGATCTTAGAAATACTCTCAGTTCATAGATCTTTTCACTGAAGCTGAAGAAAAGAGAAAACAGAAACTAAGGTCTTTGCCATTTGACTCTACTCATGCTACGGCAGCAGACTGCATCTTCTCGCTCTTTAGTGGTAATCCACATTGCTGGGTCCCTCCCACTTTTCTTAATAACCACTGGCGGTGGCAAGTTTCCCTGACTCAGACAGGCAGTGCTCATCGCGGACAGGGCCTCCGACATTTGACTGGCCTTGTAACTGGTGAGTCATGAATTCCCTGGGCTTTAGTTTCTTCATTTGTAAAGGGAAGCTTTATGGAGTCTTTGGGAGGATTGAATGAAATATGCAAAAACACTTTGTAAATGACTGATTCCTAAGCCCAATATTGAATGCTTAGTACGTGACAATCTCTGCGCTGAGAATTCCACATGCCTCACTTCAGCTCATCTGAGTGTCAGCGCTACATAGGGAAGTTCTCGGGGCTCATCCCACATTCAAAGTCCTTTTCCCTCTTTGAAATCTCAATATGGGGCTATTGCATTTATCTAGAAAACACTTAAGCAATAGTTAAACCTTTTATTTTGAAGAATAAGAAACTTGGCTAAGATAGGTTACTTACTTACCTATGGCCACACAGCTAGCACATGCAAAGCCTGGGATTAAACCAGGTCTATCTGACTTCAAACTTTTAATCACGATCCAATTTTTTGTTGCAGAATTCCTTTAAGAGCTCTAAATTAATAAGTGGTGAGATGGCATGAAAACTCTTTATTCTTTTCCTTTTCCACAAGCATTTTGAGAAATCAAAATGGTAATGTACATTACGATATTTGGAAAGCCATAAAGGGCTAAACAAGAGTAGGTTACATCAGTCAATCACTACTCACCCACAATAAAGGGGTGGCTATGTTGTTTATACGATTTTACTATTAAGGCAATGTCTTGAGTGAATATAATTTATTTCTGTTTATAGAAAGCCTAACAGCCTCGAGGGGAATTGCTTATTGAGATGTGAGCCATGGATTACTTCATGTTTTGTATAGTACAGTCACAGTTTTAAAAAACAATCTAGAATTCCCTGCAACTGGCAATTTCATTGCTGTATGGCCTGAAATGCCTCCATGCCCAGGTAACGTTGGGGATCCCTTAAAACCTCTCCCTGTATCGGCTCCAAGCACTGGCTCCCTTTAACCCCTAAGCCCTCACAGAACAATAAAAAATAATATACCTTTATTCAACACTCTTACATTTTCAAAGTCCTTTCTTTATCATTTGATATTTGCAGGAATGCTGAAGTTATCTGAGCGGGTACTTGGCCTCATTTTATATGAAGGAAATTTAAATGCAGAAAGACTAAGAGATTCATCTATGTTTCCATAGACGGAGTATGCTGCAGTTGAGATGTGAATTCAGGACACGTGAATGTCCACAGTTTTGCACTCTCCTATTGATCTGCTTTTACGGGATTTCATCTTGGTTGCTATGCTACCTCTCACAGAAGCATCTGCATTTATTCGCTTCCATTCTAGTCAACAAAAACTTATGGAGAATTGACTTTGTACCAGGGATCTTTTAGGTGAGGAAACTGAAAGAGGAAAAAGACATAGTCTCTGCACTAAAAGAGCTCCCAGTCTATAGAGGGGACAGACACACCTACCTACTGGACAACAGACCCTCATGTAGTAAACTAGAGAACTATTCTAAAACTTCCAAATGGTAGAATGAAAGGCTTTATACCAGTTAAAGGAGTTTAGACATCAGCTGGCAGCTGGGGAGTGGTCTGGTGATATGACAGTGGACACTTGGGCTGCCTGAGAGGAGCATGCGTTGGTCACATAAGGTTGCCTGGGCAGAGATCAGAAGAGATGGACCTGGTGTCTCTCTCCCAGTTTCCTGTATTCCCCAGGCATGACAAGCCCACCCTCTGTGACTGCTGGTGGTCTGGTCCTGGTAAGTGGTCCATCTGCCTCTTCCAACCACAGCTTTTATCCCCATCACAGACTCTGGGCCTACCAAATCCCTTCTGCAATCCCCAGCTCCCAGGGCCCAAGAGTCCAGTGTGCTCTCTCAGCCTCTCTCCCCTTTCATCCATAGGCAGACTGGATCCTTGTGCTAGAAATCCTTCCAGAACCAGCAATCTGGGCCCCATCTTTTTCTCTGGCAACAGAAAAAGGCAGAATACACAGCCCAGGAAGAACTCTGGCAGGAAACCCCTGAAGGGTGACCCAGAACACCTTAGGTCTTGGAAAATGGACAGGGAGTCTGGAAACATGGCCCCAGGTGCTGGCTGCACAGATCTTTGCTTTGTTTTTTTTTAAGTGTATTATTTTTATGTTAATTTTTTTATTTCCATAGGTTTTTGGAAAACAGGTGGTGTTTGGTTCCATGAGTAAGTTCCTTAGTGGTGATTTCTGAGATTTTGGTGCACCCTTCACCCAAGCAGTGTACACTGCACCCAATTTGTAGTCTTATCCTCATCTCTCACCTTATACAAAAATCAACTCAAGATGGATCAAGCACTTAAAATCTAAGACCTGAAACTATAAAAATTCTAGAAGATAACATCAGAAAAACCCTTCTAGACATTGGCTTAGGCAAAGACTTCATGACCAAGGACCCAAAAGCAAATGCAACAAAAACAAAGATAAATAGGTGAGACTGAATTAAACTAAAGAGCTTCTGCACAGCAAAAAATCCTTGCTTTTTAATATGTGCCAGTGTGTATGGGTGGAGAAAGAGTGGGGTGGCCATGAAAATGCACCATGCAGCTCTTCTGCTGTGGGGGGCAGAGTTGACTGACGACCTCAGCCACTGCCCTGCTGGGTCCACCGCTGTGGCTATGTCAAAACCTAAGCCATGCTGCCAGCAATTTGCTCCCAATCAACCCCAAGCACAGCAGGGAGTGAGTGCAGGCCCACTCCTGTGAGAATCAGGGCTCCTCTAATAGGTGCCTGGGCTCGAGGACATCCCAGAGGCCTGGCCAAAGCTTTCTTGAAACTGCTCTAGAGTCTGGGACCCTTCCTATCCAATCTTCCTTTGTTCCCGTCTCCTCTGCAGGTGTGAGGCTGCATCTGGGTCTGACGACTCTCGCTGCCCCCTCCCCTTTATCCTTCACAGGTGTTTCTTGTGCACATCGATGCACATCCTGGCATCTGCTTCTTGGAGGACCAGAATTTACACTGTATTTGATGAAACTTAAATTAATCTAAACTGTGATAACGACACTTTATACATCATCCTGAGCTAAGAAATTCGAAGCAAAAAAGTCATAAAAATAAGGCTTGGTAGTAACACAAGTAATAACAATTACAGGAATTTATAGAAACTGCTTACCATTTATGCCTAATTACCATACAGAGCAACAGCAATTATACAGATTATTAAATACAGGTCAAATTAACATTGTTGAGGGTAGAGTGTACTCGATTTAAGATGTGGATTCAGGACACTCAGATGTAGTAATCCATATTGATTACGGCACTGAATTCTGTTCTTCCAATCTTCTAAAAATGACTAAGACAAATTTTTTAAGATTAGAGAGTGGGTGGCGTGGATGATGAGAAATTACTTAATGGGTACGATGTACATTATTTGGGTGATGAACACCCTAAAAGCCTTCACCACTACACAATCTATGCATGAAACAAAACTGCATTTCTACCTCATACATTTATACAAAACAAAGCAAAAATAAAAACTGGAGGAAACAATGTGGCAAAGACCAATTTTCTTCAAAATCCACATAACGGCAAGGGACAAACTTTAACAGTTCCACCTGAATAAACTTACCAGCAAAGATTTGTCCTTCTTGTGCCTCACCCTGGGTTATGAGATTTCAAGTATAAGCAAAGAAACTACCTTCATTTCTTAAGGGTTATCTTTTCAAATGTGTTTTGAAAACCAAATCCTGCCTATCTGGGATTGCTCCATATTCTCTAGTGAAAACAGCTTCATAAAGTGATTCATCCTCTCCAGGCCACCTGAGCCCATGCCTGGAAATGTGGTCCTCTTATTTGCTAACAAATAAGGGCTTACTCAGGACCTGGACCAACAAACAGGCAATGGCTTGCACTACCTGAGCCATGGAGCCCACAAGTTCAGGATTTAATCTGCAAAATCCAGGCAGCTGCTACCAAGTGTAATCGTGCCCCATCTGTGAACACCTGGGCTTCTCACCTTCTTCACAGTGCCACCAGGTGTGAGATAGTACCATCCCTGGGTCACAGACAAAGTGCGACAGGAAAGGCCAGAAGTTCACAAGGTATGCTATGAACATACAAGATGACGGTAAGACTACAAATCCTACCTCGGGGAGCATCGCTCAGCTCTTCTTAGCTTACAGGTTTGGACACCATGTCTCAGCTACCCTTGACTAAGGCTGAGAGACCAGGATGGGCATCTGCCCAGAAGGCTCCGGGGGCTTCTAACACAAGGTAGAAACTGCCAAGTAGACCACTTTTATGCAATAAACCTTCAGCAGGCTGGTGGAGAATGGGAGTAACCTTTCTTGAAGGTCTATCTTGAAGATAATCATCCAGGCCTTATGTTGGGCATTTTGTCATTTTACCATCTTTAACTCTTACCACAGCCTCTTTTCCTGATGAAGACAGTTAGGGCCAAAGAAGTTTAAATAACTTACTCAGGTCACTCAGACAGGAAATGGCAAAATCAGAACTGGAACGAGCTGCTTAACTCCAACTTCTCTTTCTACTTCGTATTAACTCTTAGGAGTCTTTGAAGAAGAAGAAAGGAAATTTGGGTCACATAGGTATTCGTTTCCTATTGCTGCTGTAACAAATCACCCCCAAGTTAATAGCTGAAAACAACACGTTTATCATCTTAGTGTTCTGGAGGTCGAAGTCTAAAATGGGTCTTGCTGAGCTAAAAGCAAGGTGTGGGCAGGGCTGCATTCCTTCTGGAGGCTCCAGGGGATAATCTGTTTCCGGCTTTATGAGTTTCCAGGTACCTCCTCCCACGTTCCTTCCACGTGGCCCCTCCCTCCATCTTTAAAGTACAACACGGCAACCACTGTTTCTGTTATCACACTTCCCTCTTCCGATTTTGACTTTGTTGCCTCCCACTGATAAGGATTTTGGTGATTACACTGAGCCCACCAGGATAGTCTCCCTGATCTCAAGATCCTTAACTTAATCACGTTTGCAAAGTCCCCTTTTCCACGGAGGGTAACATATTCGCAGGTCTGGGGATTAGGACACGCACATCAGAATGTTATTCTGCCTACCACACATATATAGTGGGTCCCATGTCTCCCCTCCTTTGCCCTATTGCATGGCTTGTATAAGATTCTCATCTGTCCATCCAAATCACAGATTTGAGGGCTTCTACCAGAACATGAAGCTGGGCAACATTTCTTTGCACAAACTTGTACATAGCTGTCACTTGAAATGCCAAAAACACGGTTGTAATATTTCAACAAGCTAACATATGGGTACTTCTTACTTTGGGGTTTTTTTTAAACTTATTTTATTAACAGCCAAATAATTATTGCACATACTCATGGGATACATAGGGATGTTTTCATACATGTAATGTACAGTGATCAGATCAGGGTAATTAGCATATCCAACATCCCAAAGATTTATCATTTCTTCATGTTGGAAGCAGCAATATTCTCCTTCTAGCCATTTGACTATAGTCACCCTATAGTGGTATAGTGGTAACTATAGTGCTGTAGTTAACGATAGTCATCCTACAGTGGTACAGAACACTAGAACTTACTCTTCTCCTCTACCCATAATTGTGTATCCTGATCTCTCCCTTCCCCTGCCCTTCCCAGACTCTATTTTTAATTGTTTGGCTAAGGTGGATGGTGACATTGGAGCTGAAAACAACCATTAATCCTCCTTAATAAAAATTAATTTGATCCTTGAATTTTTTTCTGCTTTGAATGTTGAAAAGTTGACATAACATTTAAATCTTCAGGGTAACCAAGGACAGTAGTATAAATCATGTCCTTTCACTCAAACTAATAGTTTTTTGCCTAAAAGCAAACTGTAATAAGCAGATGAAATAAATATTTTGAGCAGAGTCATTTCCTGTTGGGTAAAAAATGAATACTTTACCTTGACATTAAGTATATACACTTGTTAATATTCTGTTTATTATTTGAAACCTTCCGTTATAATATTATTCCTTATTATTTATTCTTCATTATTATTTTTCCTTATTATTTATTTCCTTATTATTATTTATACCCTTATTATTATTTCCTTATTATTTATTTCATTATTATTTATATCCTTATTATTATTTATTTCCTTATTTCCTTATTATTTGAAATCATCCTATAATGGAAATCATCACATACAAAGTATTGTATGGGTATTTAGGAGTGAGTTTATTTCTTTGAAATATTTGTTTCCCTAAGTTAGAATGACTTAGAAAAATTAGCACAAACCATGCAATATCAAGGATGTAAAACTGACTTGTATCTGAACAGACGGGAATTTTTGTTAAAGAGTATTCTTACAAGCTGGTATGGCTTTTAAAATGGCCTCCACATGTCCGGAGGATTTGTCTCATTTTAAGCCAGCAGTGTTGCTCCATCTGAATGCTGGAGACATGAGCCCAGTTCACAGTTAGCAATCTTCTTCGCACATTACACACATGCCAGGTGACATTCGCACACCTGACTCACCTTCATAGGATACCTACATCGTAGTGAAACTCGAGATAATGTGGGAGGGGGAGGAGTAAAGCAGTGGAGTGATTTATAATCACTACAGTTATTAACTCCAGAGTCACTTGTTTTTGATGGAAATATTACAGGCTCCATATTATATGCAATTTCAGAGTGCCAATTGCAACCCTGTTCCTTTTTCTCCTTGTTAAGAAATCATATTGGCATGCAAGTGAGCAAGAATGAAGAACTACAAGAATAACCTCAAATGTTGAATTTGATTTAATTTACTTTAAAAATAATTGCAACTATATTTATACATATATTGTACAGATATGTGTACAAATATTTAATAATTATACACATCAATACTTTATTTTTAGATACAAATAATAAGAACAGGACAGTTGATATAAAGCAGAAATGGGGAGGTCTGGGCTGTCTTCCAAGATCTTTTGTTTTCAACTTGACATTGTCTCTTTTTACATCTGCTGTGAACAAAATGGTGAAGCAGATAAAATATACCTTCGATGTCTCCCACGTCTTATATTTGGGGTTCCCTGCAAGCCCTTGGCACCCGCGGGCCTGGCTCCCAGCTCCCAGGGCCTGTGCAGTGCTGTCCTGCGGCATTGTCCCATGCTCCTCAGCTTCTCTTTCCCCAGGAAAATTTACTTCTCCAGTGTTTTGTGTCCTAGGACCCTGTTCTCTGTGCTGTGAATATGATTACTCTTGGGTAAATGTGCTGTTTCTCTTTGGGTCACATATTGCATTTCAGCAGGCACCTCCCAGAGTTTGCCTTAACCAAAGGAGTTTACAGTAGGCAGCTGATATCTTTGGGTGGGTGTAGCCTGAAATTGCACTCTATGCTATTAATCCTTTCAGTAGAGTTGGGTTTGCCCCTTCCATATTATGTCTTTAATTGCAGAATGGTGCTATCTGGACCCTGAGAAAAGTTTTGCTTTTAACTGAATACCCATGTACACAGGATCTGATAGAATACACCTGAGTTCCTTACTTCTGCTCAAGATACACTTATAACCCAAACAGAGCACCTGGAGTGGTTTCTCTACCTTATTCAGCTTATTCTAGCAGCTTCTTAAACTTCTTTCTTAATTGTGTGGGCCAATTACTCAGTCACCGTCTCCCTATCCTTCAAGGAGCCTCCCACTTCTATAGAGTCTCTCTCTCTCTCCATCGTCCACTACCATGAGCCTCTTGGTCCTTAGAAACCTCTAATTCTCCCTCCCCCCTGAGATTCTTTCCTTCTCTTTGATCTTCAGAATGGGGATGTCAGTCATTTCCTTCCAACTAATTTTGTTTTCTTCTTTTTTCCCAGATGAATCTGAATAAGACTTTGACTTATGAAAACAGGAGGAAATGGAAAAGCAATCCTATTAGGGTCAAATATCTTCAAGACGACACACTCGTACATTGCCAAGAAAGACTCAGCATAATTCCCTTGTGTTTTTACACTACAAAAGGTCCCTATCTCCTTTCTGTAGCTGGAGTTGCTTAAATTTGATATGCACATAACTTCAGAAGGGGGTAGACAGAGCCCATGCCTCCTGCAAGGAGTGAGAAATAGACCTAAACGATCACAGTTCATTCATTGATTTTGCAAATATTATTGATCATTTACTTTATGTCAAGCACTGGGGATAAAGTAAAGCAGTGGGATCTAGTTCCCTACCCTCCTGGAGCTTCTGATCCAGATTCCTAGAGCTGAAACAGGCTTTGAAGACCTCTCAATTTGTGGTTTCCAAATTATCTACCAAAGGTCATTAATATTCTATGCAATATTAATTGGTATTTCTTGGAGTAGGATGACGTGAGGAATTGTGTTCCATGGTCAAATTAAGTTCAAAGTGTTAGGTTAAACAAAGTTACATTAGTTTCTTCATGCCAGGCTACTCAGAGCCTTTCTATGTTAACACACATTGTGACTCTCTGACGGTGAGGGGGAGAGGATGAGATGCAATATGATCATTTGCTTTCCCCACTTATTTCAACACAAATCTTTTCTGAAGAGTACCCATTAATAAAAACTGTTGGCAGAACATACTTCTGTTAATGCTTCCAAAGCCAAAACCTAAATCCACGTTTCCTTCAGCACATGAGGAAGCTGCAGTGACCTAGAATGGTGAGGGGCAGAACTGAGGCAAGAACCTGGATCTCATTATTATTTTCTTGATCTTTTACCCATTCCATTCTGCCTGTTTCTACTCTCTTTCTCATCCCCTGGAAAGACATATAAAAGCAGTGTTTCTTCCTTCTTTATTTACCTCCTTCTTAGATCATGGTAATGGTGATTGTCTTCTCACCTATTAACTGGTTTCTTTCTCTGCTGTCTATAGCTTTGGGTCATAAGCTCTTAAAAGTCAAAGACCAGCTTTTACACAATAAACTCATGAACGATTAGTGATCAGTAAATGCTTGTAGCCAAAAAGCAATGGTTGACAGCTTCCTATGCACCTCTCCCCGCAGCCTCCCACACACCTTCCTCCTGTAGATTCTCTCTCCTTGTGCCAACCGAGAACTATGGAGGCCTCTTTTCTCCTATAACAATATCACCACTGAAATAGGTTATGCCTTCTAAACTGCTTTAAAAGTTTCACTAATAAGTTTTAAAACTGATTTTGCCTATTACACAAGAGATTGCTTAATTATTAATACAATTCACTCGTGATTAACTAAGAATACACAGACTATTCATCCTGTCATACAGGCCAGGTTGTAGATGAGAGTTTTTGTGAGTGTGAGAGAATTTGGACTTATGCATGTATGCGTTTAATTTAAAAATCTACTTAGCTACGAATCAGGACATACGGACGTGATTTTAGACTTTGGAAACTTGAGGGGGAAGAAACAATCTCTGCTATCTCGACATTAAGAGGTGTGTATCTCTGTCCCTAATAAGCAAGGAGGGGCTGCTATACTGCCACCTTGTGGTAAATATGCACAAAGCCAGTAAATAAACACAACCAACCTTCTCCTTAGTGTGTTATTACATAATGCCCAAAAGAGGAAAATACTTTTATTAAAACATTATTCAGGAAAATGAACTATTTTAGCATGTGGATAATTAAATATATATTACAACATGTCCTATGTGACAGAATGAATATTCTGTATATTCTCCCTAGTATTTAATCATGTGTGAATCACATGTATTAACAATTTTTATATTTTATGAAAGTTTATCGATAAATACATACATATATGGAGAGAGAGAGAAAAAAAATCTCTTACCTGAAATGCTTGGGATCAGAAGTGTTTCAGATTTTGAATTTTTCAAATTTGGGGATATTCAAATACAGATAATGAGACATTTTGGAGCTGGGACCCAAGCCTAAAACACAAAATTAATTTAAGTCTTATATACACCTTATAAACATAGCCTGAAGGTAAGATTATACAATATTATTAATAATTTTATGCACAAAACAAAGTTCATGTTCACTGAACCATCAGAAAGCAAAGGTGCCCTGTCTCAGCCACGCATGTGGACGGTCTGTGGTGGTTTGGCATCACTGTCATTCCTGACTGAACTGATACGCTACCAAGAATCATTGTTGACATGTGTACAAACAGAAGTATTTCACAGTAAAAAAAAATGACATACCAGTCATACAGTGAAAAAATATTACGTTAAGGGTAAGGAAGCACAGTAGCATCGCCAGAACAGCTGGGGGTGCTGAGGAAACTGCCATGAGCCTGTGTTTTGAGTGTGACCCACCACATGAGGTCAGATGTGGAATTTTCCACATGTGGCATCCTGCTGGTGTTTAAAAAGTTTCAAATTTTGGAGCATTTCAGATTTTCAGATTAGGGATGTTCAAAGAATATATACATATATAATTTTGGCTCTTAAATCAGATTTTGCCTTCATAAGCAAATCAGCAAACACAGTCACCACTAAGCACTCACTTCATGTGTGACTCACACTGTGAAGGGATTTCAAGTCTTTTGACAGACCAAGACAGGAAGCACATCTCAATACACTATGAAGCAAGCTTTGGTGGGTTAGATTAGGAGATGTTTTCTCAGAAAGTGACTACTTCTGGGATCTCTGTTCATCACCTGTTGAGGGGTCAATCCCGAGGGGTTGAGATGCTCTGGCAAGAAGGGACAACTAAGGACATCCCCTCACTTCTTGACAGTCAGCCCCTTTCCCACAGGGTAAGGGATTCAACCAGGACCAGGTAAAAATAATATTCATTCACTCTTTCTTTCATCAGACAATAATTATTACATCTACCATGTGTCAGGCACCTGCTAAATGGTGGAAATATAATAGTGAGCAAAATCAAACACAGTCTCTGCTCTCATGGATTTTACAGAGTACTGATTAGACTTGACCGAGGACAATGGCTGAAGACCAACAGAAAGTGATCATTTTACATGTGTGGTCACTTACACATTCCAACCTGCCCCTGAAAGAACTTGTCTCAAAAGAGCTAAAAACAGAACTACCATTGGGCCCAGCCATCCCTTTACTGAGTATATACCCAAAGGAATATAAATCACTCTATCATAAAGACACATGCACACATATGTTCATTGCAGCACTATTCACAAGAGCAAAGACACGGAATCAACCTAAATGCCCATCGATGGTAGACTTGATAAAGAAGATATGGTACATATACACCATGGAGTACTATGCAGCCATAAAAAAGAACGAGATCATGTCCTTTACAGGAACATGGGTGGAGCTGGAGGCCATCATCCTTAGCAAACTGGTGCAGGAACAGAAAACCAAATACCACATGTTCTCACCTATAAGTGGGAGTTAATGATGAGAACACATGGACACAGAGAGGAACAACACACACTGGGGCCTACTTGAGGGTGGAGGGTGGGAAACAGTAGAGGATCAGGAAAAATAACTATTGAGTACTAAGTTTAGTACCTAGATGATGAAATAATCTGTACAAAAAACCCTCATTACACAAGTTTACCTATATAACAAACCTGCACATGTACCCTTGAACCTAAAATAAAAGTTAAAAAAAAAAAAAAAAAGAAATGGAGAGAAAGGAATCTCCATGTTAAAGCCCACTGAAAGATCATAGTTGTGGATGTAGCCCACTCCATAGGTGTGCTTAGTATGAGTCTAGCACTGTGCTGGAAGATACTGATAACTTAAAACCCAGCCAACGCTTTAGAGTAGCTGAACTGTCATTACAGCACAAGACACACGTGAAAAGTTAATTAACCTGGAAGATCATAAAGCAGTATAAAATACAATGCTAAATGAATGAATGGTACAGGCAGTACAGAACTGAGCAGAGAAAGCTCCATGAAGGAGACAGCAATTCCTTAAAGCTGTGGAGCTGAACCTTAAAGATGAGCAGGAACTGGGTAGGTGAAGAGACAGAAGAGGGGTGATGGGAAAACATCCTAGGTGACAGAAATAGCAGAGAAAATAGGAATGAGATGCACTTGGAAATGTACATTGAGGAGCATGAGAAGGAGTTTGAGATTCCTTGGGCCTACTAAGAAGTCTATTTTTCTGAGTATAAATAGAAATTTACTATGTTCAGGCCAGGCACGGTGGCTCATGCCTGTAATTCTAGCACTTTGGGAGGCCGAGGCAGGTGGATCACTTGAGGCCAGGAGTTAAAGACCAGCCTGGCCAACATGGTGAAACCCTGTCTCTACTAAAAATACAAAAATTAGCTGGGTGTGGTGGCACGTGCCTGTAGTTCCAGCTACTCAGGAAGTTGAAGCACAAAAATCGCTTGAACCCAGGTAGCGGAGGCTGCAGTGAGCCAAGATCACACCACTGCACTCCAGCCTGGGCAACAGAGTGAGACTCTGTCTCCAAAAAAAGAATTAAGAAAAAAAGAAAGAAAGAAATGTACCATGTTCAAAGAGTGAGCTCTGCTCTTAGAGTTTCTCCTATTTTCCCTTCTAGCCTTATTGGCAGAGCTAACCAGCCGGGTGGACAGAAATGTGTCACCAAATAATAGGGTCACTGGGCTGAACCAGATGTGGGTGGAAGAAATAAAGACCTATTCCCATCAAGTCTCCTAGCTCCTCTTCCCTGCCAGGATTTCCTGTCCTGACCTTAGGGCAGAGCCTGCATCTTCCCTTCAGGAAGCAGGGTCTGGAATATTTGTCATATCAGAAAGGAGATGAGAGGTTCTGTGAGAGGTGTTCAGAATAGAAAATGCAGGTTTACAGCTCAGCAGAGGCCTGAACAGTAAGGTAGAGAGTGGAAAAAAGAGAGCTGTGGGGGGCCCAGGGCAGTCACATGGCAGAGGCACCTGGAAAATAACTGCCCAGCATCACCCACCTCCCTCATCCTCCATGAGTATCTCCTGAGCTCCCATCACCTCACTGCTAGGTAACCTCCACTCAACTAACTTCCCTATGCTCTTTCCTTATTACATGAATCACATTAGGTTAGGCTGTGTTCCTTTACACTCTGTTACTTAATATTTACTTTTTTTTTTTTTTTTTTTTTGAGACGGAGTCTCGTTCTGTCGCCCAGGCTGGAGTGCAGTGGCACGATCTCGGCTCACTGCAAGCTCCGCCTCCCGGGTTCACGCCATTCTCCTGCCTCAGCCTTCCAAGTAGCTGGGACTACAGGTGCCCACCACCATGCCCGGCTGATTTTTTTGTACTTTTTTTAGTAGAGACGGGGTTTCACCGTGTTAACCAGGGTGGTGTTGATCTCCTGACCTCGTGATCCGCCCACCTCGGCCTCCCAAAGTGCTGGGATTACAGGTGTGAGCCACCACGCCCGGCCAATATTTACTTTTTGAGAATTAAAATGCACAAGTGTATTTAATACCCTGTGAATCTTTACTCTTCACATAAAATCGGTTATAGCTTTCTAGCATAGGATAGGGTCCAAATCCAACCTACCACCTATGTTTGTAAATAGAGCTTTATTGGAACACAGCCATGCCCCCATTTTAATGTATTGTATGAATAACTGCATGCTACAATAGCAGAGCAGACTGGTGGTGATAAGGACCGTGTAGCCCACAAAGCCTAAAACACTTAAAATCTGGGCCTTTACATCAGAAACTATTGAATCTGACATAAAATATACAGTATGTAGTTAATGATGACAACACTTGGGTTCAAACTTACTGGGCAAGGTGATGTAATCTCTCTAAGTCTCAGTTGTCTCACTTCCGAAATGGGAACAATAATGCCTGCTTTGTCTACCTCATGACACTGCAGTGAGGAGCAAATGAAATAACACGTCAGTGTCTATACAAGACGAATGCAGAACACAAGTGCTCCAGAGTCCCTAATCCTCCCACTGCAGCTCTGCGGCAGCTCTAAGACACCGTCCTACATTCCCAGGTAGAGTGAGCCCCATCTTCCTGCTGACTGGATTTCTTTTTCTTTTTCCTTTTTTTGGAGGTGGAGTCTCACTCTTGTTGCCCAGGCTGGAGTGCAGTGGCGCCATCTCAGCTCACTGCAACCTCCACCTCCCGGGTTCAAGCGATTCTCCTGCCTCAGCCTCCCGAGTAGCTGGGATTACAGGCGGGTGCCACCACACCCAGCTAAATTTTGTATTATTAGTAGAGATGGGGTTTCAACTGGTCTCAAACTCCTGTCCTCAGGTGATCCACCCACCTCAGCTTCCCAAAGTGCTGGGATTACAGGCGTGTGCCATTATGCCTGGCCTGGATTTCTCATATTGGTTGGATTCTCACCACCCTCTCCCACTATTGCTACAAAAGGGCTCCCAAATATGCTTCTGGCCCCTGCTACTCTCCTTGTTCTTTGGTATTTTCGTCACCTCCAGCAAATTCAAAGAAAAGGAATTCAGTCATTGCATTGATGGGTAAGAAAGGTTTAGAATAGAGAAAGCCACGTGCAGATATCAAAAGAACACTGTGGCTAGACCCAAGAGTGAGTCAAAGGTATGCTCTGATGTTTGAAGTAAAATGAGAAGACTTTGAAGACAGTGGCCAGAAGTTTACATTTGATGCAATGAATGTGGGAAGTCCCTGGAAGACTGCATGGTAAGGCTAAAGTAGCAGGTGCAAAAAAAGGATCAGAGGACTCCAAGGAGCTGACGTTCTGTATAGGGCTTCCACCCAGGTTCCATTTGACACTGGGGCCCAGCCTAAAAGTTACCTTTCACAGCCTCCCACCCCTGACCCTTGGGTTTTCTCGATGATAGAGAGCCTGGCTCTGGGCCTGACAGTGAGCTGTAGCCTCCAACTGAAAGGAAGCTCAGCAAGAATGACCTTGTTAGACTCATTCTGCAGAGCACCGTGGATGTCAGTGAGCATCTCTTGGAGATTTATGGCCCTGAACCTAGTCTCCTGTTACTTGGTGATTCTGCTGAATTTTCCATTGAGCAATAAGGGCAGGATAACAGCAGAGCTGCTCAAGGTTAGCAGCCTTCTGAAGTCCACCCAGCTCCACAAAACTTCTTCCTAATGATATACAGAAGAGATTTATTGGGATGTTTTTGCAGGCCAGGAAATTGCTACATGATTTTGTCATTGACAAAGGAGCAAACATCACTGCCCACTTTCTGTTGGACTTTCTCCACTTTGCTAGTTCTTCAACTGGAAATGATGAAAATAGGCTGATTCCTGGTTTAGTTACCAGGTGGGAGGGCTACCCAAACAATATTCCAATTTCATTGTTTTCATTTCAGGGATTATTGATGGCAACTTTAGGGCATACCTTATATTTGAACTTCCACTTGGTTTCCTGTTCTTGTGGGATTCATTTGAATTGCTGCTAAGTTGGGCATTCAAACATTTCTCTTATGTTGGTTCTAAACTAGTGAGGGAAAACCACGATGTCAGAAGTAATTTTATTTCCACTGTCTTTTCAGATGTGTCAGGGCTCTTGATCAAAACTGATTTTCCAAAGGAGCAGAAAACCAAACACTGCATATTCTCACTATACGTGGGACCAGTAGGACCAGTAATATAGGGCAGTTAAGACCAGTAAACAAGGAGGAAAGGTCATCAAAGATGATTTTCTTTTGAAATGGGAGATTAGGAGAATAGTGGGGTAACTACTGATAGCAGATTGAGACATTAGAAAGACGTGCCATTTTCAGTGTTTCTTGGTTTTTTTTCTTTTTTATAAAGCCATTTATCTTAAGTGCCTTTTGAAAATATTAATCCTATATTTCAGTTGCATTCAATGCAGTGTTTTGGCACCCATTAAAGCCATGGGTATAGGGAGAAGTGCAAGCGCTCCCAAGTTTGTGAGAGAGTTCTGGGTCTTTGGAGGGAGGGATTCAGCCTGGGAATTCCTAGATTCCTGCAAGCACCTCTGAGTCACTAATTCTTTAAATCACATGTTCCGTCAGCTAAAATAAATTAATAAATAAATAACAATAAGTTACTCTAAGAATTAGAAGGGATGTAGCCTCAGAAAGCCCTTTGGAAGCTCTAAAGTGTAAAAGATATCCCTCATTCCTTCTCATTCCAAAGGAAGTCAAATAGAAAGTAAAACTAGAATATCTTATATCTTACATAGAAAGGTGAAACGACATTCTCTCTAACAGCTCTCAGTTGGTAATGGAACCAAATGATCAATACCAGGCCACAGGCTCCTCGTCCCTCACCAGGAAAGGAGTCCTGTCTGGCCGGAGATTGCCTCCCTGTGTCCTCAGGCCCACCTCGGTTTCTGCACAGGCTCCCCGCTCCCACCTCCCCACCCCCGCTGCCATTCCCTGCGGGGTGAGCTGTCTGCAAAGCTCCACTCCCTTCCCTTTCCCAAGTCACAGTTACAGGAATTATTGCAAGACTAGTTCTCTCATATTATATTTCATTCAGCAGCAGAAGAGCCACTCAAGGGTTTTGGCTTCTGGAACAAGAATGAAAAGATCTACAAAATACTAAGTTCCTTGAATAGAATCTTTTAAGGCGATTTGGTGAAAAGTGTCAGATTGGCAGCCACAAAGTCTGAGTTTCTGTTTATTTATCTAGCAGGTAATGATTCACAAAGCCATACAAATATCTCACCAGCCTACAAGTCCATTTCAGACAGATGACTAGGATAATGTAAATTCCATGTAAAAAGGTAGCTCCTTGCTCATTCTCATGTGTAATCTTCACGAGTGAAGTGCCTTCTAAGCATTTTCACACGAATTCTGTCACTTAGAATTTCTTGCAAATATCTAAAACTAGAGTGTTGATGATGGTATATAAACACACCACTTCACCTGCTTTAGCTAAAGGTGTCTTTTTTTAATTGATAGGCCATTTTTAGCAATTTTAGATTTATTTTAAACATTGAGTTATTTGTGTCTTTTTTAGAGCCATTTTTCTTCTTAAAAGCTACGCTATGTTTTGCTGAGATGAAAATACATATAACTTGTTTTCCAAAATGGGAAGAATTGTTCGAGAGGGTGAGCATGGACCCTGCAACCAGATCCTAAGCCCACCCTTATCAGCTCTGCGGTGTTTGGTACGTGAATTCCTTATTACCTCTGAGTCTCGGCTTTCCCATCTCTAAAATAGGAATAACAATAATAAACAACATAATACAAAGGATTATAAGAATTAAATGAAATGGCAAAGGTAAGTACCTAACACAGTACAGAATACAAAGTAGATGCTTAAGAATGATATGTTATATTCCAAATTCACATTGTATGTTAGAGGACTAAAAATTACTGTATCAAAGTATAAATCTAATCTGGGATTCTGATCTTTTTGTATGAGTTTGTTCTGCCTGAGGTCTTGTGCTTTAAACTAAAGAAAAGGTTCTTGTGATCTGCACAGAAGCAGGGAATTGGAGACATCTGGTTCCATGCAGTCTTGTTAACTGAGCTTTTTGATCTGCTCTGAAGAGGTAGAATTAGAGGGAAAAGTCAAAAGAAAATTGAGAAACAGCCTCTGGATGAGGGCAGGGCTCCCCCTGGTAGGGAGGAATGGTGAACAAAACAGCAGAGCCCTGGAGGGAGCCAGGCTGAGCATAGCAGGTGCCCAAAGAAGACCACCACCAAGGCCCACAGGGCCTTCCCAGGTGCCACTGATGCAGTCTGGTAAAATGCAAGCATCCCTGGTAACTGCCAGAAATGCATAGGGGAACTGTGCATTACTGCCCAGCATGATGAAGTGTAAAAAATTATGGGCAGTGGGGTTGGATGTGGTGGCTCACACCTGTAACCCCAGCAGTTTGGGAGGCCGAGGTGGATGGATCAACTGAGGTCAGGAGTTCGAGACCAGCCTGACCAACATGGTGAAACCCTGTCTCCACTAAAAAAAAAAAAAAAAAAAAAATTAGCCAGGCATGGTGGCACGCACCTATAATCCCAGCTACTCAGGAGGCTGAGGCATGAGAATCACTTGAATCTGGGAGGCAGAGGTTGCAGTGAGCTGAGATCGCACCATTGCACTCAAGTCCGGGTGACACAGTAAGACTCCATCTCAAAAAAAAAAAAATATGAGCAGTTGAGTCCAGGTTTGAATGCTATGAGACCTCATCTGTACTTTTATAGGCTATGAAACCTGAGGACACTCAGACTGTGTCCTCACTCAAGTCATAGACAGTGACTACAAATCAGTCAACCCAGTCTGAGAGCTTTTTTCCACCGCTCATGGAAGAAAAAGAGTAATAACTTTGGGGCTGTACATGTGAGTATACATTTGAGGGGAAAGGGAGGATGGCAGGCTAAGAAAACAGAAAAGAAACAGAAAACAAAAAGAGCAAAGATGTATTTGCTAACCAAGAAGACATTTCCAAATATTTCTCTCATGCCCCTTCCAGAAAGATTTCAAGGCCAGGAAAATAAAAATACCTGTTTGATGCCAACTGATTAAACCTCCAGGGAAAACCAGAAAATGTCTTAATTTTCTTATTCAAGAACTCCTTTTATAATCAAACAGAAGAGGAGAAAGCTTTAAGTAGGTGCCCGAGTCACAAGATAAATGAAATGTTTGACATGTTGCTTAGTTCTACAAAGAGAAAATTCCAAATGATTTATAATGCAATTTTTTTCCGATTTCCAGTATGAAGGAGTCTTGAAATCTCATAAACAGAATATAAGGGAAACCACTTTTTTTTTTTAACATGGTAAAGTAAAGGCTTCCCCAGACACTAATTAACACAATTGTGTATCTGTGACTTCAGACTTAAAAAGGCAATGGCTTAACTCCAAAGGTCAACTATTTTTGGATCCTCCAGTCTCTCCCTGTGAATAACACTTTGTTGAACCAAACACAACTCTCTGAGAGTGATGTGAGTCTCCCACCTCCCTGCTAAGACAAGCATTTCAGTGGTGAACTTCCCTGTGTTTCTTTCTGAGAAGGCAGATCCTAACATATTCTCTAAAGATGGTACCCCTAGTCCCTTAGAACTTCTCCCAAATTATCACACATCATTAGATAAAAGAGCTGTATATGTCCAGTTTCTCACAAAGAAACCAATAGTAAGCTAAAAGTTGGGGTACAAACGCTTTTAAGAGAAAGACTTGATGGTCTTTGAAACTGACCGTTTTCCATGTTCGTTTCTTATGTTAGGCCTTAGAACCAGGCACATTAAAAACTTTTTCAATCTATCTTGAAGTGATTTAATTGTACCAAGTGACTTTTTTGTACCAAGTGACATGAAAAAGAAATAACAGCCATCTCCTCAGGGAAAGAGTGAAGGGGGCGTGCGAGGCAGGGGGCAAGCCATACTTTTAAATACAAATTTTCATCTTTACCCCTTGCTTCAAGTTGAAGAACTTGTCTAACTTGACTCAAGGCTAGAAATGGTTTGGCAAGATCAATTCATCAGTGTAAACAGCTCCCTTAAACTCTGAAAGTAGTTTTTGTTGAAATTAAGCTTAGAGTTGCATCTTAAAGAATTGTTAGATATTGTATGGTTTGTTTCATGCTTTTTCCTATTTATATGTGGGGGAAAATCCTTTTTTTTTTTTTTTTTTTTTTTTTTTTTGAGACGGAGTCTCGCTCTGTCGCCCAGGCCGGACTGCGGACTGCAGTGGCGCAATCTCGGCTCACTGCAAGCTCCGCTTCCCGGGTTCACGCCATTCTCCTGCCTCAGCCTCCCGAGTAGCTGGGACTACAGGCGCCCGCCACCGCGCCCGGGTAATTTTTTGTATTTTTTTTTAGTAGAGACGGGGTTTCACCTTGTTAGCCAGGATGGTCTCGATCTCCTGACCTCATGATCCACCCGCCTCGGCCTCCCAAAGTGCTGGGATTACAGGCGTGAGCCACCGCGCCCGGCCAAAAACATGTAATACAAATACTTGTAAGAACACTGTTGCAAAATATATGTTGAACTTAAATGATAATCAGTACAAAATGATGGAAAGAAAATGACTTTTCTTCCCATGATATTAGGCGAGATCCTGTCAGATGGTCCATTGAAATTTTGTAAGCAAAAAGAAGTCGCGCTTACGAATAGGTCCATCAAAAAAAAAATTCAAACCATGAAAAAAATTTTTAAGATATATCTTTGTTGTTTCACTTCCATTTTTCTTGTTAACATAAATGAGCTAATATTCATGTCAGAATTATAACTCTTCTTGAATGGCATAGCAACTTCTTTGCTGAATCCAATAGTTATTAAGCATTTATCACTCATTTTGTGACATTCTTGGTGGCTATAAAATTATAAAACTAATGGTGGAATTTGCCAAAAAAAAAAAAAATAGCAAGTCACACTGCAGTTGTAGGTGTAAACCCAAACACAAGTGGCTATATGCAATGTTTAATAAAGGATATTACATATTTTTAAAATAATAATAGGTCCATCTTCTCGGGCTCCTGGGACAGTGGAGTAATTGACAGCTGTATCATGTGGCAGCCAGTAGCCCCACCCATTCCCCCCATGTTTGACCCACCGTAAGAACACATCACAATTACATATGCGTGTCAAATACTACCGAGGCTTCCCACTCCCACCAACTAGCAGCCATTCTCCCATCTCTATGTTGGTCTCTCAAGTTTCCCTCCCTCCATCTCAGTTTAATCCCTCTACTCTGCTCTAGGTCTCATTTTCTCCTGCCTACCCTCTTGGGAATCTCACTCCATCTATCACTGCCGCTCTCTGGGATTTAAACTTCCTTCTTTCCAGTGGTACCTTCTTTTCATCAACATGAAACTCATACCTGAGTCTTTTTCACCTTACAAAACTCCTTCTTCAGCTGCTATCCTCTCTTCTGCTCCCCTAGGCAGCCAAAGTTAGAAGGTTTACCTGGGCTTGCTTCATCAACTTCTTTACCTTCCTCTTCCATCATCCTCCTCAATATTCCATTGAAGCTGCTTTTGCCAAGGTTATTGATGTTCCCCACATTATTTAGTCTAATGGACACTCTTCTGTCCTGTTGTGACCTCCCAACATGTTTTGGGCATTGTTTACCCTCTATCCTTCTCAGAGCCCTTTCCTGGGTTTCCTGACACCACTGTCTTTCAAGTTCTCTCCTACTTTCTGCCATTTCATTTACGGAGTCCTGCTCTTCTCCCAACCACCTCAAGGTACCATCCCAGGACAGCTGTGCCTTGCATTCTGTACTCTTTCCTAGATGGTCTCATCAATCCCCATGGCTTGATGTTTTGGTTGTCACTGAACTTCTGATGACTCACACATGCATGTCTCTCTGCAGACCACCTTCTGAGCTCGACTCATGTATCTAATTATCTTTGAATAACCCATTTGGATATCTCTTGAGTCTCAAAAATTAGCATGCCCAAAGCTGAACTTAGAGTGATTTTTTTTAATGAACATGTTTAAATGAACTTAATCATAGTTACATTTTAAAATGTACCCTTCTGATCAGAACCCTTCAATGTCACCCATCTGCTCTAAGTAAAATCCTAAGGCATTATAAAGCCTACAACACCCTGAATAATCCCTCTCCACTCATTTGCTTCCCTGACATTATCTCCTACTACCATCCCCCAACTCACTACTCTAGCCATGCTCCCAACTCAGGGGCCTTTGCACTTGCTTTTCCTATTTTTCCACCTGATATAAGCATTTGTTCTCTCCCATCCCTGAAGACTTCAGTCAACTATCACCTGTTGGTACGGCTTTCCCTGACAATCGTACATAAAATTTCAACACGCCCACTGATCTAGCATTCTTTAACCTCTTTTCCTGACTTGTCTTTATAACATTTATCAATATTGGACATACTATATATTTTATTGTCTACCTTCCTCCATAGATTGTAGACTACCTTGCAGGAATGTTGGTCTTGTTATTCATTGTTTTATTCCTAATGCCTAGAACAGGGTCTGGCATATAAAACAGAATCAATAAGTAACTATGGAATAAACAAATAAATGAATCTCCAAACCTGCTATCCATCATTTCAGTAAATGGTGCCCCCGTCGATCCAGCTGCTCAATACAGTTTTGACTCAACTCATTTGCTTTTGCCCCACATTAAACCATCACTCAGCCCTCCTGCCATCTCCAAAAATCATCTTCCTCTCCCACCTCCTGTCACAGTTATTTCTTATTCATCTTTTAATTCCAGCTACACATCATTTTTACAGACTGTGTCTGTAATGTTTCCTTTTAAATACCCAACTAGACCTAACACATGTCTGGTCCATACTAAGTGTCCATCAGGTATTTGTTGAATGAATAAATGGTGTTTCTCAGAAATGCCAGATTAGGTCTCCCAGCTCTCTGTTGCTATCACACTCTGTAAATTTCCATACATCACTCATCCCTCTTTTCAATAACTACTTAGTTTGATGTTCTTCTTCTTTTCTAGGCTATAAGCTTCCTGAAAACAGAAATCTACATGAAGGTGGGAAAGAGCAAGGGAAGGTCCTAAAATACAGACAGTACTGGCCTGACTATGGAAGGGTCATGCTGATAATACAGGGAAGCCATCTGAATAGGTTGGGGACAGAGCTGTGATTACAGAGGCATCAGTCTAGAGAAAAGAAGCTCATTCTATTTTTTGATACCAAAGGGGAAAAGGGAGTATCATAAGGTAGGCATATTTGGTCTCATACTTCTATATAAATCAGTTCCAGTGCTGGTTAAAATATAGTTTGGCTTGATTATTAATCACTAAAATTTAATAAATTCTTTTCTTTTTCTTTTTTGAGACAGAGTCTTGCCCTGTCACCCAGGCTGCAGGGCAAAGACGCAATCTCAGCTCACTGCAAACTCCGCCTCCCAGGTTCAAATGATTCTCCTGCCTCAGCCTCCTGAGTATCTGGGATTTCAGGCACGCGCCAACATGCCTGGCTAATTTTTTGTATCTTTAGTAGAGACAGGTTTCACCATGTTGGCCAGGCTGGTCTCAAACTCCTGATCTCGTGATCCGCCCACTTTGGCCTCCTAAAGTGCTGGGACTACAGGCGTGAGCCACAGTGCCTGGCCCATTTTTTTAACTTATGAATTTCAAAAACTTCTAATTTCAACCTTGTATAGTCTCCTAGCTACCAGACTGCAGCCTAATTGCTCTAAAATACACTTTATTAATTTATACATGGTTTACTTGCTAATTTAGAATTATATCTAGGTAGATAGATATATATGTGCATACACACACAAACACTCATTTTATATATTAGAAAACTGACATAGCAGAATCTCTTTTTACCTCAAGACTATATAATTCATAAGTAATGGAGCTGGGATTTGAACCGAGGTCTATGTGACTTCAAAATTCATGCACTTTTACTATTTTATAATGCCTCCATAATATGATATATATTCAGAGTGAAAATACTTGTGTAAAGAATTATGATAAAAATGAACATAAATTTAGCCCAATATTGTCTTATGATAGCTCATGAATACATTTAATATTAATTTGCTCACAAATGATAGAAATGTCTACCATGAGGATCTGCCAAATATTCTTTGACCTTTTGCTAAATATAAATGGTAGAGCTATTACCTTTAACATAAATGTATGTCCCATTTTCACCAACAGTAACCCGCACTTAAGCCCAGACAGCTTTGTTTAACTCTGACCTCTACAACTCAAAGATAAACAAGAATAGGATTAAGCCTTCTTCCCTTTGTTGTGCCCCACAGCACCCTTTGATTCTTGTTGAATTAATAAATAGTTTGGGATGAGGAGAAAGCAGAAACAAGCTCTTCTACCCACTTCCATTTCCAGCACAGGCTAATAATTATCAATAACAAGTCACAGCCTTAACTGTTCCTAAATTCCAGAAATATATCATCAAAGGGCTGTACATATATATGAAGAACCCTAAATCTGCATTTCGATATAGACACCTATTAGATTTACTTCTTACTACCTACAGGAAATTCACGTCTATGAGCAAAAAGTCATATACAAAGATTTTCAGAACAGCATAATAATCAATAAAAACAAGAAAATGGAAAAATTAGTGTAGGGATAGTACTAGAGAATAATTCGAAGTCTACAAAAGATTATGTTTATAGAGTCTTTGTAACTTTTGATTATGAAAAAATATTGTTATGTTAAATAATAAAATTAATAGAGTATTATGAGCCAGCTATTCTTGTAACAGCTTTAAACGTATTAACTAATTTAATCCTCAAAACAAATTTTACAAGGTAAGCACCATTACTATCTGCATTTTACAAATGAAAAAAGTTCAACACAGAGAGATAGGAACTTGAACCAAGATCCTTAAGCTTATTAGGTGTTAGAGTCAAGATATAAATCCAGATACAGCACTTGAGAAGCCACACTTAACAGTTTATACAGAAGATAAAATTGTATAGACTATTATAACTATTTAAATATATATTTGCTTGCATAAAAAGAAAATATTGGATGGGAATATAATTTGTTATATGGGAATTTTTAAAATTTCTTCATTATATTTATCTTTCTTTTCCACAACTTTTATAGTAGTCATGTTTTATGTTTATAATCAGGACAGAACAAGAAGTTATATTTGAAAAGTAAATGAAAAAAAGAAGTTCATGTTTTGAACAGATGCCTTGGTTCAACTGAGTAACTGACTTCAAAATTTATACACTATAGTCACGAATAATCTATATTTGAATACGTGCTATGGAAAAAGAAGAGTTTCTTAACGGCTTAAGCTATGTTCAGAGCTGAAAGGGACCTTAGAGATTATTTAGACCAGTTTTCTCAAAGTGTGGTCCCCAGACCAGAGGTGTCAACGTCATTTGGGAAATGCAAATTTAGGGGCCCTGCCCAGATTTACTGAATCAAAAGTTCTGGGAGTAGCGCCCAGAAACCTGTGTTTTCATGCAAGTCCTGCAGGTGATTCTGATGCACACTCAAGTTTCAGAATCGCTGACCTAGGCTTATGGTTCTCAGCCACGGCTGCATATCAGAATCAGTATCACCGATCCCACAGAAATACAAACTACCATCAGAGAATACTACAAACACCTCTACGCAAATAAACTAGAAAATCTAGAAGAAATGGATACATTCATCGACACATATACCCTCCCAAGACTAAACCAGGAAGAAGTTGAATCTCTGAATAGACCAATAACAGGCTCTGAAATTGAGGAAATAATCAATAGCTTACCAACCAAAGAGTCCAGGACCAGGTGGATTCACAGCCGAATTCTACCAGAGGTACAAGGAGGAACTGGTACCATTCCTTCTGAAACTATTCCAATCAATAGAAAAAGAGGGAATCCTCCCTAACTCATTTTACGAGGCCAGCATCATCCTGATACCAAAGCTGGGCAGAGACACAACCAAAAAAGAGAATTTTAGACCAATATCCTTGAAGAATATTGATGCAAAAATCCTCAGTAAAATACTGGCAAACCAAATCCAGCAGCACATCAAAAAGCTTATCCACCATGATCAAGTGGGCTTCATCCCTGGGATGCAAGGCTGGTTCAATATATGCAAATCAATAAATGTAATCCAGCATATAAACAGAACCAACAACAAAAACCACATGATTATCTCAATAGATGCAGAAAAGGCCTTTGACAAAATTCAACAACGCTTCATGCTAAAAACTCTCAATAAATTAGGTATTGATGGGACATATCTCAAAATAATAAGAGCTATCTATGACAAACCCACAGCCAATATCATACTGAATGGGCAAAAACTGGAAGCATTCCCTTTGAAAACTGGCAACAAGACAGGGATGCCCTCTCTCACCACTCCTATTCAACATAGTGTTGGAAGTTCTGGCCAGGGCAATTAGGCAGGAGAAGGAAATAAAGGGTATTCAATTAGGAAAAGAGGAAGTCAAATTGTCCCTGTTTGCAGATGACATGATTGTATATTTAGAAAACCGCATTGTCTCAGCCCAAAATCTCCTTAAGCTGATAAACAACTTCAGCAAAGTCTCAGGATACAAAATCAATGTACAAAAATCACAAGCATTCTTATACACCAATAACAGACAAACAGAGAGCCAAATGATGAGTGAACTCCTATTCACAATTGCTTCAAAGAGAATAAAATACCTAGGAATCCAACTTACAAGGGACGTGAAGGACCTCTTCAAGGAGAACTACAAACCACTGCTCAATGAAATAAAAGAGGATACAAACAAATGGAAGAACATTCCATGCTCATGGGTAGGAAGAATCAATATCATGAAAACAGCCATACTGCCCAAGGTAATTTATAGTTTCAATGCCATCCCCATCAAGCTGCCAATGACTTTCTTCACAGAATTGGAAAAAACTACTTTAAAGTTCATATGGAACCAAAAAAGAGCCCGCATCGCCAAGTCAATCTTAGGCCAAAAGAACAAAGCTGGAGGCATCATGCTACCTGACTTCAAACTATACTACAAGGCTACAGTAACCAAAACAGCATGGTACTGGTACCAAAACAGAGATATAGATCAATGGAACAGAACAGAGCCCTCAGAAATAACGCGGCATATCTACAAATATCTGATCTTTGACAAACCTGAGGAAAACAAGCAATGGGGAAAGGATTCCCCATTTAATAAATGGTGCTGGGAAAACTGGCTAGCCATATGTAGAAAGCTGAAACTGGATCCCTTCCTTACACCTTATACAAAAATTAATTCAAGATGGATTAAAGACTTAAACGTTAGACCTAAAACCATAAAAACCCTAGAAGAAAGCCTAGGCATTACCATTCAGGACATAGGCATGGGCAAGGACTTCATGTCTAAAACACCAAAAGCAATGGAAACAAAAGCCAAAATTGACAAATGGGATCTAATTAAACTCAAGAGCTTCTGCACAGCAAAAGAAACTACCATCAGAGTGAACAGGCAAACCAGAAAATGGGAGAAAATTTTCACAACCTACTCATCTGACAAAGGGCTAATATCCAGAATCTACAATGAACTCCAACAAATTTACAAGAAAAAAAACAAACAACCCCATCAAAAAGTGGGCGAAGGACATGAACAGACACTTCTCAAAAGAAGACATTTATGCAGCCAAAAAACACATGAAAAAATGCTCATCATCACTGGCCATCAGAGAAATGCAAATCAAAACCACAATGAGATACCATCTCACACCAGTTAGAATGGCAATCATTAAAAACTCAGGAAACAACAGGTGCTGGAGAGGATGTGGAGAAACAGGAACACTTTTACACTGTTGGTGGGACTGTAAACTAGTTCAACCATTGTGGAAGTCAGTGTGGCGATTCCTCAGGGATCTAGAACTAGAAATACCATTTGACCCAGCCATCCCATTACTGGGTATATACCCAAAGGACTATAAATCATGCTGCTATAAAGACACATGCACATGTATGTTTATTGCGGCTCTATTCACAATAGCAAAGACTTGGAACCAACCCAAATGTCCAACAATGATAGACTGGATTAAGAAAATGTGGCACATATACACCATGGAATACTATGCAGCCATAAAAAATGATGAGTTCATGTCCTTTGTAGGGACATGGATGAAATTGGAAATCATCATTCTCAGTAAACTATCCCAAGAACAAAAAACCAAACACCGCATATTCTCACTCATAGGTGGGAATTGAACAATGAGAACACATGGACACAGGAAGGGGAACATCACACTCTGGGGACTGTTGTGGGGTGGGCGGAGGGGGGAGGGATAGCATTAGGAGATGTACCTATTGCTAAATGAGGAGTTAATGGGTGCAGCACACCAGCATGGCACATGTATACATATGTAACTAACCTGCACATTGTGCACATGTACCCTAAAACTTAAAGTATAATAATAAAAATAAATAAATAAATAAAAATTAAATTAAATTAAAAAAAAGAAATGTTCTAAATAAACTATAGGGGTAATCATTTCAGGTCAAAAAAAAAAATCACCTGAGAGTTTTTAAGACTCTCAGTGTCTGGAGTGCACCAATAGAGATGCTGAGTTAACTGGTTTTAAATGAGTCCATCAGTGTTTTTAACTGCTCTTTATGTGATTTAGCCAGAACCACTGATTTAGTCCTTTACTACTCATAGCATGGTCCTCGGACCCACAGAGTTGGCATCTACTGGGAGCTTTTGAGAAATGTAGGATCTAGAGTTCCACTCCAGCCCTGCTTGAATCAGAAACTGCATTTAAACAAGATCCCCAAGTGGTTGATATATACATGCAAGTTTGAGAGGCATTGAACACTGTCCTCATTATACAGAGGAAAAAACAAACAAGGCCAAAAGAGTTAATATTTTCCCAAGATCTCACTGCTGGGGGATGGGAGACAGGGGATGGGAGAAGGGGCAAGAATAGAAGAGTTGAATTCAAACCCAAGATGCTCAAAATTTCAACTGCACTCTTTCTGTTATACTATGTTGTAAAGCTTTGGATTTGATGGATCTTTCTTTTTTTTTTTTACCTTTCTCCCACCTCCAAATGGTTTTCACCCCATAAAGTACCTAAAGCTTGGTAATGCACAAATGCCATGTCATTCCCTGAAGAAATTTAGAGTTGGCAGAGGAAGGCTTAGAAATTAAGTGCCTGAAAGCCAGTAACCGGGCTCAGAGATCTCCAAGGACTGCTGTCCAGTCCAAAATTCCATGACATCTGCAATACAGCCTTGAATAAAAACCAGAATGCCAGTATCCAATGCAGTGAGAATTTATTTCATAGTTATCAAAGCAAACCAAAGGTTATCAGTGGGTTGGACATTTAAAGATTAAGTACAGCTGATCGCACTCAACTCTTATGCAGGTAGCTTAACTCCAGTGGTTCTGGTCTCTCTCTGAAGGGAAAATAGAGGTGTTTATGATCCTGTATCCTAATGGGTTCCAGGTGATCCAGGCTAGGCAGCTGAGTTAGGCCCTCTCTTCTTTGATTTACATGGCAGAATCCAGGCCATCTCTAAATTGAAAAGATATAGTAATGAGTAAATGCAGAAAAAGAAAAGAGGAATAAAAAGAGCTGAGGCAAAACCTGGAGTGCTTTTCCAAGTCCAAAGTGAGCTATGGCTGCCCTCTCTGCTCAGAAGGTATGATCATAAATTACTAGCTAATGTTTAGCACTGGGGCTCTGGCCCATGATCTATTACAGAGGACAAGATGCCTCCAAGCAGAAAATACTGTAACTGGGGAGCAATAACATCTGTGTCAGTCATGAGACTGCAGTTAAAGTGAACTGAGAAGTTACAGGCTGTGCTGCAGATGCATAGTAATAATATGCACATTTTTTAGCTAAAAAGATATGTCATCAAGATATGAGTTACATTCTTTTGCGTCACCATAGCCTGAAGAGGATCAGTAGGACCCCCGGATTTCTGTTTTAACATTAGCAAGATGTTAGCCAACAACTCAAGGGAATTATAGTTGATAAAGCAAAGAAGTCTGAGGAACTCGGAATATGGGCTTGGTTTTCTGGAGCACAGATTCTAGGTCGTTACAATGCTCTGCTGTACTAAGCAGGTCACATAATCTCTCTGAGCCTCTTAATCTAGCAAGGTCAAAGAATTCATTCAGGATAGAATTGGGACTCAAACGCAGACCTTCCGGCTATAAATTCTATTATTTTCCCAGTACTTCTCTGTTTATAAAATTGATATTTAAGTAGTTATCAATAAGAGTAAATGCCCAGTTATTCAGGAACTGAAATGTGTACAAGGGACTTTCATTTCTGAATAGATCAAAATAAAAGAGAACTGCTTTATTGTAACTTTCCATTTTAAAAATTCTTTAGTAGCATGATAATAGCTAAAAATTCAAACCATTTAAAAGTGTTCAGGGTGGGAGGGGGACAAGAGTTGAAAAACTACCTATTGGGTACTATGCTCACTACCTGGGTGATGGGATCCTTCATACCCCAAACCTCAGTGACATGCAATTTACCCATATAACAAACCCAGTGAACCTAAAAGGTGGAAAAAATAAATAAGAAATAAAACAGAAGTTTCAGGAAAACAAACTGCCAGTTGTGGGTAGTCTAGAGCAGGGGTTCTCAACCCCCAGGGCCATCGACTAATACGAGTCTGTGTGTGGCCTGTTAGGAACTGGACCATACAGCAGGAAGTGAGTGGTGGGCGAGTGAGCAAAGCTTCATCTGTATTTACAGCTACTCCCCATCGCTCGCGTTACCACCTGAGCTCCACCTCCTGTCAGATCAGTGGCAGCATTAGAGTCTCATAGGAGCACGAACCCTATTGGGAACTGTGCAAGTGAGGGATCTAGGTTGCATGCTCCTTATGAGAATCTAATGCCTGATGATCTGAGGTGGGGCTGAGGCAGTGATGCTAGCACTGGGGAGCAGCTGCAAATACAGATTAACATTAGCAGAGAGGTTTGACTGAACAGAGACCTTAGTAAATCAATTGCTTGCGGACTCATAACAAAATTATATCAGTCAGTGGCAAATGACAATTAAGCTGCATCTGGTGTCAGGCTTTATAGTGGTAAGTGAGTTGATGTACTTTGATTGTACAGCTGCATCTGGTGGCAGGCTTTAAGTCAGAATCTGACACTTATTTCAGTCCGTGTGTGGCCTGCCCATTATTTTATTTACCACTTCCATCCATGCCTCCTTCCTGCACTGCGCACTTGTCTCTGTCACAGTTTTGGTAAGCCCACAAGCTAACCCAAGCCAAAATGAGTGAAAAATAAACGTCACTAGAGAGCTTCTTTGAAAAGAGGGAAAGACCCAATGATGAGACAGCAGAAGACTCTAAGACTGCCAACAAAAAGAAATCTTCATTTAAAAGAAAATACTAAGAGTCCTACTTAAATTATGGTTTCATTGCACCAAGTGATTCACCTTCTCCAAGCCTGCTTTGTATAATATGTGGTGACTGGCTATCCACCGAAGCCATGAAACCTTCCAAACTGCTTTGCTACATGGAGATGAGGCACCCTGCATTAAAAGACAAGCCTTTGGAGTTTTTCAAAAGAAAAAAACATGAACACAAAGAACAGAAGCAATTAGTGAAGGCCACCACTTCATCAAATGTGTCTGCACAGAGAGCATCATTCTTAGTGGCTAACTGCATTGCTAAAGGTAAGATGCCCTTCACTATTGGTGAAGAGTTGATCCTGCCTGCTGCTAAGGACATCTGTCATGAATTTTTTTTTTTTTTTTTTGAGATGGAGTCTCACTCTGTTGCCCAGGCGGGAGTGCGGTGGTGTAATCTCGGCTCACTGCAACCTCCACCTCCCAGATTCAAGTGATTCCCCTGCCTCAGCCTCCCGAATAGCTGGGACTACAGGCACCTGCCAAAACACCCAGCTAATTTTTGTATTTTTAGTGGAGATGGGGTTTTGCCATGTTGGCCAGGCTGGTCTTGAACTCCTGACCTCAAGTGATTCCGCCCGCCTCAGCCTCCCAAAGTGCTGGGACTACAAGAGTGAGCCACCACGCCTGGCCTGTCATGAACTTTTAGGAGAGGCTGTGGTTCAAAAGTGGCACTTGTTCCTCTTTCAGCTAGTACCAAAACTAGATGAATTGATGAAATAGCAGAGGCTATTGAGGCACAATTGTCAGAGAAAATTAATGAGCCACTGTGGTACACAATCCAGGTTGACAAGTCTACCAGTGTTGACCACAAGACAACAATACTTGTTTGTGCGTGATTTATTTTTCAGGAGGATGTGCATGAGGATATGTTATGTTCACTCTTATTGCCAACCAACACCACAGCTGCAGAACTATTCAAGCCTTTGAATGACTGCATGTCAGGAAAACTGAATTGGTCATTTTGGGTAGGTTTATGCATGGATGAAGCAGCTGCCATGACTGGATGGCTTTCTGGTTTCACTACTTGGGTCAAAGAGGTTGCTTCAGAGTGTGAGTCTATGCACTGTGTAATCCCTAGAGAAATGCTGACTAGCCAAAAAACGTCACCTGAACTTAACAATGTTTTGCAGGGTATGATTAAAATTATCAACCATAATAATGTACATGCCCTTAATTCACATTTGTTCACTCAGCTCTGTGAGGAGATGGACACAGAGCACACACGTCTTCTCTTATACACAGAAGTGAGATGGCTTTCTAAAAGTAGATCACTGGCCAGAGTTTTTGAGTTATGAGAGCCACTGCAGAGATTTCTTTTAGAAAAAGAATCACCACTGGCAACACATTTCAGTGACATAGAATGAGTCCCAAAACTTGCTTACTTTTGGGACATATTCAACCTGTTCAATAAAATCAACATGTCACTTCAGGGGAGAATGACAACTGTATTCAAGTTGGCAGATAAATTCGCTTCATTCAAAGCCAAACTGGAATTATAGGGGCAACAAGTGAACATTGGGAACTGGGGTCTCTGACATGTTTCAAACATTAGCAAAGATATTGAAAGAGACAGAGCCAGGGCTGTCTTTCTCCCAGCTGGTGGATGATCACCTATCTCAGCTTTCAAGAGTTTGAGCATTACTTCCCAACACAAAAGACTCCCAAACTGGGAAGGAATGGATCTGTGACTCATTTGTGAATATGCCAGGTGAATAGATTTTGTCCATGCTAGAAGAGGATCAACTGCTTGAGATTGCATATGATGGTAGCCTTAAAAGTATGTTTGAGAAAACTTCAAATCTCCATAGTTCTGGATTAAAGTCAAGGTGAAATATCCTGTGATTGCCACAAAAGCACTGAAAAGCCTACTTCCGTTCCCAGCATCCTATCTTAGTGAAGCAGAATTTTCTGCAGTGACAGCAACCAAAACGAGATTACGGAGCAGACTGGACATAAGCAACACACTTCCATGTCACTGTCCTCCATCACCCCCAGATGGGACCATCCAGTTGCAGGAATACAAGCTCAGAGCTCCCACTGATTCTACATTATGGTGAGTTGCATAATTATGTCATTATATATTACAATAAAAATAAAGTGCATGATAAATGTAATGTGGTTGAATCATCCCAAAGTCATCCTCCCTACTCCACCCCAGTCTGTGGAAAAATTGTCTTCTGTGAAACCGGTCCCTGGTGACAAAAAATTTGGGGACTGCTGATTGAGAGAGATCTTAATTGAGTTAAAAAAGAGATCACAGGGACACAGGAAGGGGAACATCACACTCTGGGGACTGTTGTGGGGTGGGGGGAGGGGGGAGGGATAGCATTGGGAGATATACCTAATGCTAGATGACGAGTTAGTGGGTGCAGCGCACCAGCGTGGCACATGTATACATATGTAACTAACCTGCACAATGTGCACATGTACCCTAAAACTTAAAGTATAATAATAAAAGAAAAAAAAAGTTTTGCATAGATGGACAGCCTCTGAGGTATCTTTCAGCTTTGATAACTGGTGATTCCTTACTGTATAGGCCAACTGGGCCCAAAGTCCACTTGGGATTTCAACACCTTCTTTTTTCATAGTATGACCAGGACTTTCCCAGTTTATGCTGTAAGTCCTATGATCTGGAACTGAGTCCCAGGCAAACAAGGAATCACCATACTTCTTACCACTATGCTGTGTGTCTCCTTGACCCTTGTCCAGACCAGCACAGTGCTCTTAACTGCACCTTCCCACCTACACAAAAGCCTGAGTACACACTACAAAAAGTCTTTGTCCCCTGCACTCTGGATCTTGTGCAAACCCAAAGGAGGCTTTGCCTTCTACTCTCATTCCAACCTGCATACTCGGGTACCTTGGCAAGTACCTAGGTTTGTTTCTCTAATTAGCCCTCTTGAAGCAATGCTTCAGGTGAACCATCTGCTTGGCTTCACCACCAAACATGATCTTCAAGTCTCCCAGCCCAACATTTCTCCTGCCAGGCCTTGGGTCATTGAGCAGAGGTATTATTGGGATACCTTATGCCCCTGCTGCTGCCTAGTCCTGTAGCCACTGCATAGCATGATCCAAGATCAAAGCTATTTTGTGGATTTCTAAATGCCATACTACTATATCAGTTCTGTATCTATTGCCAGAATTCTTTTAAAAACTGGTCATTTGTAGACATAAGCTTTTCAAGGGCTCAAATATCCCATTTTCATAAACCTATTTGTTTTCTTGTCTGCTTAGTGTTGCCTTTGACTATATTGAATATCCTCCTCCTGTGCTATGTTAAAATGCCTTTACTTGTTACTTGTTAACAATAAATTACTCATTAACAAGGAATTCATTCTTATCATTGACAAATATTTCAGCATAAATGGACTTCTTTCTATAGCCAAGAGAGTATGAAGTATGTTAGATTGGAAAGCTCCATATTTATCGTCTGTTGGATTAAAGCTTGTTGATTTATTTTAAACTATTCTAAGGTGGTTGTTTGTGTTTCATACTTATATCTCAGGAGATACTGATGAAACTATATAGAATGAATCAACAATTAGTACATAGCCCAAAACCATGTGCCCAAAATACCTAAGTTATGGACATTCCTAAAACAGACCTTAATATGCTGAGTTTTTCTAATTAATTTATATTTTTCCACATACAAAAAGGATAGGAAAGTCTTCCAGAAAAAAGGACAATGTCCTTGGGTTACTTTGTAGCATCTAACACTGCTAAACTGGTGTAGAGGAGTGAAGAGGTTGAAAGGAAGACTATAAGATGTCCCACTTAAGAAACTGTTAAAAAGTGCTGTGAAAGTCTGATCCCTCCATTCATCCACCTGACAGAAGCACTGGAACAAACTTCTGCCTGTCACAGAAACTTCTATTTGTCTACCCAGTATTTATTTTTTTTCCTTCTTCCTTACTAACAGAATGTCAATTTTCTTCTAGGCATTCATTTATTCTCCCTTGCAGCTAAGGGTAACCAATGAGGTGTAAGTAGAAGTGTTTGAAAGGGCCTTACTCACCCAGGAGGGACAATCCTGGGACCTTCTGCCCTCCTTCCTTCCTCCTTCTTTCTGCCTAGAATATGTCAGGTTGTTACATTTAAAAAATAAAAACACAGGGTGCCTACTTAAATTTAAATTTCAGACAAACAACAAATAATTGGTTTTAGTATAAGTACATTCTATGCAGTTTGGAACATACTAACACTAAAAAATCATTTGTTGTTTACCTAAAATTCAAGTGTAACTGGGTATCCTGTATTTTATCTATTTTATCATGTCCCCAAGAATGTGGACATGGAGACTGAAGCTCCAGCAGCCACCATGGGACATAAAGAGAACTTACAGCTGAAAGCCACACACCAAGGATGACAGAAAGAAAATATGGGCATCCAGTCACAGAAGACCAGAGAGGGACACGCTAACCCCAGGCCATGTTCCTTGGAACTTTTTCTACATGAGATAAATAAAGCTTTACCTTGTTTGAGGCATGATTATTTGGAATTTGTTGCATGTCAAACTCAGTCCTGAGTGGTAAACTATCATTTCCACATTGCTTTTCCTCTCCACTCTCTTCCGTGTTTCTTTTTTCTCTCCCCAATAACCCATGGTGAGAATTTTAGGTGATTTTATTCATTTATAAGAGTGAATGGAAAGAGTAAATCCCACACAATAATTTGTCCCCCTCCTAAATCCTCAGAAACAGCTTAAAATGAGGGGAAAAATATAAAAATATAATCTGTAGTTCTCTAGAAAAAAAGTGCCTGGAGGTCTCCCAAAAGACTAGCAAGCAATGAAGAGATTTCCTTCAAGGGGCCACCATGACCGTATCATATTTGGGGAGGTTTGTCTTTGAAAAGGTGTACAGTTAGGCAGAGAGAAGCTTCAATGAAATTCTAAAGAGAAGGGAATATGATAGAAAACATGCAATTCTATTTTATCACTGATTCTATGGCGCTGTGTATTATATTACTAATTATAATTTTTATTGAACACTAATAGTTATTGAACATTTATCAAATATCAGACTATCCTAAGCATTTTATATACATATACATTATCTAATCTTCACGCTTACCCTATAAGGTTGATATTATTAGTAACTTCATTTTGTATATATGGAAGCCAAGGCTCAAAAAGGAAAAAAAAAACTCTTTCAAAATCAAAAAGCATACAAGATGTGCAGCAGGAGTTTGAATCCACATCTTCTGGCTCCACAGATTTGGTGCTACTAATCTGTAAGTTTAAAATACAATACTATAAAATATGGTAAAGATACAATACTTAGAAATTAAGGTACTTAATCTGTAAGTTTAAGATACAATACTGCACCATTTCTATTTTATCTGATGGTTTAACATTTCAAAAGGCATTTCAGGACTCAGTTCAGTTCTTTCATTTGCACACACACACACACATGCACACGCATGCAGGCACATACATATGTATAACTCCTGAACTGGGGAAAAGTATACAACTTCACAGGTGAAAGGATCAGGCACATGTTCAATGAATTGGAGTCCTGATTCCCAACATCCTGCACTTAAGCTCTGCAGATGAAAGGATGCTCAGTCTGGCTTCAATTCCTGTCTAAAAATAGCTAAAAGCACAATACAAAACACCAGATTTTTGTATCAGGTTATTGCTCTGAGCCCCACTTACTGAGTGGGGAATCTGATGTCCAGAAAGCAGGGTAACTTAGGAAAGTGTTAGAGCTGGGGGAGGCACACCTGGAGAGGAATTAAAGTTTAACCTAAAGTGACTGGAGCATCACGTGTTTAACCTTCTCTATCCACTTGCTCTTACCATGAGTACATTTCCATTTTTAGGTCTCTTAAAACCATAGATTGATGAAACAAACTCACAATACAGACTCACTTTGCTGCCCCTTAGCTTTATATTCCCTAAGAACGTCCACAAACTCTGGACTGGATTTAGCCTACTTGGACCAAGAGACACAGGCCATGATGGTGTAACATGATGAAGAGCTCTCTCTGAAGATTGCTGAATCACAGGAAACACACAAACCAAGCAGGAAAAATGTGCCTTGAACTTTTCCACGTAATTCACCTATTGCAACTGGGGGTGGCTGGGTTTTCATGAATAGGGCACCCAAGGAGAATAGCTAATAACAGACTGATCCAGAATTGAGAAAGAATAGCATGGCATCTTGCCCCAGTCATGAATAGATGACATAACAAAGAGAGAGGAAAAAGAAACAAGGAACCCAGGAGTAATGGGGAGACCAGGGCTCACCAGCCAGGCGTCTGGTAAGCACCGAGTGTGGGAAATTTTCCTTGCCTCTGAGACACATATTGTTGTCCAACAATGGCATGGCAGCTGACGTTGCAAAGTCTCCGTTTCAAAGGAGAAACCAGCAGAGGTGTTCTGCTCCTCCTCTCCCCTTAGGGAAATCCTGGAAAGTGCCAACCAGCTTGCATTATTGTTAAAGATGTTAAATAAAAACACGCAGCAAGCTCTGCATGTATAGTGGGCAGGGAGTGGAACTAGTAGAATTTTCAGGGCCTTATTGCAATGTCATGTAGTGAAATTTAATCTGGACTGAGACTCCAGAGGATAGCAGAGGAGCTGCAGCTCAGCCACCAACCTAACAAGCAACCTTACCTCTCAGGTTCTCAATGTCCAAACTTGTAAGGCAAGAAGGTTATATTGCTGGATTGATACATATCTTTATTCAACAACATTACTGAGCTAGAGTTACATAAGAGTTATCTCATGTATCTCACATTCTAGTGAATTTGATAGACAATAAAAAGTAAATTCATAAATGTCCTTTAGTTATAAGGGTTATGAAGAAAAAAAATCATAGTAAACGAAAGAGAGTAATGTGTTGACACTCTAAATAATGTTGCCAGGAAAGCTGCTCCAAAGAAGCAGTATTTGAGCAGAAACTAGGAGAAGAAGCCAGCCAGGGAAGATTTGGGGAAGCAATGTCCCAGGTGGAAGGAACAGCCATGTGTGGCCATGAAATAGGAGCATGCTTGGCATGTCTGAGGTACATCCAGGAAACCAATGTGGCTGGAGTTGAGGGAGTGAGGAGAAAGACAGATGGAGATGAGTTGGGGTGATAGCAGGGGACAAATCATGTAAGGTGATAATCAGATTTTAGGTTTAATTGTGATATAAAACCATTGAATGGGTATGTATTGAGCAGAAAGGTACCATGAACCTTATATGGCTGATAAAAGTAGAGAAAGCATTCAATAATAATTTACTGAGCATCAATATTTACCAGGTTTTGTTGCAAGTGCAAGGAGTATATCAGTAAATAAAAGATGTCCCTATCCTGATAGAGATTACATCCTTGTGGAAGACCACTTGAAAAACAATTGCAGTGGTCCAAGTAAAAAATGATGGTGACTTAGTAAAAGGTAGTAGTAATGAAAGTAATGAAGACTAGCCAGGTTCCATATTTGTTCTGAAGGTGGAGCAAAAAGAATTTGTTGATAGATTAGATGTGGGGATAAGAAAATAAATAAATGATTCCCAGATTCCTCCATCTCTCTCTTTTTTTTAAACTAGATCCTTCTCGTCATTCTAACTTTGGTTCAGATATTACCTCTTCAGAGAGGCATCCCCAGATAACACAAGTTTACAATGCCAAGTTAACTCATTACTCTCTTCTTTTACTACTGTTGTGCCATTTGCTGAAATGAGGAAGACTTGGGGAGGAGCACAGTCTGATTTGGAGTCAGTATTTGAAGATGTTAAGTTTAAGATGCCTATTAGACATCCAAGAGAAGATGATGTATATGCTAGTTTGACATATAGCTTGGAGGACAGATGAAAAGTTAGTATGAACATAAAAAGTTTGTTTATCACCTAAGAAAGACATGCATATACTAAAGAGAACCAAGTACTTCCTAGAGTGTTCCAAAAATTAGAGATCAGGAAGGGGAGAGGTAGCAAGTGAGTTAAGAAAAGAAGGTGAACATGACGTCCCAGAAACCATGTGAGGAAAATATTCCAGGAGGAAAACATCAGCTTCCTCAACTGCTTGGGACTTGAGTATATATTAAAACGAACCATTGGGTTCAAAAACATGGAGGCCATTGGTGATATTGAGTGGTTCCAGTGGACTTATGGGGACAAAATCAAAGTGGGTTAAAAAGAAAATGGGAGTTGAGGAATTGAGACAGTGAGTTTAGATGTCTCCTTCATGGAATTTGATCATAAAAGGGAGTAGAAAAATGAGCAACAATTACCAAGAGGAGAATGTTAGATTGTTTGTTTGTTTTTAAGGTGAGAGTTGCAATATAAAAAACCAACTGTAAAAAAGAGCTTTTTTATACAATCATGAAAATTTGAATGAAGACTGATAAAAAAGATATTAAGAAATAATTATTAATTTGCTAAAAATGATAATGGAATTGGAGTTACAGTTTTTAAAATTCCATGTGAAGTATGTATTACTAAATAAGATAATATCTGGGGTTTGCTATAACATATATAAGCAAGACAAGTTTGGGGGAGACAGATGAAACTAGATTGGCAAAATATCATTGTTGAAGTTGGATGATGAGTATATGGAATTCATTATATTTGTCTCTCTACTTTTGTGTATATGTAAAAAGTTTCTTGAAAATGATAAGAGCCGGTCATATTACGGCAGTACACTATTCCCATAATGGCCCAGGTGCCCCACCTCTTCCTGGTAGGGTGGAGCCAGAAGAGGCTGAGTGAGAAGCCAGGACTTTTACCACCTCCCAGGGATAGTGAGCCCCTCCTCTCCCTCAGTGTCAGTGGAGGGCATGCAGACACCAGTAATGAGGGGCCCCTACCCCCTGCCAGCCAGGCGGTGCCAGCAGAAGCCTGATGTGGAGCCTGCCCCCCATCCACCCCAGGAGTAACAAAGCACCCCCACAAGTGTCACTAAAGGCTGTGGGGGAGCTGGACTTTCACCCTCACTTGGCAGTTACAGGCAAGGCCCCTTCCCCTTGGCGATGTGAAACCAGAGGAGCCCTAAATCAGGAGATTTAAATAAGATCCAGAGTCTCATAATATCCAAAATGTCCAAGATGTAAATGAAAATCACTCATCATACCAAGAACAAGGAAAATCTCAATTTGAATGAGAAAAGACAATCAACAGAGATGACACAGACGTTGAAATCATCTGATGAGAATCTTAAAGCAGCCATCATAAAAAGGCTTCGAAGAGCAATTATGAATACACTTGAGACAAATGAAAAAAATAAGTCTCAAATAATATGTACAAACACAGCAGGTTTCAAAAATGAGCTTGCAGAAAATTACTGTCTTCCACATTGTTCATATTGAGAAACCACGTGTCTCAGAGTCGAGAGGTTTGAATTAACGTTGGTCCACAGCTGGTCTGGTGCATCACTATCCCTGGGGTCCCAGCTATTTTAACACATCACATATTTCCCAAAACTCAGGCTACATTTCAGCAATTCCACAGCCTACTGCATCACTGAATGTTTTTCCAGCCTGCTTCCTGAAAAGGAGGTTTAGGATTACAGCATATCATTTAGGTAACAATGTTGTATCCCAAGACTAGCTCCCAAAGGCTAAGATTTCACAAATTTCAAAATTTCTTCTGAAATTTCATCATCCTTCTACCTTCTCAGGAGTTGTAAACTTGGAAAAAAACTTATTATAAAAGGTCAGTTGGAACACACTCTAGGGAGTTAACAAAAATGAATTGTTGTGCTAATATTCCAACCATTTAGGAAAACTTCTGAATGCCTCTTATCAGTGTAACATCCATCAAAACAAGGTGGACACCTGGGTGCTCTGCAGCCATCCGAGGCGGCTCTGTGAAGACCTTGGCCTTGGGGTGGTTGGGCCAGCTGCAGTGGAACATGAGCAGGGCCAGTCCCATGCCATGGGAAAGAAGAGGCTTCTGCCTATAAAAGAGGCCTTTCAGCTGGCCCAGCCACCCCACCAGAACCAGGCAAAGCTGCTAGTGGCATTAAGCTGCATCTACCACACAAAATGCAACAAGAAAACACACTCCTTCTCTCGGCCGCATCCAGTACTGTTCCTCACAGTCAGCTACAGCTATCACATATTTCATTTTGTGGATATATTAAATACCTAGGTTTATATGGTCAATCCCCTATTGGTGGACACTTCTACTTGTGTGGTTTCTAGTCTTTGGATATTAGGAAAAAATGCTTCAATGAAAACATGTTATTTAGTTTTTTACCTTCTTCTGTAAAGTATTCTGGAAATTTTGTCATTTTTTATTAGTATTCGTAGTAGGTGTATCATTTAAAAATTTGCTGGACTGAAAGCCTTAAAAAAGATAAAAGTGTGGGCAAGGATGTGGCGAAAAGGGAACCCTTGAACACTGTTGGTGGGAATGTGAATTAGCACAGCCACTGTGGAAAACAGTATGGAGGGTTCCTCAGAAAATTAAAACTTGAACTACCATAGGATCCAGCAATCTCACTACCAGATATATATCCAAAGGGAATGAAATCAGTATGTGGAAAAGATATCCACATTCCCACATTTATTGCAGCATTATTGACAACAGCCAAGATATGGAATCAACTTATGTGTCTATTAGCTGATGAATGAATTTTTAAAATGTAGTATATATACAATGGGATACTATTTAGCCTTTAAAAAGAACAAAATTCTGTCATTTGTAACAACATGGATGAACTTGAAAGACATTATGTTAAGTGTAACAAGCCAGGCAGAGAAAGACAAAAGCCACATGATGTCATTTGTATGTGGACTCTAAAAAAGCTGACCTCATAGAAATAGAGAGCAGAATGGTGGTTATGAGAGACTAGGTTGGGGGTGGATGGAGATGTTGGCCAAAGGATACAGAATTTCAATTAGATTGGAGAAATAAGTTTGAGAGATCTATTATACAACATAGTGACCATAGTTAATAACAATTGCACACATGAAAAGCGCTAAGAGAATACATTTTGTCTTCTCATCACAAAAAAAAGTGAAGTTATGCATATGTTAAATAGCTTGATTTAGCCATTCCACAATGTATACATACATCAAAACATTGTTATACACCATAAATATGCACAATCTTAACTTGTCAATTCAAATAAATAAAATTTAAAATCAAAAAAGAAAGAAAGCCTTAAAAGCTTATATAATTTAGAGGAAACAAAAAAACAGAACGAGTTTTAAAATATAGTGTTTCCTGAGAAAGGGGTGAGTTGAACAGGCAAGGAGGGGCCTGCTCTCATGATGGACCTCCAGAATCCCAGCTGCAGGAGACCCAAAGACTCCCATGGACACTTGAGCTGGTAGGGAGAGCTGCTTAGAAAGGGGGTAGGGGCAGGACTCCAGTCTATGTGGCACCCAGAGGGTTTGGCATAGAAACAGCTACAGTGGAGCATGGCTGGGGATGCCCATCTCCCAAAACTCTCCATGCTCCTTTAGGTGGCCTTGGCCTTTAATGAGTGCCAGACCTGAATAGAGCAAGGTGGTCTTGCCCATGAGATGAGGGCCAGTCCAATCTGAGCAACCCCTATCTGCTGGTCTCTTCTGGGGCCCCAGCTTGCTGCACCCATTTGCAGCACAGCCTCTGATGCCCAACCAGGGTAACTACCAGGGGCCATCATCATAGCTCCTTTACTAGCAGACCACACCTGACCTTAGGAGAGATCTAGCACACCAGCCCCCACTGCGGAGCAACCACCCACCCACAGCCTATTCAATAAATGGTGCTGGGATAACTGGCTAGCCATATGCAGAAGACTGAAACCCCTAAAAACAAACCTCCGTGGGAAGCAGTGCCAAGGTAGGGAAACCTGAACATCACTGATGAGTGGCTGGAGGCCCAGAGCCAACGAGCCCCAGAGATTAAAAACTGGGGGGCACTCAGTCATCAGGGCCTCCGTGCTTTTGTGAATTTGCCTCCAGGAGCAGGACCAGTTTCTCACAGTGAATACTGGAGGAAAATCTCCTCATACTTCCTGCAGGAAGAAGGGAAAAGGAAACATTTTTAAAGATGCCAGAGCACTCAGTTCTTAATAAGGTCCACCCCTCAGGAGAAACCGTTTAACAGAGCTTAACAGACCTGAGGGAAGAGAAATAATCCAACTCCAGCCAGCTCTGCCTTCCATGTGGAAGAAGGGAAATACCCAACTCTAGTCCACTCCAGCCATTGTATCCCACCTAAGTGGTGGGAAGAACTGAGAAACATGTGTGAAGTTCACAGTCCAGAAGTATAGGCCAAAAAAACAAATAAACAAAGAAAACCCAGTTCTGGTTCCAAAATGGTGGTGTATTGATGAGAGTGTTAAATTTCTAATTTTTAAGACTCTTAGGCAACTATGGGTTTCTTTTGTTTTCGTTTTTTATTCATTTGAACACTTTTCAAGTTTTTCAAAACTAGTCAATTTGAATTTTGACAGCTATTCAATGTGTTATCTCCAAGTTAAGAAAAGTTGTTTTCCATACCTCCCTATTCCTAGGATGCAAGTTTTTCATTCTGGTAACTATACCAAGGAGTAATTATAAAATTGAGTTCTTTTACCATATTTTGTATTCCGGACCACTTACTGGTAAATGTAAACAAGCAAAAGAAATTAACTCAGATAATATGACCCTGCTAAATTGTATACATATTTATAAACAGCACATTTGTGTATTTTAGCTGTGTCAGTAGCCACCCCCTCCCCACGTTCATTCCCATTTTTCTTTTTTTTTTTTTTTTGAGATGGAGTCTCGCTCTGTCACCAAGGCTGGAGTGCAATGGTACCACCTCGGCTCACTGCAACCTCCACATCCTGGGTTCTAGCGATTCTTCTGCCTCAACCTCCCGAGTAGCTGGGATTACAGGCACGCCTGCCACCATGCCCGGCTAATTTTTGTATTTTTACTAGAGACAGGGGTTTCACCATGTTTGCCAGGCTGGTCTTGAACCCTGACCTCAGGTGATCCACCCTCCTTGGCTTCCCGAAGTGCTGGGATTACAGGCATGAGCCACCGCGCCCGGCCTTCGTTCCTATTTTTCTATAGTTACGAATGCTACATAGATGTGACTACTCTTTAACATCAGAAAAGAATACACAGAGTAAGAGTCTTCCAGCCAAAACAATACATTAAATACTGATGGAATCAAGTATTTTGTATAAAGTTTTCATTTGTTTTCTCTAACTCTATGCTTTTTGTTTTGTATGTAGTATGTATTTCATATGCATACACTTTTTGTATAGAGTAATCAAGTTGGATAATTTGTTGGTAAAAATAATACCATATTGGCTGGGCGTGGTGGCTCACACCTGTAATCCCAGCACTTTGAGAGGCCAAGGCAGGCAGTTCACTTGAGGTCAGCCCTCAAGACCAGCCTGGGAAACATGGTAAAAACCCATCTCTACTAAAAATAGTGGTGGCACACACCTGTAATCCCAGCTACTCAGGAGGCTGAGGCCAGAGAATCACTTGAACCCAGGAGGCAGATGTTGCAGTGAGCTGAGATGGCGCCCCTGAACTCCAGCCTGGGTGACAGAGGAAGATTCCCTCTCAAAAAAAAAAAAAGTCACATTGAATGATATTGCTATAGACACAGCTTGAGGTTTATATCTATTTTTGCTCATTTTCTAAGAATATATCTAAAACAAACATTAAAACACTCTACATCTTTCTAAGTCAGTTCTTGGAACCGAAATGTGGAGTCTATATTTAGGAACCAACAGGCAAAGGAAAACTCTAAAGCACAAAAATGACATTCTAAAGATGCAGGTTTCATTTCTGTTTTAAATGCTTCACATTACTATTCCTCTCTCTCTTTTAGTGTAAAAACTAAGGTTGGGAGTGATGTTGTCAAGTTCAAAGAAAGGCCTGAAGGTCATTGATGGATTGAGGTAGATAGCCAGGTGTGGGTTTTTTTGTTTGGTTTGGTTTTGGGTTTATTTTTAGCCTGTTGCCCAGGCTAGAGTGAAGTAGTGCAATCACAGTTCACTGAGATTGCCAGGTTTGATAAATAGGAATCTGTAGGATGGTGATCTAGAGCAGACTTGACTCTATTTTACCTGGAAAAGTTTCTAAAACTCTAAACTAGTTAACTTTGACTAAGCATAAAACACACTGCACTGGTGTTTATATTTTTCATGCCACAATATTAAAATATAATTTTAAATGTACATTATTATAATCCATAAAAGATTTGCATACATGTATTAGGCTTCCGATATGATTTGGCTCTGTGTCCCCACCCAAATCTCATGTTGAATTGTAATCCCTAATGTTGGGGGAAGGACCTGGTAGAAGGTGATTCGATCATGGGGACAGATATCCCCTTGCTGTTCTCACGATAGTGAGTGAGTTCTCACAAGATCTGGTTGTTTTAAAGTGTGTAGCACTTCCCCCTTCTCTCTCTTCCTCCTGCTCCCACAATGTAAGGTGTGCTGGCTTCCCCTTCGCCTTTTGCTATGATTATGAGATTGCTGAGGCTTCTCCAGCCATGCCTCCTGTACAGCCTGCAGAACTGTGAGTCAATTAAACCTCTTTTCTTTATAAGTCACCAGTCTCAGGTAGTTCTTTATAGCGGTGTGAGAACAGACTAATACAGCTTTTAAGTCTTTACTGGAAATTATGCAAATAGTGGTTGTAAAAAGACTGTTTTAAATAGTTTTTTACTGTTCTAGTTTTCAGTTTTTATAGAATATTATAATATTCTATTATAATAGAACATTATAATTAATAGAACTATTTATAATTCACTATATAGTGAATTATAATTATATATATAATTCACTATATAGTGAATTATAATTATATTTATAATATATTTATAAATAGAACAATTTATAATTCACTATATAGTGAATTATAATTATATTTATAATATAATATATTTATAAATAGTTATATAATTATATATAATTATAAATATAAAATTTATATATATAATTATATATAATTATATATAATATATATTACCATGTATATATATATTTATTTTTATATATTATTATAATAATATATAATATATATTATATATTATTATAATATATAATATATTATATATATTATATAATATAATATATAATATAAAATAAAATATAATATATAATATATAATATATATAATACATATAATATATAAAATATATATTGTATATATTTATAAATATATATATTATATTTATAATTATATATATAAATATATATTATTTTTATAAATATATATAAATATATATTATATTTATGAATATATTTATAATTATGTTTATAATTATATAATTATAATCATATAATTATATTTATAATTATATAATTATAAAATTATAAAAATTCACTATTTATAATTGTGAATTTTTCCATGTGGGTATAGGTATAGTGTAAATTGTAGTAATATAATAAAACACATCAATTGTGTTTATGTTTGCCTTTCATTTATGTGTAGCATAAACCATCTTCCTATATATGTGTTGCCAAACTATTCGCCAATTGTGTTTATGTTTGCCTTTCATTTATGTGTAGCATAAACCATCTTCCTATATATGTGTTGCCAAACTATTCGCCAACATCTATTTGGTGAAATATGCTGAAAATCATTCTGATTTTCCATAAGTATAGTTCTTAAGTTCCTTATATATCCAGAAGTAAACGCTATCCTGCTGTACATCAACTGTTCATTTGTTACTTATCTTCGTATTTCTTAAGAGATTCAAAGTCTTGTTCATTTTTCTGGGGGAAAAATCCATTTTGGAGGGACCAGTTTTTGTTCTTTGTATTCTGTAATGTGAACTTTTCCTGTGTACCAACATTTTAAAAATAATTACTTCAAAGAATTATTGGCACATAATCTAAAGACAGACACTATTTTTTTAAGTAAAATTTGATTTTTTTAAGGATCTTTGCACAGAATGAGTAGGCCTATGCTAATTCTTCAAACAGGAAATGTAGTTTCCTTTCTAAGAATGGATGCAGATTCAGTTTCATGGTAATATGATAATAAGAAAATGCTTCTATTTTCCATTAGCACGTTCGTGGTTTCATATACCCATGTCTATAAAACGTGACATGAGACTTTGGTTGGGCTATATTTTATTGTATTTATTAGACTTGCTTATATGAATGACTTAAGCAGAAATAAAGTCATGTATTTACAAGGTGAACAAGCCAAATTGTGATGGCCTGTCTGTTGCTTTTGGCATCTGGGATGAGACCAACTGACTCTTCCATTGGTTGTGAGATAGTTGAAATGGTCCATTGGTGGTCGTACTTAGTGTTCTGTGAAATCAGGGAGTCCTTCCACCCCAAGAATGACTCATCTGCCATTGGATTCCAGTACAAAAGTTAGCAGCCTTGTGTGTCCCAAATTGATTTAATTTCTACTTAACGTGCTCCTGTGTACATTCATTTTATAATTTACCAAAATAGTATTTGGGTAAATAATGACTCCTGGAGCAAGCTGATGTAATTGCTGCTTTGGCCATTGTTTTAAATGTATGTATTAGAGTAACTGTAAGAGACTAAAATCACAAATCTCAGTGTTCAAAATATCATTCTAATAAAATACATGCATTAAACACTTTTTTAAAATTTTAAAACAAAATGGTGGTATAGAAGCAAGTTGGCTTCACTCTCCCCAACAAAGAAACAAAAATGAATACACAGTGATGAGATTATCACCAATATTATCCCAGAACTCAAATACAAGAATGAGACAATTACTGGGGCCATTCAGATGTGAAAATACTCCAAGCAGACAGTAAAAGAATGAGACTTCAATATCCATGATACCCCTCCCTCAGTGTACCCAGCACCAAGCATACAGAAATTTTTTACTCCAAATCATAGTTTCTACACTAGAAAATGTGAGATCGAGGTTAACAACCAACTTTCCCACCATCTTGGGTTCCCTGGCAGGATACCCTGCCTCAACCCACAATAAACACCAGCAGTGCCTGAAGGGAAAAATATTCCTGAAGATAGCCAGAGACAAAAGGGAGAAGTGAAACTACCTTCCCAGCCCTGGAAATGCTGCTCTGTAACTCATGCAAAGGAGATGACAAATCAGAGTGGCTGTTCAGCAGCACCACACTGTAGGAGGTTCATTCCACAAGTCCCCTGGGCACAAACACCTAGCCAGCCTTCCCACACTACTAGGAAATCCCGTTTTGGAACACTCCCATTTGGGACAGATGGCACTCTGATCATTTACTAGAACCAAAGCAAAACTGAGCTTAACATGTCATCTAGTCCCAAAAACGAGGCAGCAACATAGTGGTGGGGGCAGGGAGAAACAAAATCAACAGATAAATTATGAAGAATCTCTAAGCAAACACATCCAGTAAAAATCAAACAAGCCAGACAGAGAAGCGTGAATTAAATAATTAATTCTTCAACGCAAAGACATAAACATACATCTACAAACAACAGCAGAGAACCATGACTGCCTCAAACCAACAACACAAGGCACCACTGACTGACCCAAACAAGACAGCAATATGTAAACTTTCTGAACTATAATTCAAAATAGCAGTTTTTTTCAAAAACTTAATGACCTCCAAGATAACACAGAAAAGCAATTCAGAAATGTATCAAAGAGACTGAAATAATGTTTTAAAATCAAGCAGAAATCTTGGAACTGAGCTATATGTTAGCTGAACTAAAACATTCATTAGAGGCTATCAACAGTAGAATGGATAAACCTAAGCTCACTAGAGCAAGAACTAGCAAGCTCAAAGACAGGATATTTGAAAATACACAGTCATAGAAGGAAAAAGAAAAAAGAATGAAAAGAAATGAAGAATGCCTATAAGATATAGAAAATTACCTCAAAATACCAAATCTAAGAATCACTGGTGTTCAAGAGGGATCTGAGAAAGAACAAGGGGTAGAAAGATGATTCAAAGAAATCATAACAGAAAACTTTTCAAACTTAAGAAAAAGATAAATGTCCAAGTACAGGAAGGTCAGAGAACACCAAAAAGATTAGACCTAACTAAGACTACCCCAAGGCATATAATAATCAAACGCTCAAAAGCCAATGACAAAGAGAGAATCCTAAAAGCTGCAAGAGAAAGTAAATTCATATAAAGGAGCTCTAACTCGTCTAGCAACAGACTTTTTTTTTTTTTTTTTTTTTTTTTTTTTTACTTTCCATAAGCAAAAAAGTTTAATGACTTGGTCTGAATTTTTTTTTTTTATTATTATACTTTAAGTTTTAGGGTACATGTGCACAATGTGCAGGTTAGTTACATATGTATACATGTGCCATGCTGGTGCGCTGCACCCACTAACTCGTCATCTAGCATTAGGTATATCTCCCAATGCTATCCCTCCCCCCTCCCTGCACCCCACAACAGTCCCCAGAGTGTGATGCTCCCCTTCCTGTGTCCATGTGTTCTCATTGTTCAATTCCCACCTATGAGTGAGAATATGCGGTGTTTGGTTTTTTGTTCTTGCAACAGTTTACTGAGAATGATGATTTCCAATTTCATCCATGTCCCTACAAAGGACATGAACTCATCACTTTTTATGGCTGCATAGTATTCCATGGTGTATATGTGCCACATTTTCTTAACCCAGTCTATCATTGTTGGACATTTGGGTTGGTTCCAAGTCTTTGCTATTGTGAATAATGCCGCAATAAACATACATGTGCATGTGTCTTTATAGCAGCATGATTTATAGTCCTTTAGGTATATACCCAGTAATGGGCAAGGACTTCATGTCTAAAACACCAAAAGCAATGGAAACAAAAGCCAAAATTGACAAATGGGATCTAATTAAACTCAAGAGCTTCTGCACAGCAAAAGAAACTACCATCAGAGCGAACAGGAAACCTACAAAATGGGAGAAAATTTTTGCAACCTACTCATCTGACAAAGGGCTAATATCCAGAATCTACAATGAACTCAAACAAATTTACAAGAAAAAAACAAACAACCCCATCAAAAAGTGGGTGAAGGACATGAACAGACACTTCTCAAAAGAAGACATTTATGCAGCCAAAAAACACATGAAAAAATGCTCACCATCACTGGCCATCAGAGAAATGCAAATCAAAACCACAATGAGATATCATCTCACACCAGTTAGAATGGCAATCATTAAAAAGTCAGGAAACAACAGGTGCTGGAGAGGATGTGGAGAAATAGGAACACTTTTACACTGTTGGTGGGACTGTAAACTAGTTCAACTATTGTGGAAGTCAGTGTGGCGATTCCTCAGGGATCTAGAACTAGAAATACCATTTGACCCAGCAACAGACTTTTCAATGGAAACCATACAGTCTAGGAGGTAATGGTGTGACATTTCCAAAGTATTGAGAGGAAAAAAACTACCATCCAAGAACACTTTGTCCAGCAAAGCTGTCCTTCAAATATATAAAGAGAGAGAGATTAAAGTCCCAGACAAACAAAAAACTAAGATAATTTACCACCACCAGATCCAGCTTACAAGATGCTAAGGGGAGCTCTTCAAACTGAAAGAAAAGAACCACTAATGTGCAAAAAGAAACATTTGAAAATATAAAACTCACTAGTAAAATTAAGTACATGAACAAACAAAAAAAATCTAATACTGTAACTGTGATGCGCAATCCATTCATAACTCTAGTATGAAGCCCAACAGACAAATTTATCAAAAACAATAATAGCTATACTGGCCTATTAGGAGATAAGTCATATAACAATATGTAAATTGAGACAACATAAAGTTAAAATGTGGGGAAAGTAGAATTAAAGGGTAGAGGTTTTTTTCTTCGTTTTTCTTTGTAATCTAAGATAAGTAGTCTTTAAAATAACTTGTTATATCTATAAGAAGTTTTTTGTAAGCCTCACGATAACCACTATGATTTTAAAAAACCTATAATAGATTTACTAAAAATAAAAAAGCAATGAATTCAAACACACTACCAAAGAGAATCACTTAACCACAAAGGAGGACAGGAACAAAGAAAGAGAAGAGTTACAAGACAACCAGAAAACAAGTTTTGAAAAATGGCAGTAGTAAGTCCTTACATATCAGTAATAACACTGAATGTAAATGGACTCAATTGTTCAGTTAAAAGGCACACGGTGGCTGAATGGATAAAGAAAAAGACCCAATTACATACTGCTTATTTTAACTACATAAAAATCCACTTTCATTATACAGACACAGACTGAAAGTTAAGTGGTGGAAAATGATATTTCATGCAACTGGAAACCAAAAGAGAGCAGGAATCACTATACTTATATCAGATAAAATAGATTAAAAATCAAAGACTATAAGAAGTGGCAAAGAAGGTCACTATATAATGATATAGGGATTAATTCAGCAAGAAGCTATAATAATTATAAGTGTCTATGCACTCAACACCAGAGGTCCCAAGTATAAGAAGCAAACCTTAATAGATCTAAACCTACTAATATTGTATTAGACTGTAATACAATATTAGTAGGGGACTTCAACACCCTACTCTCAGTAATGGACAGATCATCCAGACAGAAAATCAACAAAGAAACTACACACTAAACCAAATAGGCCTAAATGACATTTACAGAACATTTCAACCAACAGTTGTAGAACATATTCTTTTCATCAACACATGGAATATTCCCCCAACACATGGAATATTCCCCCCAACACATGGAATATTCCCCCCAACAGATTATATCTTAGGCCACAAAACAATCAAGTATCTCTTCTGACTACAGTGGAATAAAACTAGAGATCAATGACAAAAGAAACCTCAGAAAATACATAAACACATGGAAATTAAACATTTTCCTGAATGAACAATAGGTCAATGAAGAAATTAAGACGAAAATTAAAACATTTCTTGAAACAAATGGAAATAGATATACAACATACCAAAATCTATGGAATACAGCAAAAGCAGTACTACAAGGAAAGTTTATAGCAAAAATGCTCCATATCCAAAAGGTAGAAAGACTTCAAATAAATGACCTAATGATGCACCTCAAGGAACTAAAAAAGCAAGAACAAACCAAACCCAAAATTAGTAAAGGAACTAAATAATAAAGATCAAAACATAAATAAATGAAACAAAAAAATAGAAGACCAACAAAATGAAAAGTTGGTTTTCTGAAAAGATGAACAAAATCAACAAACCTTTAACTAGACTAACCAAGAAAAAGAGAGAGAAGACTCAAATAGAATTAGAAACAGAGAAGGATGCATAACAACTGAGACCACACAAATACAAAGAATCGTTAGAGACTATTATGAACAACTATACACCAATGAATTAGAAAACCTAGAGGAAATTGATAAATTTCTGGAAACATGCAACCTACCAAGATTGAAATATGAAGAAATAGAAAACTTTAATAAACTTGTAACAAGTAACAAGATTCAAGTCACACTAAAAGGTCTCCCATCAAAGAACAGCCCAAGCCCTAGGCACGGTGGCTCACGTGTATACTCCTAGTACTTTGGGAAGCTAAGGCAGATGGACTGCTTGAAGCCAGGTATTTGAGACCAGCCTGGGAAACACAGCAAGACCTCATCTCCACAAAAGTTTTAAAATTGTTTTAAAGGTGTAGTGGCACACCCCTGTACTCCAAGCTACTCCAGAAGCTGAGGCAGGAGGACAGCTTGAGTCCAGGAGTTTGAGGTTGTAGTGAGCTATGATCATATCACTGCACTCTAGCCTGGGCAACAGAGTGACATCTTGTCTAAAAAACTAAAATAAAAGCCCAGCACCTGACGGCTTTACTTAAAGAATTAATGCAAAGTCTACTCAAACTCTTTTAAAAAATATGAAAAGGAGAGAATACTTCCAAACTCATTGGACAAGCCAGCATCACCTTGATACCAAAACCAGAAATGGACACAACAACAACAACAACAACAAAACCACAGGCTAATGTCACTGATTAACATAGATGCAAAGCTCCTCAACAATATACTAGCAAACTGAATTCCACAGCACATTAAAAAGATCATTCACCATGATCAAGTGGGATTTAATCCCAAGGATGCAAAAAATGATTCAACATATGCAACAAATGTGATACATCACATAAAACCAATAAGAAAGGTTATATGGTCATTTCAATAGATGCTGGAAAGACATTTGGTGAAATTCAAAATTCTTTTATGATAAAAACCCTCAACAAATTGGATATAGAAGAAACATACCTCAACATAATAAATGCCATATATGACAAACCCAAAGCTAATATCATATGAATGGGAGAAAATTGAAAGTCTTTGGTTTAAGATCTGGAACAAGACAAGGATGATCACTTTCACCATTTATTCAACATAATACTGGAAGTCCTGGCCAGAGCAATTAGTCAAGAGAAAGAAATAAAAGGCATCCAAATTGGAAAGGAAGAAGTCAAAGTAGCTCGTTTGCAGACAATATAATCTTATACTTAGAAAACTCCTAAGATTTCACCAAAAAACAGTTAGAACTGATACATTCAGTGAAGTTGCAGGATACAAAATCAACATACAAAAATTAGTAGCATTTCTATACATTAATAATGAACTAGCTAATCAAGAACACAATCCCATTTATAATAGCTACAAAGAATACAATTACTTAAGAATCCATTTAATCAAAGAAATGAAAGATCTATACAAGAAAAACTATAAAACCCTGATGAAAAAATAGAAGAGGACACAAAAAAATGGAAAGGTATTCTATTCTCCTGAATTGGAAGAATATTGTTAAAATGACAATACTACCCGAAGCAATTTACAGATTCAATGCAATCCCTATAAAAAGACCAATGACAGAAACAATCAGTCTTGGCTGGCAAGATGGCCAAATAGGAACAGCTCCGGTCTGCAGCTCCCAGCGAGATCGACGCAGAAGGTGGGTGATTTCTGCATTTCCAACTGAGGTACCTGGTTCATCTCACTGGGACTGGTTGGACAGTGGGTGCAGCCCACGGAGGGCAAGCCGAAGCAGGGTGGGGCATTGTCTCACCTGGGAAGCACAAGGGGTCAGGGAGTTCCTGCCCCTAGCCAAGGGAAGTCATGAGGGACTATGACGTGAGGAACAGTGCACTCCAGCCCAGATACTGCACTTTTCCCATGATCTTCACAACGCGCAGACCAGGAGATCCCCTCCAATACTTAACGCCACCAGGGAGGGCCCTGGGTTTCAAGCACAAAACTGGGCAGCCATTTGGGCAGACATCGAGCTAGCTGCAGGAGTTTTTTTTTTTTTTTTTTTTTTCCTTCATGCCCCAGTGGTGCCTGGAATGTCAGCGAGACAGAACCGTTCTTTCCCCTGAAAAGGGGGCTGAAGCCAGGGAGCCAAGTGGTCTGGCTCAGCGAGTCCCTTCTCCATGGAGCCCATCAAGCTAAGATCTACAGGCTTGAAATTCTCGCTGCCAGCACAGCAGTCTGAGGTTGACCTGGGATGCTCAAGCGTGGTGGGGGGAGGGGCATCCACCATTGCTGAGGCTTGAGTAGGCGGTTTTACCCTCACAGTGTAAAAGCCGCCAGGAAGTTCAAACTGGGCAGAGCCCACCACAGCTCAGCAATGCCGCTGTGGCCAGACTCCCTCTCTAGATTCCTCCTCTCTTGGCAGGGCATCTCTGAAAAAAAGGCAGCAGCTCAGTTAGGGGCTTATAGATAAAACCCCCATCTCCCTGGGAGAAGGGGCAGCTGTGGGCGCAGCTTCAGCTGACTTAAACATCCCTGCCTGATGGCTCAGAAGAGAGCAGCAGATCTACCAGCACAGCGTTCAAACTCTGCTAAGGGTCAAGCTGCCTCCTCAGTGGGTCCCTGACCCCTGTGTATCCTGACTGGGAGACACCTCCCAGTACGGGCCGAGAGACACCTCATACAGGAGAGCTCTCACTGGCATCTGGCGGGTGCCCCTCTGGGACGAAGCTTCCAGAGGAAGAAACAGGCAGCAATCTTTGCCGTTCTGCAGCCTCCGCTGGTGTTACCCAGGCAAACAGGGTGTGAAGTGGACCTCCAGCAAACTCCAGCATACCTGCAGCAGAGGGGCCTAACTGTTAGACGGAAAACTAACAAACAGAAAGGAATAACATCAACATCAATAAAAAGGACGTCCACTCAGAGACCCCATCCGAAGGTCACCAACATCAAAGGCCAAAGGTAGATAAATTCACAAAGATGGGGAGAAACCAGCACAAAAAGGCTGAAAATTCCAAAAACCAGAACACCTCTTCTCCTCCAAAGGATCACAACTCCTCGCCAGCAAGAGAACAAAACTGGACGGATGATGAGTTTGACGAATTGACAGAAGTAGGCTTCAGACGGTGGGTAATAACAAACTCCTCTGAGCTAAAGGAGCCTACATCTACTGATATGATCGTATGATTTTTCTTCTTTAATCCTGATAAAGGACTGTTATTCAAAATACACAAGGACTCTCAAAACTCAACAATAAGAACACAAACAGCCCAATTAAAAAGTGAGCTGAATACCTTAACAGACACCTTACAAGACAAGATATTCAGATTGCAAATAAGCATATGAAAAAATCCTCCACATCATACGTTACCAAGGAAATTCAAGTTAAAACAATGAGGTACTACTATAAACCTATTAGAATGACCAAAATCCAGAACACTGACTTCTCCACATGCTGGCTAAGATGTGGAGCAACAGGAACTCTATTCGCTGCTATTGGGAATGAAAAATGATACAGCCACTTTGGAAAATAGTTGGGAAGTTTCTTACAAAACTAAATATACTCTTACTATATGATCCAGCAGTCATGCTCCTTGTTATTTACCCAAAGCAGTTTAAAACTTAATGTCCTTACAAAAATCTGCATGGACCTATTTTCCTCCATTATCACTGGTTTTATTTTCCTCCATTATATCACACAGCCCTACAGATGTCTTCTTCAGGAAGGAGCAGGTTGGCTAACAAAAATCTTCACCTGTTATCACTCTGTGGATGTTTATCTTTTAATAGGGCAATATTCAAAAGACTAAATCACTAATGTTGAACTTTTAGGTACCAAAATCAGCTGTTGGGAGTTATTTGGCAGAGGGAAACCTGCTTAGCATCTAAATAGCACTGGCAGTTGACCACCTACCTCACGTATTTATTACATCAGCCCAGTCAAGATCTACTGCTATACATGGGAACTACCATGCTATGGTTTGAGTGACTGGGCTTTGGACACTCAAAATTTCTAGCCTGGAAGATATCCCTTAGTTCTCATTCTACTAACAAGAGTCCTACAGAGAGCATTTTGAGACATTTATTGTGAAACCATATATTCTTATATGTCAGTCAACTGCTGTTATTTCTAACACGCAGCTTTTCCTCCAGTTCAAATTACAGTTCATATATGAGCATGGTGTTCTTTGATCTTAAAATGTTTCACTGCTTGTTAATGACTACATAGATGATGTTCCCTTTGGAAAGAATAACAATAAGGTAAGCAAGATTACCTAGTGAACAGAAAATTGGAATTCAGGGACCCTGCCTAAAAGCACTTGGGATCCAACTATGTAGAAAATCAGCCACCAGCCATCCTGGAGAAGATGTAATAAAGATAACAAAAAGAAAAATATTGCCTTATATTTTCATAGAACTATATCAGACACCTCATATGTACACTCCTAAACCTCAGCTGTGTGTGGTACCTGAACTATTTGTTCTGCCTCAGCTTTGGAGGAAACTAGGCAGGTTCTACTCAGAGGCACCCCTTTGGGTTTCAGACTCATCATCTCTCCAATACGGACATTCTTTTCAGAAGCAGCGATTAGCATACCACTGGGCTCTTGTCAAAACTAAACAGCTGATTGAGGGGCTTCAAGATAGTTGACTGGAGGCATCTGGTACTCATCTCCTATACAAAAAAAGAGCCAAAATAGGGGGTAGATAATCACACTTTGAATGGATCACCTAAGAGAGAACACTGGAATTCAACAGAGAAGTGACAGGAAACATCTAAAGCGAGGAAGAAAAGGGAAGTGAGGCAGCCTGCTCAGTAGGTTGGGAGCCAGGAGAGGCCCCAGTGTGAAGAAAGAGTAAATGAATGACCCCAAGCAGTGCACATACTCACCGCTAATTCTTTCATCCTAGCCAAGAAAAACCCTAGACTCTTGCAAGCACCACAAATAACAGAATGTCCTGGAGACCACATGAAGGCATAGCTCCAGAGAGGGGGCTCATGCTGGGTCCTACACAGCTCCTGAGCTCTAGACAGGTACAGCAAGGTGTCCCAATGAAAACCCAGGCTCCCTGAGACTGCATCCTGCCCAGGGAACCAACAGTCCTTGCATCTCCACATCTCTGGAGCCCCAGTGAGATGCCCCTCCTGTAGCCACGCCCCAATGAGATGCCCCTGCTGTAGCCACCACCATGTCTGGCTTCTGCTTCAAGGGCTGAAACACAAGCCACTGGCAAACACCTCACTGGCCCCAACAGTGAAGCCATAGTGTATTTTCACACACCCCCAGGAGAAACTCCCCATAAACAGCTGCTGCCACTGTGGGCTGCCACAGCCTGGGGCTGAAGACCAAGTGAAGTACATGCTCCCCAGCACCCTGCACATATCTGCTACCATTAAAAGCAACCCCGCCCTCTCCAATAGCAGGGCTGCAGTGCAGCAACTGCTGCCTTCACCCAAGCATTCTGCCTTGGGCCTGGGGTTACCCTGCCACTGCCTAACACAGCCAATGCCTGCAAGCACCACCAGGGTCCCTGAGGACAGATACACCTGACCCAGATCTACCCCACCAGTCCTCAAGTTTTCCATCCAGGGGCCTGGAAACCACCCAGCCCAGTCCACCACTATTGGTACCTGAACACTCTACCCAGGGTCCTGAGATGAAGCACATCCAAATGCCACTACCCCCACAGCAGACACCCGCTCACATGTTCCACTTGCAATTAGAAGAAAGAAGTTCTCATGTCTGAGAGCAGAGTAGGGTGACTATAGTGAACAACAATGTATTATATATTTCAAAATTGCTAGAAGATAAGACTTGAAATGCCCCCAACAATAGCAATGATAAATATTCAAGATGATGGACACCTTAAATACCCTGAATTGACCATTACACAATTTGTACATGTAACAAACTATCACATGTACCCATAAATATGTATAAATATTTGTACCAATGTGGAAAAAAAACTGAATGGCTGACCCATACGGCCTTGTAACTCTCCGGCCTGATGTCCCTATTTTGGGATGGGTCGATGAGGACTTGAGAACTAATATGTTGGGAAGGGCCCAAAAGGCATCACCAGCCAAGTGGAATGGTACACTCAAGAGCACAGCCTGCCTGACCCTGGCAATATCTCAGCTTTATGCAAAAATGTGGCTGCCACCCCTTTGGGGAGACTCTGTTCCCCACTCTGCCACCTGAAGCAAAGTTGCTGGCTCAGTGAGGACCCTCACCTGTCAGAGGTTCCCCTTTATGCCCACGACTAATTTACTGATTATTCAGCTAAGCTGATTGCTAATGTTGCCACTGGGCAGAAGCAGCTTTCTGATCCTAGGAACAACGCTGAAAGAATGTCTATAGCAAGAGCCAATCAGTACCATGGTCTGCATTGAAAGCCATAACCCTTACCTTAGACAACACTCCTTCAGACCAGGTATTTTATATTTTTACTGACTTGGATTTTTGCCAATGGCCTTGCAACCAGATTTGGCACTTGGAAGAAAGATCACAGATTAGTTAAAGAAAATACTCTTTGGGCTGCGAACTGTGGGAACAAGTTGTAACTGTCAGTCTGATAGTCTGGGTCAATTATGTGTTTCCCCATGATAAGGACCTATCCTCCGATGAGACTGACTGGAACCAAACCTGTACCACTCAGATGGACACCACTGCCACTTGGATCCATCATTGCACGGGACATGACAAGGCATCTACTATTATAAACTGGGCACAAAATAAAGCTTCTGATACAGAAGCCATGATTGCATATCAAGCTTTTGACTCATGCCAAAAACTAGCCCATTTGTCTCATGATGAAGAAGCCCGCAATGTAAGAGGTATTGCCCCCATTCGCACCTGGCACATTGACCATTTCAGATGTTTGAGCTCCTCTTGGGCTACTGGTGGAGTCTCAGTGATGTTGACACTTACTCAGCGTACAGTGTTACTATTTTAGTTCAATAAGCTGAACCTAGCCGCACACTGTGGCTCTTGTAACTCAGCTGTGTCAGGTTTCTGGCTTTCTGGACTGTTTATAGTCTAAATATAGTTCACCTTTGTCACAAAGACATTCAACAATGGGCCGATAGTCAAGGTATTCAATGCACATTTCACACCCCTTTTCATCATTTAGAGGTGGAATGCACTTATTTAAAAAATCAACTCAAAATGATTTTTTACTCTCTTTCTTTCGCTTCCTCCTTTGGTCACTGAAAGCAGTCATCCCTCAAAGGGGCTTATCTCCTTTCACCTACCTCCTTATTAATGATCAAGAATAAAAGGAATGGGTGTGTTATATAAGCATATTTTGAAATTTGGAATTTCTCTTGACCATTCTGGCGCATAATGTTTCCTTCTTTCCCCTAACAATAACCTAGGCCAGCCTGTGTAATATACACTGTGCATGGCAGCCTGGCTGAAAGGGATCCTAAAGAATTCAAACTTAATTCAGGTTAAGCCTCCTAGATTCCCTTACTGGGCTGATATAGTTCTAGATCAAAAAGATTTAGGTTGGATGTGAGATGACTTCTTGAATTAGTACACTACTCACCAAGTCCCTCTCCAGTGGTCCATGAGGACCAAGGGAAGAGGATAAAATAAGTCCTTTATAAATTTTACAAAAATACCATGTCCCTCTTGTACCTGGCCACTCCAGACACATGACCTACTTGTAAGTAGGAGATGATTGTGGAAAAGGTGAAGTTAGCACTACTAGAATGGGATGCACGGATTATGTCATGGTGAGAGGAGAGTAAAACCCCTGGAGGGAATACTTTAGATCCCAGGAGTTATGGAAGGAGGAGGATAATTATTTTCAGTCTTTCAGAGCCATCCCTGGGGACTTCTTCACCAGATATAGCAGGAAGCTGACCTGCATAGTGGTCTCCTCCCAAGATTTAAGATGATTAGTGGGGCACACTCCATGTGACTTCAACTCATCAGAAGCACACTACCATCACCACCACTCAACCTGAGGAAGAGATAAGGAAAATCAGAACATGCACTTGTCTGTTTGGCTCTTTGTGGCAAACTAACCCTACTGGTTTGCACATGGAAGAGGCCAAAAAGGTGGCACTCTCCTGCCAAAAGAAGGAGGGAAGACTGTGGGAAAAGGGTGCACTCTTTCATCCCAGAAATACTGAGAGGCAGATGTCTTAGAAAGATGTCTTATAGGAAGAGAGGCAGACTCTTTCTATAAAAGAGGTCCCCTTTTATAGAAACATAAGGAGGGCAGATAGTTTACATCCCTTGCCCACCTCCCATTGCCCTTACAGAGTACTATTAAAGAGATTTTATTTTCTAAGAGCTTAGAAAGGAGGTCAGAACAAGAGTATATCAACAGAGAGCTATGATGTTAAAATATATTCTTCATATTAAACATTACATTCATGTCAAGGGGTGAGAACGTTCAGTGACAAGTGCATGAAAACTGTACTTATGGTCAATGAAGATACTTCTTTAGGAGAAGCCAGGCGACGATTCTGGTTGGGAAGCAATAGATAAGGAACAGTTCAAAATGACCAGTGAAAATCTTTAGGCATTAAGGATCCAGTCACTGATCTAAAGTAAGGCTTCTCTAAGGCTTAAGGATTAGAGTATCTTTAGGAAAAGCAACTTATGTAAAAGATGTCTCAAAGAACAGAATAATGGTCCATAAATATTAGAAGATAGAAGTCCTAAAACAACTAAGAGTACCATAATAAAAAGAAAATAGGCTTTGCTAAAAATGAATTCAATCCCAGATCTCATAATCTAATTAAAATACATAGAGTGGCTGGATAGATTTTTTAAAAACCAACTATATGTGGCCTACAAGAGACTCATCTCACTTGTAAGGACACACATAGACTGAAAGCAAAGAGATGGAAAAAGATAGTCCAAGCAAGTGCAAACCAAAAGAGCAGGAGTAGCTAAACTTATATCAGATAAAACAGACTTTAAGTCAAATGGTAAAATGAGATAAAGAATGTCATTATATAATGATAAAGGGGTCAATTCGTCAAGAGCTATAACAATTATAAATATATATATATATACATATATGTATTCAACATCAGTATACCTAAGTATATAAGGCAAATATTAATAGATCTAAAGGGAGGAATAAATTACGAGAAAATAATAGCAGAAGACTGCAAAACCCCACTTTCAGCAACGAACAGATCAAGATAGAAAATCAATAAGGAAACACTGAATTTAAACTACATATTAGACCAAATGGACCTAACAGACATATAAAATATTCCATCCAAAAGCAGCAGCATACACACTCTTCTCAAGTGCACACAGAACATTCTCCATAACAAATCATATTTTAGGCCACAAATCAAGTCTTAACAACTTTAAGAAGATTGAAATCATATTGAGTGTCTTTTCTAACCATAATGGTATAAAACTAGAAATCAATAACAGAAGAAATTTCAGAAAATTCACAAATACATGGAAATTAAACATGTTCCTGAGCATTCAATGGATTAAAGAAGAAATTAAAAGGGAAATTTAAAAAATATCTTGAGACAAATAAAAATGAAACACAACATACTAAAACAAGGGATGCACCTAACGTGTTCTAGGAGGAAAAACACCTAGACCATAAAAGAAGAAAAATCTCAAATGAACAACCTACCATTACACCTCAAGGAACTAGGCAAAGAAGAACACACTAAGCGCAAAGTTAAGAAATAAATGTTAGAGTAGAAATAAATGAAAGACTAGGAAAACAATACAAAAGATTAGTAAGAGTTGATTTTGAAGAGACAAAATTGACACCCCTTTAATTAGACTAAGAAAAAAGATTCAAATAAAATAAAAAATGAAATAGGAGATATTACAAATTGTGTAACAGAAATACAAAGGATCAAAACAGACTACTGCGAACAATTATACACCAAGAAATTGGATAACCTAGAAAAGAATGAATACATTCCTAGACATATACATTTCTTAAGACTAAATCATGAAAAAATAGAAAATCTGAACAGCCCAATAATGAGCAAACATATTGAATCAATAATAAAAATTCTCATATCAAAGAGAAGCCCAGAATCTGATGACCACTGCTTAATTCTACCAAGCATTTAAAGAAAAACTGGCCGTATACAATGGCTTGTGACTCATGCCTTTAATCCCAGCACTTTGGGAGGCAGAGATGGGAGCATCACTTGAGGCCAGACGTTTGAGACCAGCCTGGCAACATAGCAATTTTTAGCAAAGCCTGTTTTTTTTTTTTTTTTGCGTGTCTAAAAAAAAAAAACATTTTATTAAAATTCACTGAGCATGCTGGCATACACCTATAGTTCTAGCTATTCAGAAGGCTGAGGCAGAAGGATCATTTGAGCCCACGAGTTTGAGGCTGCAGTAAGCTATAATCATGCCACTGCACTCCAGCCTGGGAAACAAAGCAAGATCCTATATTTAAAAATTAATAATAATAAAATAAAATGAAAATAAAAAGTTAAGAAGAACTAATACCAATCCATCTCACGTCCTTCCAAAAAATTTAAGAAGAAAGAATACTTCCAAAGTCATTTTATAAGGCTAACATCAACCAGATACCAAAGCTAGACGAGGATCGACAAGAAAAGAAAATTATAGGCTAACATCCCTCATGAACATAAAAGCAAAAATTATCAACAAAATACTAGAAAACTGAATTCAATAGCATATTAAAATAATCATTCATCATGATCAAGCAGAATTTATTCCAGGGATGAAAGGATGGCTCAACATATGCAAATCTATAAATAAAATATACCACATTAACAGAATGAAAGACAAAAACCACATGATCATCTCAATATATGCAGAAACAGCATTTGATAAAATTCAACATCCTTTCATGATAAATTCTTAATAATTTAGGTATAGAAGGAATATACCTCAACACAATAAATGTCATATGTGACAAATCCACAGCTAAAATCATACTCGATGGTAAACATTGAAAGATTTTCCTCCAAGATCAGGAACAAGACAATGATGCCAGCTCTCACCACTCCTATTTTATAGTACTGGAAGTTCTAGCTAGAGGAATTAGGCAAGAGAAACAAATAAAAGGCATCAAGATTGGGAAGGAAGAAGTTAAATTGTCCCTCTTTGCAAATGAAATGATCTTATATACAGAAAACCCTAAAGATTCCACCAAAAAGGCCAGGCACAGTGGTTCACGCCTGTAATCCCAGCACTGCGAGAGGCTGAGGTGGGTGGATCACCTGAGGTCAGGAGTTCAAGACCAGCCTGGCCAACATGGTGAAACCCCATCTCCACTAAAAATAGAAAAAAAGTAGCCAGGCATGGTGGCTCACGCCTGTAATCCCAGCTACTCAGGAGGCTGAGGCAGGAGAATTGCTTGAACCTGGGAGGTAGAGGCTGCAGTGAGCCAAGATCACATCACTGCACTCCAACCTGGGCAATGGAGTGAGACTTCATTAAAAATAAAAAAAAATTCTACCAAAAATCTCTTAGAACTAATAAATACAGAAAAGTTTTGGAATATAAAATCAACATACAAAAATCAATAGCACTTTTATACACTAATTACAAGCTGTGCAAAAAGACACCACAAAAACAGCCCCATTTACAATAGCTAGAAAAAACAAATAAAATGTTTGGGAACAAATTTAACTTATGAAGTAAAACAGCTGTACAGTAAAAACTACAAAATATAGATGAAAGAAACTGGAGAAGACACAAACAAATGGAAAGATATCCCATGCTCATGAATTAGAAGATTCAATATTGTAAAATGTCCATACTACCCAAAGCAATCTACAGATTCAATGCAATTCCTATTCAAAATTCCATGGGCATTTTTCACAGAATTAGAAAAAATTCTAAAATTTATATGGAACCACAAAAGATCTGAATAGTCAAGGCAATCTTGAGCAAAAAGAACAAAGCTAGAAGCATCACACTACCTGACTTTGAAATATACTGCAAAGTTATCACAATCAAAAAAGCATGATACTAGAATAAAAACACACACATAGACCAATGGAACAGATTAGAGAGCTCAGAAATAAAGCCACACATTTATGGTCAATTGATTTTTAGTGATGATGCAAAGAATACACAATAGGGAAAGGAGGGTCTCTTCAATAAATGGTGTTGAGAGAACTGATATTCACATGCAGAAGAATGAAATTGAACCCTTGTCTCACACTAGATACAAAAAACTTGAAATGGATTAAAGACTTAAATGTGAAGCTGTAAAACTACTAGGAGAAAATGTAAGGGAAAAATTCCATGACATTAGTCTTGGCAATGATTTTTTTTTCTATAAACCCAAAAGCACAGGCAATGAAATCAAAAATAGACAAATGGGGTTACTCCAAACTACATAGCTTCTGCACAACAAAGAAATAATCAACAGAGAAAGGAGACAACCTATAAAATTGAAGAAAATATTCGCAAACTGTACATCTAATAAGGGGTTAGTATCCAAAATATATAAGGAACTCAAACAACTCATTAGCCAGAAAACAAATTACCTGGTTTTTAAAAGGGCAAAGGACTTGAATAGACATTTATTAAAAGAAGACATTCAAATAACCAAGTATATGAAAAAACACTCAACATCACTAATCCTCAGGGAAATGCAAATTAAAACTACAATGAGATACCACTTCACACCTGTTAGAACGGCTATTACCAAAAAGACAAAAGATAAAAACTCTTAATGAGGATATGGAAAAAGGAGAACCCTTCCACAACATTAGTGGGAATGTAAAATGAAAAACAATATGTGACCCCTCAAAAAATTAAAAATAGAATTACCATATAATCCAAAAGTCCTATTACTGGATATATAGCCAAAGGAAATGAAATCAATATGTGGAAGAGATATATGCACTCTCATGATTACTGTAGAATTATTCACAATAGCCAAGATCTGGAATCAACCTAAGTGTTCATCAACAAATGAATGGATAAAGAAAATGTGGTATATATACACAATGAAATACTATTAAGCCATGAAAAAGAAGGAAATCCTGTTACTTGCAACAACATGGATTAATCTGGAGGACATTATGTTAAGTGAAATAAGCCAGACACAGAATGATATCACTTTCTGAAAGACAAATACTGCATGATCTCAGAGCTTGACTCCACATGGGCTCTTTAATAATGATAGCTGTTAGTGAAGAAAACAGAAAGAGCATAAGAACTATACAAGAGGATAGACATGAATATGTTAAACTCACATGAAAAATAACTCTGCTGTTTGTTGCTTGGAATACTCATCCAGAAGATATACACAGAATAAGAACATAGATGGAATAAAATGTGGACTTTAAATTTTTGCTGTTTTCAGTTTTCCCCATTGAGAATTCCCTGCATTGGCCACCTGTCTCTTACCACTGCAAAGGACAAGAAGGTATCTCCTTCAGCTGACAAGAGAGACTCACCAAGTGACAGAAGCTTTCCCATGGAGGAACAGTCCCATGGGATTCTCCAAGTAAGATAACAGGGAATCACTAAGAATTTCCTAACTTATGTGGGCAAATGTATTATCAAGGCTACTTTGCTTATTCTAAATCAGTTTTACTCCAGCATAGGCTATTAAAAAAAAAGACTTTTCCAAGACAACATTACACAAATACTCACAGAAAAAATCTGAAGGATCTAAAAAACATAAAGATCCTTTTCAGAACACTAATGGGCTCCAAGACAGTCAGGCATGAGGCCTTTAAAGACCATCACTGAAATGAAATTTCACTGATGAGTACATTCCAAAAAACAGACTGAGACCTGTTTTGTTTCTTCTCTTTTTGAAATGACTTTGAAGTGAATAAACATATCAATGACCTATATATAATTAATTGGTGTCTGGATCTTTTTTGTAAGAGACTTGGGTTGAGTATCCAAAGGCATGTGTGCTCTAAGGGCAAAAATCTCAGAACATTTTGGCTACATTTAACAGGGGGCAATGACTGCAAGAAGGGAGAAAAGGGTCCATGTTCCAGGCTTGCTCTTAATACTATGCAAAGAGCCTGGGGCAAAAGAAAGGGATGGAGGAATACTTACCAGGCAAATGGAAAGCAGAGAAAATCAGGCGTTGCAATCCTAGTCTCTGATAAAACAGACTTTAAACCAACAAAGATCAAAAGAGACAAAGAAGGGCATTACATAATGGTAAAGGGATCAATGCAACAAGAAGAGCTAACTATCCTAAATATATATGCACCCAATACAGGAGCACCCAGATTCATAAAGCAAGTTCTTAGAGACCTACAAGAAACTTAGACTCCCACACAATAATAGTGGGAGACTTTAACACCCCAATGTCAATATTAGACAGATCAACAAGACAGAAAATTAACAAGGATATTCAGGACTTGAACTCGGCTCTGGACCAAGTGGGCTTAATAGACAGCTACAGAACTCTCCACCCCAAATCAACAGAATATGCATTCTTCTCAGTACCACACTGCACTTATTCTAAAATCAACCACATAATTGGAAGCAAAACACTCCTCAGCAAATGCAAAAGAACGGAAATAACAGTCTCTTAGACCACAGTGCAATCAAATTAGAACTCAGTATTAAGAAACTCACACAAAACCACACAACTACATGGAAACCGAACAACCTGCTCCTGAATGACTACTGGGTAAATAACAAAATTAAGACAGAAATAAATAAGTTATTTGAAACCAATGAGAACAAAGATACAATGTACAAGAATATTTGGGACACATTTAAAGCAGTGTTTAGAGGGAAATTTATAGCACTAAATGCCCACAGGGAAAAGCAGGAAAGATCTAAAATCAACACCCTTACATCACAATTAAAAGAACTACAGAAGCAAGAGCAAACAAATTCAAAAGCTAGCAGAAGACAAGAAATAACTAAGATCAGAGCAGAACTGAAGGAGATAGAGACATGAAAAATCCTTCAAAAAATCAATGAATCCAGGAGGTGGTTTTTTGAAAATATTAACAAAATAGATAGACCACTAGCCAGACTAATAAAGAAGAAAAGAGAGAAGACTCAAATAGACACAATAAAAAATAATAAAGGGGATATCACCACTGATCCCACAGAAATACAAACTACCATCTGAAAATACTATAAACACCTCTACACAAATAAACTAGAAAATCTAGAAGAAATGGATAAATTCCTGAACACATACACCCTCCCAAGACTAAACCAGGAAGAAGTCAAATCCCTGAATAGACCAATAACAAGTTCTGAAACTGAGGCAGTAATTAATAGCCTACCAACCAAAAAAAGCCCAGGACCAGAAAGATTCACAGCCAAATTCTACCAGAAGTACAAAGAGGAGCTGGTACCATTCCCTCTGTTACTATTCCAAACAATAGAAAAAGAGGGAAATCTCCCTAACTCATTTTATGAGGCCAGCATCATCCTGATACCAAAACCTGCCAGAGACACACACACATGCAAAAAAAAAAAAAATTCAGGTCAATATCTCTGATGAACATCGATGAGAAAATCCTCAATAAAAAATACTGGCAAACCAAATGCAGCAGCAAATCAAAAAGCTTATCCACCATGATCCAGTCTGCTTCATATCTGGGATGAAAGGCTGGTTCAACATATGCAAATCAATAAATGTAATCCATCACATAAACAGAACCAATGACAAAAACCACTTGATTATCTCAATAGATGTAGTAAAGGCCTTCAATAAAATTCAACACCCCTTCATTCTAAAAACACTCAATAAACTAGCTATCGATGGAACATATCTCAAAATGGTAAGAGCTATTTATGACAAACCCACAGCCAATATCAGACTGAATGAGCAAAAGCTGGAAACATGCCTTTTGAAAACCAGCACAAAGCAAGGATGCCCTCTCTCATCACTCCTATTCAACATAGTATTGGAAGTTCTGGCCAGGGCAATCAGGCAAGAGAAAGAAATAAAGCGTATTCAAATAGGAAGAGAGGAAGTCAAATTGTCTCTGTTTGCAGATGACATGATTGTATATTTAGAAAATCCCATCGTCTCAGCCCAAAATCTCCTTAAGCTGATAAGCAACTTCAGCAAAGTCTCAGGATACATGTGAAAAAAATCACAATCATTCCTGTACACCAAAAATAGACAGAGAGCCAAATCACGAGTGAACTCCCATTCACAATTGCTACAAAGAGAATAAAATACCGTGGAATACGACTTACAAGGGACGTGAAGGACCTCTTCAAGGAGAACAACAAGCCACTGCTCAAGGAATAAGAGAGGACACAAACAAATGGAAAAACATTCCATGCTCATGGTTAAGAAGAATCAATATCAGGAAAATGGCCATACTGCCCAAAATAATTTATGGATTCAATGCTATCTCTAGCAAGCTACCATTGACTTTCTTCACAGATTTAGAAAAACTTCTTTGAATTTCATATGGAACCAAACAAGAGCCCGTATAGCCAAGACAATCCTAAGCAAAAAGAACAAAGCTGGAGGCATCATGCTACCTGACTTCAAACTATACTACAAGGCTACAGTAACCAAAACAGCATGGTACTGGTACCAAAATAGATATATAGGCCAATGGAACAGAACAGAGGCCTCAGAAATAATGCCACACATCTACAACCATTGGATCTTTGACAAAACTGACACAAACAAGCAATGGGGAAAGGATTCCCTATTTAATAAATGGTGTTGGGAAAACTGGCTAGCCATGTGCAGAAAACTGAAACTGGACCCCTTCCTTACATCCTATACAAAATTTAACTCAAATGGATTAAAGACTTAACATAAGACCTAAAACCATAAAAACCCTAGAAGAACACCTAGGCAATACCATTCAGGACATAGGCATGGTCAAAGACTTCATGACTAAGACACCAAAAGCAATGGCAACAAAAGACAAAATTGACAAATGGGATCTAATTAAACTAAAGAGCTTCTGCACAGCAAAAGAAACTATCATCAGAGTGAACAGGCAACCTACAAAATGGGAGAAAATTTTTTCAATCTATCCATCTGACAAAGGGCTAATATCCAGAATCTATAATGAACTTAAACAAATTTACAAGAAAAAAACAACCCCATCAAAAAGTGGGCAAAGGATATGAACAGACGCTTCTCAAAAGAACACATTTATGCAGCCAAGAAACATGAAAAAAAAATTATCATCACTGGTCATTAGAGAAATGCAAATCAAAACCACAATAAGATACGATCTCACACCAGTTAGAATGGCAATCATTAAAAAGTCAGGAAACAATAGATGCTGGAAAGACTGTGGAGAAATAGAAACGCTTTTACACTGTTGGTGGGAATGTAAATTAGTTCAACCATTGTGGAAGACAGTGTGGCGTTTCCTCAAGGATCTAGAACCAGAAATACCATTTCACCCAGCAATCCCATTACTGGGTATATACCCAAAGGATTATGAATCATTATACTATAAAGACACATGCACACTTATGTTTATCGCAACACTATTCACAATAGCAAAGACTTGGAACCAACCCAAATGCCCATCAATGATAGACTGGATAAAGAAAATGTGGCACATAAACACCATGGAATACTATGCAGCCATAAAAAAGGATGAGTTCATGTCCTTGCAGACAACATGGATGAAGCTGGAAACCATCATTCTCAGCAAACACAGGAACAGAAAACCAAACACAACATGTTCTCACTCATAAGTGGGAGTTGAACAATGAGAACACATGGACACAGGGAGGGGAACATCACACACCGGGGCCTGTCAAGGGGTGGGGGCATATGGGAGGGATAGTATTAGGAGAAATACCTAATGTAGATGACATTGGTTGATGGGTGCAGCAAACCACCATGGCACATGTATACCTATGTAACAAACCTGAATGTTCTGCATACGTATCCCAAAACCTAAAGTATAATAAAAAAGAAAAAAATGCCCAAATACCCATCAATGATAGACTGGACAAGGAAAACGTGGCACATATACACCATGGAATACTACATAGCCACAAAAAAAGATGAGTTCATGTCCTTTGCAGGGACATGGATGAAGCTGGAAACCATCATTCTCAGCAAACTAACACAGGAACTGAAAACCAAACACCACATGTTCTCACTCATAAGTGGGAATTGAACAATGTGAACACATGGACACAGGATTGGAACATCACACACCAGGGCCTGTCAGGGGGTTGGGGGCAAGGGGAGGGAGAGCATTAGGACAAATACCTAATGCATGTGGGGCTTAAAACCTAGATGACAGGTTGACAGGTGCAGCAAACCACCATGGCACATGTATACACCTATGTAGCAAACCTTTATGTTCTGCACATGTATCCCAGAACTTAAAGTTAAATAAATAAAAAAGAGCCTGGGGGATCTCCTCAGGATCCAAGAAAGGACACCTCTCTGTCTGAAATGCAGAATGACAGTGATAGAAAAAACTACAGAAATGGTCTTCACTGACAAGCCCAATAGAGAATTCTTATCTTCAACAATTCTGACAGGTAGAATCCAGCTTCATTTTTACTACATCTGGGAATTGGGAGCTCCTTGCCACTTAGTGCAGACCATTTCCATATTTGAATAGTTAAATGTTCTGGAAAGCCTTTTGAAACTTGAGCCAAAGCCAGGTGCTGAGCTATAATCCTAGCTTTCCAGGCGTCAGAGGTTTCCATCTTGGGGGTGCAGAGGAACATATGATAAAATTAGGATGACCACCCATTCTGGTTTGTCATGGACTGTTCTGGTTTTAGCATGAAAGTCCTGTGTCTCAGGAAGCCCTATAATAAATAGGTCACAGGGCTAGAAATCACAGGGTTTCTAGTCACAGGACCTGAGTTACAGTCCCAGCTCTACCATTTAATCTGTTGTGTAGCTTTAGGCAAATCAATTAGTCAATCTAAGCCTCAGTTTATTCATCTATATGAGGATAATAATACCCATCTTACAGAGTTGATGTAAGGATTAAATAAGTAATATATAAGAAGATTTCAGCAGAGAGCCTTGTACACAGTGGAGACTTTTAAATGCTAGCAGATACATCTATAATGAGTATACTTTAACATATAGTGACCACAATTTCCCTTCCTTACAATTTCCAGTCATAAAGTTTCTCCCATCCTTTGAAATACTGCAGAACATATCTGATTCCTCTTCCAAATGAACACTCTTCAAATAGCTGAGGGCTGTGGCATGCTCCATACCACCCACTTTCCACTCCAAATCTATACCAGACTGGTCTCCTCTTTTCCAGACTAAATATCTCTAGTACTTTGACCATCGTTCAGATGACATGATTTCCAGAATTTTGTCCCTCTTATTAACCTTTTTGTAGATCTGTCATTTGTAAAGTGCAGGCCAAGAACTGAGCACAACTTCCTTGATGTTATCTGACCAGCACAAGGACATTTGGATGATTATCTCGTTCCTTCTGGACTCTCTATTTCCATCACATGACCTCAGGTCACATTAGCATTTTGGCAGCCTTAACCCAGTTGGCTTATGTTAAGCTGACAGTCAGCTAACACTCCTGAGCCTTTCTCTTGCTCTTATAAACTATTAAACAAAGTCTCCCTTGGTCTGGTTTCAGCTGATCCTTTAAACACAAAAGTTAGAGTCTAAATTTATCCCTATTAATTGTATCATGCTGGTTGCAGCCTATCCTTCAAGGTTGTTGAGATTTTTATGGCTCCTTAGCCTGTCAGCCAACATGTTAGCTGTTTTTCTCAGTTTTGTTTCATCTTTAAATTTGATAAGAATGCTTCAAACTGTTGATTTAAAATACTGAACAATTTAGGGCCAAGAACCGAACCATTTAAAAGTTTCATAAAGGTTAAGTCTGGTTAATATTAATAACTATTACCATTTGTTCAGTAATTGCTCTGAGCCAGATACTGAGTTAGATGCATTGGGAACATTATCTCATTTGATTGCAGAACTCTTCAAGATAAATATGATTGTCCTCTTCTTACAAATGATAAAACTACACTTATACACTGTTGGTGAGAGTGCAAATTAGTTCAACCACTGTGGAAAACAGTGTGGTGATTCCTCAAAGAGCTAAAGACAGAAATACCATTCGACCCAGCAATCCCATTACTGGGTATATATCCAAAGCAATATAAATCATTCCATACTAAAGACACATGCACATATGTGTTCACTGCAGCACTATTCACAATAACAAAGACATGGAATCAACCCAAATGCCCATCAATTATAGACTGGATAAAGAAAATGTGGTACATATACACCATGGAGTACTATACAGCCATAAAAACAAATGAGATCATGTCCTTTGTAGGAACATGGGTGGAGCTGGAGGCCACTTTCCTTAGCAAAGTAATGCAGGAACAAAATACCACATGTTCTCACTTATAAGTGAGAGCTAAATGATGAGAAGACATGGACACGTAGAGAGGAACAACACACACTAGGACCCACTGGAGGGTGAGGGTAGGAAGGAGCAGAGGTTCAGGAAAAATAGCTAATGAGTACTAGGCTTAATACCTGGGTAACAAAAGAATCTGTACAACATATCCTCATGACATGAGTTTAACTGCATAACAAACCTGCACATATACCTCTAAAGTTAAAAGTTTAAAAATAAATAAATAAAAATATGGAACTAATGAAATAAAACAAATGATAAAACTGAGACTCAGAAATGTCACATGTCTTACTCAAATTCAGACAACTAGTAAGGCTTATAGCTGCATTTTGGAACCAGGTTTGTCTGATATCAAAGTCAAAATTCTACAGTGCCATGCTGCCTTTGGAAGGGGAGCTGCTGAGACTATGAAAAAAGTCTTTAAGCCAAAGTCCTATTTGGAACCCCAAGGGTAGGTAAACCTTATCACTCTCTCCTTTCTGCCTCCCACTTCCCTGTGTCCTTCATCACAGTGACCCACCTTCGTAGGTTAGGGTATAAACCCTTCTCTCCACACTACTTTCCTCTTATCAGGCCCTTGTCCTTCCCTCCCATCCTCAGTCCTGCTGCCTTCTACCCACTATATCTTTAATATCCCAGTTTGGGTTTCAAGAAATTCTCTTACAGTCTTACCCTTTTTTTTAATAACACTTCCCCTTTGCAACTTCTTCCATTAAACTAAAACATTGGGGCACCACTTCCTTCACCTATTTCTCTCACAGAGACACATTCATTCAATTGGTCATTGATTTAACAAATAGTTACTCAGTATATAGCATGTGCTAGGTACTGTCCCAGGAACAGAAATAGAACAATGGAAAAAAAAGATATGGTTCCTGCCCTCACAGAGCTTGTAACTAGGGAAGGGGTAGATATCAAATAATTACACAAGTACATAATTACAAATATGGTAAGTGCTACAAAGGAGAAATTCAGTGCTCTATGAGACTATACAATATAAGCACCTATTCTAGTCTGGAAAATAAGAAAGACCCCTGCTTTAAAAAAATATTTATTACATTTTTTGAGTACCTATTATGTCTCAGATAGTACTAGCACCTACTATAAATGGGAGGATATATAGGTATACAATGTTAAATAAAAGATATAGAAGTACATTAATATTTATACTGTGGTGTGATATCTGATATGTAAATGATAAGCACAGAGCATATGAATAAGAGCTGAGAATCAGGAAAAACTTCCTGAAAGCACATGCAATAGTTCAGATGTGTATCCTGCTAAACCTCATTTTGAAGTTTGATCCCGAGAAATTCAAAGGATCATTAGTGGACACTAATGAGCAATTATATGCCAATAAATTGGAAAATCTAGAAGACATGAACAAATTCCTAGACACATACAACCTACCAAGATTGAACCATAAAGAAATGCAAAACCTGAACAGACTGAAAACAATGAGATCAAAGCTCCAATAAAAAGTCTTCCAATAAAGAAAAGCCTGGACCCTATGGCTTCACTGATGAAATTCTATAAACAATTAAAGAAGAATACCAGTCCTACTCAAATTATTCCAAAAAATAAAGGAGGAGGAAATATTTACAAACTAATTCTATGAGGCCAGTATTACCCTGATACCAAAACCAGACAAAGACACATCAACAAAAGAAAACTATAGGCCAATATCTCTGATAAATATTGATGCAAAAATCACCAACAAAATACTATCAAACTGAATTCAACAATACATTAGAAAGATCATTTATCATGACCAAGTGGGATTTATCCCTGGGATGCAAGAATGGTTCAACATATACAGATTAATCAATGCGATACATCATATCAACATAATGAAGGACAAAAACCATATGATCATTTCAATTGATGCTGAAAACGCATTTGATAAAATTCAACATCCCTTCATGATAAAAAAGACCTCAAAAGACTGGACATAGAAGGAATATACCTTAACATAATAAAAGCCACATATGACAGATCCACAGCTAATATCATACTAAATGGGGGAAAAAGCCTTTTCTCTAAGATCTGGAAAATGACAAGGATGCCCGCTTTCACCACTGTTATTCAACATAGTACTAGAAGTCCTAGCTAGAGCAATCTGATAAGATAAAGATATAAAGGGCATCCAAACTGGAATGAAAGAAGTCAAATTATCCTTGTTTGCAGGTGATATAATCTTATATTTAGAAAAACCTAAAGACTCCATAAAAAACTATTAGAACTGATAAATTCAGTAATGTTACAGGATGCAAATCAACATACAAAAATCAGTAGCATTTCTATATGCCAACAGTGAACAATGTGAATAAGAAATTTTAAAAGCAATCCCATTTACAATAGCAACAATAAAATTAAATACTTAGGAATTAACCAAAGAAGTAACATATCTCTATAATAGAAACTACAAAACACCGATGAAAGAAATTGAGTTCTTCAAAAGTGTGTAACTCCAAGTGAGCCTGTTCAATTTGGTCCCATAAGTCATAAATTATATGGATTTAAAAGTCGATCTAATATTAATAAAGGCTCACTTTGTTCTCAAAATTTGAAGTAATGCACATACTTATAGCCTAAAAAAATCGGCAAGAATTACAAAATTTCAAAACTGGCGCATTGTAAACTGCATATGCGTTTGCCAGGTAGCAGTGCCACTTGAAATGGTGAACAGATACACTGTTATTCTTTGTCAGTATCCTGTAAAGCCCAGGATTCTTTACCAGCACCACACAGCGATTTTGGTGACTATTTTAACATTCACATTGAGGTCAGGGGTGGTGGGTCATGCCTGTGATCCTAGCACTCTGGCAGGCCGAGGTGGGAGGATCATTTGAGCTCAGGAGTTCAAGATTAGCCTGGGTAACATAGTGAGACCCTGTCTCTATTAAAAAATAATAATACTGAGGCAGGAGAATGGCGTGAACCCGGGAGGCGGAGCTTGCAGTGAGCCGAGATCGCGCCACTGCACTCCAGCCTGAGCAACAGAGCGAGACTCTGACTCAAAAAATAATAATAATAATAACAATAAAAATAACATTCACATTGGTATTGTTCACTAAGATATTGTTCTTTAAGGCATTTCTTAAGGTATTGTTAAAACTTGTGTTAAGCATGTTAAAGTCTCAGTAACTTTGGGATAGAAATAAAATGTGATAAAAAGTGAAAGAAACCACCACAAGGGAGAGTCCTTTTTGAAATATTAGAGACATAATGCTGTCTAATAAAAAACGACATCAAAGAAAAACTACACTACAGTGATTGCAGACTTAATGTTGGCCAACCATGCATCCTCCCTAGAAATGCATTTGAATTTTATTTACTAATCTTTTATTTAGGAAATTTACATTTTTACATTACTGAGATTGGTCTTTTGGGCTATTATACTTTTTTTTTTTTTTTTTTGAGATGGAGTCTTGCTCTATCACCCAGGCTGGAATGCAGTGGTGCAATCTCGGCCCACTGTAACCTTCACCCCTGGGGTTCAAGTGATTCTCTGCCTCAGCCTTCTGAGTAGCTGGGACTACAGGCATGTGACACCACACCAGGCTAATTTTTGTATTTTTGGTAGAGATGGGGTTTTGCTATGTTGGCCAGGCTGGTCTTGAATTCCTGACCTCGGGTGATCCACCTACCTTGGCCTCCCAAAGTGCTGGGATTACAGGTGTGAGCCACCATGCCCAGCCTGGTTATTGTATTTTGACACTGGGATTTTGCTAGCTCTCTAAAGTAAATAGGATAACTGTATATCTTTTTCTGTGCATTAAGCAATTATAACATGGGAATGATTTGTTCATGAAAGGTTGAAAGTCTGTACTTGTAGAACTTTTGAGTTCACAGTGCTTTCAGAAATAATTTCTTTATAACTGTCAGTTTCTTCTGTGACTATTTTGTTATCTATTTTTAAATTTAAGCAACTTTAAATTTAAAAAATTTGTTTTAAAATAAAAAAAAAAGAAATTGAAAAGGACACCAAAAAATGGAAAGATATTCCATGTTCATGGATTGGAAGACTCAATATTGTTAAAATATTCATACTACCCAAAACAATCTACAGTTTCAAGGCAATCCCTATCAAAATACCAATAACATTCTTCATAGAAATGGAAAACACAATCCTAAAATTTATATGGAACCACAAAAGTCCCAGAATGGCCAAAGCTATCCTAAACAAAAAGAACAAAACTGGAGGAATCACATTACTTCAAATTATACTACAGAGCTATAGTAACCAAAACAGCATGGTACTGGCATAAAACAGACACATGAACCAATGGAACAGAATAGAGAACCCAGAAATAAATCTACACATCTACAGTGAATTCATTTTTTGACAAAGGTGCCAAGAACATACACTAGGGAAAAAACAGTCTTGTCAATTAATGGTTCTGGGGAAACTAGATATCCATATGCAGAAAAATGAAACTAGATCCTTATCTCTCACCATATACAAAAATCAAATCAAAATGGATTAAAGATTTAAATCTAAGACTTTGAACTGTGAAATTATTAAAAGAAAACATTGAAGAACATCTCTAGGACATTGGTCTGGGCAAAAAATTCTTGAGCAATACCACAAAAGCACAGAAAACCAAAGCAAAAATGAACAAATTGAATAATATCAAATTAAAAAGCTTCTGTATAGCAATGATACAATCAACAAAGTGAAGAAACAACCCACAGAATGGGAGAAAATATTTGCAAACTACTCATCTGACAAGGGATTAATAACTAGAATATATAAGGAGCTGAAACAACTCTATAGGAAAAAATATAATAATCTGATCAAAATGGGCAAAAGACTGGAATAGAAATGCCTATTTCTCAAAAGAAGACATACATATGGCAAACAGGCATATGAAAAAGGTGCTCAACATCATTAACCATCATAGAAATGCAAATCAAAACTACAATGATATCATCTCACCCCAGTTAAGATGGCTTATATACAAAAGACAGGTAATAACAAATGCTGGCAAGGATATAAAGAAAAGGGAGCCCTCTTACACTGCTGGTGGAAACGTAAATTAGTACAACCACTATGGATAACATCTTGGAGTTTCCTCAAAAAACTAAAAATAGAACTACCATATGATCCAGCAATCCCACTGCTGTGTATATACCCAAAAGAAAGGAAATCAGAATATAGAAGAGATATCTGCACTCCTAAGATTTGGAAGCAACCTAAGTGTCCATCAACAGATGAATGGATAAAGAAAATGTGGTACATATATACAACGGAGCACTATTCAGCCACTAAAAAGAATGAGATCCTGTCATTTGCAACAGCAATGGATGGAATTGGAAATCATTATGTTAAGGAAAATAAACTAGGCACAGAAAGACAAATATCACATGCTCTCACTTAATTGTGGGATCTAAAAATCAAAATAATTGAATTCATGAAGCTAGAGAATAGAAAGATGGTTACTAGAGGCTGGGAAGGGTGGTGGAAGATTGAGGAGGAGGTGGGGATGGTTAATAGGTATTTAAAAAAAATAGAAAGAATGAATAGGCCAGGCGCAGTGGCTCAAGCCTGTAATCCCAACACTTTGGGAGGCTGAGGCAGGTGGATCACCTGAGGTCAGGAGTTCGAGACCAGCCTGGCCAACATGGTGAAACCCCATCTCTACTAAAAATATAAAAATTAGCTGGGTGTGGTGGCACGCATCTGTAGTCCCAGCTACTCAGGAGGCTGAGGCAGGAGAATGGCGTGAACCTGGGAGGCAGAGATTGCAGTGAGCCGAGATCGCGCCACTGCACTCCAGCCTGGGCAACAGAGCAAGACTCCGTCTCAAAAAAATAAAAATAGCTTTGAAGACAATTCTCATTGAAGGAAGACGTCTTATGGAAACACACAATTGCTCAAAGATAAATGTATAAAGATATTCACTGGAGCTTTGTTCGAGACCAGCCTGGCCAACATGGTGAAACCCCATCTCTACTAAAAAAACAAAAATTATCTGGGCATGGTGTCACATGCCTGTAATCCCAACTACTTGGAAGGCTGAGGCAGGAGAATTGCTTGAACATGAGAGGCGGAGGTTGCAGTGAGCCGAAATCGTGCCATTGCACTCCAGCCTGGGCAACAAGAGCGAAACCCCGTCTCAAAAAAAAAAAAAGAAAGAATGAATGAATAAGACCTACTATTTGATAGCATAACAGGGTGACTATAGTCAATAATAACTTAATCGTACATTTTTAAATAACTAAAAGAATATAATTAGATTGTTTGTTACACAAAGGATAAGTGCTTGAGGGAATGGATACCCTATATGTGATTATTTCACATTGCATACCTTACCAAAACATCTCATGTATCCCATAAATATATATACCTATGTATCCACAACAATTAAAAATTAAAAAAAATTTTTTTTAAGAAATTCGATCCCTAGTGTTGGAGGTGGGGCCTAGTGGGAGGTGCTTGTGTCATGGGGGCAGATCCCTCACGATCAGGTTGGCGCTTTCCTTGAGGTAATGAATAAGTTCTCACTCTATTCGTTCCTGCAAGAACTGGTTGTAAAAAAAAGTCCGGCAACTCCCTCCTCTCTCTCCTGCTTCCTCTCTCCCCATGTGATCTGCACACACCCACTCCCCTTTGTCTTCTGCCATGAAGCCCTCACCAGAACCAGATGCTGGTAACATGCTCCTTGTACAGCCTGTAGAACCATGAGCCAAATAAACCTATTTTCTTCATAAATTACCCAGCCTCAGATATTATTTTATAGCAACACAAATGGACTAAGACAGTATATCAGCCTCCTTTTCAAGAGTGACTAAGAATTATTGAGCCAGAGAAAGGGGACATTCCAGTTAAAGGGAAGAGCGTAGGCAAAGCTTTGGAGAAGGTTGTATCATAATACATTTGGAGAGTAAGGAGTTCACTGTGGTTAAAGCAGAGAGGGTATAGGGGGATAGGGATATTATTGACCCATCTATATGTCACACTGACCATCCAAGCCTTAAAAGTCAAAAAAAAAAAGAACTTTAAGGATAGATGATGCTTCACAAAAACAATATTCAGCTACAAGTGAATTATAATTACAATACGTATGCTAGACAAGACTAATAACTAATAAATATATGGTGACTGAGGAGGATAGTGTGTGTGGGTGTGTGGGTGTGTGGGTGTGTGCGTGTGCGTGTGTGTGTGGGGGGGGTGTGTGAGTGTGTTATGTACATGTAGCAGAGGAGGGTTGAAAGTTATAACAAACTACACTCCAAAATATTTTACAAACAACCTGTAACAGTTTGAGTAGGTATGTGTTTGCAGTCCAGGTCATAACAACATAAAACATAGCCAGAAATGTAACTATGACACTGCATAAACAAAAGGAAAATAAAGTACGATGATCCCATTACTGATCATGCATACTGGCATGCATCTCATTCATTAGAGTACTTTAAACTAGGTTTAAGTATACAATTGATGAAAGGAGTTTGTTTTGTTTTTGTTTTTGTTTTTTAAGCTGGAATGCAGTGCTGCAATTTGTCTGTCCTAGCAGCATTGCCTATGGACAGTCATTAATCAGAAGTGAATTATTACTTCCTTATGAAATTTAGCTTCAGTTTTTTCCTCTTGAACTTATCTGGAAATCTTTAACATGGAGAGTCATGCTAGATCCTTTCCTAGTTGGAAAATTCAACTCATCCCTCACATTTATCTTCTGAAGCCCACTTCTCTTTATTCCGTCAGAGTGTACCAACTGAGATTAAGTTCCTTTCCATCTCTCACATATATGTGTCTGTCACTGTCAAGAATTGTGGCGATTAATTTTAAGGGGAGGGGGCTAAAAACCTACATATGGGGTAGTTTAAACAAAACCACACCTTTAGCTATCAATCAAATGAACCAGATGATTGTTTCTAAAAACTCAACTTTGAAAAGATTATTCTGCACTAAGGTTTTTGTTTTGTTTGGTTTTGGTTTTGTTTTTAAAATAAAAAAGAACAATTCAAGTTTGGGGAAGTAACCAGAGCCTCAAATGAAATATTGGCTATCTTTTTAAAAATTTTATACACCAATGGGTGTTTTGTTACTTTTGCTTTAAATGCGGCCTTTAATTTCTTTCTTCTTTTTTAAATTAAGAAGCTGTATTGTTCAGAGTGCAAGTTACTGAGACATTATCAATTTCTCCCAACACACCAGGTTCACTGCACAGAGGCTTGTTCTACTGGTTAGACCTAGAGCTCATTAATATTAAAAAGTGAGGTTACTTCATTATTGGACTGAAATTTCCATTTTCACTTGCCCTGTCTTTAGCTCTGTCCTTCTAACATCAATGAGTAAGATAGAAACATGGAAAATATGCTCATCAAATTTATAGATGATAAAAAGCCAGGAGTGACAGCAAATGTTGTTGATACAAGGATCAAGATTCAGAAAGATTTATGAGAGGCTAGGGCAACGGGCTAAATGTAATATATAAAATTTAGAATGAATAAGTACAAGATCCTCAACATGGGTTCAAAAATCAATCTTGCAAGTTTAGTAACAGCAAGTATGTAAAAGACTTAGGAATCTTAATTAATAATGAGCTCAGTGTGTGTTAACAGTGTGATATGATTCCAAAAAAAAACTAATGGCACTTGATAGTGCTCTAAGAAAGTGTAACATTGAGAATGAGAAGGTGGATAACTTAGTCCTGAATTCAGCTTTGGGTGCATATATTACAGTATCCTTGGGATATGCTTGGTTAAAGAAACTGAATCCAAATTGCAAAAGAACCTGTTCAAGGGACTAGATTATTCAACCTAAAGCTAAGATTTAGAGAACAAAGAGTAGCTATACTCAAATAGTTAAAAAAGGGATTCAATGTACTGTCCATAGATCCAGAAGGGGAGAACTAGGATTAATGAATGTGAATTTCAGGCAGGCAGATTTCAGCTCAGCAAGAATAAACTCTTTCTTCTTCAGACAAATATTAAGCCAAAAATGGAATGGGCAACCTCATAGTTCCCTACCCCTCACTGGTGGTACTCAAGCCCAGGCTGGAAAACTTCTGCCAGGGGAAAATCAAACAAACATTACAATGATGATTCAAGAATTATGTGTATTATTGGACTGGATAGTCTATGATCTATGCTTTTTAGACAAACTCAGCTATCACAAAAAGACCTCTTCAAAGACAGCTCATCTAGGCCCCCACGAAGCATACAATCTCTTACAGCTGTCAGAAATTATAGCCCCAAGTGTGGTAAAGCTGATGGGAAGCTAATATTTTAGTTGTTCTACGTGGAATCTTAGCCAAAAGGTCAAGAAGCAATATATTTCAGCAGTGTGCAGCGGCCTAAGAGAGAGAAGGACCATTATTTTATTATGTGACCCTTCTTCCAACTGGGTGAGATCATCCTTGTGTTTCCAAAAACATTGCCCAGACCCTGTGTGGACTGTAGGGTGCAGTAATGTTATACTTGGGCCTTTCAAAAAAAATGATGTGCCAAGAACAAACCCAACTCAGGATTCCCAAACAGAAATTGGAGGACCTTTTAGTCAGAGCGAAGAATACAAAGATCTGTGAAGCCAGAAGCTTCAGAGATTAAGCTGAATCAGGAATTTATTTACCTAAAATGTGTTCAGACCAAGTATCATTAATGCTTTCCATCTTGACACATTCGGTAAAAGAAGCAAACTTTCCAGGATGCCATGCCTCACTTTATATCATATAATCTGATACGGGGTGGGGTAGGGGAAGTACAGTAAATCTAGAGTCCTCATTTTCTTATATTGTGTTTGAGAATATTTTTCTGAATCTATGTAAGTACTTTTTTTTTTGAGATGGAATCTCACTCTGTCACCCAGGCTAGAGTACAGTGGCGCAATCTTGGCTCACTGCAAGCTTCACCTCCCGGGTTCACGCCATTCTTCTGCCTCAGCCTCCCGAGTAGCTGGGACTACAGGCACCCGCCACCACGCCTGGCTAATTTGTTGTATTTTTTAGTAGAGATGGGGTTTCACCGTGTTAGCTAGGATGGTCTCGATCTCCTGACCTCGTGATCCGCCCACCTCGGCCTCCCAAAGTGCTGGGATTACAGGCATGAGCCACCACGCCCGGCCTGAAAGTACTTTTTTATCTCTCCCTGAGAACTTATGACATTGCTGTTCCTGATACCTGACACCGTGACCATTCTCAAAACTGCAGAACTATCGACCAGAAGAATGAAAAGTTATCCCCCTCAAACTACAAGGGGAATACTAGAAGAAAAGGAAAAGCAAAAGGCCTCTCCACTTTAAAAGCCCATGGTCTCTTCCACCAGAAGGTAAGAAAGAACGGCCATTACTTATTTAGCTCAATTAAGTAAGAACTTTCTTATAGTCAGCTATGACCAAGAAAACAATGGGCTGCCTTGGGGAGCTCAAGCATGGATTAACCTATCCATCACTAAAACAAGGTTGCTCAAGTCGAGCACAAAGAAACCTAGTGGGTACTTTTGTACCTAATTCCTTAGAGACATGTTTAAGAAGCCCCAGAAGTTACATGTCCAAGCCAAATGGGTTTGCTAAGGTGTCATCATCACATCAATAATTTTGATCTTCAGTGCTAAAAATATGAAACATATACAGGCAGTGCTGCTTTAGTTGAATTGGGTGGTAATGGTGAAGATAGGTGGAGAGAAGGGAACCTGTTTTTATTTGCTTTGAATCTTTACTATTCTACGTAAATTTTATTCTGAAAAAAAGATTCCTCAGATATTCTGGTATTTTGAAGCCCACTAGGTAATTATTATTCCTCCCAGAAGAATCTGCATTATCCTACAAGAGGGAGACTTCTAGAAATGCAAAAAGGACACAACATTATCATTTTCTCCTACCGCCTGTTCAAACCTGTTCCATGAAGCTAATTCTCTTCTCTCCTTGAGATGAACCTAGAGTATGTCTATTGTCTAGCCCCATCAGATACGAAAATACAAAATTCCACACAAAACACTTTACTCTCACTTTTATCCAAAATCTAACTTACTTCAATTATTTAAATATCCTTTCCCATGTAACAGTCAAAAAATTAAAACCCCAAGCTTCATTTAGAGGGAATGCTTCTTCCCCTCCCCAGCATGGGCTGCTACAGGCTGGAAGCCTGCAATGGGAAAGAGGGACATGGTCACCTTCTTCTCTGGGTGCCTTTCCTTGCTTCTCTTCCTCCCTGTCAGCTTTCTTGCTGTGGTTTCTGCTCTCTCCAGAGTTGAAGTAGGGCAAAGGGGAAGGTGGTACTGTTTGGTAAGGAGCAGAAAAGGTTGTACCTGAAAGGAACCAGAATTGCCTAGTGTTAATGCTCTCTGGGTCGGAAATGAGTTTTAAACTGTCTCTTTTCCTCATGGGGGCACTTCTGCTATTTCTATGGTGACTCCCCTTCTCCATTAGGACAGCTATTAGATTGAGGTTCCTTTGAGACATCAATCTCTCTCTTCTGGCTGGTTGCTTACAGCCTTCTCACCCCCTACTCCTCTGACTAGACACTTCTATCCCTTTCCTGTAAGATTTCCTTACCTGTGTCAGGAAACCCCCTAAGGTGTGGTCCCTCAGCAGCTCTGTCTGACATGTCCCACACCTGATCCATAGAACACATATACACACATATACTTCTCAGTGCTTCAGGGTCCTCTTCTGTAAGATGGAGATATTAAGCCAAGTGCAGTGGCACACACCTATAGTCCCTGCTATTCCAGAGGCTGAGGTGGGAGTACCACTTGAACCCATGAGTTTGAGGCTGTTGTGCACTATTATCGGGACTGTAAATAGCCACTGCACTCCAGCCTGGGCAACACAGTGAGACCTCATCTCTATAATAAATAAATAAGAGAATATTAATAGCAACTCTCTCCTATGGTTGTTGTGAAGATTAAACAAAACAACAACTGGCCCAAAATAAACACTAAGATAACAGTAACTTTCCCAAGCTCATATTATTAGTAGTAAGTAGTAAAACTAGATCTGTCCTCCTTCAAAGCCAGGGAGGTACATTTCCTGTCACACTACATTTCCAGGAGGGAGGTATTTTGAACCAAGGAACTACCCAGAACTACTCAATTCATCCACTCTGCTCACTCATAAGACTGGCTATGGGCATGGTTTTGGCAACAAATTGATTGTCCTGGCACCTCTGGTTCAACTCTCCAGCAGCACCCTAAAGCTGTAGATCAGCAGCAGGAAGTCCCTGGGCATCCTCCCCCTTCACTCCAGAGCATCACACCAGGCTGAACTCAAGAGCTGTCACAATGCTGGGAAAAGTGCCAAACTAATCTCTAGAGCATGGGGCACTCTGACACTTGACATAGACAAGAGGATAACTTTTTTCACCTTCGAGCCAACATTATACTCTTCAAATCCTCTTTTAGGAAACCTTATATAAAACCATGCTCACTCAATAGACAGCCTCCAAAGTGAAGCCTGTCTCACTAGGTCTTTGACACTCCTTCATTAGGTGACTATCTGCTACCAACATAGAGCAAAACTAGAGAGATTTCTGCCCTAGAGACCACATCTTGAGGTGCAGAATTTTCCCACTCTCTGTTCTCTCAAAGTATTCCTTAGAGTATTCCTTAATTGATATAGTTACATTAAATTATAGAGCTAGTCTCACGTAGACTATTCATTAAATATTCTCTTTCAGCACACCAGAGTCACATTTTCTATGCTTTAAAGGTCAGAAATCTTTTTGCAAACTTCATATCTTTCCACCCCAAGGTGGAGATTCATCTTCAAAGGTTCCTAAAAGGGATGTGATTCTATCGCAAAGAACATCTTCCTCTGGAAAGAACCAACTGGCTTCCATCAAAGCATTTCACAACATTTATGCATCATTCCTACAGGCTACTTGGTAATTGCAAAGACAAAGATGTACCTTTACACAGGGGCAATATCTAGTACCTTAACCACATAATCAAGCTAAGCATCACTGATAGTAGGATACTCTAATGTTATGTTCTTACTGATGTGAAGTGATACAAAACACAAAGCATCATTTATTACATATCTTGCCAAATATGTTTAACTTGAATCTTATCAACCCTTTAAACCTAATTTCCAGTTTATGGGAAATAGAAATGATAAAGGAACAAGTCTAAAAAAAAAAAACCAACAAACAAAAAAATAACCATAAGGAAACAAGAAGGCTAATTCAGAACATAGAATGTCCTATAAGACAACTGGCCAAGTTTCTTCAAAAAGTCAATTTCACAGGGAAAAAAAATAGGTGACACTGCTCAAAAATAAGACACTAAGGAGATATAATAACCAAATATAATGCATGAAACTTCATAGAGTCATGGTTTGAAGGAAATAACTGTAAGACACATCATGGAGAAAAACTGAGGAAATTTCAGTGTGAATTAGATATGAGTTGATATTAGGCAACTGTTACTTTCCTGAGGTGTCATAGTAGAATGTAACTATAGTAGAATATACTTATAATTAACATATATGTGATGAAGTGTTTGTAAGTAAAGCATCATGATGTCCAACCAATGTGTATGCACATATCCACACACATTCAACATGTGTTAACAAGTGTGGGTATTATAAGTGGATATGCAAGTATTCATTGTAATATTCTTTCAAATTTTCAGCATGTTTAAAAATTATAAAAATACAGGTGAAATGTTTCTATTTGCAGATGTGAGGACAGTGTAGAAAATCCCAAAGTATCTATAAAAGCAAAATGAAACAAAATACCTCCTAAAGCTAATTAAGTTCAGCCAGCCGATTAGGTATTACTGCAATGGGCTGCCCAGTAATCAAAGAGGACTACTTATTTCCCACCAGGGTTTTTACAAAAAGATTCATTCTGATAAGTTCTCTGATGAAGTTCAGACATTGTTACAGGGGGTGGCACCAGCTTCTCTACATCTCTATCAAAATCAAAGAAAACTCAGAAAAAAATGGAAAACAAAAGTTGCCTTATTATTCTACTATTTGAGCAGAATCTACCTGACACAAAGCAAATGCTTGTTTAATTTCAATGACATTCATAAAGTTGTAATTGAGAAGGAAAAAACGTAAAATTTATTTAAGAAGTCTATAAATCTCCCTATTTACAAAACTTTTCTTAATATACAAAATAAACTGGGATCAAAAGTTTTTATAACCCTAAAAAAAAAATACAAAAGTACAGCCAGGTTACAGCTTAATCAACACACAAATCAACTGCATTTCTTTATACAACAATGGACATATGAAAACTAAAATTAAAAACACAATGCCATTTAAAATTGCTCCAAAGAAATACTTAGGTATAAATGTAAAAAAGTAAACACACCATGTACAAAATATGTATGCTTTAACTACAAAATATAATTTAAAAATTAAAGAGCCAGGCACAGTGGCTCACACCTGTAATCCCAGCACTTTGGGAGGCCGAGGCAGGTAGATCACCTGAGGTCAGGAGTTTGAGAACAGCCTGACCAACATGGAGAAACCTCATCTCTACTAAAAATACAATGCCTAATTTCATTACTTACCCAGCAGTCATTCAGGAGCAGGTTGTTTAATTTCCATGTAGTTATATGGTTTTTAGTGAGTTTCTTAATCTTGAGTTCTAATTTGATTGTGCTGTGGTCTGAGAGACTCTTACAATTTCAGTTTTTTGCATTTGCTGAGGAGTGTTTTACTTCCAATTATGTGATTGATTTTAGAGTAAGTGCTATGTGGCACTGAGAATAATGTATATTTTGTTGTTTTTGGGTGGAGAGCTCTGTAGGTATCTATGAAGTCCACTTGATCCAGAGCTGGAGGTCAAGTCCTGAATATCCTTGTTAATTTTCTGTCTCGATGATCTAATTGACAATGGGGTGTTAAAATCTCCCACCATTATTGTGGGGGTGTCTAAGCCTCTTTGTAGGTCTCTAAGAACTTGTTTTATAAATCTGGATGCTCCTGTATTGGGTACATATATATTTAGGATAGTTAGCTCTTCTTGTTGAATTGAGCCCTTTACCATTATGTATTGCCCTTGTCTTTTTTGATCTTTGTTGGTTTAAAGTCTGTCTTGTCAGAAACTAGGATTACAACCCCTGCTTTTTTCTGCTTTCCATTTTCTTGGTGTTTCCATTTTCTTGGTAAATTTTCTTGCATCCCTTATTTTAAGCTTATGTGTGTCTTTGCACATGAGATGGGTCTCTTGAATATAGCACACCAATAGGTCTTGACTCTTTATACAGCTTGCTGTTCTGTGTCTTTTAATTGGGGCATTTAGCCCATTTACATTTAAGGTTAATATTGTTATGTGTAAATTTGATCCTGTCATCATGACGCTAACTAGTTATTTTGCACACTTGTTGATGTAGTCGCTTCATAGTATCATTGGTCTTTGTACTTCCATGTGTTTTTGTAGTGTTAGACTGGTAATGACTTTTGTGGTGTAGGCTGATAATGATTTTTCCTTTTCATCTTTAGTGCTTCCTTCAGAAGCTCTTGCAAGGCAGGCCTAGTGGTGAAGAATTCCCTCAGCATTTGCTTGTCTGAAAAGGATTTTATTTCTCCTTCGCTTATGAAGCTTAGTTTGGTTGGATATGAAATTCTAGGTTGAAAATTCTTTTAAGAATGTTGAATATTGGCCCCCAATCTCTTCTGGCTTGTAGAGTTTCTGCTGAGAGGTCAACTGTTAGTCTGATGGGCTTCCCTTTGTAGGTGACATGGCCTTTCTCTCTGGCTGCCCTTAATGTTTTTTCCTTCATTTTAACCTTGGAAAATCTGATAATTATGTGTCTTGGGATTTATCTTCTCATGGAGTCTCTTACTGGGGTTCTCTGGATTTCCTGAATTTGAATGTTGTTCTGTCTTGCTAGGTTGGGAAAGTTCTCCTGTATGATATCCTGAAGTATGTTTTCCAACCTGGTTCCATTCTCCCCATCTCTTTCAGGTACCCCAATCAGTCATAAGTTCAGTCTTTTTACATTATCCCATAGTTTTCAGAGGTTTTGTTCACTCCTTTTCATCCTTTTTTCTCTAATCTTGTCTGCCTTCCTTATTTCAGCAAGATAGTCTTCAATCTCTGAAATGCTTTCCTCCACTTGATGCATTCGGCTATTGATACTTGTGGTTGCATTGTGAAGTTCTTTTGTGTTGTGCTTTTCAGCTCCATCAGGTCATTTATGTTCCTCTCTAAACTAGTTATTCTGGTTAACATTTCCTGTAATGTTTTATCATGGCTCTTAGCTTCTTTGCATTGGGTTAGAACATCTGCCTTTAGCTCAGCAAAGTTTGTTATTACTCACCTTCAGAAGCCTACTTCTGTCAATTAATTCATCTCAGCCTCCACTCAGTTCTATGCCCCTGTTGGAGAGGTCTTGCGATCATTTGGAGGAGAAGAGGCACTCTGGTTTCTTGAGTTTTCAGCATTTTTTTTGTTGATTCTTTCTCATCTTCATGAGTTCATCTAGCTTCAATCTTTGAGGCTGCTGACCTTTGGATGGGGTTTTTGGAGGGACTTTTTTGTTGATGCGGTTGTTACTGTGTTTTCTGTTTGTTTGTTTTTCTTTTAACAGTCAGGCCCTTCTTCCGTAAGGCTTCTGCAGTTTGCTGGGGGTCCACTCCAGACCCTATTTGCCTGGGTCCCTCCCTACCTGGAGGTATCACCACTGGAGGCTGCAAAACAGCAAAGATGGCTGCCTGCACCTTCCTCTGGGATCTGTGTCCCGGAAGGGGACTGACCTGATGCCAGCAGAAAAGCTCCTGTATAAGGTGCCTCGCAACCCCTGTGGGTGGGCAGGGGGAGGGGAGGTCTCATCCAGTCAAGACGGACAGGATCAGGAACCCCCTTAACAAAGCACTCTGGCTGTCCCTTGGCAGAGGGGATGCACTGCACTGTGGGGAATCCCATTCATCAGGACTGCCCGGATTCCACAGTCAGCACTGGGAAAGACTAAGTTTGCTGATCTGCAGAGACTGCCCCTCCTCCCTGGGGCTCTGTCCCAGGGAGATCAGAGTTCTGTCTGTAAACCCCTGGTTGGAATTGCTGAAATTCCCACAGGAAGGCCCTGCACAGTGAGGAGCGATGGGTCAGGGTCCAGCCTAGAGAGGCAGTCTGGCCACAATCTGCCATAGCTGCTGTGCTGTGCCATGGGGAATTCCTCCTGAGTCCAAATCACCCAGTATCCCCAGCACTGGCAGGGGGAAAACAGCAGACTGGAGCTGCAGTGATGGCTCCTGCCCCTCCCCGCAGGTGCTCAGTCATCTTAGGCAGCAGGAGAATGCAGTGATGGTGGTCAACCCTCCCCCTGGAAACTCAGTAGTCTTAGGCAGTCTCCAGCCAAGTGGCCACCAAGAATCTTCACAGCTCTATGCTTGGGACCCAAGGCCCTGGTGGCACGGACTCACAAGGGGGATATCCTGACCTGTGGGTTGCACAGATCTGTGGAAAAAGTGTGGTTTCCTGGGGCAGGTAGCACAATCACTCACACCTCCCTTGGCTGGGGGTGGGAGCTCCCCTTCCCCTGCACTCCCAGGAGGGCCATTGCTCCACCCTGCTTTTCCTCACTCTCCATGGGTTGCGCCAACTGCCTAATTCAATGAGAGAACCTGGATACCACAGTTGCCAGTGCAGGATTCGTTGGCCATTTTCATTATCTTGGTGGGAGCCTCTGATGGCAACTGCTTCTAGTCAGCCATCTTGGCCCCTCCCCGCTACCACTTTTCTTATGACAACAAACTTGAAAATCTAAAGGAAACAAATGATGTTCTATCAAAATATAAATTCCCCAAATTAACTAAATGACAAGTAGAACACCTAAACAACCCAACAACTACAGAATTTGAAAATATATATATATTTTTTATATATAATATACATATATTAAAGCTCTACAATTAAAAATGGTACCAGATTCAGGATGTTTGTGGATAAGTTGTCCCTAAATTCAAGGAACAACAATAGAAGGCTTCCCAATTCAATTTACAGTTCTATCATAATATTAATGCCAATACCTGACAAACATATTCCAACAAGAAAACTAGAATACTTACAATTAAAATCTGAAACCAGATATTAACAAATTAAATCTAGCAATGTGTTAAAATAGTTATATTCTATAACTAAGCAAAGTTTATTCCAGAAAGCAACATTTCCCAATTTTAAGAAATCTATTAGTATAATGTATTACATTAAAAATTTTTTAAAGAAAAATATGTAATTAAGTAAGTACATGCCAAAAATATATTTAAGGTATTGGAACAGATATTCCTGATCAATTTTCAGTAGTGATTTTTAAGATGTGAATATTTTATCTCTTCATGCAAATTATAAGCCTTTCTCATACCATATATTATTTCTGTCTGTGAGCTACATCTACCTGCTATACCCTCATTCTGCCATAGATCCCAGGAATTTCTATGTAGTGTATCAATCAATATATTTAGAAGTAGTTTAAACATGCCTTTCAGGAGACTAGCCTAAGTAAATGCTTCGTGAAAAAAATGTCTATGGCTTAGTAAGTTTGGGAAAACTATATATTGTGTTTTTCTCTTAGAGATTTGCAACAAAGGTTAATTTAAAGACTCAGAGAAGTCTTCCAGGGTTTCCCAAGTTAATTGAACATAAAACACTTTTGTTCTTATGATGCCTATTAATACCCCATGAATACACTTTGATAAACACTGGTTTAGATCATGTCACCACAATGTCAGTCTCAGCACGGGTGGCATTTATTGTTCAGGGCATTGTGTGAGGTACTACTGCAGATATTGAATTATAAGATATAATCTATTCCCACAGATGATTATAATGAAGTTTAGTCAGAACATATAAATAAAGAGATAAATAATTTGAGGCAACATGGCATACGTACCATATAAGCCATCCAAACAAAAAGTGTAGCAAGGGTGCATAGGAGGCAGGAATGTTAGATGCTAAATGGTTGAGGAAGGTGTCTAGGAGGATATATGAGTTAATCCTTGGGAGAAAACACACACACACAAACACACACACACACACACGGCAAAAATGTGAATCATATATTTGGGAGAAATTAAAGCACTGGTTTATAGCTGTTCAAAAGGTAGGTAGGGTGACAGTGTAAAGTATCTTGCTTTAAGGATCTGGATCTTTATTACTCAGCCCATAAAGAACTAATGGAGGTCTTTCAGCAAGGAGAGAGCATCTCAGGGTAAGTGTATTTATAGAAAGTTGCAATTAACACAAAAGTTTTCAAAAAAATGTTTTCTGTTTGACTCCTGTCTTAGCCTAGGCTCCCCACAAAAGC